>NC_000009.12:121345552-121970552 GCF_000001405.40 Homo sapiens
TATGGTTGTTGCAGGGTTACTGTATTTTACAGAAGGGCTAGGCTCATTGTGATTCTATGTGTGAACTCCAAGACAGTCACTGCCCAGGTTCATGAGACTGCTTCTAGACTAACCCTACAGCCCCGTCCAAGTGGGAGCATGGCAATTCAGAATTCTAAGCGGTTTCTTCTATCTTTTCTTACTGTTATAAAGGGAAGATAGAAATTTTCTTTCCAAACTCTTAAGAATGCTATGGAAGAGGCTCATAGCCCATCCTGGGAAGTCAGTACTAGAGGAGGCAATGAGGAGCAGAGGGGAATTCTAATTTCCACTGCTACTAATCAACTGTGCGACCTTGCGGACGTCACTTAACTTTTCAGAGCTTCAATTTTTCCTTTGAATAGTGGGATGGCAAACAAGTTTCATTTTTTTTTAAGTTTTTATTATTATTAATTTTTTATTTAATTTAATTTTTTTGAGAAGAAGTCTTGCTCTGTCGCCTGGGCTGAAGTGCAGTGGCGCAATCTCAGCTCACTGCAACCTCCACCTCCAGGGTTCAAGCAATTCTCCTTCTCAGCCTCCCCAGTAGCTGGGATTACAGGCGCCTACCACCACACCAGGCTACTCTTTGTATTTTTAGTAAGGACGGGGTTTCACCATGGTGGCCAGGCTGGTCTTGAACTCCTCACCTCAGGTGATCCACCCACCTCAGCCTCCCAAAGTGCTGGGATTACAGACGTGAGCCACTGTGCTTGGCCTCAAGTTTTGTTTTTTAGAGCTAACTCTAAGCAGTTGAGGGTTGTTACCCAGAGTGCTATAGAAGGGTTCTGAGGCCAAGTCTAAGCTCAGAGGAAAACAGTGCTGTGGTTAATTACTAGCATGGGAATAGCAGGATGGAGTGCTAGCATCTGGGCTAAGTGTTTGCCACCTATGGAAGATAATCTCTGAGGATCCTTTGGGCTCTGACATTCTACGTAGTATATGTATGGTACATTCTACTATTCAATCTGGTTTGGAAATGAGGCTTTTGCCTAATAACATATTCTAGTTAAAAGCAATTCCTAATTTTCAAAATAAGGAGATGATAGGGCACATTTAATAACATCGTAAACATAATTTAATCTTCTAAACGTAACAGTTTTGAAAGAAAGCACTAGAGGGTTCTGTAGTACTACCAGGTTATCATCACAAAGCAACAATCATCATACCAGGAAAACCTAAACATTTTGGTTAATGCAAAATTCTGAAGTCGCATGTCAAATGAGCTACTATCCTATTTGATGCTGGCTAAGAAATTATAGTGACCAGTTTGTGGCTTAAAGGGCATCCTAAGAAAAGAACAGCGTTCTGTGGTCAGCCAGTGATGACCAGCTACTACTATTTTCTAACAACAAATTGGTTTGCTCCTTGTGTCTTGGGAGATTTGTCAAGTCCACAGCAACTCCTCCTATGAAAACTGCTCTTCTTCTTCAGCCCATTCACAGGCATAGGGCTGTGGAACCATATTATTATGCTATCTTTGCACTTTGACCAAAGTTGGACCAAAAAGACTGTCTCTTCTGTGAATGTGGAATTAGGGCTGGTCTGTGTTCTTTAGTGTTCACCTGGCAGACATCTAAACCTGGGAGCTAGACATTCTCCACCACAAGCTATCTACAGTGAGATGTGGCACAGGAAAGGGAATGACTAGTTCCCTGAACTGCCTTCTGGTTCCAATTTTGGTGAGACTTGCCCCTACTTCCTACCTTTGGGTTTGGTGAGATATCCCTGAAATTTTACACATTATCATCTTTAAAGATACTCTTTTCTAGGTTAGGTTAACAAATATTTCCTCAGTGCCTCCCAGAGGGGCCATGCCACCCATGCAGGGTTAAGACATAGGCAGATGATGATGAAAAGAAGGAAGAAAAAAGGCAGATGTCAAAGTAAGAGAATATAAACAAGAGGAAAAGAGAGAATGAGGAATAGGAAACAGTAAAAGGGAAAAAGAGCCTGAGAAAAGAAACAGAACAAAAAAGAAGCCAAAAATAAGTAAGAGATGGGTGGTATGGATGGAATGATGACCCACTTGCTCCGAAGTTGGAACTGTTAATTTGACCTTAATATGGAATCGGGAGAATAAGTATGGTACACACAGTCATAAAAGAATGAGGTAACTCTACATGTACTGATACGTCCATAGATATTAATATTAAATGAAAAAAGCAGAGCGCAGAACAACATGTGCAGTATAACCCTACTTTTGTAAAACAAACAAGCCAGTAATCCAAAAACCTGGTCAAATAAAATCCAAATACACTCAACTGTTAGGAGTGGTGACCTCTGGGGGAATATGATTTGAAGTTACGGGGAGGGTTTTCACTTCTAACTTTACCACTTCAAGATTATTTCAAGTTTTTACAGCAAGCATGTTTTACGTTTTTTTATAATTATTAATAAAAGAGAAAACTCAGTAAGAAAAACAAGTTTAAAAAAAAAGTTACCTTGGCGCGGGCCTCGCGGGACGCTTCTGCTTCTGCAGCCATAGCTCTCTGGAGCTGCACAGGTAGTTTCACATCCTTAATTTCCACACGCTCCACCTTTATTCCCCAGGCATCAGTGGCATCATCCAGAGTAGACTGTTAGGAAGAGAGAAGGCAAGCTAAATCTCCTCAGCCCAGCCCAGATGCTGACAGAGGCTGTATTCATTGGGATTTGGAGGAGATAAGGTGCTGGGGAGAGTTGTGGAGAGACAGTTACCCCACGGTGGAACGAATGGTGACGCAGGGGCTGGCTCACTGATCCTGATTCTGTTGCTAACAAGCTAATGCAGGGGTTAGCAGCTTCTTCTAAAAGGGCCATATAGTGATTGTTTATTTGTAGTCTCTGTCTCAACTATTTAACCCAGCTGTTGTAGTCAAAAGCAGCCATGGATAATATATAAATAAATGGCTGTGGCTATACTCCAGTCAAACTTTACTTACAAAAACTACAGCCTGTAGGCTACAGTTTGCCAACTCCTGAGCTAATGTGACTCTGTGTAAGTCATATTACTCCTTTGTGCTTCAACTTCCTCCCTTTAGAATGTCAGGAATGAAACCACACATCTATTTCATAGGTTGTTGTGCATATCAAATACAATCATAGATTTTACCCACGATGAAGTCTATACAAATAATAAGAATCCAGAGTTATAGCACTTTATCTTTTTTGAATAAGCTATGCTTAACTGAATATCTGTTACTCAAGAAAGACTGGAAAGCACAACAGTTATAATTCATGGGACTCACACACAGAATAAAGCTTTAGGAATACCTACACTATCTTGCAGAATAGCCTCTGTTCTAAACAAAAAGGTTATTACTGATTCTGGAAAAAAATACACACTGAAGAAAATTTTAAAAAAATGTACGCATGAGTGTTATGAACTCATGAACTGCTAATGTGAAAAATGTCCCCTCCTGCCAAATTTGAAAAATTTTACTATGAAGAAAAAAAAACGGTCACAGACCCCCACAACTTGAATTAATAAAAGGTTCTCAAACAACCATTGACTCTTTGCTTCATTTTTCAGCTTCTGGGGGGTAACAGCATTGACGTACTCCCCACCTGCATGTTGTGTGCAATTTCTTCTCTGTCAGAGAGGATCTGAGAAAGATTCTTGGTGCCCAGAACATTCCTCAGAGTAGTTTGTGCCAAAAGACGGGTTGCTGAGTCAGCGTTGGTGATATTTGCCACAGCCAGGGTTGCATTCTGAACGCGGTAATAGACCACACCATCCACGCTAATTGTCACTGAATCCTTTGTGAGGATCTACAAGATGAAGGAAGCAATTTTACATCTGTCAACGACTTTTTTTTAACATAACTGTAAGGAATGTTATTCTACAGAATATCTTATAACACTAGCTGATTTTCTTTAGTAAGGCATCAGAAAGTTAATTATATCTTTTAAAATTTAATAAAATAAATTATTCAAGTCCATTAATTCATTCAATCATACAAATAATATTGAGATATCACTCAACAGCAGGCACTGTACTAGGTACCAGGGATTAAGGTAGGAAAAAAACTTGGTTCCTCCTTTGAAGGAGGTTAGGGAATCAAAGGAAACTCTTAGGGGCAGCTGTGGGTGGCAGGGGTGATACCTGAATTGAATCTTGAAGAAAGGAATACAATTTTTCTGAGGGTGTTGGGTGGAGTGGAAGAATATTCAAGAGAGAGGCACTAGAGAGTCAAGGTTTGATAAACTACAAGTTCCACAATATTACTGGAACAAAAAGTGCATGGGGAATGTTTTTAAAGGGCAAGGTCAGCATCAAAACATATTTTACAGCATGCTACATAAAAATGCTAAACATGACATATTTTTGTTTTAAGCTAAGAAGTTATCTGAGTGAGAGGCTCCAGGAAAATAGTTACATCCATCACTTAAAACTCACTGGGACTCAGTTTTCTCATTTGTAAAGTAGAGATTAATTATAGTACCTACTTTGCATTCTTGCTAGAATTAATGCGTTAAATACATTCAAGTGCTCAGAAAAGTTCCTGGCACGTAAGAGCTGTCTTATTATTTCATCTTGGATAATGGTGGTAACTTTACTGAATAAAACACTGACTTGATTAACTGTAATAAGTTAATTTAGATAATAATAAACAAGCCAGCTGGGCATGATGGCATACACCTGTAGTTTCAGCCACTCAGGAGGCTGAGGCAGGAAGATTGCTCCAGCCTGGGAATTCCAGCCTCTCTCACTAACAACATCAGGCTGGCACCTTTCTACTGATCATTTAAATGTCCTTCTCTCTGTGAAACTTTCTTGGCTTACTTGGCAGAGTTAAGCACTCTTCCCTTGCACATCCACTGCACCTTACTGTAGTGACATTATTTATTCACATTTCTACTTCTCTCTTAGACTATGAATTTCTTCAGGGCAATTCTTTGTAACTCTAACACTGGCAGAGTGCTTGAAACATAGCGGGTAGTCAATAAATGAGAGAGGAGCTGAACTGAAATGTGGTCCTGAGAACAGTGACCGATGAGGAACACAGCAGTGAGAGTTAGGAGACCTGAACTGAGTCCCATCTCTGCCTTCAGGTCCCTGGATGGCCTCTAGCAAGGTTTTTAACCCATTTGACCAACAGATTCCTCATTTGTGAGATGGCGCTAATAATACTGCCTAATTCTATCCAAATTTCTGTGAAGATCAAATAAGAACATACTTGTGAATGAAGCCCTTTTGAAAGAGTAAACAGCTATGAAAATGGAAGGTAATAATAACAATGTTGTAACATGGCTGTTTAGCCCTGCCAGACATCAAAGCAGTGATCCTTTTTTAGTAATCTCAAAATACTTCTAACATGGAAGAGAAGTGGAGGATTTATAAATAAATGTACAGTGTATTACCATCTTGTATGAAAACTAATTATTTCCCATGACATGATGGGAAAATGTGTGTCATTCCCAAATTCTTGCCACTTTGACTTTGCCACAGCTTCTTTCTAAAGCTACAGCTTCTCTGCCTACTGTTTATCATCGGCAAGGGTTTATCTCCCTTCACAGAAACTTCACAGGGGATCAGAAAAAGGATTGCTGCCAAGTTCCAATCTGCTTTGCATTCAGCAGCTTGCAGAATAGGAGAGGGCCACTGGAAAGCAGAAGCTTAAACAGCAACTCTGCCAGATGTCTGTAATGTTTATAGTGGAAAATGCCAGAATGTCCAGCTACCCTGAAGGGCTCCTTCTGAGACTCAATCTTCCTTAGACGATGGGAAAACACACAGAGAATACAGTGATACTCTCAGTCTTGTTCTTATGAGTAAAATGTGGGCAAAATGATTCCTGGCATCACTAACTTTGGGTGGATTATAAAGTCTGACCCCACCCACTTCTTGGATCAGTACCAACAAGGAAGTTCCTAAGCTGGTTTCTGGTATTTGTGACATGAGAAGGCAACATGGCCAGGCTCCATCACCATGCTGAGTATCTGGCCTTTGGCCAGGAAACACTGACAGCATTCTTCTGTCCTTCCCCCTTCATGATGTTTTCAGGTTTTCTGTATGCAACGGTTATTAAGTCTCCTAAGGACATGGTTCCCAGGATGGCCATCACTTTTTCGGGGGCTATGAGGGAGCTCATGTACAATGCATTTAGCATGGAGCTGTGGAAAAAACAGCACTATACAAAGAATCCGAAGAGCTCAATTTTAGTCTTGGCTCTGCCACTGTAATCTGGAGGAATTCCTTTGTTTCACTGCAACTATATACTTTCTAGGGATTCTGCCATGAGTTTCATCTATGATAATACTTGTGAAGTAGTTTGAAAAGGCACAAAATAATCACTAGTATAAAATATTATGTTTTATCTAAAATGCCCAACAAGCAGTTTCTAATTCTTTGGTTTCTAACCAATTTATCTAGAATAAAACCTTAAGAAAAAAAATAATGAACTAATAGGGTTTTCTATCAGAAACCCATAGAAGAGAAATGTGGTAGTAAAAATGTTGATAGTAATAACAATGATGATATTATTATACTTACATTAGCATTACACTATGTTTTGTAATAATCATTCCTCGGTATCTGTGGGAGATTGATTCTAGGACCCTCAGAGGATACCAAAATCCAAGGATGCTCAAGTCTCTTATATACAGTGGCACAATATTTGCATATAACTTATGCACATCCTCCTTTATACATTAAATCCTTTCTGAAGTACTTATAATACTTAACACAATGTAAATACTACATAAATAGTTGCTATACTACACCGTTTTTAAAAATTTGTATTATTGTATCATTGTCAATTGCTTTTTTCCCTAAATATTTTTGATCCATGGAGCCAACCGTATAATCTATGTACATTTTCCTGTACACTTTAAATCATCTCTAGATTACTTCTATTATCCAATACAATACCTACACATCACTTTATTCATGTGGATTCAATGCCATGCTTGATGCATGGCAAATTCAAGTTTTGCTTTTTGGAACTTTGTGGAGTTTTTTCCTAATATTTTCAGTCTGCGGTTGGCTGAATCCCTGTATGCAAAACCCATGCATGCAAAGGGCCAACTGTAATAGTAACAGTAAGAACTTATATAGCACTTACTATTTGTCAGCCATTGCTCTAAGCACTTGGCACATATATCTCACTTCTCAGAACCACCTTATACAGTAGTTCTTACTATTACAAATGTCTATTTTCTGGATGAGGAAACTGAGGCACAGAAAAGTTAAAGAACTTGCTTAAGGTCACTGAGCTAGAAATGCTGAAGGCAGTCAAGGTCTAAAGCCTGTGCTCTGGCAGGGAACGGTGGCTCATGCCTGTAATCCCAGCACTTTAGGAGGCCAGAACGGATCACCTGAGGTCAGGAGTTCGAGACCAGCCTGGCCAACATGGCAAAATCCCGTGTCTACTAAAAATACAAAAAAATTAGCCGGGCGTGGTGGCGCACATCTATAGTCTCAGCTACTCGGGAGGCTGAGGCACGAGAATCACTTGAACCCAGGCGGCGGAGGTTGCAGTGAGCTGAGATCACACTACTGCACTTCAGCCTGGGTGACAGAGCAAGATTCCAATTAAAACAAACAAACAAACAAACAAAAATTTAAAATAAATAAATAAATAAAGCCTACACTCTAACTATTCTGTCCCTCATTGTAAAGCACTTTCACATATGATACCTCAGTTATTCAAAGAAAACCTTACCTCCTGAGGAGGAATATCAAATGAAATAGTTCTCATGTCCACTTTGATGAAGCTGTCAGTGCATGGCAGAATAAAAAACAAACCTGCAACAAAGATACACACATTATACAGACACCAGCAACCTAATCAGTTCACTTCTCCATTCAGTTTTAAGAAAATCAACCTAGTGAACTGAAAAGTCACCAGTTCATCTTCGTGAATGAGCCAGAAGCCAGGAATGATAACTTTGATTCCTCTTGCTTACTTCCCACATTTGACTGTCTCCACTAAGGTCTGTGGAGTTCATTTCCTTAATCTACTGTTGCTATCACTCTTCTCCCCACCGCCCCACTGGGACCAATGCAATCGTTTCCCAGGCCATCTTTCTATTTTTTGTAGTTTCTCTCCTATAATCTATTTCCTAAGCTGCAAGCCGAGCAATCCCCCCTAAAATACAAACCCTCCCCCACGCATGGTCCTGCATAACCCGCCTTTGTTCCCCTCTTCAGCCACTTCCTCTCTCTTCACACCCTGCACTCTTGCTGGACTGATCTACTTGCAGTTTCTTGAATCTGCAATACTCTCCTCTTTGTTGCTTTGTGTATGTTGCTATTTCCGCCGCAAACACCTCCTGTTGGTTAACACCTTTTCAGACCTCAAGACTCAGTCAAGATGTAACTTCCAGAAAGCCTTGACTCAGCCTACGACTAGTTCAGATCAGTAACACTTCTCTGGTTTTCTCTTTTCTCACAGCTCTCTGTGAGTACTTGATCATAATACTTATCACATAGGATTGTAGCTATCTGTTTCCTTGTTGGTTCCTACCACTAGATAGGAAGATCCTTGAGGGTAGGGACTGTGTTTTAGTCTCCCTTGAATTCCCAGAACCTGGAACACAGTAGGAGCTTAATTGAAGTTTGCCAAATGAATGACTGAAAGTCTTTCTTTGGTAGAGATTCTCATGCTCAAACTTGTATAGCTGTACTGTTCTTGGCCTAGGTGGTAATCTTATCAGCTCAAATGGGAAGGGGAGGGGAAGGGTAGGAAGGAAAGGGTAACAAAAGATTGGCTAGAACCACTGCTATTGTTATACAACTCCTGCTACATGAACTCTTATCTAAGACAGAGTAGAAGAGGCCCTCATAAGGGAAATCACGTCAATAAAAAAATTTTAGACTGGGCACGGTGGCTCACGTCTGTAATCCTAGTGCTTTGGGAAGCTGGGGTGGGATGATTGCTTGAGGTCAGGAGTTCAAGGCTGCAGTGAGACATGAGCATGCCACTGTACTCCAGCCTGGGCGACGGAATGAAACCCTGTCTTTAAAAAAACAACTACCTAAAAATAAAAAAAATAAAAAGAACTTTAGTTTTCAGATAAACAATCTAGAATCCCAGTACTGACCAGGTCCTTTGGCTCCTCCTTGTAAAATGCGACCCAATCTAAAGATGATGGCTCTTTCATACTCTTTTATAATCTAGAATAAAAACATGAATAATAATTTAACATGAAGAGTACAAATATATACATGCATGGCTTCTTAAATATATATTTCTGCTCTAAACAGATTAGATGCCTCATCTTTTTTCTTTAGAACCAGATCATATCTATAAATCACATGTCCAATGTTTACCTTCTCAAAGCTTATTTATTATTTTCTTACTGATTACAAAAGCAATAGATATTCACTGTATAAATTTAGGAAGGACAGAATAGTATACAGAAACAAATCCATAACCTCACTCCTCAGCTGTTAACATTGTTATTCAGTTACTCATGCAGGCCAGGCACGGTGGCTCACGCCTGTAATTTCAGCATTTTGGAAGGCCGAGGTGGGCAGATCACGGAGGTTAGGAGTTCAAGACCAGCCTGGCCAACATGGTGAAACCCTGTTTCTACTAAAAATACAAAAATTATCCGGGTATGGTGGTGGGTGCCTATAATCCAAGCTACAAGGGAGGATGAGACAGGAGAATCACTTGAACCGAGATCGCACCACTGCACTCCAGCCTGGGCCACAAGGTGACTCCGTCTCAAAAAAAAAAAAAAAAAAATAATAATAATAATAATAATCCCAGCTACACGGGAGGCTGAGGCAGAAGAATCGCTTGAACCTGGGAGGCGGAGGTTGCAGTGAGCCGAGATCGCGCCACTGCACTCCAGCCTGGGCGACAGAGCAAGGCTCTGGCTCAAAAAAAAAAAAAAAAATTACTCATGCATTGTTAATTCAGAAACACAAAAAGCTGAAGTCTTCACAGTTTTTCTTCTGATTCCCTTAAGAATAAATTGATCTGAAAATGCTTGGAGCATATTTTATCTTCTTAGAAATATGTAAATAATAGTCATATATCAAAGTATTAACAACTTTGTAGAAAAAATAACGAGCACTGAGGGTATTTATGACGTGCCAGGCATTGTGATAAGTACATTTAGACACATAATTCATTTAATCCTCGCAACACTCCTATGAAGTAGGTACTGTTACTTTCTCCCATTTTACAGGTGAGGAAACAGCAAAGGTCACACAATAAACAGTAAAGCCAGCAGTCAAACCCTATCATCCTAACTCTGAAGAACTTGTTCTCTCAGAACCATCTCACATCCCTGGCCCCAGGAAATTTTTGATGGTGAAACTTACTTTAGCCCACGGGGAAGGGCAATGGCTGAAAAGAAGTTTTAAGGTTCCATTTTAATAGGTGGGTAGAAGAATAAATTTTCCAAAGAAAGATGAAGAAATAAGAATTATAAGAGAGAGAGACAGTCTGTTTCTTTCTCACATACACACAGGCACACACGAAGTAGGTTTATGGAGGTAGGAGTTGACCCCTTCCCAGAAGTGAATGAAATGTTCTTTACCTTTATGCACATCCATATTGAGATTGGGAAAGTTATAACGGTGAATAAGAATGAGAACGCCACCAAAATCCATCCGCAAGGTCCAAGGCCCTTACTGGGGCTGTCTGTTGAAAACAAAAAATATACAACTCTCACAACTGTTACTAGCATAATCACCACCATCTTCATCCTTACCATTCGCTGAATACCTATGTGCTTGGCACTACACCAGCTGTTTTACATGAATTTCCCCATCTAATCCTCATACAGCCCTGAAGTGTAAGTACTACTTTCCCTTATCTATGTGATGTCATAACACAAGTATATTTCCACATTACTCATTACTTTATTCAGCAAACATTTATTAAGCATCTACTATTTATTAGGCCCTCTGCTTTGTACTGAAATGATAACAATGAGTAAGACCCAATCCCAGCTTTCAGGGTTAAAGTTTAGTGGGAAAGTCAGACAAACACATAATTATAATATTAGGTGGTAAGTACAGATATAGAGTATCTGTTCAGAATATTTTGAAGACACAGAATGAGTTAACTCACGCAGTTAGGATGGAGGTGAGAAAGGAATGGGGCGGGGAGGTGATTCAGGTGGCTGTCAGAGGGTTTCCTGAAGGATGTAATAGTAAGAAAATATCGACGAAAAGAAAGTGGAGGCTGGGCGTCGTGGCTCACGCCTGTAATCCCAGCACTTTGGGAGGCCGAGACAGGTGGATCACTTGAGGTCAAGAGTTCAAGACCAGCCTGATCAACATGATAAAACCCCGTCTCTACTAAAAATACAAAAATTAGCTAGGCGTTGTGGTGAGTGCCTGTAATCCCAGCTACTGGGAAGGCTGAGGCAGGAGAATTGCATGAACCCAGGAGGTGGAGGTTGCAGTGAGCCAAGATTGTACCACTGCACTCCAGCCTGGGCAACAGAGGAAGAATCTGTCAAAAGAAAAGAAAAGAAAAGAAAAAGGAAAGAGGGAAAAGGCATTAGAGCATTTTAGCTAGGAGTACAGTACGAATAAAGGTGAAAACCATATGATATGAGTATAAAGTTGTTTAGAGCCTCTTTTTAAAAATTACACCTGTAAAATATTTCACTAGGTTTATGCAGCATCATTTATTGCCCACTTCCTGATTACACAGGTTGTTTGATTTCTTAGTGCTATAAACAGTGTTGTAGTGAACATCTTTGTACACGGCTTTCCTCTCACATTTCTAATTGTTTCCTGTTCCTGTAATATGCAACAGCTTTTCCGTCTGATTACAAAGGTAATAATGCAAAAAATTCACAGAAGTATAACAAAGGAGGGAAAAATTACTTTAAATTCAGAGGTATTTTGGTATATTCTTTGAAAATTTTCCTAGTGTACACACCATATTTTTAAATGATATATATATATATATTTATTTATTTATTTTTTGAGACAGAGTCTTGCTCTGTTGCCCAGGCTGGAGTGCAGCAGCACAGTCTCACCTCACTGCAACCTCCACCTCCTGGGATCATGCGATTCTCCCGTCTCAATCTCCTGAGTAGCTGGGATTACAGCCACCTGCCACCACACCCGGCTACTTTTTGTATTTAGTACAGATGGGGTTTCACCATGTTGGCCAGGCTGGCCTCGAACTCCTGACGTCAAGTGATCTGCCCACCATGGCCTTCCAAAGTGCTGGGATTACAGGCATAAGCCACTGCGCCCGGCCTTAAATCATATTTTTAAAAATAAATAAATAAATAAAATGTGTAACCTATTTTTCTTCCCTGTAGCTATTCTCTTTCACCTTCTTTTTTGGCCTTCGTGGTTATGCATTTGTGTTTTTGAAGTTACACTTGCATAAAGTTTAAAAAGTCAAACCATTCTATATGATTAGTACAAAAAAAGGGCATTCCCATGCTCACCTCTTCCAATTTCCTCCTCCTCAAAAACATTTGCTATTTTGACCATTTTGATATCTACCTCCATATTTCTAAATAATACGCTTTGCAGCTGGGTGCAGGGGTCACACCTGTAATCCCAGCACTTTGGGAGGCTGAGGAGGGAGGATCCCTTGAGCCCAGGGGTTTGAGACTAGCTTGGGCAACATAGGGAGACTCTGTCTCTACTTTAAAAAAAAAAAAAATAATAATAATAATATGCTTCTGCCAGGCATGGTGGCTCACGCCTGTAATCCCAGCACTTTGGGAGGCCGAGATGGGAGGATTGCTTGAGCTCAGGAGTTTGAGACCAGCATGGGCAACCTAGTGAGACTCCCATCTCTACTTGAAACTTCTTAAAAAAAATTAGCTGTGTGTGGTGGCACACACCTGTAGTCCCAGCTACTGAGGAGACTGAAATAGGGGGATTGCTTGAGCCTGGGGGTTCGTGGCTGCAGTGAGCTGTGATGTACCCCAGCCTGGACAACAAAGTGAGGAAAGAAAGAAAGAAAGAAAAGGAAGGAAGGAAGGAAGGAAATGCTTGTTTTGTTACTTCTTGCTTTTTCAGTTTTGAGGACTATTAACTTTCTACTACAGAAAAAGATTTAGTTCTCTTTCCTCCCCGTTACCCCCACCACATACTTATACCCAGCTTTCCAATATAATTACATCATAACTTCATTTAGATCAATATGAGATTTTATATTATGAATTTGTAAGTGCAATTTAAAGCTAAGCCAAGTAGTGAGGTATCACTGGTTTTCTCTTCCTGTACTATTTTTGTTTTTTCTGGAATTACTGTCTTATTTTTTCCCTTTGTTCGGTTTTCAACGTACTTATTGATCCAACCTTAAATCAATTGCCTAAATTTCCTCTCAAAGAGGTCAGGTATACTATCAATTTTATCTTCTGGAAGAATTCTCTCTCAGAGCCTTGTGTGGACTTCCTTCATCTGGTGTGCACGGCTATCATTCTGCAATTGCTTTCACTATCATCCTGGGAACTCCCATCACCTCAGTGTTGTGTTCCTATTTTCTGTATCAAGTGTCATCCTCATTTTTAGTTTGCTTTTGCTTTCTGTAGAGGACATAGGGACTGAGAAGGCCAAGGGATATAGTAGGTTTTCTTATCAACCACTTGGAAGGCTTCTGCTGTATTTTCAGGAGCTATTTTAATGACAGAGGGGAGAAAAGGTATGCCAGGCACATGTTACTGCTCAGAAGAAAGGGCAAAATGGCAGTAAGATGGGGCTTGGAATAAATAGGAGGCCAAGAAATAAGCAGAGTGTTCAGGCTGGGAACATGGGAGAAGAGAGACACATGTTGGCACCCAGGTCAAGTGCTCTAAAACATAGGATGAAAAATCAGAAATATAGTGAGTACTTGGGTTGTATGTGACTTGGTAGTTTTCTGATCCTGTGTTATAGTGTGAGGTAAATGTCTTCATGTATACTTAAATAAAATGATCTAAAGTAATCCTGGAGGTTTCTAAGTTATAATTTAGGGGGTACAGACATATTCATTGAGAGAATATTCAAAGCAGGGCCATAGTACTGTTTGTGAAGAAAGCTTTATCTAGTATTACCATGACTGATCATAGCAACAGTGGCTGTTTTGAGGGGTTGTGTATACCCCAGGCATTTTTTAAAGTTACTTTAGACATGTATCTCATTTAACTCTTACAACAGCCCTGTGAGGGTATTTTTAAATCCCTTTTACAAATGAGTTACCTAAAGCAACATTTAACTTTCCCAAAGTCACACAATGGAAGACCTGGGACTCAAATATGGGTCATCTTACTCCAAAGCCCGTGTTCCAAATTCACCCCTCAATAAAAAAAATCCTCATTAAGAATGTTTTCGTGGTTGAGCACTTTCTCAAGACAGTATCCAAACTGAAAAGCATGGCTGGAGTTGTGAGAATGAAATCTGATATTTTTACAGAGGAAGTCCTCTTAATGCCAGCCATGCCTATTTATAGCAAAAGATAGTTTCAAGGCTCTGTGACAGACACAGGTCTAGGTTTCCAGGGTGAAATGAATTCCAAACAAGGACAGACTGACCACAAATACTTATTTATCTGACAGCATTTGGTGCCTTTTCAAATACTGTCCAAGTCTCCCATAACATACTAGAGTAAAAACTCCCTGAGGGCAGGGATGTTGCTTATTCACTTTTATATTCTCAATGTCTAGCACAGTATCCTGCATAGTAGAATAGATATAAAATAAAATACTTCTCAGCAAGTTTTCTAGCTAGATATGTCTTTTTCTTTCCTTTGAATCTCGATAGCATTTTTTGAAAATTATCTTATGGCACTTATATCTTGTCTAATCTTTTATTTTTTATTTATTTTTAATTGACCTTCCAATGTAGGATTTTAATCTTTTATTATTTTTTAATCTAATATTTTAATTTCTTGTGCATTTATATCCCTTATTACACTGAGATTCCCTGAGAACGAGGAGTAACTATGTTTGAATTTCACTTCTGATACTTCTTAGTTGCATGATCTTTACCTCTTTGAACCTTAGTTTCCTTACCGGTGGAAAGTAAAGATTATTAGGCTGGCCTTGTAGAATACAGATAAAATGATCAGTAAATGTAGATGATAGTTTTCTGTAATCCTTCTATTTTACTTAAGTGTTTGTATCTTCATGAAGAAAAATGGGAAAATAGCATTTACCCTTTTTGATCAAAAGCCTCTTAAACAATTTAATTTGCCATTTGCTTCATACCTGCCCCCAGTCTGGCTAGGCTGGGACATTCAAAGACTCTCAAAAAGTTCATTTATGATCTACATGAGGACAAGCCAAAAAGTTCAGCCCAGTTTTTTTTGTGTCAGTTCCCATGTCACATTGTGTTTTTGAGAACCCCAGATGTGTATATGGGATTGCAAATCACCAGGAACAAGGAATTAAGTACACATTTTGAAAACTGGATTTGGTCTTTCACATATCAAATGCTTGGCTAGAAATAATCAGTGTATACACTGGGAAAATGGCACTTTCATATTTTTCTAATGACTTTAAAATGAAAGTATCCTACCTTCACCTCTCAAAATTCTTCCCCACCTGGTTACCCCTCAAAAAGGTACACAGTATCTAAGTTGGGAATGCATCACTAGAGTTCTGAGACTGAAATCTGATGTTTTTACAGAGGAAGCCCTCTTAATTCCAGCTGTGTCTATTTATAGCATGTTGTGCTATAAATGCATAGCTCAGAGGTGAGGCTTAAACTCTAGCAGGCTTATAAATGAACCCTTAGTCATCTACCACTTCTGGGAATAAGAGAAAAGAAATTCTCACTCACTAAAATCTCAGGAAATTCATTTCCTTCAAGTTTCCCATGTATTACTTTAGGACTGAATCCTTCCTACCAGTTTTATGGGGAAAGGGACAAATAGTGATATTTTGGTTAATACACTTGTGGACTTTTTTTTTTTTTTTTTTTTTTTTTTTAGATGTAATCTCACTCTGTCGCCCAGGCTGGAGTGCAGTGGCGAGATCTCGGCTCACTGCAAGCTCTGCCCCCTGGGTTCACGCCATTCTCTTGCCTCAGCCTCCCCAGTAGCTGGGACTACAGGTGCCCACCACCATGCCTGGCTAATTTTTTGTATTTTTAGTAGAGACGGAGTTTCACCGTGTTAGCCAGGATGGTCTTGATCTCCTGACCTCGTGATCCTCCGGCCTCGGCCTCCCAAAGTGCTGGGATTACAGGCGTGAGCCAATGCACCCGGCCACTTGTGGGTATTTTGCTGGTTGAGAATGTTCCTAAAAATTAGGGATCCTATGATACTTGGTTGTAAATACTACTTTGCCATAGTTTAGAGCAATGGTCCCCAACCTTTTTGGCACCAGGGACCAGTTTCGTGGAAGACAATTTTTCCACAGGAAAGGGTTGGGGAACATGGTTTTGGGATGAAACTGTTCCACCACAGATCATCAGACATTAGGTTCTCATAAGGAATACACAACCTAGATCCCTCATATGTGCAGTTCACAATAGGGTTTGTGCTCTTATGAGAATCTAATGTTGCTGATCTGATCCGTCTGTGGCCTGGGAGTTGGGGACTCCTGGTTTAGAGTATTTTTTTTTCTTTTATTACCAAAATGGCAGTAGAATAAACTTTTAACTAATCAAAGAAGGGTCTGAATATGGACATAAGCCTGTACATTTGAATTTTTGTATTGAACATTCAAGTTGGGCTTACCTCCAGGAAACTCACATACATTTTCTAAAATTGCTTTTTTACTTTAAAAGCAAAAGTTACTATAAAAATTAGAAATGATAGCTCAACAAACAGAAACATTATCTATACTTTATCTCTGGATGTTTTTTGCCTTGATATACGTCTTTTAAACCTTTTCTAGCCTGTATTTTTTCAATAATGAAAGAATGGTATACACAGTGATTTAAAATCTTCTCCCTCCCATCCATGTTATGAACATTTTTTCATATCAGCACATATTCTTTATCATTATTAAAGATTAATTAATTAATTCCATTTTATATGATGAAATCTGTTGTGTCCAAATTTCTCACTTAGAAACTGCTGCATTGAATATATATTTAGCAGTGTTTCTGTACCTGCTTATTTCCTGTGTAAGTTAATTTTTCTGAAAAGATGAAATTATACAACTCTTAAAATTCTCTCATTCTGAAGGTATCTTTTGTTACTACTCCTAATAACTACCATTTATGAATTCCTATGACATGTTAGCCACATGTAGCTCCTCCTTACATACATGAGTATTTATAATGTTTACAAAAATCTGTGAAGTAGGTGTTAAAATATGCCTCCTGAAGTTCTAAAGTAATAAGGCTAAAGACCTTGTAGGAAGAAACAAAAGAAAACCAAGCAAACCATGAAACAAATGAAATTTGTTGTGTAGTAATTTTTGTTGGGTAAGTTTCTGGAAAGGCAGTTAAACATTCTTTCCAAGATGACAACACAGGCTGATTAGTCCAGAGGGCTGTAGTTGTCCCCGTTCCCCATCAGCTGATTTACTTTCAGATCTATTAACCTTAGCACTACTGGAAATCATGTGGAGTAATAAATCCACTCATCACTGAGATTTTATTATTGTAAAGTTCAACAGATAACTGGATTTCCTCTGCTGAGAATCTGACTGTGAGTCATAAGCATTATCCTACACAATAAGAAAGGATGGGCTAAGGAATTACTGAAATACCTAAACTGCCACTTTTTAACGGACACTTTTTTCCTTCTGCCTTCACAGAGTGCAAATAAAACACTTCATGTTGTAAATTGATGAGAGCAGTCCTGCCTGGATGGGGCAAGACAGAAAGGCTGGAAGTTTAGTCTCAAAAACACATGCTATTCAGTTGCAGCAGCACTTTTTAGGGGTAACAGTAGGCCAAATTGAAAAGTCTTGGCAATTTTTGAACTTTCTTCTTAAAAACATATGTATTCAGGATTAAGTGTTACTTTTGGCCACTATGATTCTTCATCAGTGATTCTTTGTCAGGATTGGCAAACTTTTCCTGTAAAGAACCAGGAACTAAATATTTTGGGCTTTGCAGTCTGTTGCAACTACTCAACTCTACTTTTGCAGTGCAAAAGAAGCCATAGATAGTACCTACATAAACAGCACAGCTGTTCCAATAAAACTTATGGACATAAATCTGAATTTCACATAATTTTCATGTGTAATGAAAAAGTATTCTTTTGCCTTTTTAAAATCATTTAAAAATATAAGAGCTATTTCATAACTTGTGGGACATACAGAAACAGAGTCAGCTAGATTTGGACAATGGGCTGTTACACGCTGTTCCTGTTTTATGTCAGCCAACTATTTATTTGAGGAGGAAGACTTGCATAAATTAAATAATGCATTTGATCTTTCTTCCAGCTATTCAAATAAGGGTACATTTCCCAGCTTCTCAGTTTCTCCCTTTTGCTTATTTTGAAGCAAGGCCTTTATAAGGCCTGATAAACAAAAACTCCTGGTGAAAATAAGCAAAAGGGCAGGTAGAGTAAGTGAATATAAATTCCTCTTCAATTAATCAAATTTTTACTATAACTAAGTTTTTCAAATGACTGGAATTTTAGGAGAAAAAGACAAAGAAGGGAAGGACATAGCAGAAGCGAAGGAAAATAAGAGAAATAGAAGGAGTAAAAATGGGAGAAACAAAAATGAAGACAGAATCCTACAAAGAGAGATAGATTAAAAAAGCTAGAAGTGAGAAAGAGGCAGAGTTTACCACATGGTAGCGTCTCGATAAACGTATGTTAAAAAATGATAGTGTTTCATTAGAGATCAAAACTTGCAATTCATTTAAGGCAGAAGATTTCAAAGCAAACAAGCACACACACATTATAGCCTGCCTTTCAAATTAGTATTTTAATTAGGCACGGCTTAGTTGTTCGAATGCCCTTATCCTTAAATCTCTAGAGAAGAAATTATTCTTGGGGCTAGAGTAGCTACAGGCCAGATGGTATCAAGTTAAAAACCATGAGTGAAGACTGTAACTTTTCCTCCCTATTAAAATCCATCTATAGTTATAAATGCTAGACCAAAAGAACTGATACTGATGAAGCACTATGTGGTTTGAATTACAAAGCTTAAAATGTGTTTACTGTGAAATACTAAGGAAAACAAATGGACTAATACTTCTAAGAAAGATTTGCAATAACAGTTATTCTTTGCTTAGCTCAAAAAGAATAAGGAAAGTAAATAAGCATAAATGTCTTATTTCCTAAATATTTTAAGGATTTTCTGTAGTTTTCCTGCATTCAAATGTTTCAGGCCATACAAGAGGAAAAAAATAGGTGAGAGCAACAGCAATAATTTTAAATTTGGACCTCTCAGTCTAAAATAATGCTGCAATAGCCCTTTACCCTTTTAAAACAACATTTATCACACTTGTAATTATTCTATTCAGTTGTGTGTCTTCATGAGATTTTGGTTTTATGAAAACAGTATAGCATAATAGGTTCACAGATGGCTCTGCCACTTACTAGCTGTGTGATCTTGAGAAAGTACCTTATTATTCAACTGTGCCTCAGTCTACCCATTGAAACATAGGGCTAATAAGAGTACCTCCTCAGGTTAGTGTGATGAGTAAATAAGCTAATATGGAAGACACTTAGTGTATATAACAGGTACTCAAAAAACATTTGTTAAATAGTTGCTGGATGAGTTGAGTGTGTTGTTTTTTTGGGGAAAAGAAAAAAAAAAGACTGCCTCTCACATAAGACAAACTGAAACAGCAGACAGGATCCTGGGATACAGTACAGAACCATCTCCTGCCCAAGCAGTTGTCAACTGCTTTCCTCAAGTATTTTCTTTTTAAAAAAAAAATCAGACCTTTTCCAACCATGACGTTAGAGAATTCAGGAAAGCAGAAGAATGGGCTGAACATGGCCCATGTCTGGAAGCACCAAAACATTTATGTTCAGGAAAATTGGAGAGAAAAACAATTTCATAATGGGTATTAAGTTAATTAAATTTCATCTAGGCCTGAAATACATGAAAACAGAACAAAAACCCTCCCACTTTTTAGGTTTTTTTTTTTTTTCCCAGCTCTTTTACTTGGACATCTTAAAATTATTCACAATTAAGTTTTTCTCATATAAGTCTTTGGAGGGTAACATCGTTTTCATTTAAAAATGGGAAATGGAAGCAGAAGAAAACTAGATGATAAAGTTCTCAGTTCTTCACTGTGATTAACAGCTAAGCAGTGGCTAAAAGCTTGCATTTTTGGTGTTAGATTCCAAATCTACCACTAAATTTTCTTATCAGTAAAATGGGGAAAAGAACAGTATTTATTTCACTCAGTTGTTGTGGAGATAAAACGAGAAAATATGTAAAGGGCTTGACACTTAGGAAGTATTCAACAAGCAGTAGCCATTATTATTACCACAACTTTAAGATCACTATTGATAAGTTTAGAGGAAGAAACTTTTTATGAAGTGAATTACCTTTTGGGATCTGGGCACTATGGAGAAAATATCAACTAACAATCTGCTTGGGGACTCTATCTCTGGAGGAGAAACAGACTACACTTGGGGCAGTAAGTCAGAGTTCTAAATGTTCTTGGACCATCCTTCATACAAATCTCTTAAGTGATGGTAGGGTGATCTCAACCTAAATCTTTTAATTATAAATTCCACTCTCATTTCACTATATTCTACTACCTTACCATAGTGCTCACTTTAACTGGACCACAAGTTCAGTATAGTTTTCATTGTCTGAGACTTTAGGACTTTATTGGTTGTATCTTCAAGGATAATCTTCTGAAATGTGAGGCCAAATGCTTGGAGTTCAAGTTTCTTTAGTAGTCCCAGCAGACAGAGAAAGATTAAAAAAGAATGTAGCAACAAGTGTGTGTCAATAGAAAATTATTTTAATTGAAATGATCTATTTTAATTATCAACAAGTGTGTGTCAATAGAAAATTATCTATTGACACACACTTCCTTCTTTCTACTAACCATGACCTCTAAACTTCTCTTTCCATGCTTTAATAAATAAAAGGAGATTTCTTATTAAGGACAATATATTATCTTGGCAATTATAATCCTTTTATTGATAATATAAACCCAGACAAATAGTCTATCTGTAATAATATATAATAAACATAATGGCCATGCCCTAAAATCAACAGCTTAAGTTATAACAAACTTAATAAAATAAATGGTAAACAGAAAAACTGCTCCACCAACATAAGGCTAAGGCAAACACTTAACAATGTTATTTACTCCAGGGGGATTTTTATCTCCCTGCCTGCTTCCTTTTTCTTTGAACAAATGTTTTTGTATACCTACTATGTACTTGATACTGGGCTACTACAGTGAAGAAGGACACAATCTCTATTTTCAAAAGTGTGGTCTAAAGGCCAGGCTTGGTAGCTCATGCCTGTTGTCCCAGCACTCTGGGAGGGTAAAGTGGGATCGCTTGAGTCCAGGAGTTCGAGACCAGCCTGGGCAACATAGTGAGACCCTGAGTTAAAAAAAAAAAAAAAATTAGCTGGGTGTGGTGGTGCATACCTGTAGTCCCAGCTACTCGAGGGGCTGAGGTGGGAGGATCACTTGAGGCTACAGTGAGCTATGACTGCACCATTGCACTCCAGCCTGGGCAACAGAGCAAGACCCGGTCTCAAAAAGAAAAAGTGTAGTTTAATTATGGGAGGGGAGGGGACAGATGAGTCAAACTGATAAATATGTTATGTAATAAACATTATGATAGAGATATGCACAGGATACCAGGCAGACGCAGGGAAAGGGTATTCACTTTTTTTGTAGTTACAATAGTTTTCAGGAAATTGCTTTTCCATGCCTTCTTAAAAAAACTGATTTTGAATTCCATCTGTATCACTTTATCAACATCTTTTTTTTCCCTCAAAGATGACTAGGAATCAGTGACTGTCTTTTACTAGGTAAAATTTATACCATCAAATGGCACCAAAAATCTATTTAATCATGAATAAATATGCCAGTTTTGTAGACTTGGTCTTCCATAAGTTAATTTATGACCACTGATGGAATAACTCAGATTAATTATTGAAGAAGTTACAAAGTTCTCTCCAATCTGATTGGCTATAACAACTGAAATAAACAATCAGTCTCCCAAAGGGTTTTATTTGTTGACATGGCTCTTAATTACAGTGATACATTCTTTGCAATTACTTGCATTATTTCATTACAAAGTGAATGCATCGCCTTTAAGAAAAACTAGTCTTGCCCTAGGCCTGGTGCTATTTACCTACCTAGGACTAATTCTCAGTAAAGACAAAGAGGCAGAGTTTAGGCTTTTAAAATTCCACTGCTTCTTTCACAAGCAGCCTTCTGGAAGTCATCACTGAAGCTGTGTTCCTCCAGGCTTTTTTTGTTTATTGTCTCTCAACTTAAGTAAAGTACTGAAGTTAGACAAGGTTCTACATTTTGGTATCCATCTCTGGGATAGGGAAAATGATTCAGAAAATCAGATAGCCGGGGTTTGAAACAGGGCTGAAAATTTTAGAAACTGTGATTTTGCCATGTGAGCCGCAGTATCCTTATTGTGAAATGGTGAATAATGACTTTTTCCTTGTAGAGCTGTTACAGAATGCAATTAGATAATGTTTGTAAAGCACTTAAACTGTCTTTTGGCACAGGGAAAGCATTCAATAACCTCTATTTAATAAATTCCAGCAATACCTTTCCTAGTAGCGTCAAATTTGTTAGGTTTACATTAAAAAAACACAGACTATGCAAAATTTTATTTGTATGTCTAATTTTTGAGAGGAAGTGGTGGTTTTCATTAGATCTTGAAAGATTTCTGTCTAAACAGTAGTTAAGTGTAGAACCAAGGAAAAAAACTGGAAGTTAAAAACTCATCTATGACCACTTGTCTGTAAATAAACATTAAGTACAAAGATCATGTTGATTCTCAAAGAACTCCAAGCAGATTTGCCACTGCAGTTTCCCACCAGGAGGTCAGGGTATTGAGGAATGCATGCTAATACCCACCTTTTTATCTAGGAAAAGACAACTAACTATCGAAGAGGCAGTTACCACCCATTTTTTCCCTATTCAAGTTTTAGAATCAGTCAAATCTAGATTTAAATACAAACTAAGTGACTTTAAGTAATTTAACTTCTTTGACTATCAGTTTCATCAAGTATAATATGGGGATAAGAATACCTACCACATCATCTGTTGTGAAGATTCAATAAAATAATATATACATAAAATACGTGGCACTGGGGGGGTCGCGGTGGCTCATGCCTGTAATCCCAGCACTTTGGGAGGCCGAGGCGTGTGGATCACTTGAGGTCAGGAGTTTGAGACCAGCCTGACCAACATGGTGAAACCCTGTATCTACAAAAAATACAAAATCAGCTGGGCATGGTGGTGCACGCCTGTAATCCCAGCTACTTGGGAGGATGAGGCAGGAGAATCACTTGAACTCGGGAGGCGGAGGTTGCAGTGAGCGGAGATCACACTCCAGCCTGGGCAAGAAAAGCGAAACTCCGTCTCAAAAAAAAAAAAAAAAGTGATACGGAGCCTGACCTATTTAGTTTCAATTTTTGTTGTTGTGGTTGCCATTATTCTCATCAACTCCTCCCTGTTACACTCTCCATTTGGGAAGATAACCTGCAACGTTATTAGTAGACAAAAAGTGAGGAATAAAGATTTCTGTAATTCCTTTGATGCTCCTGGGAAGGAACTGAACACAGGGATCCCTGGACAAGGGAAATGGAACTTATAGCTAAGATGCTGTGGATAAAGCTGGCTTTACAAATAATCAGAATAGATGACTCCAATGTCATGTTCTTTGAGGGGTCCTGGAAAGGACCACCCAGCCCTCTAAATTGCTTTCACTGCCATCCTGCCTGAAATTCCATCTTTAGAAACACTGTAATTCCTCTGGATCACTAAGAGCTCCTGAGTGGGTACCAGGACTCCTGAGAGGTCCACCATCTCTCTTTATTGGAACCCCCTCCCCAGAGTACCAGTTCCTCCACAGGGGAACGAGACTGAGCCACTTACAGCTCCTGCCTTGAAGACTGGGAAGGGAGGGTGGGGGTGAGGGTGGGAGAACTCAGGGTTCCTGGCGAGGAACAAAAGCCGGGAAGGAGAGTTCTCCAAAACGCAGAGGAAAGCGGAGGGGGAAAAATGGGGCAGAAAGTGGAGCTAGAAAGAGAGGTAAGAAGAAAGCCAGAGAGACTTCTTCCTTCTGCAAATCGGTCTAAGTTTCGGGAGGTGGGATTGGGGGAGGAGGGGGTTCACCCTGGGGCCAGGCCAGGGCTGGGTGGAGGAGGCGGCCTTCGAGAGAGTGAGTCGGGAAAGAAGGGGAGTGGGCAAAGGGTGAGATGTGGGGTCCCGGTCCCCGCCTCGCTGGCTGCCAGTTCCCTCTGCGTTTCCTAGTCCGCGTGCGTGACACGAGATAGTGCAGCCCTGGCATGGGGCTTGGCATCTGGCGGCCGCGAGATAACCAGGGCCCGTGCGATGGGAAACGTGCCGTTGGCAGCCCGCCACCCCTCCATCGTGACCTCAGTCTGCCAAACAGGGTTCGTGATGCTCAGTTTACTAGGGAGGAGCCGCGGCTTTGAGATCTCGCCCAGCCCGAAGCAGCGGAGACTGGCCAGGAGCCCGGCTGTCAGACCTCGGAGCGCACGCTGCGGGCGGGGGCTCGGTCCACGGGGGAGGGTCAGGGGACGCGGGACTCACCCTTGAAGGAGTCGGGGAGCCGCTGGGCTTCGGAGTCCCGTGTGTGCCGCTTCTCGGCCATGCTGCCCGAGACGCAGTCGCACTCCCCCGTCCTCGTTGCCAAACCCGGAGCCGCCGGGAATGCCCTGAGGAGCCAGAGGCACAAGACCCAGATTGCCGCCCCGCCCCCAATCGAGGTCCCGCCCTCGTGAGAGTTGGCCAATCAACGCCCAGGATCGAGGAGGACCCACCTCCCAATCCCCGCCCTCCTGTCCCTCCACGGCGCGACTGCTTCGCAGTCACTTCCCGCTAGTTCTGTGGGCTGAGGGGCGTGGCCTGAGGGGCGTGGCCTGAGGGGCGAGAGCCCCCAAGGCTGTGGGTATGAGGCCGGGGCCCTGCACCGGAAGGGAGGGCGGAAGCCACGGGACGTGGAGCAGATGGTGAGGATAGTGGGGAGGTAGCAGCAGAGGATGACCCGAGGCAAAAGTGCAAGTGAAGAAAAGTCGCCTTGCCGGGCAGAGGTACGGGACCAAGGCGCCTCCTCTGGGCTGAGGAGTTAGAGGGAAGAAAATGGCGCCCTGTCATGAGGGCGCGAGGTCCGAGTTGAGGGGAGAAGACTGAGGGACACAGAAGTGGCCGAAGTGAGGGCGCTGAGGTCAGCCTGAGCTGAGAGGGCCGGCAGATCACGCCGCAGCCGAAGTGAACGAACTCGAGTGAGGTGTGTTAAGAAAATCAAAATGTATAAATTTGGAAAAGGAGAGGAGGCCGGGCGCGGTGGCTCACGCCTGTAATCCCAGCACGTTGGAAGGCCGAGGCGGGTAGATCATCTGAGGTTAGAAGTTCGAGACCAGCTTGGCCAACATGGTGAAACCCCGTCTCTGCTAAAAATACAAAAATTAGCCGGGCGTGTGGCGCGCGCCTGTAATCCCAGCTACTTGGGAGGCTGAGGCAGGAGAATCGCTTGAACTTGGGAGGCAGAGGTTGCAGTGAGCCGAGATGGCCTGGGTGACAGAGCGAGACTCCGTCTCAAAAAAACAAAACAAAAAACAAAAAAACAGGAGAGGAGACTTTATTTCTTGTAAGGGGTTACAGCCTGCAAGGTGGCCATTCCGCAGGCTGGAGAATGGCCAGGACCAGAGACAGGCATTTCGTTGGAGGAGGGGTTGGAGTAGCGGCTTTATGCTGAACAGCTTGGGTAGACATGCATATTCAGCAGGTGACAGGAGGAGCTATGAATATTCATGAGGGTGGTCCTGACGCATGCCCATTGAGCAAACATGCATGTAACATACAACCCATGTTCATTTTGGAGTGAAGAGTTACCAATTAAATGTTAAATGCCTGGCCTGCATGGTGACGTCCCCATCTCTACAAAAAGTAAAAAAAAAATAGCCAGGTGGGGTGGTGTGTGCTTGCGGTCCCAACTAGTCAGGAGGCTGGGGCAGGAGGATCACTTGAGCCCAAGAGTTGGAGGCTGCAGTGATGTATGATCAGATCACTGCACTCCAGCCTGATGGACTCTAAAAAATAATAACAATACATGTATTACAGTTAGACCCCATGCGTCAAAAGGTCTTTTCAGGACAGGAAGGTGTGCAAGTATGCAGTCTGTGTAAACTAGCCAGAGCCAGTCCATGGTCGGTAGTTTTCCTATGAGGAGAAAGTTACTGAAATCAGCCTCTTGTCCAATTAAAGCTGTAATGATGGCTGGTGGAATAGGGGTTCCATTAGGCCACATCTGGTGGAGCTGCAAATTGTTTTAATATTGCTTATCTCGAGGCCAGTGCTTGTTAAGCTGCTAGAGAAAGAGAACAACCTTGTGGCAGTTAGAACACAGTTTATTCTCTAAGTGAAGGGATGTGTGCCTTAACCTTTGCCTGGCATGACCTTAGGTATAATTTGTTTATAATTTGGTATCTTATTGTCACAAACAGTCTGTTCTGTCAGTCTTATGATCTGTGTTTTAACGTTAATGCTGGTCAGCTGTTGTGTCTAAACTCCAATACGATGAAGTTATAATGAGGCGAGTCTGACCTTCTGTCCTGTCATTGGCTGGGAACTCAGTTTTAAAGTTTTCTGGAGTCCCCTTGGCCACAAGGGAGTCCATTCAGTCGGTGGGGTCATTTATTCAAACAAAATCTTCTTGGAGCATCTTCCATGTGGCAGGGAGTGTGCTAAGGGCCTCGTGGAGTTTACCTTATACTCTAGTTGGGAGATGGGCCACAAACAAGTAATTGAATCATTACACATGGTGAAGGAAGCTGTGAAAGGAGTGGAATATTCGGAGAACAGCAAAGGTTAGGACAGGGGAACACCTCTGTAAGGAAGGGGCTTTGAGATGTCGCCTGAGAAATGAGAAGGAGCCAGCCTGGGGAAGGGGAATAAGCGGTGCAGGAGGTGGGAAAGGGTATCCCAGGTAGAGGGAAAAGCATGTGCAAGGGCATTCCCAACCTCAGGCCTTCTCTTGGGGTGTGGCTGAAGACCTCATATTTGGAAAGTAGGCTGTGTTTGCATTAGACTTGTTCTATTGCACAATGTTCAAAGTATGTTAATGTACACAAGGTGCACTTATAAAAACATTCGATTTTGAAATAAGTACAGATTCACAGGAATTTGCAACAACAGTACAGAGAGGTCACATGTCCCCTTTACCCAGTTTCCCCCAATAGTTACGTCTTACTTAACTAGAGTATCAAAACCAGGAAATTGACAGTGGCACAAAATGTATTTATAGTTCTGTGCCATTTTAACATGTGTAGATTGATATAACCACAGTAATTGATACAGAACTATTCCATTACCACAAAGATCTCCCTCAGGAGGAGCACTTCTTTCTTAATGTGCTCAATATTTGGCTGTGTACTACCCAACACCTTGTGGTGCTTAGGTCATATGAAATGGTAGACTTTCTCTCTGATTTTACAGCTCTGGAGCTTTGTGACTATCAGGACGGAAACGGGAGCAGACACAACAGGTGTTAAGAGAGGCATTAAGATGATCTTTGCTTGCAGGAACAGGCTCCAGTGTGTGATCAAAACCTGACTCAGAGCTTGCAGTTGACTTTTAGTCAAATACTGGCCAAGAACTGTTTGTATTCCTGGGATGGAGTGCAGCTTGTGCAGTCACTTTGTTAGCCTTCTGGAGAAGATAAGGAGGGGAGTACAGTAATTTAATGATCCCTTCTCTCTAAATCATCCTTGAGAAAGTCCATAGCTTCATTTTTCCATTCTGTAACGAATAAGCCCTGGAGACATAAACTTCCCGTTTATCCTGTCATTCCCAGGAAAGAGGAGCAAATACACAAGAAACTAATTAAACCCTTCGGTAGAGGAGGCCTTGATTACAAATTGCATATTGTGAAAAAGGATTTAGGTTTCATTTTTGTTGGAAAGGAAAATGGTATTTCAAAATGAATTTAATATGTGTACCCCTATCAGTTACCTAAGCCCAAGTCTCAAGACAATCTTAACAGTGTAGTGTCCCTTCTGGAGAATTAGAAGTGTCTCCCTTTGGGGTAAAGACTTTGGTAAACACTTCTTGGCTCTGGTTTCAGATTGCATCAGTTCTAAAACTAATTCCTGGCCCTAAACTAAGAACAAGCTTTGACTTGATTTTTAAACTGCTTTTAGAATAGAGTTTCCAATTTTTTATTTAAATATGCTTACTCTCACTTGCCCATGAAATTGGTGTATTCTGGCTTTCTCGTGCATATTCTGTTATAAATGTATTGATTAAATGTACTTTAAAAATCAATTTCTCACTCTTAAGATTAGAAAAAAACAAATATTAGTACATCCCTTTCTCCTTTTGGAGGATTTTTAATCTTAAATTTTCTCCCAGTAATGATTAGAAGTTAGAATGATTTTTTTTAAAGAACCTTATGGCCAGGCGCAGTGGCTCATGCCTGTATCCCAGAACTTTGGGAGGCTGAGGTAGGCAGATCACTTGAGGTCAGGAGTTTGAGACCAGCCTGGGCAACATGGTAAAACCCCGCCTCTACTGAAAATACAAAAAATTAGCCGGGCATGGTGGCGCATGCTTGTAATCCCAGCTACTTGGGAGGCTGAGGCAGGAGAATTGCTTGAACCCGGGAGGCGGAGGTTGCAGTGAGCGGAGATCATGCCACTGCACTCCAGCTTAGGCAACAGAGTGAGATTCCATCTCAAAAAATAAAATAAAATAAATAAATAAATAACATTATGCTTTTTAAATGGAGACATATAAAATTGTGAGTACTTTGAAGAGAGAATTTCTTATCACCTCTAACAAAACTGCTATTACAATTTTGGTGAATTTTTCCTCTAGTTGTTATTTGAAGGATACTTATATATAGTTTGAAAATCAGAGTAGATGTTCCATATTTCCTTTATTTTTTATTTTTATTTTTTATTTTTTAGATGGAATGTTGCTCTGTCACCCAGGCTGGAGTGCAATGGCATGATCTCGACTCACTGCAACCTCTGCCTCCTGGGTTCAAGCAATTCTTCGGCCTCAGCCTCCCGAGTAGCTGGGACTACAGGCACCTGCCACCACGCCTGGCTAATTTTTTGTATTTTTAGTAGAGACGGGGTTTCACTGTGTTAGCCAGGATGGTCTCGATCTCCTAACCTCGTGATCCACCTGCCTTGGCCTCCCAAAGTGCTGGGATTACTGGCGTGAGCCACCACGCCTGGCCGTTCCGTATTTCCTTTATGTTTTATTTTGCTGTTATTTGCCTAGCATATTCAAGGTACCAAATTAAGTATTGATTGATGGTAATAGTGATAACATTAAGACTTGGAGATCAGGTTAAAGACAGATATGCACCATGAATCCGTAATTGAATAAGACAGAAGGAAATTTAATTAGCCTTTTTCCTGTGTCCATAGCAGTGCTTTAATAAGAACAATAGAAAAGTCTTTTTTTTTTCCTTTAAATTGCTAATCCAGGATGTTTTCGATGCTTTTATGGAAGTCAGCTAACTAAATACCTTGAGAGAACAGCAATACCATCAAATTACATCTGTCTGTGACATTTTCTCTAGGATGGGACTAACAAATTTGATCTGTTTTTTTTTAATATGTATTAATTCACACTTATTGCATTACAACAAGGTTTTTGTCTTCTTAGCTCTTCTCTTTTTCAGGAAATTACTCCAGGATTTGAATCATCACAAGAGATTCACCAGAGGATTTTATACACTTGGGCTGTGGCAGCAGACTAATTACATCACAGCACTAGGTAAGATACCGGGAGTCCGGATCCTCAGGACTTATGAAAATAAAAAGCATTACTGTAATATTAGTGCTATTTATTGGAGTTATCTATGAAAAGAATCTTATTAATCTGCTTTTTTATTAGCTCACTTAGCAAATATTTATTGCATACCAACTATGTGCCAGGCATTGTTCCAGGTGTTTGGGCCACATCAGGGACCAAAAAAGACCAAAATTCCTGTCCTCGTGGATCTCACATTCTAGTATTCCTTTCCATATGCATTAGCTTGCTAGGGTTTCCATAACAAAATATGACAGACTGGGTAGCTTAAACAACAGGAATTAAATTTTTTTTTTTTTTTTTTTTACACTTCTAGAGGCTAGAAGTGCAAGAACAAGATGTTAGCAGGGTTGGTTTCTCCTAAGGACCATGAAGGAAGGATCTGTTCCAGGCCTCTGTCTTTGACTTGTAGATAAATGTCTTCTTCCTGTGTCTTCACATTGTTTTTTGTTTGTGTGTCCGTGTCCAAATTTCTTCTTCTTAGAAGGATACCAGTCATATTCAATTAGAGTCCATCCTAATGACTTCATTTTAACTTAATTACCTCTTTAAAGATCCTTTATCCCAAGATAGTCACATGCTGAGATATATGGTGTTAGGACTTCAACATGTGAATTTTGGGGGAACACAGCCCATAATATCACATATGATTACTGTGTATCCACATCTTTGTGTTGTCTGTGTTCTCCTATCCACATCCCTGAGATATCCAAAGCCATTTATGTTTACTTGCAAAATGTGTCCAGTGACCTGTAATTATGAGTGATTACTTTTCTAGGTATGACTTATTATTTTGAAAGTTTTACTTTTTAATTGACATATAATAGAGGTATAAATTTTCAGGGCACATGTGATTATTAAATACATTTGTATAATTTGTAAAGGTCAAATCAGTGTAATTGGGATATCTATCACCTTGTTTGTTTTTTATTTATGTTAGAAACATTTGAATTATTCTCTTTTCGCTATTTTGAAATATACAAGACATAATTTAATTTTAAGCTATACTAAAAAGTTCTTGGTTAGGAAGGATTATTCTACTTGGAATGATGCTCCATCTAGTGTTCACCATATTCTACTACTTTTGTTAAAGTTTTAAAAATGAATAAAGGGGAAACTGTGTTGAAGAAGGGGTCCTCTATTTAACAGTTAGGTTCTTACTCACAGAGCACTATGGATTCATAGTAAAAAAAAAAATATTGTTTCAAATACCATATGTGGGAGGAAAGAGCGGTCTATATAAGACATTACTTTTAATAATTCAAGAAATATCGTTACCATCATTTACTGTCACCACCAGTTACGATGTACTTTTATCCCATGAGGAGACTGAGACTGAGTTTAGTCATTTACCCAAAATTTCACAGATCTTGGTCAGGTACAAGTCAGTGATGGAGATATTGTTTGCCCTACATACACTGTGTAATTCCTGAATTTGAACTCCTAATTATTCAGAATAAATAAAAAGAGACAAAAAGACACAAACTTGTCCTGATGCACTTTTTAGATATGAACACATGTAAGCATATACCTAATTGGGTACTGAAGTTTCCCTTCAATTTTAGTACATTTTAATCCTTGTCTTATATTGAAATGTTATCTTTTTGTTCAGTATTTTATCATTGTTGATGTGCTGTGTCAGAATGTGTCTGTCCATCTTAGATAGTAAATTTATAAATGACAGGACTTAATCCACAACCAAATCAGCATATTATAGTTTATTTCATTGTATATCTTGAATGAAATTGAAAAATTTAAATAACTATTTAAAAGTTTGGACTTTCCTCTTTGTAGTTTTAAAACATAATTTTTGTTTTTCTCTTGTACAAGTTGAATGGGGCAGCTTGACTGCTTGGAGACATCAGGAAAGACTTCCAGGGAAACAGGAGTTTAGTAGGATAAACATGGCTTACAATAGGATGCTTCAGGAATACAGAAAGGTCCTTGTAAATTCATAGGCGTGTGTCAGAGCTTGACACTTTTGGGTAAATGTAAGTAGTAACAGTGCAGGCAGTGGTGTTGAAAAATGACAGTGGATTAAAAGGCATAGCCTAAACTTAAAAGATAACTATGAAGCTGCTCAAAGAGCTTAACAATGGGAGTGGAATGAACATATTGGACTTATCAAAATATTATATAATGGACAATCTAAATAGGCTTATATATATTAAATAATTGAATTAATAATGATAATTTCTAGAACAGAAAGCACCAAGTCCAGATGGGCTCATTGGCAAATCCTACCAAATATTTAAGAAAAATATTGTACCAATGCTCTATAATCTTTCAGAAGACAGAAGCAGAGGAAACATTTCCTAACTCATTTTATGAGGCCATAATTACTCTAATATCTAATACCAAAATCAGACAGAGACATTAGAAAAAAAGAAAACTACAGACAAATATGGCTTATGAACATAGATGCAAAAGTCCTCAACAAAATATTAGCAAATCCAATCCAATGATGTATAAAGATAATTATGCATTATGACCAAGTGCAGTTTATTCTAATAATGCAAATCTGGTTCACCATTTGAAAATCAATTAATGTAATCTGTCATATCAACAGGCTAAAGAAGAAAAATCACATGATCATATCAATAGATGCAGAAAAAGCATCTGACAAAAACCAGCTCTCATTCATGATCAGAACTCTCAGCAAACTAGTAATAGAGGGGAACTTACTCAACTTGATAAAGAACATATGCAAAAATCTTTCAGCTAACATCGTACTTAATGGTAAGAAATTGAAGCTTTCCCACTAAGATCAGGAGCAAGGCAAGGACGTCTCCTTTGACCAACCCTTTTCAACATCATATTTATTGGAAGTCCTAGCTAATGCAATAAGACAAGAAAAAGAAGTAAAAAGTATACAGATTGGGAAGAAGAAAATAGAACTGCCTTTGTTTGCAGATGACATGATTATCTATGTAGAAAATCTGAAAGAATTGACCAAAAAAACCCTCCTGGAGCTAATAAGCAATGATAACAAGGTGGCAAAAATAGGTTGATATACAAAAGTTAATTGCTTTCCTATATGCCAGCAACAAACAAATGAGATTTGAAATTAAAACCAAAATCCCATTTACAATAATACCCCCAACTTAAATACTTAGGCATAAAACTAACAAAAATATGTAAGACCTTTATAAGGGAAGTTATAAAACTCTGATGAACATATAAAAAGCTAAATAAAGGAGAGAGATTCCATGTTTATGGATAGGAAGACTCAATATTACCAAGACATCACTTCTTCCCAACTTGATGTATAGATCCAAGGCAGACCAAACCAAAATCCCAGAAAATAATTTCCTGGATATTAACAGAATCTTTTTTTTTTTTTTTTTTTTTCCTGAAACGGAGTCTCACTGTGTTGCCCAGGCTGGAGTGCAGTGGGGCGATCTCGGCTCACTGCAAGCTCCGCCTCCCAGGTTCACACCATTCTCCTGCCTCAGCTTCCCGAGTAGCTGGGACTACAGGCGCCCGCCACCACGCCCGGCTAATTTTTTGTATTTATAGTAGAGATGGGGTTTCACCCTGTTCACCGGGATGGTCTCAATCTCCTGACCTCGTGATCCCCCCGCCTCGGCCTCCCAAAGTGCTGGGATTGCAGGCGTGAGCCACTGTGCCCGGCCTATTAACAGATTCTTAAGTTTATAAGGACAGGCAAAAGACCTAGTATAGCAAACATAATATTGAAGAAGCACAAAGTTGGAGGACTGTCACTACCTGACTTCAAGACTTACTATAAAGCTACAGTAATAAGGACAGTATGGTATTTGCAAAATAATAGAAAAATAGATCAATGGAACAGAATAGAGAGCACAGGTATAGACCCATACAAATACTATCAACTGATTTTTTTTATAAAGGAGCAAAGGGAATACAATGGAGAAAAGATAAGTTTTCAACAAATGGTGCTGAACAAGGGGATGTTCACATGCAAAAAGATGAATCTAGACACAGATCTTAAACTTCACAAAAATCAGCTCAAAATGGATTATAGACTGAAATGTAAAATGCTAAACTATGAAACTCCTAGAAGATAACAGAAGAAAATCTAGATGACCTTGGGTTTGAGGTGAATATTTTAGATCCAACACCAAAGGCATGATCCATGAAAGAAATAATTGATAAGTTGTACTTCATTAAATTAAAAACGTTTAATCTGTGAAAGCACTGTCAAGAGAATGAAATGACAAGCCACAGACTGGGAGAAAACATTTGCAAAATACATTTGATAAAGGACTGGGGTCCAAAGTACTCTAAAAACTCACCAAAGAAGACATACAGATAGCAAATAAGCATATGAAATTGTCGACATTGTATGCCATTAGCAAATTGCAAATTAAAACGAGATACCACTACATACATATTAGAATGGCTCAAATGCAAAACATTAACAACATCAAATGCCAAATGCTGGTGCAGCAAGAACTCTTCATTCATTGCTGGTGGGAATGCATAATGGTAGAGCCGTTACACAGTGCCAATCATAATCCGAAAGACAAAATCCCAAATGCCATAATCTCAAATGCCTATGAAGTGTTCGGTTGTGTTTTTATGTTTCTCAAACAAACCTCCTTTACAAATGTAAGTAAATGTCTTTAAAAAATTGTTTTTTAATTATCTTTCCAGAATTATATTGTGATTTTGGTCTATCAGGATCAGGATTTTTGGGATTTTAGACTTTAGGGATTTTGATCTTTTGGGATTTCAACATTTGATATTACAGCATTTGCAATTGTATCTTTCAGGAGTATGGCCCAAACCCCAGCCATGTAGAAAACAATTTGATAATTTCTTAAAAAACTAAACACCCAGCCACTGTTGAAAATAGTTTGTCAATTTCTTAAAAAAACTAAACACACTTTTGCCATACAATCCAGTAATCATGAGCCTTGGTATTTACTCAGATGAGTTGAAAAGTTATGTCCACATAAAACCTGCATGCAGATGTTTATAGCAGCTTTATTCATAATTGTCAAAAATTGGAGGCAACCAAATTGTCTCTTAGTAGGTGAATGGATGAATAAACTGTAGTACATCCAGACAATGGAATATTTTTCAGTGCTAAAAAGAAATAAGCTATCAGCTGGGTGCAGTGGCTCACGCCTATAATCCCAGCAGTTTGAGAGGCCGAGGTGGATGGATCACTTGTGCCCAAGAGTTCGAGACCACCCTGGCCAACATGGCAAAAACCCATCTCTACAAAAAATACAAAAATTAGCCAAACGTGGTGGCATGTGCCTGTAGTCCCAGCTACTTGGGGGGACTGAGAGAGGAGGATTGCTTGAGCCCGGAAAGGAGAGGCTGTAGTGAGCCATGTTTGTGCCACTGCATTCCAGCCTGGGCACAGAGTGAGACCCTGTCTCAAAAAAAAAAAAAAAAAAAAGGAAAAGAAAAAGAAGCCATCAAGCTGTGAAAAGACATAGAGAAATCTTAAATGCACATTGCTAAGTGAAATGAGCCAATCTGAAAAAGCTATATACTATATGACTTCAACCATATGACATTCTGGAAAAGACAAAACTATGGAGACAGTAGAAAGGTCAATGGTTGTGAGAGATTGGAGGGAGGGAGGAAAAACTGTGAAGAATGTAGGGAATTTTTAGGGCAGTGAAACTATTCTATATGGTACTATAATGGTGAATGAATGTACTTATGTGTTTGTCAAAACCCATAGAATGTACAACACCAAAAGTGAACTCTAATGTAAACCATGGACTTTGGATGATAATAAAATGTCAATATAGGCTAGTTGATTGTAACAAAGGCAAGAGGTGTTAATTGTGGGGAGGCTGTGTGTGTGTGTGTGTGTGTATGTATGTGTATGTATGTGTGTGTGGGAGCAAAAGTCATAAAAGAAAATTCTCTGCACTTTCTGCTCTATTTTGCTGTGAACTTAAAACTGCTCTAAAAAATAAAGTTGATTTTTTTAAAAAGCATGCTATCAGTAAGCCACCCAGACTTCAATCTGTTTCACTCTTGAATGAATTCACATCAGGCATCCTTTTTACATAACTTTAAATTGATTTTTAAGAATGAGACTTAGAATATAAACACTGATGATCCTGCCAGACAAAAAAGCTTCTTGTAAACATATATACCATTAGGAAGCAAAAGAAAGGAGGAAGTTAAACAAATAAAAGATACATAACAAATAGCTTCATATTTAATGAATTGATCCCAGTATGTCATTTGGGACTAGCTGACCATAAAATATCCTCCTACTACCCTTGAAATATTTTTTCTTGGGTCTTCAGCATAATAGCTGTGGAGCTACTGGGTCCAGTTACTGTATTATTGGGTGTTTTATGGGTGCTATTTGTACACTGTATCTTTATTTTAAAAACCTATTTTGGCTGGGTGCAGTGGCTCACGCCTGTAATCCCAGCACTTTGGGAGGCCAATGTGGGTGGATCACTTGAGGTGAGGAGTTGGAGACCAGCCTGGCCAACATGGTGAAACCTCATCTCTACTAAATATACGAAAAATTAGCCAGGCATGGTGGCATGTGCCTGTAATCCCAGCTACTCGAAAGGCTGAGGCAGGAGAATTGCTTGAATCCGGGAGGCAGAGGTTGCAGGTAGCTGAGAGCATGCCACTGCACTCCAGCCTGGGTGACAGAATGAGACTCCAATTCAAAAAAAAACAAACCAAACCAAAACAAAAAAAACCTGTTTTGAGAAGTCAGCAATGGTCAGTTCAATATTGGCCATTAAGTAATGCAAGCATTGTAATGTAAGGTTTGATTATTGTATTTGTGTTACCTATCATTTTACAGTACTAAATTCCCATAAGCCATGACAAGTTACCTTTACAAGTTACATTCATGTTTTACCTTTCTTTATATTGACTATTCTCTGTTTATAGAGAAGAGGTGAATGAGTGAAATATTAGCTACTATAAAATAATGGCTACCATGTCCATAAAATAATAGACTGCCTGGTCTACTAGATGCCAGTAATCATATTAATAGCTTTATATAATTATCTCCTTTAATCTTTGCAAAAAGTCTGCATTATAGTTCTCAGCCCTCTTCTAAATTGAGGGAACTAAGGTTCAAAGAGATCAACTAATTTGGTCAAAGTCACACAGGAAGGCAGTACAGAGTAATAGTTAAATGCACAGTCTTTGTGGCCTAATTCCCTGTGTTAGTATTCTTGTTCCACCATTTCCTAAATCTGTGACCTTAGGCAAGTTATCTAACTCCTTTAATGTCATTTTTCTCATCTGTAAAATGAAAGACTAAGTGAAATAATTCATGTAAAGTGCTCAGCACAGTGGCTGGTACAGAGTGAGTACTTCATAAATGTTAGTGGTTATTAAAAGTAATTGTATATTACACAGTCATTGTATATTCTTTTTATTATTACAAATAGGTGACAACATGGATTTAAACTTAAGTCTCCCTGGCCCTGAAGTTCCCTTCTTTTCCTTTACTCAACTCTCTCTGTGTAAATTTTTAGTCATTGGTGAAGAGAGAACTGATTCTCCTAAATGGCTTTACCTCTGTGAAAAAACAGATTTGCCAGTTTATCAGTCAGGTTAGGCTAGGTTTGCTGCATTAATGAACAACTTTTATATATCCTTAGTTTATCACAAACAAGTTTATTTCTCATTTCCATTTTATGTCCTATGTGGCTTGACTGGGAGACTTCTTTCATTATAGTCACCCAGGAATCTAGGCTGAGGGATGCTCCATTTGCCGTATGTTTTATCATGGCCAAGGCAGAAAAAAAGGGAAATGGTGACTTCTGCACTGGTTCTTAAATATTTCTTTTTAGAAGTGACAAGTGCCACTGCTGCTTATAATTTCATTGGTCAAAGCCAGTAGCATGACCAGGTCTAACTTCAAGGGCTTTAGGAAAGAGAGGAGAATTAGACATAAGTGAGCAGCATTAATAACTACCACAGCGGCCAGGCACGGTGGCTCACGCCTGTAATCCCAGCACTTTGGGAGGCTGAGGCGGGCGGATCACGAGGTCAGGAGATTGATACCATCCTGGCTAACACGGCAAAACGCCATCTCTACTAAAAATACAAAAAAAATTAGGCAGGCGTGGTCGTGGGCCCCTGAAGTCCCAAAAACTCAGGAGGCTGAGGCAGGAGAATGGCGTGAACCCGGGAGGTGGAGCTTGCAGTGGGCAGAGATGGCGCCACTGCACTCCAGTCTGGGCGACAGAGCGAGACTCCGTCTCAAAAATAAAATAAAATAAAATAACTACCACAGCAAATTGAACTTTTTGAGTTTCCTAATTTGATATTTCTCTTTTTGATTTCTAAATTTCTTCTTATGTGTATAGATTCACTTGGTAAAAACCTAAAGATAACTTCATAGAAATAGTTCTCTTTCAGAGAGGTCCATCGGAATTATCTGGATACAGTTTCCAAAATGATGTGCCCAGGCCCCACTCAAGACTTAATGAATTGAAATATATGAGAGTCAGGCTCTGGGCGTGTACATTTTGAAAAACTCCTCGGATGGTGCTGGCTTGCACTCTGTTGTGTTTATGCAATAGTAAACCGATACGTGTTTTCAAGGATCTTGCTGAAGACAGATGGGAGGAAGCAGAGCTGAAAGGATCAGAAAGAGGAAGGGACAAGGTAGAAATTACGACTCAAGTGTGGCAGGGTTCTGAGCTCAGACTTAAGCTGTACTTACCTTAGAAGTTCACATTGGGAGATATATCTGGGCATGCCTAGATGACTGGTGGGTCAGTCATCAGAGTTCCCTTTTTATAAGGTAACATGGATCCTCCTGGGAAAAACTTCATCTTAAATTGAGAGACTTTTTTCCCCAATATTTAATTGAAAAATTTTTAATCATACGGAAGGTTGAAAGAATTTACCCATCATTTAGATTTGATAGGTGCTATCATTTTGCTGTATTTGCTTTATTTGCTAATTTTTATAGCCACTGATGATCATTACCTGAATCAATTATTTCACTGAGGAGTGGGCATTGGCAAATGGTGATTTTTCCGATGTATCATTTCTTCTACAATTATTATCTACATTCTTCTATTAAAAGAGAACTTCCCTTTATCAATTGGAGATGAAGTAAATTTTCCTAAAAAGACATCATAAATGCTTCATTATTTTAATTTGGAAAGAGTTTTCAGGAACCTATGTTTGGTTTAAGGACAGTTGACCTACATTGTAGTGAACAGATGAGCTGAGTATAGCAGAGGCTTGTGCATATTTTTCTACAGCCCAACCCTCAGAATGCTAGAGCAAGGTAGCTGCGGTGAAAAATAGTGTAGAAATTACAGTGGCTATATCACTGAGGACAGAAAGACTTGGCAGCGTGATCAGAGCTCACTGCAAACTCTGCCTTCCGGGTTCAAGCAGTTCTTTGCCTCAGCCTCCCGAGTAGCTGGGATTACAGGCGCCTGCCACCACGCCTAGCTAATTTTTGCATTTTTAGTAGAGACGGAGTTTCACCATCGTGGCCAGGCTGGTCTTGAACTCCTGACCTCATGATCCACCTGCCTTGGCCTCCCAAAGTGCTGGGATTACAGGTGTGAGCCACTGCGCCCAGCCCAACAAGGTCCTGTCTAGGTAAAGGAAACGCATAGGCGAAAGTGATGGATAGAATTTGAAAAGCAGAGAAAAGATGGCAAGTGGCTCAGATTGAAAGAGAAATTCCAAATATACTAGTTAACTAGTTGAGGGAACCAGAGAGTCTCTGGATATTTAATGACAAGCTTAAATAAGCTAATCTCTGATGGAAGTCAGCATTGCATGAATGGTTGAAGGGCCAAAAACATGATATATCCCTTTATATGTTTAAGTGTTTTTTTGTGCTTCTCAATGCCATGTGATGTTTTTTATGGTAAATACTGAGATTTAACAAAATATAAATTAAAAGTTTATTCTTGATACAATTAATAGCTCCTGAAAAGTTAAAATGATCTAGAAATCAGAATTCTTTTAATCTATACTGAATGTAGGGGTTGTGGTTACTAAAAATTAGTCAAACCATATTTGGGAATTAAAGAAATAATGATTGCTGGCCAGGTGTGGTGGCTCACGCCTGTAATCCCAACACTTTGGGAGGCCAAGGCAGGTGGATCACTTGAAGCTAGGAGTTTGAGACCAGCCTGGCCAACCTGGTGAAATATATATATATAAATTTGCTGGGTGTGGTGGTGCATGCCTGCAATCCCAGCTACTTGGGAGGCTGAGGCATGAGAATCACTTGAATGTGGGAGACAGAGGTTACCGTGAGCCTAGATCGCACCACTGCACTCCAGCCTGGGTGACAGAGCGAGACTCTGTCTCAAAAAAAAAAAAAAAGATTGCTTTTTCCCTTTCACTTACCCTTTTTTTTGGAAAGATAAAACAAAGTGACTTTCTTATTATCTCATGTTTCTTGTAAACAGTGATTTCTTGGTAGAGAAATAAAAATTGTTTCTTAATTGGGAGAAAAGAAATTAACAGCTATTGCTGTGGTTGGTTCTATTTTTATTATTTATTGGCTAAATGTACATAGACTGAAAGGAAAATTAAAAGACAAACTATTCACTAAATCCTGGAAAACAGTATATGTTATAATCTGCATTTCATAAAATTAAGGGATAATTTTAAACATATTTCCTCAAACAGTAATATAATTAAGTTATGCTTAGTATTCAACTAAGTGATTAGAATTCAGTTGTAGTGGTACTTATCTTTTTAAAAAATATAAAAGTTACCATGTTTTTACAGAGTGGAAATACAGTAATTAATAAAAGTGTTCCATTGTGTAGGCTATTTTCTTCCCCCCGAGTGAAGCTAATCAGTTAGTTTCATGCTCCATATGCAGTCGTTGGATCATTTTTAAATGATCAATGATCATTCTTAAATGTGTCAATGAAAAGCGCCAAACTTTGTCAAATATTTGAAGAGATTTATTCTGAAACAAATAAGGGTAGCCATGGCCTGAGGCACAGTCTCAAGAGGTCCTAAGAACATGTGCCCAAGGTGGTTAAGTTACAGCTTTATTTTATAGGTTTTATGGAGACATACACCATCAATTATTACATGTGAGATATACATTAGTTTGTTCCGGAAAGGTGGGACAACTCAAGATGGGGAGGGGAAGGAGGGAACTTCCAGGTCATAAGATTTTCTGATTGGCAATTGATTGAAAGAGTTATTATCTAAAGACCTAGAATCAATAGAATGGAATGTCTAGGTTAAAATAAGGGGTTGTGAAGACCAAGGTTTTATCATGCAGATGAAGCCTCCAGGTAGCAGGCTTCAGAGCTCTTATCAGACCTGAAAAGGTGCTACTCTCTTAGTTAATTTTCTCTCCTGGATCAGGAAAAAGACCTGGAAAAGGAATGGGAATTCTCTATAGAATGCAGATTTTCCCCACAAGAGACAGCTTTGCAGGGCCACTTCAAAATATGTCAAAGAAATACATTTTGGGGTAAAATACTTCAATTTCTTTCAGGGTCTGCTATCCATTATGTGATGCTATACTAGAATCAGGCTGGAATTTGGTGTCCTATTGCTACAAAAAGTCTGTTTTGTCAGTCTTAAGATCTCCGTTTTAGTGTTAATGCTGGTCAGCTGTACCTGAATTCCAAAGCAAGGAGGGTATAATGAGGCATGTCTGACCCCCACTTCTCATCATGGCCTGAACTGGTTTTTCAGGTTAATTCTGGAATGCCCTTGGCCGAGGGGAGGGTCCATCAGCTGATTGGGGAGTTTAGAATTTTATTTTTGGTTTATAATACTAATTATAGTAAATGAATATAAAAATTTAAATAAAATATTTAAAGCTGGAATTTCTAATTTGTTTTGAAAATTTAATTAAATACTGGTAAACATCTTATAAAAATAAAACTAATTATGACTCTAGAATTAACACCCAAATGTCAGTATAAAACTGGGACCCCCAAACTCACTATGCTAAAGAGAATAACTTGCTTCATACTTATTACACCTAGACATATACACGCATAGATTCATGAGTAAGTAATATGAGCTGGGCATGGTTGGCTCATACCTCTGATCCCAGCACTTTGAGGGGCCAAGGAGGGAGAATCATTTGAAGCCAGGAGTTCAAGATCAGTTCTGGTGTTACAGGAAAAGGGTCCTGATCCAGAACCCAAGAGAGGGTTCTTGGATCTTGCACAAGAGAGAATTCAGGGCAAGTCCACAGAGTAAAGTGAAAGCAAGTTTTACGAAAGTAAAGGAATAAAAGAATGGCTACTTCCATAGGCAGAGCAAGAGCCTGAGCTGCTAGTTGGCCATTTTTATGGTTAATTCCTGATTATGTGCTAAACAAGGGGTGGATTATTCATGAGTTATCCAGGAAAGGGGGGCAATTCCTGAAACTGAGGGTTCTTCCCCCATTTATTTATTTATTTATTTTTATTTTTATTTTTGAGACAGAGTCTCACTCTGTCAACCAGGCTGGAGTGCAGTGGCACCATCTCAGCTCTCTGCAACCTCTGCCTCCCAGGTTCAAGCAATTCTCCTGCCTCAGCCTCCCGAGTAGCTGGGACTATAGGTGTGTGCAATCATGCCCGGCTAATTTTTGTATTTTTAGTAGAGACGGGGTTTCACCATATTGGCTAGGCTAGTCTTGAACTCCTGACTTCGTGATCTGCCCACCTCAGCCTCCCAAAGTGCTGGGATTACAGGTGTGAGCCACTGTGCCCGGCCAGTCCCCTTTTGGACCATATAGGGTAACTTCCTGATGTTGCCATGGCTTTTGTAAACTGTCATGGTGCTGGTGGGAGGGTCTCTTAGCATGCTAATGCATTTAATTAGTGTATAATGAGCATTGAGGATGATCAGAGGTCACTCTTGTTGCCATCTTGGTTTTGGTGGGTTTGGCCAGCTTCTGTACCACAACCTACTTTATTGGCAAGGTCTTTATGACCTATATCTTGTGCCGACCTCCTGTCTGAACCTGTGACTAAGAATGCCTTAACCTCCTGGGAATGCAGCCCAGTACCTCTCAGCCTTATTTTACCCAGCCCCTATTAAAGATGGAGTCACTCTGGCTTAAATGCCTCTGACACTGGCAACGTAGTGCGATGCAGACTTAAAAAAAAAGGTATTAGCCAGGCATGGTGGCTCATTCCTATAGTTCCAGCTAGTCAGGAGGCTGAGGTGGGAAAAGCTCTTCAGCCCAGGAATTTGAATTTGCAGTGAGATATGATTATTGCCGCTACATTCCAGCCTGGATGACAGAGCAAGACCTTGTCTCTAAAAAAAATTAAAAAAAACATTTTTTAAGTGTAATATGAATTGTTTAATATTACAGACTGTTTCTCAGCTACCATGAATAACAGTGCTGAATAGTATAGCAATCAGTGATTATCACTGGATATTCCAAGTGAAACCTGAAGAGAAGCCAAAAAAAAAAAAAAAGGGACATTTGACACTCTGAGACATTGGTAAAGTATCTATTTCATTCATGCTCTCAGAGAGGAAGGATTTGTCAAACTATTTGTATTTTCTCTTACTAAAGTGTTTCTACTTTTGTCCAAATTTTCTCTGTTGTCCAAAGCACAGTCTTGGACAGCAGAGGCACAACTCACACACCTACATAGAATGCCAGGGTAGTCACCTTTTTTCTTTTTCTTTTTTTTTTTTTTTTTGAGACGCTCTGTTGCCCAGGCTGGAGTGCAGTGGTGTGATCTTGGCTCACTGCAACCTCTGCCTTCCGGGTTCAAGTGATTCTCGCGCCTCAGCCTCCTGAGTAGCTGGGATTACAGGCGTGTGCCCCCACACCTGGCTAATTTTTGTATTTTTAGTAGAGGCGGGGTTTCACCATGTTGGCCAGGCTGGTCTCAAACTCCTGACCTCAAGAGATCCAACTGCCTTGGCCTCTCAAAGTACTGGGATTACAGATGTGAGCCACTGTGCCCAGCCAGTCACCTTTTATTTTGAGCAAGAGCTGTGGAGAAACATTTACTTGGAGCCTAAATGAAGTTAGTGTCACAAAAGGGAATGTTTAAGGTTATAGATTGCACTGTGGCAGCTCTGAGTGCTGGATGGTGAGTGACATACACCAGTGTGTTTTTTCATAAGTTGATAGCCCTCTCTTGATGATACATAGGGCCCTGTAATGTATGGGGCCTAGGCGCCCAGTTCTAAGATTGGCATTGAGTCTTAGCATTAAGTATGCACATGTTCAGATCATGCTCCTATTTTCCAGTAGAGTAATTATTCCCACAGCTGTTTCTTTTACTTTTTCTTTTTCCTTTTTATTGAGACAGGATCTCATTCTATCACCCGGGCTGGAGTGTGGTGGTGTCATCAAGGCTCACCGCACCCTCAACCTCCTGGGCTCAGGTGACTCTTCTGCCTCAGCCTCCTGAGTAACTGGGACCACCACTGCATGCTATACCTGGCTAATTTCTTTTTAAATTATTTGTAGAGACAGGGTTTCATTATGTTGCTCAGGCTGGTATCAAACTCCTGGGCTCAAGCAAGCCTCTCACCTCGGACTCCCAACGTGCTAAGATTACAGGTTTGAGCCACTGTGTCCAGCCACACGGCTGTTTCTATCATTCTGTATTCCAGAGATCACCAGTTCTAGTCTTCTGCAGGGGTAGTTGCTCAATGTCATGAGTAAGAGAGGGGAACTACAGATCTACCTCCTTTTAAGTTTTGTATTAATTTTTTTTTTAATTTTGAAATAATTTTAGATTTATAAAAGAGCTGCAAAGATGGTACAGAGAGTTCCTGTGTACTCTTCATCAAGCTTCACCTGTTGTTAACATCTTTCATAATCATGGTGCATTTATTGAAACTAAGAAATTAACATGAGTATGATGCTATGAACTAAACCATAGACTTTATTAGGATCTCACCAGTTTTTCTGCTGATGTCTTTTTTTCTGTTTCAGGATATCACATTGTATTTGGTCATCATGACTCCTTAGTCTCCAATCTGTGCCAGTTTTTTTGGTCTTGTCTTTCATGGCCTTGGGGATTTTTGAAGAATAATGGCCAGGTATTTTGTAGGATGCCCCTTAACTTAGATTTGTCTGATATTGGGATTTATCATGATTAGATTGGGAATATGGGTTTGGGGGAAGAATACTGCAGAGGTGAACTGCCCTTTCCATTGCATCATATGAGGGGTGCATGATATCCACGTGACTATGAGTGCTGATGTTAACCTTGATCACTTGGTTAAGGTGGTGTCTGAAAGGTTTCCTAGTTACTCTTTTTCCATACTTTATTCTTTAGAAGCAAGACACTAAGTACAGCCCAAAATCAAGGAGTGGAGAATTTATTTTAAAACTGCATTCTACCAATCCTTATTTGATACTCCCCCACCCCACTTCCAAAAGTCCACTTGGTTCCTGAGCCTTTAGAAGATTCTGTGGTATACATCAGCTTAGTTTTTGGCTTTTCCTACTGTATCCTAAGTCATTTTTCTGTTTTCCAGTCTCCACAATTTTGTTGCTATTGTCTCTTTTTTCTCTCTGTGAGTTTGTGAGTTTTTTTTTTTAATCCCTTTACTGTAGCTTAGTGGGGCTTCGGAGAGATTAAAACTGTATTTTTATGTTCAATCTGCCTTCTTTATTTGGAAGCTCTGGGAGAAATATTTTTTTTTTTGAGACGGAGTCTCATTCTGTCACCCAGGCTGGTGTGCAGTGGCGTGATCTCAGCTCACTGCAAACTCCACCTCCCAGGTTCAAGCAATTCTCCTGTCTCAGCCTCCCGAGTAGCTGGGACTACAGGCACATGCCACCATACCCGGGTAATTTTTGTATTTTTAGTAGAGACGGGGCTTCACCATATTGGTTAGGCTGGTCCCGAACTCTTGACCTCAGGTGATCCAACCCACCTCAGCCTCCCAAAGTGCTGGCATTACAGGCATGAGCCACCGCGCCCGGCCAGAGAAACATTTTATCATCATCAAAATTGATATTTAATCTGTGTTTAGATTTGTCATTTCTGCTTGTCATAATTCTGCCATTGATATAATACATGAAATTACTGAATACTTTTTGGGCACCATTGTTATGTTTTGTAAAGCATTGTGATCAATCAGAAATTCAGTTCCCAGCTAGAGAAGAAACTCTTCTAGTATTGGCTGGTGTGACTGGCCCTGATTTTCAAAGGTAAATTAGGGTTACTGCTATAAAGCAGGGATTACAATGGGGTGCTTCTGTATACTCCAATGCCCAGTTACTAAGGTTACCAAAAAACAAAGTGGGTTTGGGCACCTCAGGAGTCAAAGTTTGAGTCAGTCCACCAGGCAAAGAACCTTAACTGGCATAAGCTAGCCAAAGGCAACCTAAACTTGAATGGGTAGAGGAGGGGAGTTACAATATCCACTATGGTTTCTTGACCAGTTACATAAAGGAGGACTGTAGCTCTCTGTGTATCTGCTCTCTCTCCTTTCTTTTTCACCTTTTGTTTTCCTACAATTTTATAGAGTGTTTTGATATCAGAAATGTTTACCATTTAGTGACTGAGTTGCACTTTTTTATTTTTTATGCGTTTTTATAATTTTTATTACTTTTTCAATAAAGATAATGTATCTGTTACTACATCTGTGTAATACATCTGTATGGCTTATAAATACCATTCTATACTGTACTCAGAACAGCAGATACTGTTCTGTACTCTGCTTTCCTCGCTGCATGATATATATTAGTGCATAGGAAGAGTCCTTTTTTTCAGCTCTGTAGATGTACCAATATTTATTTAACCAATGCCCTATAGAAAATGTCTTGGGTTTGTTTCTCATTTTTGGCTTTACAAACAATACTGCAGTGAATAACTTCATATGAACCTCATTGTATAGGTTTGTAGGTATATTTGCGTAAACATTCTCAGAAGTAGTAGAGTTGTAGAGTATCAGTTTAGTATTATAATATATCTAGAGTGGGATTATCTATCATCTGTTTTAATATGGACAATCAGGAAAATAGCAATCATTTCTAGTACTTACAACAGGGAAAATTTAATGCAGGAAAGTGGTTACCAGGTGTTGGAGGAACTGAGCACCTAATGGAGAAAGGGGAGCAATTCAGATATTAGTAACAACAGAAAACCATTGCCTGTAGCCTGGAAAGACAAAAGAAGACAAGAATCACTGAATTCTGGAGCTGGAGGTCATTTACTGGAGGCTAGGGCCTCTACGGACCTGTGTGATGAGAACTGGAGCTGCTGAGGAGATGCAGTCACTGCCAGAGAAGTGACTGAGTTAGAAGAGGAAGGGGGAGAAATGTGCTGGTTTATTCCTTCCCTCCTCATCCTCCAATCTTTGAGAAACCAGCTGATATGAGTCTGGGAATCGCAGTCAATGGATCAACCCCTTGCGATACAAAACAGAGCAGGGAAGGGCAAGGAATGCATTTGAGGACAAATGGATTCAGAATCCATATTGTTCACCCCTTCTGCTACTCAGCATTCAAGTTCACCCTTCTACCCATGTTTAATACCATCATACTTCTGTCTGTCATACAAACAAGAGGAGAGACACCAAGTCCCATCAATCATTGTATCCATCTCAAGTTTGGGATCTACTGGTGATCCTCATTCCTTCCCATCAGGTCTGGATGTGTCTTTTTGTGGCCTGGTGACCTACGAACTAAATTGTAAATTAAGCAACCACTGACACTTTCCATGCAAAACTGTGGGGGAAGGGGAAGGGGAAGGGGACAAAATAGAAATCGTTGGTTAATAGATACATAACAAATACACGTGAATGCTACAATTCTTGTTGCTATAAAAAGTCGCAAGGATGAAGTTGATTTTTATCATTTCCTTTTTCTACCACTTATTCCATATTTCCTTTGCTTTTAGCTAGGACTGCAAATGGTTTGGGTTCTTTACTTGCAGGATGATTGTATCAGTCAGGATAAAGCCAGAACAACAGAAACCACACTTGGTATTTCAACAGAGATAATTTAACATAAGGAATTGGCTACGGAGTTTTGGGGAACCAAAAAAGCAAAAAAAAAAAAAAAAAAAACCAAAAAAACAGGTCGGGGCAGATATTGAACATAGATATAGTAACTATAGGAAGAAGCTACCACTCCTATGGCTGAGGACACAAAAGGAAGTTTGCACCAAAGGAAACTTAAAGGAGAGGCATCTCAGACTTCTGAGGAGGGGCCACTGCCTAACTCTTGCTGGCTCATTGATGAGACATGTTGAGGCTGGTTCTAGGAATGCCAAAAAAAAGTTGAGTGTTAGAAATGATAGCCACTTGTCAGGAAGGAAGCATATCCTGTCTCACTCCTTCTGCCTTGAAGAACTAACAGGAAGCCAACTGGCAAAGTAGAAATATAGCTCTCATAGTCCCAGCCCCGTGGTCATAAAGAAGAGTATAAATGTGTGAGTTTGGACTGAGAGAAAATGGCATAACAACTGGGACAGCTCATTACTTTGCTTACTCAATATTCATGCACAACTTTCTCTGTATATTTGAGCTTCTCATATAGCAATTTAAAAATGGCAGCTTTTTCTTTAACAAGATACAGCTACCCTTTGTAGAAATTGACACTCTTGGCCGGGCACAGAGACTCACGCCTGTAATCCCAGAACTTTGGGAGGCCGAGGCAGGTGGATCGCTTGAGCCCAGAAGTTCAAGACCAGTCTGGGCAACATGATGAAACCCCATCTCTACTAAAAATAAAAAAAATAGCTGAGCATGGTGGCACATGCCTGTAATCCCAGCTACTCAGGAGGCTGTGGCACGAGAATAGCTTGAACCTGGGGGGTGGAGGTTGCAGTGAGTGGAGATTGTGCCATTGCACTCCAGCCTGGGTGACAGAACAAGACTCGGTCTCAAAAAAGTAAATAAACATAAAAAAATAAATTGACACTCTCACCCTTTCCCCATAAACGGATGATCCCAAATTATATTAATCTCTGGATTATGTGTTAATTACTCCTCAATTCAGTAAAGTCCCTTATGAACCTTCTGTAACCTAAAGATGAAATTGTAAAGTTAACAATTGCCATTAATTTTTAAAATTACAGTGGGAAAGGAGAAGAAAAAAAGTTAATATATACAGAAATACATAAATACACACATATACATTAAGCAAGTAAGAAATAATGCTTAGTTATTAGTCTTTGTATCTGTCTAGTCATGAGCCTGTGGTTAGTGTCCCTTCCTCCCCAGCTCATTTCATGCTTCCTGTACTCTGAGCCAGTATATACCAAGTGGTGTGATCCAAACTGTCATTCCTGAAGGGTCTGAATTGTCAGTGGTCCTGTCTTTTCTTGGTTATCGTAGTTTACCATTAACTTTTACTGTCAGCGATGGGAATATAGGGGTGCCATGTTGCCATGAATGACAGCATCCCCATATATAGTCCTTCGTGGCCTCATTTTGTAGCAGCAACCCAATGTTTCTTTAGTTGTCAGGATCAATCACTCCAGCCAGTAATTCCCTTCTTTGCCCATTGGTTCAGTTGCATGTGGAGTCTAAAATGGCCATTTAGCTGTTAGAAATTCAATGGAAACTGTCTTGGGAATAAAGCAGAGTTCAAATTACGGGAAGCAGAATTCTGTGAAGAAGTATAACAGTGAGAGAAGCCACTTTCCCTTTTGCTCTTTGATTACGGACTTGTGTCTTGTGGCTTTGGGAGAAATAGTGCCATACATTGGTCAATGGCTCAAAGCATATGTTGTTCTTTGAAGACAGTCCCAGCCTTACAAAATGTTTCTCAGCTCATGTTGTAACTGAGTCTGTAGTAGGCCATTCCATTGTTATATCGGGCCAGATATTTCTAGATGGTGGGGTGTGCAGTAAGGCTAGTTATTTCCATGATTTGCAAACTCTAATTACACTTCTAAGATGTGTTCCTTAGAAGCTGTGTTGAGTAGGATACCATGATATTGAGTAAGGAATTATGTGGTAGTGTTGGCAGAAACACAATGGGCAGAAGAGGCAAATCTATACACAGAATAGTTGTCTATTCTAGCACAAACAAATGGCTTTCATTTCCATGATGGAAGGGGTGCTTTATAATCAACCTACCAACACAGAGTTGGCTGATCCCCTTGGGAAATGGTGCCATATTGGAGACTCACAGTTTAGATTCTGTTCTTGATAATTTGGGAACTCAACAGTGCCAACAGTCAGATTAGCTTGGTAAGGGGAAGTCCATTTTGTTGGGTCTGTGCTTCATTTCTGCCACTATGGCCATTTTGTACACAAGCCCATTAAAACAGAAGATGAGGAAAGGTGCTGACTGATAATCCCAGAACAAGTCACTTTGTTCACCCCTATTATTGAGGCCTCCTCTACAATGGATGTACCTTGGTAAGCACTCACACAAATTCCTTCACATTTAGTGCCCATTCTGAAAGATCTGTGCATGTGTCTCTTCTTCAGTCTTCCTTGTTATCAATCTTCCAGGCTTGTTCTTTTCAATTTCCTGACCAGGTGACCAAAGCATTATTCACTGTCCACAGATGAGTGTACATCTGTACCACAGGCCACCCCTCTTTCCTGGCTGAGGGGACTTCAAGGTATACTGCCAAAACTTCTGCCCTCTTGGAGGGTTTTCCTTCACCATTCCCCTTCAGTGGCATCTCTGAGGGAGTATACTGGTACTAGTGTAATGTGGACACACTTCTGTGAACCAGGCCCAAGTTGGTTTAAAAAATTTTTTAAATTTTTTATTTAAAAGATTTTAAATTGACACATAATAATTGTACGTATTTATGAGGTACATAGTTATGTTGTGATACATACAATGTATAGTGATCAGATCAGGGTAATTAGCATATCCATCACCTCAAACATTTATCATTTCTTTGTGTTGGGAACATTCAATATTCTTTTTCTAGCTATTTGAAACTATAAGATATTGTTAATTATAGTCATCCTATGGTGGCATAGAACACTATAACTTATTTCTCCTATCTATTTGTTTCCTTTAACAAAGCTCTATCTCCCTCTTCCCCCTACTCTTCTCAGCCTTTAGTATCCTTTGTTCTACTTTTTACTTCTATGAGATCAACTTTTTTTAGCTTCCACATGTGAGTGAGAACATGCAGTGTTTGACATTCTGTTCCTGGCTTATTTTGCTTAACGTAATGTCCTCCATTTCCATCCATGTTGCCCCGAATTACAGGATTTTATTCTTTATTATGGCTGAATAGTACTCCATTGTGTGTGTGTGCATATATATATATATATATACACATATATGTATATATATGTGTATATATATATGTATATATGTATATATATATGTGTATATATATATGTATATATATATATCATTGTGTGTGTATATAAATATATATATGTTTACCACATTTTTCTTATTCATCCATCTGTTGTTGCACACATAGGTTGATTCCTTATCTTGGCTCTCGTGAATAGTGCTGCAGTAAACATGGGCATGCAGGTTTCTTTTCAATATGTTGATTTCCTTTCCTTTGGATAAATACCCAGTAGAGGAATTTCAGTATCATACTGTGGCTCTATTTGTAGTTTTTTGAGGAACCTCCATACTGTTCTCCCTACTGGCTGTACTAGTTTATATTCCCACCAAGTGTATGAGAGTTCCCTTCTCTCTGCATCCTTGCCAGCACTTTTTTTTTTTTTTTTGTATTTTTGATAATAGCCAGCCTGACTTGGATGAGATGTTATATCATTGTGGTTGTGATTTACATTTCCCTGATAATTAGTGATATTGAGCATTTTTTCATATACCTTTTGGTCATTTGCATTTGAAAAATGTCTGTTCAGATCACTTGCCCATTTTTAATCATATTGTTTGTTTGCTGTTGAGATATTTGCGTTCTTGTGTATTCTGGATATCAATCCCTGGTCAGATGAGTAGTTTGCAGATATTTTCTCCCATTCTGTAAGTTGTCTTTTCACTGTGTTGATTGTTTTCTTTGCTGTGCAGAAGCTTTTTAGTTTGATATAATCCCATTTATTTTTGCATTTGTTGCCTGTGCTTTTGAGGTCTTATTCATAAAGTCTTTTCCCAGAGCAATGTCCTGAAGCATTTCCCCTAAAATCTTTCTTCTAGTACTTTTATAGTTTTGGGTTTTATATTTAGGTCTTTGATCCCTTTTTAGTTGATTTTTGTGTATGGTGAGAGATAGGGGTCTAGTTTCATTCTTCTGCGTATAGATATTCAGTTTTCCCAGCACTATTTATTTATTTATTTATTTATTTATTTATTTATTTATTTGAGACAGGGTCTTGCTTTATCACCCAGACTGGAATGCAATGGTGCAATCATGGCTTACTGCAGCCTCAACTTCCCAGGCTCAAGTGATCCTCCCACCTCAGCCTCCCAAGTCACTGGGACTATTGGTGCATGCCACTGCACCTGGCTGTTTTAAAAAAATATATTTTGTGTGTTTGTAGAGAGGGGTCTCCCTTTGTTGCCCAGGCTGGTCTTGAACTTCTGGGCTCAAGCAATCTTCCCTGCTCATCCTCCCAAAGTGTTGTGATTACAGGCATGAGCCATCGTGCCTGGCCCAGCACTGTTTATTGAAGAGATTGTCCTTTCCCCAATGTATGTTCTTGGTCCCTTTGCCAAAAATCAGTTGGCTGTAGATACATAGATTAATTTCTGGGTTCTCTATTCTGTCTCATTGGTCTATGTGTCTGTTTTTATGTCAGTGCCATGCTGTTTTGATTACTATGGCTTTGTGGTATATTTTGAAGTCAGGTAGTATGATGCCTCCAGCTTTGTTTTCTGGCTTGGGTTTGCCTTGGCTATTCAAGATCTTTCGTGGTCCTGTATAAATTTTAGGATTTTTTTGTTTTTATGAAGAATGTCATTGGTATTTTGACAGGGATAAGGCCCAAGTGTATTTTCCCCCTCTTTCAACAGGCCATAAGGAGCTCCCCATGAAACCACAAGTGCTGGTTGAGGGAGAGGCCAAAAGGCATCAGAAGTAAGTGCTGTGGGGGTCTGGGCCACCTGCTCGTGTAACTTGCTTGTGCTCTGAGCTTGCTTGAGTCTGATCTTGTACATACTATGTCTATTTGATAATGGATTGCTGCTGCACATTATTATAGCTAGGTCTTGTTCATAATGGGCAAGTTATGTCATGTAATTGTTAGGTCATGTAATAGGAATTCCATGGTTAAACAGTTTTTACCAGGGCGTAATAGTGAGCTATGAGCTGCTTCTTTAAGGGGGCAGAGGAGTGTATGGTTCTGTTAGCTAGCTATGTGTTGTGTCATTTTCCTGTTGAGGCTTGCGTGAGGAGCCATGCAGCACTCTTACCACAGACACTTGGAGCACCACTGGATAGACAGACTGGAATGACACTGCCTCGACCCACTGTAGAGCCTTCTCTTGCTTCAGGCACCATTCAGAAGTAGCAGCCTTACAAGTTACTTGGTGTAACCGGATCAGAGCAGAGCATCCACTTGTGGTTTGTGTTGCCTACAAAATCTAAAGAGGCCGAGGACTGGCACAATAATCCTGAACTTGGAAAACAAAGACTGCATAACATTACCTATTGATATAGCGGCCAGATGTGACTTTGGTTGTTTTCCCTTCATATGTGGTTGTATACAAAATAGTACATTTTGTTAAGTAGGAACTTTTTTGGACTTGTATTATGGTAAGAAACATGTATGTGTGTCCTCCTGTAGGCTGTCTGAATATTTCTTTCTGGTCTACATAGCATCTCTTGGTCTGGGCAAACTTCCCTTCCCAATTTAGGTGGTTCTGATGAGTAAAGGTAAATTACCAGATAGCAAAGCAAGAGGGCATTCTAGAAAATAAGATCAGTGGAAGCAAAGGCCTATGGGCATTGTGGGTTCTGGAAGCAGTAATTAGTTCAGTTGAGTAGTAAGTAGCACTAGGGGTGAAGAGTATGAAGAGTGGAGTGGTGGGAGATAAAACGGGAAATGTTAGGTAGGGCTATACTGGAAGGAGCTTTATGTACCATATGAAGAAAGTGGACAAAATCCTATGCTGAGGGAAAAGTAGTGATTTTTTTTTTACAGGACTGTGATGTGATCACATCACATTGATATGAAAGATATTCCATGAGGGAGAATTTGAGATGAGCAATACTAGGGGTAGAGCTATTATTTAAGATTACCTAGTAATTCTGAATAAAATGATGAGACATGAGCTAAGTAAGGTAGTGTGAATTAGAGGAGAAAATGAATTTAAATGATACATAGGAAGTGGAATTGACAGACTTGGTGGCTGACTATGTGGAGTGGGAAGAGAGAACAGGAATTTATGTATGTGGTTAAAAATTATATACTTGTATGAAACAATCTGGTTTGAGCTTGAGTGGGGTTCAGAGAGATCTGGGCCTAGTGTAGAGTGACCAGCTGTTCTGGTTTATCCAAGATTAAGGGATTTCGATTTCCTGGGATGTGAGACTTCCAATGCTAAAACTGTGAAAGTCCCCAGCAAACCAGGACAAATTGGTCATGCTAGCCTAATATGAATGGGCGGACAGATTAGTGACAGGAGCTTATCGGCATAAGCACTGAAACACCTTCTGGGATAACCATGACCTGGCAAGAGAGCCTTTAGTGGTGCAAAGAAATGGTGATCCTTGATAATGCATGGTAGTTGCTATTCAAATCTACCTCCCAATGGATCCAATCTGGGGTCCCACGGAGAAAGGAGGCTGGAAGTAAAATACGAAAGAACTGTTTCACTAATCTGTGACCCCGTTTAACAGAGTGTAACTCAGAGAGGACAGATTCTTTCTCACCGTGGACTACCCCACAGCTCTGGAAACCTGAGGGCTTTAGTACATTGGGAGATTCAGTTAAATACAGGTTGGGGGAGTTCCAAGGGATGGAGAGGGTGGGGAAAGGGAGAAGGAGGAACTGGTAACCTGTACTGGTACAAGAAAAACTAAAATACTTAGCAGAACAGAATAACATCTGTGCAGTGGGGTATAAGTCAGTGAAATATGAGTTATTACAGCACAGGTGACATCAGCAGGCTTTTCTTGAAGCAATTCCTTTCAGAAGGAAAGAATGTGTTGATTACTTTCTTTGTTATGTTGCGCCATCTACTGGTAACTCTCATGTACTTTTTTCCTAGTTAGATGTTTAAAAGAAGACAGATGAATTAAAAACTTGAGAACTGTTTCCAAAGTCGTCATTTATTCGTTCGTTCGTTCATTCATTCATTCATTCATTCACTTCACAAATACTGAGTGAGTATGTATACCTTCTATATTGCAGTTACATTTCTAGGCATTGGGGTTACAGCTGTGAACAAAACTGAAAGAACCCTGAACTCATGGAAGCTTACTTTGATGAAAGAGTACATTTCATTTTTTTCCCATGTGAATGTTCTGTTTTCAAAGCACCATTTACTGAAAAGATTATTTTTTTTTCTTTAGGACTCTGCAGTGCCGTTACTGTTATATATGAAGTGTCCATTTATATGTGAGTCATTGCCTATCTTGGTTATGCTCCATTGATTTATTTGTCAATTTCTGTGACAATATCATATTGTCTTTATCATTTTACTTTATAATCATTGTTAATATTTAGTACATCAAGAACTCCCACCTCATTTTTTAAAAGAATGTTTTGGATAGTCTTGGCCTTTAAATTTTCCATAAAGTTTAAAATCAGTCTGTCAAATTCTGTCAAAAAAAAAAAAACCCTCCTGGGAATATTTATTGGGATTGAACTGAATCATTAAATCATTTTAGAGTGAACTGATATTTTTATACTATTGAGCCTTCCAATCACGATTTACTTCAGTTTTCCTTAGTGTCTTTCAATAGACATAAAAGTCTTATATATCTTTTGGTACACTTATTTGTAGATACTTGATTTTTTTAGGCTAAAAAGGCATCTTTAAAAAATCATTTGCTAACAATTATGGCTGGTGTTTGGAAATGTAACTACTTTTGTCATATTGATTATTCATCTAGGGATTTTGCTAAATGCTCTTATAATTCAAATAAATCTCTTTTTCCTACATATACAATTTATCATTTGTAGATAATTATACCATTAATTTGTTTTTCTTATCCTTCATGTACTAGTTAGAAGCTCTAGTACAACACAGAATAGAAATGGTGATATTAGGCACCCTTTAATTGTTCCTGACTTTACAGGAAAAGCTTTTGACATAAAACATTACTTTTCTTTGGTTTTCTACAGATACTTTTTATTAGATTAAGAACTTTCATTCTATTTCTTTTTTCTTAAGTGTTTAAAAATCTTGAATGGATATTAAGTTTTATCAAATGCTTTAGAAATTTTGCATCTATGTAGAAATACTGTAACTTTTTTTCTGCTTGAATCTCTTAATGTGGTGAAGAACTGGTACCAATTCTACTGAAACTATTCAAAAAATTTGAGGAGGAAGGACTCCTCTCCAACTCATTCTATAAAGCCAGCATCACCCTGATACCAAAATCTGGCAAAGACATAATGATAAAAGAAAGCTACAGGCCAATATCTCTGATGAATGTATGTGCAAAAATCCTCAACAAAATACTAGCAAACTGAATCCGAAGCACATTAAAAAGTTAATTCATCATGATCAAGTTGGTTTCATTCCTGGGATGCAAGGTTGGTTCAACATACACAAATCAATAAATGTGATTCACCACATAAACAGAATTAAAAACAAAAACCATATGATCATCTCAATAGACACAGAAAAAGCTTTTTATAAAATTCAACATCCCATCATGATAAAAGCCCTCTAAAAAATAGTCACCAAAGGAACATACCTCAAAATAAGAGCCATCTATGATAAACCAGCTAACATCATACTGAAGGGGCAAAAATTGGAAGCATTCCCCTGGAGAATTGGAACAAGACAAGAATGCCCACTCTCACCACTCCTATTCAACATGGTAATGAAAGTCCTTGACACAGCAATCAGGTGAAAGAAAGAAATAAAAGACATCCAAATAGGAAAAGAAGAAGATAGTTTGACTTCTTCTTTGCTGATGATAGGAATCTATACATAGAAAACCCTAAAAACTGCCAAAAGTCTCCTAGAACTGATAAACAACTTCAGCAAAATTTCCAGATACAAAATCAATATACAAAAATCAGTAACATTTCTATACACCAATAACATTCAAGCTGAGAGCCAAACCAAGAATGCAATCCCATTTACAATAGCTGCAAAAAACAAACAAACAAAAACCTAGGAATACAAGTAATGATGGAGGTGAAAGATCTCTCCACGAACTACAAAATACTGCTGAAAAAAACCATACGTGGTACAAACAAATGGAAAAACAGTCCATGCTCATGGATTAGAAGAATCAATATTGTTAAAATGGCTAAAAGCAATCTACAGATTGAATGCTATTCTTATCAAGCTACCAACATTATTTTCCACAGAAGTAGAAAAAACTATTCTAAAATTCATATGGAACCAAAAAAGAGTACAGATAGCCAAAGCAATCCTAAGCAAAAAGAACAAAGCTGGAGGCATCACATTAGCAACTTCAAACTATACTACAAGGCTACAGTATCAAAACAACATGGTACTGGGACAAAAACAGATGCACAGACCAATGGAACAGAATAGAGAACCCAGAAGTAAAGCCACACATCTACAACCACCTGATCTTTAACAAAGTCATCAAAAATAAACAATGGGGAAAGGACTCTCTATTCAATAAATGGTGCTGGGATAACTGGCTAGCCATATGCAGAAGACTGAAACTGGACCCCTACCTTTCACCAAATACAAAAGTTAACTCAAGATGAATTAAATATTTAAATGTAAGACCTCAAACTATAAGAATCATAGAAGAAAACCTAAGAAACCTATTCTGGACATCAGCCTTGGGAAATAATTCATAACTGAGTCCTCAAAAGCAATTGCAACGGAAACAAATTGACCAGTGGTACCTAATTAAAGTAACAAGCTTCCAATTAAAGCTACCAATTAAAGTAACTATCAACAGAGTAAACAGCCTACAGAATAGGAGAAAATGTTTGCAAACTATGCATCTGACAAAAGTCTGATATCTAGAGCTATAAGGAACCTAAACAAATCAGCAAGCAAAAAACCAATAACCCCATTTAAAAAATGAGCAAAAGACATGAACAGACACTTCCCAAAAGAAGACCTGCAAGTGGGCAACAAATACATGAAAAAATGCTCCACATCGCTAATTGTCAGAGAAATGCAAATCAAAACCATAATGAGATACCATCTCATATCAGTTAGAATGGCTATTATTATTATTATTTTATTTTTATTATATTTTAGATGGAATCTCGCTCTGTTGCCAGGCTGGAGTGCAGTGGCACAACCTCAGCTCACTGCAACCTCTGCCTCCTGGGTTCAAGTGATTCTCCTGCCTCAGCCACCATGCCCACCTAATTTTTGTATTTTTAGTAGAGATGGGGTTTCACCATGTTGGCCAGGATGTCTCCATCTCTTGACCTCGTGATCCACACGCCTCAGCCTCTCGAAGTGCTGGGATTACAGTTGTGAGCCACTGCGCCGGGCTGGCTATTATTAAAAAATAAAAATAAATAGATGCTGGTAAGCCTGCAGAGAAAAGGGAAACTTATACACTTTTGGTGGGAATGTAAATTAGTTCAGCTACTGTGGAAAGCTGTTTTTTGAGTTGTGTGAGTTCTTTACATATTCTACATACCTAACTCATCAGGTAAATTATTTGCAAAAGTTTTCTCCCATTTTATGGGTTGTCTTTCCACTTTGTTGTTAGTATTCTTTGATACACTAAAGTTTTGTATTTTGATGAATTCTAATTTATTTTTTTCTTTTGATTGTGCTTTTGGTGTCATATCTAAGAAACCATTCCCAGCTGTGCATGGTAGTGTGCGCCTGTTGTCCCAGTTACTTGGGAGGCTGAGGCGGGAGGATCCCTTGAGCCCAGGAGTTTGAGGTTTTAATACTGTACTGTAGTGAAACAGTGTATTATAGTGAAACAGCATAGTGAAACTTTGTCTCTAAAAAAAAAAAATTCTTTTTAAAGAAATAAATCTTTGCTAAATCCAAGATAATCATTTATTCCTATATTTTCTTCTAAGAGTTTCATAGTTTTAGCTCTTATGTTTAGATTTTTTATCCATTGTGAGTTAACTTTTGTAAATGGTCTGAGGTAAGGGCCTAGCGTTATTTTGTGGGACAGTTTTCTTCTTGTGTCATTTGTAATTTTATATTTTTCTAAAATAATTTCTATTTCATCCATATATTCAAATTTATTAAAGTTGCTTATAATATGCTTTGTTAGCTTTTAAATATCTGTATTATTGGTAAGAGTAGCTCCCCCTTTTTATATGATACTGTTACTTGTGCTTTCTTTTTTTCTTGTCTAATTTTGCCAGTGGTTTGTCAATTTTATTAGTCTTTTTAAATAGAAACCACTACTAGCAAAGAAATAGAACATTGTCAGTCTTTCTTCTTTTCTGAGCACTGATGATGCTCTAGACCTTGGCCTAGATAGTTGGGTTTTATTTGTTTGTTTGAGACAGGGTTTCACTTTATCGCCCAGGCTAGAGTGCAGTGAGTGCACAATATTACCTCACTGTAGTCTTGACCTCCTGGGCTCAAGTGATTCTCCCACCTCAGCCTCCTGAGTAGCTGGGACTACAGATGTGCACCACCACTCTCAGCTAATTTTTACATTTTTTTGTAGAAACAAGGTCCCACTATGTTACCCAGGCTGGTCTCAAACTTCTGGACTCAAATGATCCTCCTGCCTCAGCCTCCCAAAGTGCTGGAATTACAGGTGTGAGCCACTATTCCCAGCCATAACTCGTTTTTGCTACATATTACTCAACTACATATTACTCAACTAATGTTTTTGCTAAACATTACTCATTCATTCAATACATATTTTGAGCACCTACTATGTATTGAGGATACATCAGTGAACAGACAGGAAATTCTGTTCTCATGAAGCTTACATTCTGGTCGGGGAGATAGATAATAAATAAAATAAGTAAATTACATAATATTTTAGTACCTTAGAAGGGATTAAGGGCTGTGAAGAAAAATAACTGGAGAAATGGATAAGGAGGGAACAGACTACTGGAATTTTTAAAAAAATGGTAGACATGTAAGACCTCATTGAGGGTACATATTTTTTAAAAATTAGTTTGAAATAATTATGTGTTTATGGGAAGTTACAAAGATGATTCAGAGAGTTCTATTAGCCTTCACTAGTTACCCCTAATAGTTGCATTCTTGTGTAACTATAGTACAGTATAAAAACCAAGAAAGTAGCATTAGTATAATGTGTGCTTATAGTAGTATGCCATTTTATCACACATATAGATTCTTGTACCAATACCACAGTCAAGATACTGAACTAGGCTGGTAGCAGTGGCTCACACTTGTAATCCCAGCACTTTGGGAGGCTGAGACGGGTGGGATCACTTGAGGCCAGGAGTTCAAGACCAGCCTGGCCAACATGGTAAAACCCCGTCTCTACTAAAAATACAAAAATTAGCCAGGTGTGGTGGTGTGCGCCTGTAGTTGCAGCTAGTTGGGAGGCTGAGGCATGAGAATTGCTTGAACCCGGGAGGCGGAGGTTGTAGTGAGCCAAGATCGTGCCACTGCACTCCAGCCTGGGTGACGGAGCCACACTCTGTTAAAAAAAAAAAGATGCAGAACTATTCTGTCCTCACAAAGATATTCCTTATGCTATGTTATAACACAAAGATGTCTTTATAGTTCACCTTACTCCCCTCACTTCTACCATCACTAACCCCTGGCAACCATTCATCTGTTCTCCACCTCTCTAATTTTGTCATTTCAAAAGCATTATATAGATGGAATCATACAGTATATAACCTTTTGAAACGATATTTTTTTCACTCAGCACAATGCCTTTTTGGTCTATCTGAGTTCCTTTCTTTGTGTATTCCATGATGTTAGTATACCACAGTTTGTTTAACCATTCACCCATTGAAGGACATTTTGGTTGTTTTCAGTTTCTGGCTATTACAAATAAAGCTGCCATGAGCATTGGTGTGCAGGGTTTTATGTAGATATAAGATTTCTTTAGGATAAATACTAAAAGTGCAATTCTTGGGTTGCATGGTTGTATATATTTAGTTTTTTAAGAAACTGCCAAAATACTTTTCAGAGTGGTTATACCATTTTATCAGTAATGGTGGGATGAGAAACGTTGTTTCTCTGCATCTTGCCAGAACATGGTATTGTTATAATTTTTTATTAATATTTTAGCTCTTCTAATAGCACCTGGCTAATCTGAATTTATATCAGAAATGAAAGCTTAATTTTGATTAATAAAACCAATCGATATAATTCACTTTATTAAGAAATACTGGAAAAAGTTATTTGATCATCTCCGTGGACACACAGTTTGATGAAATTTACCAAATATTCATGATAAAAATTCTTAGCATACTAGAATAAAAGAAAATTTCCTGCCAACTAGGTCAGGACAAAAATGAAAAAAAAAAAAAAAAAGAAAAAAGAAAATTTCCTTGGTACAATGAAAGGTATGTACAATGTAATACCTAGAGCAACCACTTAAAAAAATCTATATGAAGAGATACACTCGAAAACACTATCAATAAATCAAAATGGAATTCTGAAAAATGTTCAAGTAATCCACAGAAAGGCAAGAAAAGAGAAACAGAGGAAACAAAAAAACAAAGGGAACAAACAGAAAAGAAAAAATAAAATGTCAGACCTACGCCCTAACATATCAGTATTAATAATCAGTGAGCTCTGGACTCTCTTCTTTATCCCCTTTGCCGCTCAAGGTTTTCAAAAGCACCACTCATTCTCTTAAAGGACTTTTATTAAATAGGCAGATGACCCCAGGGGAAAGGTCATCTCAAATGCCGGGCTAACCCTCCTGAGCCTCTGTCTTTCTGGCTCAGTAATTACCCTCCTGGCTAAGTAATTCCAAAGAGTTATGGTAGATTTCTGATGTCACAAAGAAAATTTTTAAAAAATACTTTTTTCAGCTTTGTTTTAGGGCCTCAGCCTTAGATTGTATTTCCTAGTGCAGTTTTTTAAAAAAAAAATCGGTGACCTCTCTCATCTAATGCTTTCTCTGTTCTTGTAGATGCTTTACTTTTTCCCTGTCATTTTGATGAGATTTGGGGCAAGACCATGGAAAAGGATGTAAAGATGGCACAGGCTCATTATTCCCTGAGCTTCTATCCTCTAAGATCCTAGGCTGGGAATTCTACGTAATCTTGTTAGCTCTGTGATGTCCTCAATTGGTAAAAGAGTTGGATCTTATTTCCTAGACTAGAGATTGACAAATTATGGCCTGTGGTCTGCCTATTTTTGCATGACCCATGAGCTAATAATTTTTTGCTTTACATTTCTTAAACTTGTTTTTGAATAGTTTTAGATTTACAAAAATTTGTGAAAATAGTAGAGTTCCCATATGACCCACACCCTATTTCCCCTATTATTAACATCTTACATTAGTATAGTACATTTGTCACAATTAATGAGCCAATATTGATGCATATTATTGACTCAAGTCTACACTTTTGATTTCCTTAGTTTTTATCTAATGTCCTTTTTCTGTTCCAGGCTCCCAACCAAGATTCCTCACTATGTTTACTAATCAAATCTCTTGAGACTCCTCTTGGCTTTGACAATTTCTCAAACTTTCCTTGTTTATGATGACTTTGACAGTTTGAGGAGTGTTAATAACTGCAAAGTTTCGAGGGCCTACAGAATGTCTCTCAGTTGGGATTTGTCTGATGTGTTTATCAAGAACACACTAAAGTTATGGGTTTTTGGGTGGAAGACCACAAAGATAAATTGCCTATAATAGACTCATGAGACTGTCATAACAAAGTACCACAAATTATGTGACTTTCAAATAGCAGAAATTTATTCTTTCTCACAGTTCTGGAGGCCAGAAGTCTAAAAGTGTTAACCGGGTTGGTTTCTTCTGACAGCTGTGAGGAAGAATCTATTCCACACCTCTCTCCTTAGCTTCTGGCGATGACTGTCAATTTTTGGTGTTCCTTGGCTTATAAATACATCATTCTGATTTCTGCCTCTGTCTTCACCTAGCTATCCTCTCTGTGTGTCTGTCAAAATTTCCCTCTTCTTATAAAACACATAAGTCATATTGGATTAAGGCCCACCTTGATGACCTCACCTTAACTAATTGTAACTGCAAAGACTATTTGCAAATAAGGTTCCATTCATAAGGTTTGGGGTAGACAAAACTTGAGAACAGAGACTCATTTTCTTCTAAAATGCTTTCTCTGAAAGATTTTTAAAAAGAAAAGGGTGGAAATTTGAAAGAAAAATAAGTCTCAGGACCCCAAAATCAGTAAGCCAAAGGGAAAAGTCAAGCTGGGAACTGTGTTAGGCAAACTTGCCTCCCATTTTATTCCCAAATAAGATAGCCACAAAGATTTAAAAAAAAAAAAAAAAGCTACACACCTCCCTCACAATTTATCCACAAGGAAATTTCTTGTGGGCCTCAAGATCTTTACCCTAAAACAGTTCTGTTGAATTTCACCCTGGCAAAGTAAATTGGTAGCTTATCTTCACAGGTGCAGGTCAAAGACAGAACTCAAAAGTGATCCCTCTGCTCACCTGAGACAAACGCACACCTGATTGCTTGCTCTGCCCTGTTGTTTATGTAAAAATGTAGATTCGCTAAGCCAGACTAAGGCATAAGAGATTATTCCTCTACCCTCCTCTCACATGTAAATTGTGTATTCAGTGAAAGGCTAATCAGGCTCAAAAGAATTAGCCTTTTCTCTCTTATCTACCTATGACCTGAAAGTCGTCCTCCTTCCTACCTGTTTGAGTTGTCATGCCTTTTCAGACCGAACCAATGTACATCTTGCACGTATTGATTAATGTCTCATGTCTCCCTAAAATGTATAAAACTAAGCTGTGCCCCAACTACCTTGGACACATGTCGACAGGACCTCCTGAGGCGGTGTCGCAGGTGCATCCTTAATCTTGGGAAAATAAACTTTCTAAATTGGGGGAAAAAAAGAACTTCAGCACATCTTTTTTGGGGGACACAATTTAACTCATAACAGTGCCATTCTCATCACATCGTATGAAGGACACGAGTTATCAACATGGCTTATCACTGTTGATGTTAACCTTAATAACTTGGCTATGGTAGTTTTTGTCAAGTTTCTCCACGGTAAAGTTACTCTCTTCCTCCCTGCTTCTAAATTATTCTCTTTGGACAGAAGTCATTATGTTCAGCCCACACTTACTAAGCCAGAAGGATGGGAAATTATTCTCTACCTCCTTGAGGGCAGAGTATTCACATCAATTATTTGGAATTCTTTTGCAATCATTCATTTATTCATATCTGTGTGGACTCATGGATGTTTGTTTTATATTTTGGGTTAGAATTCAGTTCTACATTATTTATTTTGTTGCTCAAATTGTTCCATTGGAAGCTCTTTTAGTTGGCTTCTTTTTGCCTTTGACATACTCTTTTCATTGTGTTCTTTTTGGGCACTTCCTTGCTTCTGGGACTAGAATATACTCCAGGATCATCTTGGGATCATCGGCATGGGTAGGGAAAATGTACAGAAATGGTATGAGAATGTGTCCCCTTTTTGTACATATTCCATACCCATCCTCTGGAATCAGCCATTTCTTCAAGGAGCTCTGATTCCTTTTATTGGAGAATGGTATTAAAAACCAAAATTTTGGTTCTAGGTCTATTTGTTGCTACTGGAGTGTCATTGTTTCTAAGCCCCACTCAGCTGACAGAACAAGGAAATATATGTTTCTACTAACCTGTGTATACACACATATGTTTATAAACATTTCTACATGTATTCATTTGTATCGATATTAAGCTAAACATGAGTTCATATTGATGTCTCCAACTCTCATGCATTACCACATGGATCATTCCGGCCCCCTCCTCTGGTTTGTCTGTAATCTCACATTCCAACAGTAAGAAACATGGCCCCCACCATCCACCATCCATTTACTTAACTGTTCAATTCCAGTATGTCCATGTATGGTGGTTTCAGAATTATTAACCTGTACCCCCATGGAAACAACAATTTGACCAACTAGAGTCCAGCACTTATGTACAGTTCCTTTTTAGTCTTACAGTCTCCACTCATTTCCAAAGTTAGGTCAGGATGTTTTCCTCACAAACTCTTCAGTGAGATCATTTCATGCATTTGTAATACATTTAGATTATTTTTTGTCACACTCTATATTCTGTCCTGTGATCTCCTTACCCCCTATATGATTTTTCAAAAATTTGCATACATTAAGATGTGGTTGGTGCTGTAAAGTTCTATGGGCTTTGACATAAGCATAGTGACATGTATCAACCATTACAGAATCATACAGAATAGTTTCACTATCCTGAAAAATCCCATGGGCTTCACTTATTTAGCCCTCCCTTCCCCAAGGTCCTGGCAATCACTGATCTGTTTACCATCTCTATAGTTTTGCCTTTTCCAAAATGTCATGTAAATTGAATCATACATAATCTGTGATAGTCAATTTTATGTATAAACTTGAATGAGTTAAGGGATGCCCAGGTAGCTGCTAAAACATTATTTCTGTCTATGAAGGTGTTTGTGGAAGAGATTAGCATTTGGGTCAGTGAGACTGAGTAAAGAAGATCTGCTCTCACCAATGTGAGTGGGCATCATCCAATTTATTGAGTGTCTGAGTAGATCCAAAGGGTAGGGAGAGGGTGAATTTGCTCCCTCTTTCAGCTGGGCCATCCATCTTCTCCTGCCCTCAGACGTTGGCCCTCCAGGTGCTCAGGACTTAGTGTTTGAACTGAATTACACCACCAGCTTTCTTGGTTCTCCAGCTTGCAGATGGCAGAGTGTGGGACTTCTCAGACTCAACAGTGTGAGCCAATTCCTATAATAAATTTTCTCTTTCTTTCTGTGTTATCACTACACACACACACACACACACACACGCTACAGTCATTCTCAGTATCCATGAGGGATTTGTTTGGGGACCCCTGTAGATACCAACATCTGTGGATATTCAAGTTCCTTATATAAAATGGCATAGTATTTGCATGTAACCTACACACAACCTGCTGTATACTTTAAATCATCTCTAGGTTACTTATAATACCTAACACAACTACATAAATAGTTGTTAGGTTGTATGCTTTAGGAAATAATGACCGGAAGAAAAAGTCTACTTATTCAGGATAATTTTTTTTTCTGAGTATTCTTGACCCTTGGCAGGTTGAATCTGCAGATTTGGAACCTGGGGATATGGAAGGCTGACTGTATATATGTGTCTCCATCCTATTGACTCTGTTTCATTGGGGCACCCTGACTAATACAGTGCATAGTTCCTCACCTACTTTTGAAGCTGTGGTTGCAATGGCAATATAGGTTTCAGAGCCTATACAGAGCTATTCGAGTCTTCTTTGTTCACTTTGTTCACTGAAGCTCCCACTTGATTCTGCTGATGCTTCCTGCAGGGGTGAGTGCACTTTCTCAGGCCTGGTTCCACTAGGTGAAGTGTGGGAGATGCCAGGCCATGGGTCAGTGAGTGCTTCCCTGAACCTGACCTCTGGGCTGGCTAGTGCCAGTGGGGCTCTTGTTTGATCCCTGCTGGTGTTACCTGAGGGCGTGGAAGGTGCTTTCCTGCCCTCCTTAGTGCCAGCTTATGGGTGGAGGATGCTGGGGCTATGGATAGACAATAATTCTCAGGGCCTGCTCATCAGGTCACTTGGTGCTGATGAGCTTCCTTACTGCATCTCTGCTACTGCTGCTGAGGTGGGAAACATCTACCTGGGTGCCTTCTGCCACCGATGTTGGAGGGAGAGTGTCAGGAAACAGTGGGCTTGGGTTACTCTGGGTCAGGAATCAGCATGGCTTGGCTAGATCTTCTGCTTCTGTGTTTCTCACGAAGCTGTAATCAAGATGTTGGCTGCCAGTAAGGTCTCATCTGAATATTCAACGGGAGAAAGATCTACTTTCAAGTGCCCTGATGTGGTTGTCAGATGTATTCAATTCCTTAAGGGTTCTTGGACTAAGAGCCTCAGTTCCTTTCTGGCTGTTGGCTAGAGGCTGCTCTCAGTTACTTGCTGAAGGAGTCCAACATGGCAACTTGCTGCACCCAAAGCAGCAAGCAAGCAAGTCCAGTAGCAAGACAGAAGTCACAATCTTATGTAACCTAACCATGAAAATGACATCTCATTACCTCTGTCATATTCTTTTGGTTGAAAGCAAGTCACTACATTCAGCTCACACTCAAGGTTAGGGCGTGGGGGAAGTAGATTACATAAGGACATGAATACCAGAAGTGGATCATTAAGGACCATAGTAGAGTCTGTCTGCCACAGTCATCATCAATATTCCTTACAATTTTAGGGTTTTAATGGCCAATAATTCTTATCATTGTAGAATACTTAGTAAACCTCAGTTTTTTCAATTTTTTCTCTCATTAAAGGGGATTAAAATATAACTGTGACTTTAGAACCTCCAGTTCTTATAACATTTCTTTCTTTCCCTTTCTTTTTCTTTCTTTCTTTCTCTCTCTCTCCCTTTCTTTCTTTCTTTCTTTCTTTCTTTCTTTCTTTCTTTCTTTCTTTCTTTCTTTCTTTCTTTCTTTCTCTCCCCCTCCCTCCCTCCTCTGTCTCTCCCTCTATCTATCTATCTATCTATCTATCTATCTATCTATCTCTCTCTCTCTCTCTCTCTCTCTCTCTCTCTCTCTCTTTCTCCCCTTTCTCTCCTTTCTCTCTCTGTCACCCAGGCTGGAATGCATTGGCATAATCTCGGCTCACTGCAACCTCCATCTCCCAGGTTCAAGTTATTCTCCTGCCTCAGCCTCCTGAAGTAGCTGGGACTACAGGCGCACACCACCACACTGGGCTAATTTTTGTATTTTTAGTAGAGAAGGGATTTCACCATGTTGGTCAGGTTGGTCTCGAACTCCTGATCTCAAGTGATCTGCCCACCTTAGCCTCCCAAAGTGCTGCGATTACAGGCACGAGCTTTTTTTCTTTTTTTGAGACAGGGTCTCCCTCTGTCACCCAGGCTGGAGTGCAATAGCATGATCACAGCACACTGCAGCCTCAATCTCCTGGGCTTAAGCAATCCTTCCACTTCAGCCTCCTGAATAGCAAGGACTACAGGTGCATGCCACCACACCTAGCTACTTTTTTTGTTTGTTTTTTGTAGAGATGGGGATCTCACTATGTTGCCCCAGCTTGTCTCCAACTCCTGGGCTCAAGTGATCCTCCCATCTCAGCCTCCCAAAGTGCTGGGATTACAGGCACGAGCCACCATGCCTAACCTTCTTATAACTATGCTATGATGCCTCACTAAATTTATGAAAACATAATTAGTATGATTACATATTCTTATAGAGGCAAGTTCTTCCTTTCCTGAGCCATCATAGCATTTTAGTTATGTCTTCCTTGTGATTTTGAGCACTTTTAAACTTGCAAAAGGAATATTTGTGAATAGTCTTCTCTCCCTTGCTAGACTGTAGGGTCTTTGAGGATAAATTATTATTATTACTTGAGACAGGGTCTCACTCTGTCACTCAGGCTGGAGTGCAGTGGCTTGAATAAGGCTTACTGCAGCCTTGACCTCCTGGGCTCAAGCAGTTATCTTACCTCAGCCTCCTGAGTAGCTGGGACCACAAGTGCATGCCACCATGACCAGCTAATTGTTGTATATTTTGTAGAGATGGGGTATCACCATGTTGCCCAGGCTGGTCTCCAACTCCTGGGCTCAGGTGATCTGCCCACCTCAGCCTCCCAAAGTACTAGGATTGCAGGCGTGAGCCATCACACTCGGTCTGACAAATTATGGTTTTTAACATTTTTTACACCTGACTGCACCCAAAAGAGTACATTTACTATGGAGTTCAGTAAATATCTATTTTAAAAAAAAAGTCCCATAGCATTTTTAAAAATATGAACTCAACATCTCTTTGTATCAATAAAAGTGAGATATAGATTTGATTTATGTATCTCTAGTTCACCTAAGTTCACTCAGATAGTAGACAGACTGAATACTAATTGAGGAGATTAATCACAAGCAGTTCATATCCAAACACTGAAAAATGTAGTAAATATCTGATGAATGAGTTGATGAATATTCATTTTTCTCCATATATATATATATATATATATCCCTTTGACATAGTCTCTGTGCATGTTTTTGTGCATGAATGTATGTGTATGTGTTTGTGTATATATAGACACATGTATATATACACACATACGTATATATACATATATGTTTATATATGTATATATGTGTTTTATATATACATGTGTATGTGTATACATATATATGCACACGTATATACTCATATGTATATACACACACATATATATGTTTCTGAGCTAGAGTCTGGGTATGTTTCTTCATAAGAAAATTTTATGCCTCCAAAGTATTTCCACATTATTTATAATAATATATAATAACATCACATTGTGTAAGTAATAACATTAGTTTATCATCCATTTATTCTTTATCCAGCATAGGTAGAATTAGATGATTCAAAATTGCAAAGAGAAACATAATTTATTTTGGAAGATTGTACATTTTTGTAAGTTTCTAAAAAGCTAAAAACTTTCATGAATTTTGTACTTGAGAAATTACTGTGATTCCTTTGTTAATTCATAAACCTAATGGTATAACCATCACCTTTCTGACTGCCATGCTATCTTAACATTTTTAATTTGGGGAGGGGTTCTAAACTTTGTATCCCAATTATATTCTGGTGATAACAGCTTAGTAGGTTTATTGACAAAAAAATATTTGTTTAGGTAGCTTTCATATAGGCTGTTAAGTTTATTTGTGGTGTCCTGAACAGTTCCTTTCTGCTATTCTTTTTTTTTAAATTTTATTATTATTATACTTTAAGTTTTAGGGTACATGTGCACAATGTGCAGGTTAGTTACATATGTATACATGTGCCATGCTGGTGTGCTGCATCCATTAACTCGTCATTTAGCATTAGGTATATCTCCTAATGCTATCCCTCCCCACTCCCCCCACCCCACAACAGTCCCCAGAGTGTGATGTTCCCCTTCCTGTGTTCATGTGTTCTCATTGTTCAATTCCCACCTATGAGTAAGAACATGCGGTGTTTGGTTTTTTGTCCTTGCGATAGTTTACTGAGAATGATGATTTCCAATTTCATCCATGTCCCTACAAAGGACATGAACTCATCATTTCTTATGGCTGCATAGTATTCCTTGGTGTATATGTGCCACATTTTCTTAATCTGGTCTGTCATTGTTAGACATTTGGGTTGGTTCCAAGTCTTTGCTATTGTGAATAGTGCCGCAATAAACATACGAGTGCATGTGTCTTTATAGCAGCATGATTTATAGTACTTTGGGTATATACCCAGTAATGGGATGGCTGGGTCAAATGGTATTTCTAGTTCTAGATCCCTGAGGAATCGCCACACTGGCTTCCACAATGGTTGAACCAGTTTACAGTCCCACCAACAGTGTAAAAGTGTTCCTATTTCTCCACATCTTCCCAGCACCCGTTGTTTCCTGACTTTTTTAATGATTGCCATTCTAACCGGTGTGAGATGGTATCTCATTGTGGTTTTGATTTGCATTTCTCTGATGGCCAGTGATGGTGAGCATTTTTTCATGTGTTTTTTGGCTGCATAAATGTCTTCTTTTGTGAAGTGTCTGTTCATGTCCTTTGCCCACTTTTTGATGGGGTTGTTTGTTTTTTTCTTGTAAATTTGTTTGAGTTCATTGTAGATTCTGGATATTAGCCGTTTGTCAGATGAGTAGGTTGCGAAAATTTTCTCCCATTTTGTAGGTTGCCTGTTCACTCTGATGGTAGTTTCTTTTGCTGTGCAGAAGCTCTTTAGTTTAATTAGATCCCATTTGTCAATTTTGGCTTTTGTTGCCATTGCTTTTGGTGTTTTAGACATGAAGTCCTTGCCCATGCCTATGTCCTGAATGGTAATGCCTAGGTTTTCTGCTAGGCTTTTTATGGTTTTAGGTCTAACGTTTAAGTCTTTAATCCATCTTGAATTAATTTTTGTATAAGGTGTAAGGAATGGATCCAGTTTCAGCTTTCTACATATGGCTAGCCAGTTTTCCCAGCACCATTTATTAAATAGGGAATCCTTTCCCCATTGCTTGTTTTTCTCAGGTTTGTCAAAGATGTCAGATAGTTGTAAATATGCGGCGTTATTTCTGAGGGCTCTGTTCTGTTCCATTGATCTATATCTCTGTTTTGGTACCAGTACCATGCTGTTTTGGTTACTGTAGCCTTGTAGTATAGTTTGAAGTCGGGTAGTGTGATGCCTCCAGCTTTGTTCTTTTGGCTTAGGATTGACTTGGTGATGCGGGCTCTTTTTTGGTTCCATATGAACTTTAAAGTAGTTTTTTCCAATTCTGTGAAGAAAGTCATTGGTAGCTTGATGGGGATGGCATCGAATCTATAAATTACCTTGGGCAGTATGGCCATTTTCACGATATTGATTCTTCCTACCCATGAGCATGGAATGTTCTTCCATTTCTTTGTATCCTCTTTTATTTCATTGAGCAGTGGTTTGTAGTTCTCCTTGAAGAGGTCCTTCACGTCCCTTGTAAGTTGGATTCCTAAGTATTTTATTCTCTTTGAAGCAATTGTGAATGGGAGTTCACTCATGATTTGGCTCTCTGTTTGTCTGTTATTGGTGTATAAGAATGCTTGTGATTTTTGTACATTGATTTTGTATCCTGAGACTTTGCTGAAGTTGCGTATCAGCTTAAGGAGATTTTGGGCTGAGACGATGGGGTTTTCTAGATATACAATCATGTCGTCTGCAAACAGGGACAATTTGACTTCCTCTTTTCCTAATTGAATACCCTTTATTTCCTTCTCCTGCCTAATTGCCCTGGCCAGAACTTCCAACACTACGTTGAATAGGAGTGGTGAGAGAGGGCATCCCTGTCTTGTGCCAGTTTTCAAAGGGAATGCTTCCAGTTTTTGCCCATTCAGTATGATATTGGCTGTGGGTTTGTCATAGATAGCTCTTATTATTTTGAGATACGTCCCATCAATACCTAATTTATTGAGAGTTTTTAGCATGAAGGGTTGTTGAATTTTGTCAAAGGCCTTTTCTGCATCTATTGAGATAATCATGTGGTTTTTGTCTTTGGTTCTGTTTATATGCTGGATTACATTTATTGATTTGCATATATTGAACCAGCCTTGCATCCCAGGGATGAAGCCCACTGATCATGGTGGATAAGCTTTTTGATGTGCTGCTGGATTCGGTTTGCCAGTATTTTATTGAGGATTTTTGCATCAATGTTCATCAAGGATATTGGTCTAAAATTCTCTTTTTTGGTTGTGTCTCTGCCCAGCTTTGGTATCAGGATGATGCTGGCCTCATAAAATGAGTTAGGGAGGATTCCCTCTTTTTCTATTGATTGGAATAGTTTCAGAAGGAATGGTACCAGTTCCTCCTTGTACCTCTGGTAGAATTCGGCTGTGAATCCATCTGGTCCTGGACTCTTTTTGGTTGGTAAGCTATTGATTATTGCCACAATTTCAGATCCTGTTATTAGTCTATTCAGAGATTCAACTTCTTCCTGGTTTAGTCTTGGGAGAGTGTATGTGTCGAGGAATTTATCCATTTCTTCTAGATTTTCTAGTTTATTTGTGTAGAGGTGTTTGTAGTAGTCTTTGATGGTAGTTTGTATTTCTGTGGGATCGGTGGTGATATCCCCTTTATCATTTTTTATCACGTCTATTTGATTCTTCTCTCTTTTTTTCTTTATTAGTCTTGCTAGCGGTCTATCAATTTTGTTGATCCTTTCAAAAAACCAGCTCCTGGATTCATTAATTTTTTGAAGGGTTTTTTGTGTCTCTATTTCCTTCAGTTCTTCTCTGATTTTAGTTATTTCTTGCCTTCTGCTAGCTTTTGAATGTGTTTGCTCTTGCTCTTCTAGTTCTTTTCATTGTGATGTTAGGGTGTCAATTTTGGATCTTTCCTGCTTTCTCCTGTGGGCATTTAGTGCTATAAATTTCCCTCTACACACTGCTTTGAATGTGTCCCAGAGATTCTGGTATGTTGTGTCTTTGTTCTCGTTGGTTTCAAAGAACATCTTTACTTCTGCCTTCATCTCATTATGTACCCAGTAGTCACTCAGGAGCAGGTTGTTCAGTTTCCATGTAGTTGAGCGGTTTTGAGTGAGTTTCTTAATCCTGAGTTCTAGTTTGATTGCACTGTGGTCTGAGAGACAGTTTGTTATAATTTCTGTTCTTTTACATTTGCTGAGGAGAGCTTTACTTCCGACTATGTGGTCAATTTTGGAATAGGTGTGGTGTGGTGCTGAAAAAAATGTATATTCTGTTGATTTGGGGTGGAGAGTTTGGTAGATGTCTATTAGGTCCACTCAGTGCAGAGCTGAGTTCAATTCCTGGGTATCCTTGTTAACTTTCTGTCTCGTTGATCTGTCTAATGTTGACAGTGGGGTGTTAAAGTCTCCCATTATTTTTGTGTGGGCATCTAAGTCTCTTTGTAGGTCACTCAGGACTTGCTTTATGAATCTGGGTACTCCTGTATTAGGTGCGTATATATTTAGGATATTTAGCTCTTCTTGTTGAATTGATCCCTTTACCATTATGTAATGGCCTTCTTTGTCTCTTTTGATCTTTGTTGGTTTAAAGACTGTTTTATCAGAGACTAGGATTGCAACCCCTGCCTTTTTTTGTTTTCCATTTGCTTGGTAGATCTTCCTCCATCCTTTTATTTTGAGCCTATATGTGTCTCTGCACGTGAGATGGGTTTCCTGAATACAGCACACTGATGGGTCTTGACTCTTTATCCAATTTGCCAGTCTGTGTCTTTTAATTGGAGCATTTAGTCCATTTGCATTTAAAGTTAATATTGTTATATGTGAATTTGATCCTGTCATTGTGATGTTAGCTGGTTATTTTGCTTGTTAGTTGATGCAGTTTCTTCCTAGCCTCGATGGTCTTTACATTTTGGCATGATTTTGCAGTGGCTGGTACCGGTTGTGCCTTTCCATGTTTAGTGCTTCCTTCAGGAGCTCTTTTAGGGTAGGCCTGGGGGTGACAAAATCTCTCAGCATTTGCTTGTCTGTAAAGTATTTTATTTCTCCTTCACTTATGAAGCTTAGTTTGGCTGGATATGAAATTCTGGGTTGAAAATTCTTTTCTTTAAGAATGTTGAATATTGGCCCCCACTCTCTTCTGGCTTGTAGAGTTTCTGCCGAGAGATCTGCTGTTAGTCTGATGGGCTTCCCTTTGTGGGTAACCCGACCTTTCTCTCTGGCTGCCCTTAACATTTTTTCCTTCATTTCAACTTTGGTGAATCTGACAATTATGTGTCTTGGAGTTGCTCTTCTCGAGGAGTATCTTTGTGGCGTTCTCTGTATTTCTCTGAATCTGAATGTTGGCCTGCCTTGCTAGATTGGGGAAGTTCTCCTGGATAATATCCTGCAGAGTGTTTTCCAACTTGGTTCCATTCTCCCCGTCACTTTCAGGTACACCAATCAGACGTAGATTTAGACTTTTCACATAGTCCCATATTTCTTGGAGGCTTTGTTCGTTTCTTTTTATTCTTTTTTCTCTAAACTTCCCTTCTTGCTTCATTTCATTCATTTCATCTTCCATCACTGATACCCTTTCTTCCAGTTGATCGCATTGGCTCCTGAGGCTTCTGCATTCTTCACGTAGTTCTCGAGCCTTGGCTTTCAGCGCCATCAGCTCCTTTAAGCACTTCTCTGTATTGGTTATTCTAATTATACATTCGTCTAAATTTTTTTCAAGTTTTCAACTTCTTTGACTTTGGTTTGAATTTCCTCCTGTAGCTCAGGGTAGTTTGATCGTCTGAAGCCTTATTTTCTAGCTGTTTTGCGGTCTTCTCTTCCTTCCTTCCTGTATTCCTTTTTTCTCTGGTGATATGTTTCAATTTCTTCCTTTTTATTTTTTGTATATCTGTTGTAGGGTTTTTGGTTTGTTTGTTTATTTGTTTGTTTGCTTTCTGTTGCCCTGGCTGGAGTGCAGTGGTGCAATCTCAGCTCACTGCAACCTCCACCTCCTGGGTTCAAGCAATTCTCCTGCCTCAGCCTCCTAAGTAGCTGGGACTACAGGCATGTGCCACCACGCCTGGCTGATTTTTGTATTTCTAGTAGAGACAGGGTTTCACCATGTTGGCCAGGCTGGTCTCAAACTCCTGACCTCAGGTAATCTGCCCATCTAGGCCTCCCAAAGTTGTAGGTTTTTGATTTGAGGTTACCATGAGGCTGGCAGATAACATCTTATAACCCATTATTTTAAACTGATGACAACCCTAAGTTCAAAAACACACTAACAAGTGAGCAAAAAGAAAACTAATAAAACCTTTAAACTTTGACTTCATCCTTTTGCTTTTTAACATTTTGTTGTTTTTATTTGTATCTTGCTATATGCTATGTCTTGAAAATTTGCTGTAATTATTATTATTTTTGATAGGTTCATCTTTTCATCTTTCTATTCAAGATATGAATAGTTTATATACCATAGTTACAGTGTTATAATATTCTGTGTTTTTCAGCATACCTACTATTACCAGTGAGTTTTGTACCGTCACATGATTTCTTTTTGCTTGTTAACATCCTTATCATTCAGATTGAAGAACTCCCCTTAGCATTTCTTATAGGACATGACTGGTGTTGATGAAATCCTTCAGCTTGGTTTGTCTGGAAAAGTCTTTATTTATCCTTCTTGTTTGAAGGATATTTTTGCTGGATATACTTTTTTTTTTTTTTTTTTTTTTTTTTTTTTTGAGGCACAGCCTCACTCTGTTACCCAGGCTGGAGTGCAGTGCTGTAGTCTTGGCTCACTGCAACCTCTGCCTCCTGGGTTTAAGCGATTCTCCTACCTCAGCCTCCAGAGTAGCTGGGATTACATGAGACCACCATGCCTGTCTAATTTTTGTATTTTTAGTAGAGACAGGGTTTCACCATGTTGGCCAGGCTGGTCTCAGACTCCTGACCCAAGTGATCCGCCCTTCTCAGCCTCCCAAAGTGTTGGAATTACAGGCGTGAGCCACTGCGCCTGGCTTGGATATACTATTCTAATATAATTTTTTTTCCTTTGGCACTTTAAATATGTCATGACACTCTCTCCTTGCCTATAAGGTTTCCACTGAAAAGTCTGCTGCTACATATATTGCAGCTCCTTTGTATGTTATTTCTTCTCTCTTGCAGCTTGCTTGGTCCTTGCTTTATCCTTGACTTTCGGGAGTTTGATTATTAAATGTCTTGAGGTAGTCTTATTTGGGTTGAATCTGCTTGGTGTTCTATAACCTTCCTGTACATGAATGTTGATATCTTTCACCAGGTTTGGAAAGTTCTCTGTTATTGTCCCTTTGAATAAACTTTCTACCCTTATCTCTCTCTGTACCTCCTCTTTAAGGCCAGCAACTCTTAGATTTGCCTTTTTGAGGCTATTTTCTAGATCTTGTAGGCATGCTTTATTTTTTTATATCCTTTTTTCTTTTGTCTCTTCTGACTGTGTATTTTCCAATAGCCTGTCTTCAAGCTCACTCATTATTCTTCTGCTTAATCAATTCTGCTGTTGTGGGACTCTAATGCATACTTCAGTATGTCAATTAAATTTTTCAGCTCCAGAATTTCTGCTTGATTTTTCAAAATTATTTTAATCTCTTTGTTAAAGTTATCTGATAGGATTATGAATTCCTTCTCTGTGATATTTTGAATTTCACTGAGCTTCCTCAAAGCAGCTATTTTGAATTCTCTGAAAGGTCACATATCTCTGTTACTCTGAGATTGGTCACTGGTACCTTATTTAGTTCACTTGGGAGGTCATGTTTTCCTAGATGGTCTTGATGCTTGTGGATGTTTGTCAATGTCTGGGCATTGAAGAGTTAGGTGCTTACTATAGTCTTTGCAGTTTGAGCTTGTTTGTACCCTTCCACCTTGGGAAGGCTTTCCAAGTATTCAAAGGGAATTGGATATTGTTATCTAAGTCTTTGGTTACTGCAGCTGTATCTGCATTAGGGGTCACCCCAAGCCTAGGAAAGTAACACTGTGATGCTTGCAGGCTCATAGTTATACCATCTTGGTGGTCTTGCATAAGTCTGAGAGAATTTCCTGGATTACCTGGCAGAGACTCTTGTTCTCTTCCCTTACTTTCCCCCAAACGAATGCAGTCTCTCTGTCCATGCTAAGCTGCCTAGAGCTGGGGTTGGGGTGACACAAGCACCCCTGTGTCCACCACCACTGAGACTGCACTGGGTCAGAACTGAAGCCAGCACAACACTGGGTCTCACCCAAGGCCCGCAGCAACCACTGTCTGACTACTTGCCAGTGTTCACTCAAGGCCCAAGGGCTGGTCAGTCAGCAGGTGGTAAATCCAACCAGGCTTGTGTTCCCCTCTTCATGGCAGTGAGCTCCCCTCCCCAGCACAGGGAAGGCCCACGGATGCTATCTGGAAGCCAGGGCCTGGAGTTGGGAACCTTAGGAATCTACTTGATACTCTATGCTACTGTGGCTGAGCTGGTACCCAAGCCACAACACAAAGTCCTTCTTACTCTTCCCTCTCCTTTCCTCAAGTAGGAGTCTCTGCCTATGGTCACCATCACCTCCAGCCCATGGCAAGTACTTCCTGGCTACCACTGAAGTTCACTCAAGGCCCAAGTTCTCTTCAGTCAGCTTGTGGTGAATGTTGCCATGCCTGGGTCTCTCCTTTAAGGGCAGTGGGCTCCCCTGTGGCTGAGGACATGTCCAGAAATGCCATCCAGAAGCCAAGTCCTGGAATTGGGGTTGCCAGGAGCCCACTTCGTGCTCTAACCCACCATGGTCAAGCTGGTACCCAAGCTGCAAAACAAAGCCTCCTTTACTCTTCCCTCTCCTTTTCTCAAGCAAAAGGAGTCTCTCCTCATGGCCAAGGCAGCTGGGAATGTGCTGGGTCACACCTGAAGCCAACACTGTAATGGATCTTACTTAAGGCCCGTGCGGAGTACTGCCTGGCTATAGCTGATGTTTATTCAAAAACCCAAAACTCTGAAAACTAAGGCAAATGCAAATTAAAACCACTATAATATACCACTACACACCTAGTAGAATGGCTGAAATCAAGAACACTAACCATACTAAGTGTTGGTGAGGATGCAGAAAACCAGACCTCTCATAAGCTGTTGGTGGGAATGTAAAATGACACCACTATTTTGGAAAAAAGTTTGACAGTCTCTTAAGTTAAGCACACACTTACCATATGACCTGGCAGTTCCACTCCTAGGTATTTGTCTGAGGGAAATGGAAGCTTATGTCCCTAAAAAGACCCATACATGATTATTCATACTTGCTTTATCAGTAATAGCCAAAAAGCGGTAACAGCCCAAATGTTCAGGTGAATGATTAAACAAATTATGGTATAACCAGACAGTGGAATAATACTGAGTAATAAAAAGGAATGAAGTACTGATACATGCTACAACATAATTAAACCCCAAAATGATTATTCTTTGAAAGAAGCCAGGCAAAAAAAGAGCACATATGGCATGATTCTTTTTATATAAAATTCTCAAACTATCCACATAGAAAGGAAGTCAAAAAATAAAATACAATTCTTAAAATGTAAAACATGTAAACTATATAGTGCACATTTTTATGTTTTGGCTGCCCAGAATCCGAACACCCTTTTAAAGGAGGAATCCTAAATTTGAGAGGCAGCAGTATCCTTCTGTCCAGAATGGAAGTTGAAATAGAAATTTTCTCTTCCCACTTCTTGCAGCTAAAACATGGGCACATGACCCAAATTACCTGGCATTCTAAGGCCATGCTAATAAGATGGTACTACCCAGGACTATGTAAACTACCTGAGACTTTGACCCTTAAGGGGGTTCAGTTTGAGGTTATTTGAAGTGGAGTCAAGGATTAACATTACAGCGGATGTTTCCAAGAGTATGGAGGTCAGTAGTGAGATATTGAGTGTCAGGGTGATGGGGTCAAGGTTGGTGTTCAAACAGATTATTCCTATGGCAGGATCTTATCTGTGCATTTCCTCCCTCAGATCCTATTTCTCTCTCTGCAACTATTTGTAAACACTGTGAGCCACTTCCTACTGTTCTGTAGTAGACATTACTATTACTCACCACTATCCAGATCTCTCTTCCTTCCTAGACTCCACTTACTAGCCCTCTTGGACTTGGGGAGGTGCATGTGATAAGTCCAGTTGAGGCCCTGAAGAGCTCCTGCATGATTCTCTAGTGTCTCTCCTGACATGGCGACCAGCAGCATTCCAGAGAGTGGGCCTTCCATCATTCTGGGTCCCCAAATGACAATATGGAACAGACTTCCTCCCCCCAACCTTCACTGGCTCTGTAGGATGAGTAAGAAACTTTTCTTATGTGTGTTAGGCCACTAATATTTGGGAGTTTAATATTCTGATCCAATATCCAAGAATTTATCCATTCCATAAATTCTTTCTGTTTAGATGAATCAGGATTGGTTTCTGTGCCCTGACAAATTCAGGTGTTGGTACTATAGTGAGAATTGTAGGCAGCATAGAGATAAGAGGAATCTAGAATTGGTTATCAGGCCTTGTTTGGAGATAAAGGCAATTAAAAAATCATACTAGGAGCAAAGTCACCAAAATGGCAAAGAAGAAACAATCTGGCTTTACTGTCCCCCACAGAAAACCAAAAACAATATCCATTGCCAAGATTATCACTAGCAATGTCTCAGAACTCAAAGTTGAGGCTTAGACAATCCGTAGGGCCACAGGGAAGTGAAAAACTTCGAGTATACAGTAAGAGAAATAGGCTTCTCCATCCATGATACCCTTCCGCAGTCTACCATGCACCAGGTATGGAAAGTTCCTCCCAGACTCATGGTTTCTACACTGGAAAAAGTGAGATTGAAGCCAGCAGCCAGCTTCACCATCACATTGGGTTCCCTTGCAGGAAAATCATTCCTGCCTCATCTTATGGGAAGCATTGCGAGTTCCTGTAGGGAGAAAAACTCCTGAGGGCAGCTAGAAACAAAGAGAGGAGGCAGGAGTACTAACCCCAGCCCTCAAAATTCTGCTCTTTATCTCAGCCAAAGGAGATGCCAAATCAGAGTTGCTGTTCAGCAGCACCACGCTGTGGGAGGCACATGCTCCACAGGTCTTCTGGACACGAACCCCTAGCCAGCCTTCCCACACATCTGGGGTATTCCCTTTAGAACCCTTTGCTCAATCTAGGACCAGCAATGCTGTCTTAGTCTGTTTTTGTTGCTATAAAGGAATACCCAAGGCTGAGTAATTTATAGAGAAAAGATGTTTATTTGGCTCATGGTTCTACAGGCTGTATAAGCAGCATGGCACTGGCATCTGCCTCTGGTGAGGGCCTCAGCTACCACTCATAGCAGAAGGAGAAGGGGAACTGATGTGTGCAGAAATCACATGGCAAGAGAGGAGGCAAGAGAGAGAGGTAGGGAGGTGCCAGGTTCTTTTTAACAACTGGCTCTATAGCTTTCAAAGGAATTAACAGAGCAAGAAATCACTCATTACTATGAGGACCACACCAAGACATTCATGAGGGTTTTGCCCCCATGACCAAAACACCCCCAATTAGGCCCCATCCCCAACATTGAGGATCAAATTTCAACATGAGGTTTGGAGGGGCCAAATATGCAAACTATAGCAAGTGCTTTGAATGTTTATAAAAGCCGAGGCAAACTGGGGTTTAAGGCACCATGTTCTAGTCCTAAAAAGGAGGCAATGATCTGGGCTTAGGGAACTCACAGGCAGCTGCAAAGAACCTCTAAGGAAACATGCCATAGAGAGACCAAAACAAACCAAACAACAAAGATGGTAATAAATATCTAATTCCTCAATGTGAAGCCATAAACGTACATTTATAAGAAACAACAGCAAATGAAATCATGACCTCCACAAATGAACAAAGCAAGGAGCCAGTGACCAACACTTACAAGAGGTTAATGTGTGAGCTTTACTATTAATTCTACTCAAGCAATTCCAAAGAATTGAAGAGAAAGGAATACTTCCAAACTCATTTTACAGACCAGGATTACCCTGATACCAAAACCAGACAAGGACATAACCAAAAAAAGCAAACTAGAGGCCAGTATCTCTGATAAACATACATGCAAAAATCCTCAACAAAATGCTAGCAAACCAAATACAATAACACATTAAAAATATCATTCACCATCATCAAGTGGGATTCATCTCAGGGATACAAGGATGATTTAACATAAGCAAATCAATAAATATGATACATAACATTAACAGAATCAAGAGCAAAAGCCATATGATAATTTCAATAAATGCTGAAAAAGCATTCAATGAAATTTAACATTCTTTATGATAATAATTCTCAACTAACTGGGTATAAAAGGAACTTCAAAATAATAAAGGCATGTATAACAGACATACAGTTAACATCATACTTAATGGGGGAAAATTAAAAGCCTTTTCTCTAAGAACACTGTCTCCTTTTCAGGAGTAGATGATGCCTTAAGCCCAGGTTTGTCTCAGCTCTCACAAACATTCAAAGCATTTGCTGTGGTTTGGATATAGCAGGGAGGCCTACTTCTACCACTTTTATTCAACATAGTACTGGAACTCCTAGCCAAAGCAATTAGGCAAGAGAAAGAAATAAAAGGCATCCAAATTGGAAAGGAAGAAATCAAAGTATCCTTGTTCACAGACAACATCATATTTAGAAAAACCTAGACTTTACCAAAAAACTGCTTTTGGCATCACACTACCTGACTTCAACATATATACTACAAAGCCATAGTAACAAACACAGCATGGTACTGGCATAAAAACAGAAACATAGACCAATGGAACAGAATAGAAAACTCAGAAATAAATTTACACTTTTATAACCAACTCATTTTTGACAGACACCAAGAACATACCTTGGGGAAAAGGACAGTTTCCTCAATAAATGGTGCTGGAAAAACTGGGTAACCATGTACAGAAGAATGAAGCTAGACCCCTAACTCTCACCAAGTAAAAAATCAAATCAAAATGAATTGAAGACTTAAATCTAAGACCCGAAACTCTGAAACTGCTAGAAGAAAACCTTAGGGAAACACTTGAAGACATTGGTTTGTGCAAAGACTTTTTGGGTAAGATCTAAAAAGCATAGGCAACAAAAGCAAAAATAGACAAATGGGACCACATGAAGCTGAAAGCCTCTGAACAGCAAAGGAAACAATTAACAAAGTGAATAAACAACTCACAGAATGGGAGAAAATAATTGCAAACTATCCATCTGACAGGAGATTAATAACCAACATATGTAAGGAGCTCAAACAACTCAATAGCAGAAAAACCCAAACAATCCAATTTAAAAATGAGCAAAAGATCTGAGTAGACATTTCTTGAAAGAAGACATACAAATGGCCAACTGGTATATTTAAAAATGCTCAGCATCACTAATCATTAGGGAAATTCAAATCAAAACTACAGTGAAATATCATCTCACCTCAGTTAAAATGACTTATCAAAAAGACAAAAAATATTAGATGCTGATGAGGATGCAGAGAAAGGAGAATGCTCATACACTGTTGGTAGGAATGTAAATTACTATAGCCACTATGGAAAATAGCATGGAGGTTCCTCAAAAAACTAAAAATAGAACTACCCTATGATCCAGCAATCCCATTGCTAAATCCAAAAGAAAGAAAATCTTTTGAATCCAAAAGAAAGGAACCCAAAGGAAAGGAAATCTTCATTTGAATCCAAAAGAAAGGAAATCACTATATTGAAGTAATATCTGCACTCCCATGTTTCCTGCAGCACTATTCACAATAGCCAAGATATTGAGTCAACCTGTGTCCAACAACAGATGAGTGGATAAAGAACAAGTGGTATAGATACACAATGGAATATTACTAAGCCATAAAAAAGAATGAACTCCTGTCATTTGTGGCAACGTGGATGGAACTGGAGATCATGTTAAGTGAAATAAGCTAGGCACAGAAAGACAAATTTTACATGTGCTCACTCATGTTTGGGTGCCAAAAAAATGGATCTCATGGAGGTAGAGAGTTGATTGGTGGTTATTAAAGGTTGAGAAAGGTAGGGGTATGGGAAGATGAAGAAAAGTGAATTAATGAGTAAAAAGTACAAAAGTACAATTAAATAGAGGTAATAAGATCTAGTCTTTGAAAGTACAGTCGGGTGGCTATAGTCAAAAATAATATATTGTATAGTTCCAAATAGCTAGAAGAAAGTAATTGGAATGTTCCCAAGATAAGGAAACATGTTTGAGATTATGGATATCCCAGTTACCCTGATTGGATCATTATACACTGTATGCATTTATCAAAATATTACATGTACCCCCTAAATATGTACAACTATTATGCATCAATAAAAAATCATATTAGTATTCAAAAATAAGTATCTAGAAGCCTGAGGAATATATTAGTAAACAGCTAATTAAATTATCCCTGCAGTCACATGAATAAGGTCACTATTGATGCCAAAGACTTTTGGCATGCTGTGGTTTGAATGTGTCCCCCAAATTTCATGTGTTGGAAATTTAATCCCCAAATTCGTGTGTTGATGGCATTTGAAGGTGGGGCCTTTGGGAAAAAATCAGGATTAGATAAGGCCATCAGATGAGGCCCTCTGATGAGAATGGTGGCTTTATAAGAAGAAAAAGAGAGATCTGAGCTGGCAAGCTCTTGACCTCTTGCCATGTGATGTCCTCCACCATGTTATGATGAGGAAGAAGGCCCTCACCAGATGCCAGCCCCTCTCCCTTGGGCTTCCCAGCCTCCAGAACCATGAGCTAAATAAAATTCCACTCTTTACAAATTACCCAGTCTGTGGTATTCTGTTATAGCAACAAAAAAATGGACTAAGGGCAATTATGGTTCTTGCTATAAAAATGTGGGGAAAAGCAAGAGAGATCAGATTGTTACTGTGTCTGTGTAGAAAGAAGTAGACATAGGAGACTCCATTTTGTTATGTGCTAAGAAAAATTCTTCTGCCTTGAGATTCTGTTAATCTATGACCTTACCCCCAACCCCGTGCTCTCTGAAACGTGTGCTGTGTCAACTCAGGGTTGAATGGATTAAGGGCGGTGCAGGATGTGCTTTGTTAAACAGATGCTTGAAGGCAGCATGCTCCTTAAGAGTCATCACCACTCCCTAATCTCAAGTACCCAGGGACACAAAAACTGCGGAAGGCCGCAGGGACCTCTGCCTAGGAAAGCCAGGTATTGTCCAAGGTTTCTCCCCATGTGATAGTCTGAAATATGGCCTCGTGGGAAGGGAAAGACCTGACCATCCCCCAGCCCGACACCCGTAAAGGGTCTGTGCTGAGGAGGATTAGTATAAGAGGAAGGCATGCCTCTTGCAGTTGAGACAAGAGGAAGGCATCTGTCTCCTGCCTGTCCCTGGGCAATGGAATGTCTCGGTATAAAACCCGATTGTATGCTCCATCTACTGAGATAGGGAAAAACCGCCTTAGGGCTGGAGGTGGGACCTGCGGGCAGCAATACTGCTTTGTAAAGCACTGAGATGTTTATGTGTATGCATATCCAAAAGCACAGCACTTAATCCTTTACATTGTCTATGATGCCAAGACCTTTGTTCACGTGTTTGTCTGCTGACCCTCTCCCCACAATTGTCTTGTGACCCTGACACATCCCCCTCTTTGAGAAACACCCACAGATGATCAATAAATACTAAGGGAACTCAGAGGCTGGCGGGATCCTCCATATGCTGAACGCTGGTTCCCCGGGTCCCCTTATTTCTTTCTCTATACTTTGTCTCTGTGTCTTTTTCTTTTCCAAATCTCTCGTCCCACCTTACGAGAAACACCCACAGGTGTGAAGGGGCAACCCACCCCTACATAAAAATATACAATGATTATGACAACAATGATAATGACAGCTACCACTCATATAACTCTTACTATGTGCCAGCCACTGTCCTAAGAACTTTGTATATATTAACTTAATGAAATAAAGGACATAAATAAACTAACAGCCAACAGACAGATTAAATGGCTGCATCTAATGGTACTAGAGAGCTTAAATAAAAAGCACAAATCTGAAGTCAAAGTGTCCTTTGCAGAAGCTGCATCCTTCATGTATTTTGGACTTCCTCTGCCCCTCTAGCCCTAGGGATGGTTGCAGCTTCTCAGTTTCTTCACTGTCCCTTTTAGCTTCTTATCAATTCCATCATCTGTGTAACCAATTTTCACATGAGAATCTCTCATTTGAAATACCCATATTTTCCTGATTGGACCCTTATTTGATATAGTTTGTAGTACTAGGAGTTTTCTGTTATCAGTCTTTGCTGTATAACAAACCACCCCAAACCTGAATGGGTTAAAGCAACAATGCTTTAGCATTTCTCATGAATCTATGGGTCATTTGTGTGGTTCTGTTGATCTAGGCCCGGCTCAGCTAATCTCAGCTAGGGAGCACTCATGGTAGGTCTGTTGGAGGCGTGCTGGTTCATATTCACGTAACTAGCTGTTGGAAAACTGTCATCTGGGGGCAATGCAAAAGGCCATGGATAATAATGGCCATTTATGCAAACTACCAAAAGCCCTGAGAAATAGACCCTCACAATAATTCTGGGATTGCTCACTTATTTGAGTTGGAATACCATGAAACCTCCTTAAAAAGTAGAATAGGGTAACTAGAAATGTTTGGCACGTAGTAGTAGCATAGTTATTAAAATTATCTTATCACCTGTAGTTGCTTGGGAGGAAATGTCAATTGAAGGAAAGACTTTGTGACATTAAGTAGCTGCTGTACTCCATTGTGGTTATAATGAGTGCAAGGTCTATAGGATGGAATTGCTGCTTCTGATTGTCCTAGAGAGCTTATATAAGTAAAATAACAAGTCTAGAAATTTAAACTCTCACCTCAAAGCATGGACACAGAACCAGATGACTTTTATGGTGCCATTTAATTTGCGAGTGTGTGCATGTCCCTTTTAGCTCCTTAGCAATTTCACAAGGAATTCCGTGTGTGGCCATAGTCACACATGGCTGAGGATAAAACCCAAAATATACTTGTGTGATGTACATAAGTAGAATGAAATTTGAATATACAAAATATTCTATATTCTAAAAATCTCTTTCGTTAAATTTAGAGAATTGGGAAAGACTAGGACCCTCATGTGGGATGAGAACATTTGGGTGGATTCAGATGAATCTGAGAACTTGAAATTCTAAATCTCGAGGTTCCCATGTCAGTGGAAACAACTCCTCTTAGTATTCTGAGGAAATAAGTCTTTCCCTGCTTATAGAGGCTCTCATGACCCCATCCAATATAGCTGATTTATAGGGTGATGCCTATTTTCATTACTTGTAGACTTAATACCTAGAGTTAGACACAGCATGCCCCAGGGAGAGAATTCAAGATCTGCTCCAATAGTACATTAAAAGAATTTCAAGCTCTCACTAATTTATATTAGTAGGGAAACACATGTGGGAATGGATTATAAGACTGTTAGACCAAGATAAATGGAATATAATATTGGATTGAGCTGAAGTTACTAAAACAGGAACATTTACCTGAGATTCTGGATTTAGTATGTTATCTTACTAGTGGTTCTAAGCATTTTCTTGGTTGTTAAACTAAAATTTGGATTCAGTGGTAGTCCACAATTAATGAGATTGAGATGCCATAACTTCCCTGGCATTATGTGAGACATCCAAAGGTTTAGTTAGGGAGACAGGAATATTGGAGTGACTGAATTTATTATGTTCAGTCCATTCCCCTTCCCTCTATGTTCTTTGGTTGGGGGTGGGACTTAGAGGACATTTTTCTTCACCAAGTCATTAAGAAATGAATCAGTATGAGGAGATACTAAAATAGACTCTGATTTAAATAAAAATGATGCGTTTCTATATTACCGGAAAAACTCTAGGCCTGGTCAGCAGAAATGTAACTTGAGTTGCCACAATAAGTTATGGTCTCTTGCTATGTTCCCACACCTAAGTTAGTTTACAGAACTTGAATCCCTTGATTGAAGGGAGGCTATGTCACCTTGAGGGAGGACCTGTGGTTATTTGCTAGGACACCTATGTCCTTGGGGGAAATGTAGAATGGACACTAGTTCTGAGTTGCCAATAATTTCTAGGGTCTAGAAATGCTGTTGTGGTCTACTGAAGAGAGTGAAGACTTACAGAGAACAGGGGATAAATTGTGCCCTCAATGTATCTCACAGTGACCCCAGTATATAAGAGCCACTGTGTGGTTTTTGCTCTAGTTCCTGAATGTATGGTTGGAATATTTATACTTAGCAATTGGTCAAGTATTTACATCTGAACTTGACCCATGGAGAAATGGTTAATACAGTAAAAAGGGCCAAATGGAAGCCAATGGAAAAGGCTCTCCTACTAAAACAGCAAATCAAAACTAATAGCACCTCCCTGTAGAAATTGTAATTGTGAAGATCAGCGCTACCATTTAAAGACTTGAATATTGTGGGCTTTTGGTTCCTAGCACTTGCCTGCTTAGCCAGTATAAAACCCAGATGGAGTCGGAGAATGCCTGTGAATCACTGTAAAGTAAATTAAGTGCTGACTCCAATGGCAGCTACTTTTCCAGTTGTATCTTTGCTGGAGCAAATTAGCATAGTCCTTGGTATTTGGTATGCAGCTGGCAAATGTGTTTTTCCCTATATTGATTAGTGAGGATTATCAAAAGCAGTTTGCTTTCACCTGGCAGAGACATCAATAAACTCCAGAGGTATGTGAACTCTCCTATGTTGTTGTAATACAGTCCACAGGGTCCTTGATCATCAGAACAGCTCATAGGATACTATTGTTAGCAACAAGCTGATTGGATCTTTTCAGCAGAAAATAGCAAGAGTCACAGTTGTTATTCTAACACAAATGTATACAAAGAGGTGGAAGAAAAACCCCATAGAAATTTAGGGGCCTGACAATCAACACTATGTCTAAGGAGCATGTAGACATATTGCTCTAGACAAGCAAGTTCCTGTGCCTTGCACCACTTTCAACTAAATCAGAGGCACAATGCTCAGGGGGACTCTGGCTATTGGAGGTGACATATACTGCATTTGGGTTGCCACTCTTATTTATTGAGCAACTGGTAACCATTCCAATTTTGAGTGAGGCCCAAGACAAGAGAAGGGTCTACTTAAAGTCCAGTTTGTAGAGCAAGGTCTGTGCCACTTAGCAGACTCAAGTGGCAAATACAGACACTGGGTGAGGCATTTTGCATGACCCAGGTAGAAGATGAATGCCCGATACATAAGAAATTTACTTGAGCTATGACTCTTCTAAACACCATGAACTTAATGCTGTCTGATCCAACAAACTAAAAGCTTGGTGTATGCATCTGCGATCCATGAAATGGAAGTGGTTTATATGAGATTTGACTTGTGCAGATTGGTAAATTGGTGACAAGAAAGTCCGAGGTCCTTTATGGGCTTCTGAAATAGGCAGAGTGTCAGGATATATGTATCACATGAACATGCTCACCAAAGAGCAGTCTCAGCAGAGGAAGCTCTCAATAATCAAGTCGATGAGATAATCTATTCCGTGACTGAGTTCAGTCAGCCTTTTTCTACAGCCACCACAGTATTTGCTCAATGGGCCTATATACAAAGTGGCATTGGTGCAGGGATGGAAGCTGTGCCAAGGCTCAGTAAGATAGATTTCCTCTCATCAGTGATGATCTGGCTATCCCCACTGCTAAATGCCCAATGTGCCAACAGCAGAGACCATGGTGGCATATTGGTTACCTTGGATCTTTTCCATCATGTAAAAGTAAGAAATTTGTCCCCCAATAAAAATATGTTTGGTAGAGATTTGCCTTCCTTTCTTACAGTTCTTCTGCCAGGACCACTATTTGCAGCTTTATCCACTGCCTCAGACTAAAGAGGCTTTATCCTTTGCCTCAGACTAAAGAGATATATTTTTCTGTGAAGTAAGTGCAACAATAGACTCACACCCACGGAGTCCATTGCTCTTACCATGCAACTCATCACTGGAAGCAGGTCACTTTATGGCTTGCTGAAGATTCTGTTACAATGTGAGCTGTGAGACAACACTCTGTGTTGTTGGGTGCTGTCCTAAAGTATGTGGAATATGCCTTAAAATAGTGGCTACTATGTCATACTGTCTTCTCCATAGCCAGAATGCATGAGGTAGAGACGTGAGGCCCTCTTTTACAATTACACCAAATAACCCAATGGCGTCATTTTTGTTTCCATCTCTGCAAGCTTGGGTTCAGTGGGTTTGGAGGCCCTAGAGCCTCAGAAAGAAATGTATTCACCAGGAAACAGAATCATCATTCCGTCGACTGGAAGTTGAGACTTCCCCTTGGACATTTTGTATTCTCATCATGCTGAATCAACAGCCAGAGGAGTTCTCTGTATTGGGTCAGGGGACCCAATTATCAAGGGTCCAAAATTATCAAGAAGAAAGTTGGTTGCTACTATACAATAGTGGAATGGTGCTATATTTACAGCTCAATGTGTTCACTGGGGGTCTTCTACTACAATTTTATCCAACAGCCATTGTTAAGGGAAAACTGTGGCAATCCAATAAAGACTCACCAAAGACTCAGGTCCCATAGGGAAAACAATTATGCCATTCCACCAGGTAAAGAACAGTATCTAGCTGAGCTTTTAGCAGAGGGGAAGGAACATGGAATGGGTGGTGAAAGAAATGTGATAAATATGAACTTGACCTTGTGACCAGTTATGGAAATGAGGACTGCAGCAGGCATGCATATTCTTCTTATTTATATATTATAAACATAAATATATATTTCTATATGTTAGTCAATAATCTATTTTCTTTTTTCCTTCTATTATTTTAAAATGAGGAATGTTAGTTATTTTTGTGAAAGTTGTCAGGATCAAAATGGAGTCACTTGTGTCAAACCCTAACCACAACAAAAATAAAGCCAGAAGGCTGACAAGAAAGGGCCCTCATGCACACATGCTTATGATAAGAATGATTACAAAGACTCTCTGAAGAGCTCTTACACAGTTTGCTACATGAGTCACAAGGACAGCTAGCCAGATGCACAAGAACTCTTGTCTTACATACCAATAATGAACTGGTATTAACTCCTGCAATAAGCCCCTGTAACCAAAGTTATCTTTGTTTCAGAACAAATTATGTATACTTTTCCCTTTTACATTTAAAGGCATCCCCTTGCCTCAACCTCTTTCAATATGCCTGTGGGCTCCATAGCCTACATATCCCAGATTTGCAAATGCTCTGCATACTCCTGAAAAAACTTATTATCTGTGGAGAATCTCTCTCTGTTATTTACACTGATATTCTTTTATTAGTTTAGATCAGAGTTCACAAAACTGTGAGGAGCCAAGTACAGTTCTGATGGAGAGGAACTCACTTCATGTGGGCTTCCTGGACATGGTGAGAGACACTATGTCAGATGGTACTTTGTGTTCCATCTTTTTGGGAAGAGAGTGTCCATTTGTGCAAAAGTTAATTGAATTCTAGTAGGTGGAAGCACTAAGTCATTTTATGAAAGTTAAGTATGGATAGAAGGGTAAAAATGGGTGCTTTGTGGCACAGTGATTGGACTGTGTAGACATTTGCCTGTTTACTCTTGAATCTTCCATTTTTTCCTGTGCTCTGCTCAGTGTGGCAGAGGTCCATATTACCCAGACTCCCTTGCTCTCTGATGAAAAATACTAACAGAAGAGAGGAGGGTAGGAGGAGGAGAAAAGCCTGGATGTCCCCTCCACACCCTCACTATGGGTACCATATCAATTAGTAGCTGAAACTCCTCTCTCTTTTGTGTCACCTCATGCCAGATAACTTCTGCTAGGTTCTAGCTCTTTCTAGACATCCTACATTTTTCTCCTTCAACTTTCAGGATATTATTGCTTTTATTTAAAAATTATGGGTTGCCTCTTCTCCCTTGTATTTCTCCCAAGCTCTTTTATCACCTTCATGTCCAATTCCCTATATTAAATCCCCACTGTTTGAAATACCTAGAATAGTAGTTTCTGCTTTACTAGCTAGACTCTGACTATTGATAAGATGTGTGTGTGCATCTACAACCATCAGATCTTTGACAAACCTGACAAAAACAAGAAATGGGGAAAAGATTCCCTAGTTAATAAATGGTGCTGGGAAAACTGGCTAGCCATATGTAGAAAGCTGAAACTGGATCCCTTCCTTACACCTTATACAAAAATTAATTCAAGATGGACTAAAGACTTAAATGTTAGACCTAAAACCATAAAAACCCTGGAAGAAAACCTAGGTAATACCATTTAGGACATAGGCATGGGCAAGGACTTCATGTCTAAAATGCAAAAAGCAATGGCAACAAAAGCCAAAATTGAGAAATGGGATCTAATTAAACTAAAGAGCTTCTGCACAGCAAAAGAAACTACCATCAGAGTGAACAGGCAACCTATAGAATGGGAGAAAATTTTTGCAATCTACCCATCTGACAAAGGGCTAATATCCAGAATCTACAAATAACTTAAGCAAATTTACAAGAAAAAATGAAACAGCTCCATCAAAATGTGGGTGAAGGAATGAACAGACACTTCTCAAAAGAAGATATTTATGCAGCCAACAGACACATGAAAAAATGCTCATCATCACTGGTCGTCAGAGAAATGCAAATCAAAACCACAATGAGATACCATCTCACACCAGTTAGAATGGCTATCATTAAAAAGTCAGGAAACAATAGGTGCTGGGAGGATGTGGAGAAATAGGAACACTTTTACACTGTTGGTGGGAGTGTAAACTAGTTCAACCATTGTGGAAGACAGTGTGGCGATTCCTCAAGGATCTAGAACTAGAAATACTATTTGACCCAGCCATCCCATTACCGGGTATATACCCAAAGGGTTATAAATCATGCTGCTATAAAGACACATGCACACATATGTTTATTGCAGCACTATTCACAATAGCAAAGACTTGGAACCAACCCAAATGCCCATCAATGATAGACTGGATTAAGAAAATATGGCACATATACACCATGGAATACTATGCAGCCACAAAAAAGGATGAGTTCATGTCTTTTTAAGGACATGGAAGAAGTTGGAAACCATCATTCTGTGCAAACTATCACAAGGACAGAAAACCACACACTGCATGTTCTCACTCACAGGTGGGAATTGAACAATGAGAACACTTGGACACAGGACGGGAAAATCACACACCGGGGCCTGTCGTGGGGTGGGGGGAGGGGGGAGGGATAGCATTAGGAGATATACCTAATGTAAATGACGAGTTAATGGATGCAGCACACCAACATGGCACATGTATACCTATGTAACAAACCTGCACATTGTGCACATGTACCCTAGAACTTAAAGTATAATAATAAAAAAATAAAATAAAATAAAACTGGGCCGCAATCCTTGTACCATATACAAGAACCAACTCAAGGGATTAAAGACTTAAATATAAAACCTAAAACTACAAGAACCCTGAAAGACAACCTAGGCAATACCATGCAGAACATAGGCATGGGCAAAGATCTCACAAAGATGCCAAAAGGAATTGCAGCAAGAGCAAAAATTAACAAATGGGATCTAATTAAACTGAAGATATTTTCTCCACACAAAAATAAAATATCAATAGAGTAAACAGACAACCTATAGGATGGAAGAAATCTTCTGCAAACTGTACATCTGAGAAAAGCCTAATATTTAGTATTTATAAGAAACTTTAACAACTTTATGAGAAAAAAAAACCCATAGAAAAGCAGGTAAAGAACATGAACAGACATTTTTTGGAAGTAATAATAATAAAACAAGTTTTTATTATTCCTTCTTTGAAATGGAGGTAAAATACATATAAAGAAAAGCACAGATCTTATGTATTTGCTTGAATGAGATTTGACAAACACGTACATGTGATTGCACAACGCCTAGATGAACATATGGAACATTCATTTTACCTTAGGCTCCTTTTAAGTTCAGTTCCAGTTCTTCAGGGGAAATGTTATACTGACTAGAAACTCATACTCACCTGTTTTTAATCCTTATATAATAAAATTATGTAATAACATAAAATAAATAAATAAATAAATTTTCGGACTGTTTTTCTATTTCTGTGAAGAATTTTATTAGCGTTTTAATAGGGAATTACATTGAATCTGTTGATTGCTTTGGGGAGTATGGACATTTTAACAATATCGATCCTTCCACTCCATTAATATGGAATATCTTTCAATTTTTTTGTGTTCCCTTCAATTTTTCTCATCAATGTTTCATAGTTTTTATTATAGAGCTCTTTCACTTCTTTTGTTAATTTCTAAGTATTTAATTCTATGTGTGGGTATTGTAAGTGGGATTACTTTTTTTCAGATTCTTCACTGTTGGCATGTGGAAATGCTACTAGTTTTTGTACGTTGATTTTGTATGCTGCAACTTTACTGAATTTATCAGTTCTAATCATTCTTTGATGGAGTTTTTAGATTTTTTCAAATATAAAGTCATATCATCTGCAAAAAAAAGAAATTATAGCCATAAACTTTCCAAATTTGATTTAAAATAAAATTATAAACTTACAGATCCAAGAAGTTTAGCAAATCCCCCGAGAAATAAAAACACTAAAGAAACCACACGTAGGAAACCACAAGGCAAATTGCTGTATTTTGTGACAATGGTTCTCACACTTTGCTGCATACTATTATAGAATCACCTGGGAAGCTTGTAAAAATCCCAGTGTCCAGCCTTCACCCTGTGCCACCTGACTTGGAATCTCTGGGTGGGGCCCCAGACATCAATATTAGCTCTCCAAGTAATTCTAGGGTACAGCCAAGTTTGACAACCAGCATTTCATGTCCCCTATCTCTGAGAAAGAGGCATTAACTCCTGCAAGCAATGTCCCACACATGTGGGTGTCCAGCTGCTTGCCATTTACCTGATAAAGGTAAAATAAGTGAGCTTTTAGTGGGACCCTGGACAAGCTGTTTACCTGGTCCAGGCTGCCACAGCCCTTAAGACCAGTCATACTTTACATAGTTCAATGGGTCTGAAGTAGACTGGAATGGTGGTTGAAGAATGTGGCTAGCTGTGATTGGAAACTTACAGCACAGTCCCACTGAATTCCAGAGCAAGAAACCATCATTTTCCTCTTTAAATAGGAGTTACTACAATTTTCCCTTCTCTTTCTTCCTTGTCTCTCACTGTAGTGTGTTTGGATATGAGCTAAACTTGCCGTTTATGTCACAGATTGCAGAACAGTCATACAAGCTGTCTAAAGGATCAAAGGAGAAATGATCACTATCTGGAGAAGTAGACTCTGAGTAGCCTGGCCTCTGACATTATCTGTGGATTCAGTGGTCTGTTGGGAGAAGGGGCTGTGCTGGAGTAGTATATAACATTTTTGGATCATGGTAGAAGGGAATATTTTGAATGTATGGGAAGAAGTGATTGACAGCCAGACAGCCATAAGTGGAAAGTGGTAGATACTTTTAGAGGGTAGATACCCAGCTCACAACAATATGTGCTTCTCTGAGAACTGCCCATAGTGTAATCATTCTCCAGTAAACAAACTCCAGGACACAGCTGCTGGGAGCAGGAGTGGTGTTGTGACTTTTGAGTTTTCTTTCCTAGGAATTTAGAATTTTGAAGGAAGAAACCCTGAGACTGGAGATAGTTGGAACTGAGTCATATTAATGGCAGACCTCTAGGGAGAGTCCACAATTTTCAGTTGCAGAGGCCCCTAAGCTTTCCTGGTTCTTACTCATGGCCTGGTTGCAGTGATATACTGGTAAATTTTTAACAACTGACACTTTAAAAAAAGAAAGAAAGAAGGAAATTAAGGAAAGGAAAAAGAGCCCTGGTTTCTAGTGTGTGTTGACTCCCATGGTTTAAATACTCCCACCACGGCCTATTATCACAGTGATGTCACTGAACAGGGAGCTGGGAAGTATTGCCTATAATAGACTCTCACAAGCCAGTATAAGCTGGCTTCAGCACACCCCTGCTCCCCTGTCAATTCTCCCTTCTATTCACAGAATTCTCCAATAGTCTCCCAGTAAACTCCTTTTGGGGTTTATATAGCTAAGGCTTATTTTAACTAATTGTTAAACTCATTTATTTTAACTAATAAGGCTGTTTTTTTATAGCCACATCCTTTAAATATTAATTGCCATTTTCATTTGTATGCAAAATTAACATCTATTTCTATAAATGTGCAGAGTCTTCACCAGCTCCGGAAAAGAATATTTTTAATCACTGCAGTCGCTTAGGATAACAGGGTTATCTTTGGAAATTCCTGCCCTCTCGTGTCCAGTATAGAGAACTACTTTTGTGTTCTCTAAGGCTGTGAATGTTAGCGGACAACCAGGAGGTGAGTTAGAGGCTCTTGATGGCAACAGGGGACTATTCCCAGGGTATAGACGGGCGAGTGTAATGCATATTAGTTCCCAATGTTTGTTTATTACTGAAGTCCAAGAAACTCGGTACTAATGACATGTTGAGCTAGATAATTCTTTGTTGTAGGATGGTTTTTTGTTTTTTTGTTTCATTTTGTTTTGATTTTGGAGACAGAGTCTCGCTCTGTCGCCCAGGCTGGAGTGAGTGCAGTGGCAAAATCTCAGCTCACTGCAACCTCTGCCTCCTTGGTTCAAGCGATTCTCCTGCCTCAGCCTCCTGAGTAGCTGGGATTACAGGTGCCCACCACCACACCTGGCTAATTTTTGTATTTTTTAGTAGAGACAGGGTCTCACCATGATGGCCAGGCTGGTCTTGAACTCCTGACCTCAAGTGGTGCACCTGCCTTGGCCTCCCAAAGTGCTGTGATTACAGGCAGGAGCCATTGTGCCTGGCTGGTTTTGTTTTGTTCTGTTTTTAAGACAGGGTCTCACTTGTTGTCCACGTGGGAGAGCAGTGGTACAATCATAGCTCACTGCAGCTTTGAACCCCTGGGGTCAGGTGATCCTCTCACCTCAGCCTCCCGAGTACCTGGGACTACAGGCACACGCCACCATGCCTGGCTAATTTTTTTCTTTTTCTTTTTGTAATTTGTGTAGAGACAGGGTTTTGCCATGTTGCCCAGGATGTTTAGCAACATTCCTGGCCTCTACCCAGTATGTAGATAGCACCCACCCCTCCACCAACTGTGACAACCAAAAATACCTCCAGACATTGCCATTGCCAAATGTCCCGTGGGATGGAGAGGAGAGTGATTCCCAGGCTGAGAACCACTGCTTTATGCTGATGAAGCAAATTTATTTTACACATTGCTGACCTTGAAGTAGCACTGAATCCACCAGCTTATGGCACCAAGTTGGAGCTTAAGCCTACAGCCCAGGCTGTAACTCCTGAGTTCCCATACTGTATACTACAGGAGGAAAAGTTCCAGGTGCCAGATATCCAAACACTTGCTTTTTAATAGGACACACAGTCTATAATCAAAAATGTAAAACCTTCCAACTAAAGCAAAACATATCAAGGCATGATCGGAATGGATGTTGGTGCATTCATTCATTTGTTCAGTAAATATTTGTTAAGGAGTACTTCTGAAATACGTGATGCAGTAGGTGCTAGAGCTGATGCAATGTCAGACTATGGCCCTGCCTTTAAGGAGCTAATCATCCTAGAGGGGTTCAATGGAGATACTGTCAGTTATAAGTAAGAGAGAGTCCAATTCCAGCTGGCTTAAACAATCATGGGACTTTACTGGCCCATGCATTTGAAAAGCCCACAGACAGTGCAGACCTTAGGTAAGGCTGGATCCAATGGCTCAAAGTTGTCACCAGGGCCTGGGTTTCCTCCAGTGTCTCTGCTCCTCCTTTCCTATTGTCAATTTTATCCTAAGGTGGACTTCCCTTTTCCAGCAGCCCCTATTTTTACACGTGTCCTTATTTCTAGTAGAAGACTTGAAATTCACTTTGACTACTTTAGGTCACCTGCCCACCCTTGAATCAATAGTTGTCACCAGAGAAATGGAAAGTCCTGATGGATTGATTTAGCCAAGGGTACTTGCTTCAAGCATGGCACCAGTTTCCATAGAAATCACATAAATTCCCTGAAGGAGATCAGGGATTGCTGAGAAGGGAGAGAGAGCACCAGAAATGCTGGGTGAATATGGGGTGGTCAGCCAGCCCTTTTCACACAGGCTCTGCCAGGTGATTTCATCCGGTCCCAAAGCACCATTCCTGTGGATTTCCATGAAGGTCTTATTGTAGCACTTTGGGCTTCACACCTGCTGCTTGCCTCTCTGAAACCTCATTCCATCCACTCTTCACAGTGACCCTTTCTCTCCTTTCAAAGCTCAGTTCAGAGTCAGATTATCTGAGGCTTCTTCCACCTCCCTGAGCCATCCTTCTTTCATACTCCCTTAGCCCTGGTACTACCTATGCCTCATACCTGGTCAGGTTTCATGTTCCTCTTTCTCCAATTTTAGACTTACATTTTGCCTTTAAAGAGTTTGGGGTCTCCTAAATCCCCTCTCTTTAATGCCTAACAAAAGCATTGAGAGCATTGATGTTGATTTCTTTGGTATCTCCAATTTCAACAATAAGATGGTTAAAGTGTGTGTGTGTGTGTGTGTGTGTGTAAAACAGTGTGAGAAAGAAGTGTGGAGCTGTGGAAAGAGCACAGGATTTATAGTAAGATAATCTATAGGCAGACAGTCCTGGGTTTAAATCCTGGATCAGCACTCTTTCAGATCTCAGACATTCACCAGTGGATCCCTACTTGACTCTTTTCTTTCCTTAAAAGGTATGTATAGTGTGTTACACATTCACTTTCTATGACTTTTCACGCTTGTTAATATGCAATCATGCCAGTGTTATTTGTTTATGTTAGGCACATTTAACAAACAGTACATTACATTAAATAAGTGCTTGTAAGTACTGCCATAGTTGAGGTTCCTGATAGTGGTGGCTTTGGCTAAGAGAGAGCAAAGAGGGACAAAGAGAAATCCTTCAGGCCTTGAACACATTTTTCCCCTTTTGGCTGAATGTGGTTCCCAGATTTGAGGTGGAGTGGAAGGAGCAAGTATGGTTTGTTCCTTCCACCTACTCCTCTGCCTGATCACACCTCCTGAAGCCCCGCCCTGATATAACCGCTCAGTGCACGGCCATGGTGCTTACATCAGCCCTCCATGCACAATGTAAAGATAAGAATGATAACAATGTTTTATTTTTTGAAACAGGGTCTCTGTTGCCCAGGCTGGAGTGCAGTGGCACGATCTCGGCTCACGTAACCTCCACCTCCTGGGTTCAAGTGATCTTCCCACTTCAACCTCCTGAGTAGCTAAGACTACAGGCACACACCACCACACCTGGCTAATTTTTGTATTTTTTATAGAGACGGGGTTTCGCCCTGTTGCCAAGGCTGATCTCAAACTCCTGGAGTCAAATGATCCACCTGCCTTGGCCTCCCAATGTGTTGGGATTATGGGGGTTAAGCCACCGTGCCTAACCGATTTTTTTTAACATGGTGCTTTTAAACTTACTTAATGCATTTGGGGCAGGTTTCATGCATAAAAAGTGGGAGATGGTAGAGGCCTGGGAAGATATATAGTTGTGCTTTCCATGATATGAAACATGGCCCTCTGAATGCACTGTCAACACATCTGTCCTGTGAGTTTCCCTGCTTTGAGCCTCAGTTCAGTCACTTACCACTTACAAAAAGTTACTTGATGGGAGAGCTATTTCTCCAGTCTACTCCTTGATGTCAACCCTCCAAGTTGGGGTATGATGGGCTGAGGAACGCTGAGGTTTACACTAGCTAAGCAGTGGGACCAGCTGATGACCGACTGTCCTCTGATGAAGCCCACATCAGTCACCTACCACTTACCACTTGAGCCGAGTTCGAGGTTGCGGCCACATGAGCCATAATTACACCACCACACTCCGGCGTGGGCGACAGAGTGAGACCCTGTCTCAAAAACAAACAAAAATTTGGGAATCCCAAGTCTGTTCTATTTTTGTAATAGTGGACACATTTTCAGAAGGGCATGAGGACTTTCCCGAGTCTAAAAGCTTTCTGGACCTCATCTTCCTCTTTTATGAAATGAGACTAATTCTCCACTATGAGGTAATCATGCCCTGTTGCATATTCAGTGCATCTCACTAAATTAGCCTGGTCATCTTTAAATTTTTTAGTATAAGTACACCTGCTGGAAATCCAGACTTTCCCACTTGACCAGATATATTCCCCAGAGGTCAGGACTAATAATCCCCAGATATGGTGATGGCATTGTTTTCTTCCTCTGCCCTGATGCCCCACCCTGAGCTTCAGGGGCAAGCCTTTCCCTAATGATTCTTTCACTGGCAGTTCATTATTTCAGCGCATTGCTGTGGAAAGCTCTATATAAGTATTTGTTGCTTAAAAGTTGGGGAATCCCTTGGACGGGCATGGTGGCTCACGCCTGTAATCCCAGCGTTTTGGGAGGCCAAGGCAGGAGGATCACTTAAGCCCAGGAGTTTGAGACCAGCCTAGGCAACATAGTGAGACCACATTTCTATAAAAACGTTTTTTTCTTAATTAGTGGGGCGTGGTGGTGCCTGTAGTCCCAGCTATTCAGGAGGCTGAGGTGAGAGGATCACTTGAGCCCAGGAGGTCGGGGCTGCAGTGAACCATGATCACACCACTGAACTCCAGCATGGGTGACAGAGTGAGACTCTGTCTCAAAAACAAACAAAAATTTGGGAATCCCAAGTCTGTTCTATTTCTGTAATAGTGGACACATTTTCAGAAGGGCGTGAGGACTTTTCTGAGTCTGAAAACCTAAAATTCTCTAATTGACAATTTTGAATATCTTTGGGAGGAAATGCACAATCCATGACCAGACCAGAATATACTGAGAAAGTAATTTATTTAATTGTAAATTGGGACATTTTTTAAAAAGTTTAGTAATAACGATTAACAAGATTATGAATTTGTCCATTGGGGATTTAAACTTTAATGAAGTTTTTTAAAAAAATCAAGAAATTCCTTTAAAAGTAAACATTAGTCCTTTGCTCTAAACTTTCAGGCTAGATCATTTCTTTGGGTCAGGACTTAAAAACCCTTAAGCTCTGCCTACTCCAGACTGAATCCAAGACAACCTGACTAATAGAGAAGCAGGAGTCTTAACTGATGTGTGATCTACTTTTTCAAAGCCCTGCTTTTTCCTTTTCAAAGCCCACTAATTCAGGGTTTTTGTTTTGTTTTGTTGGATGTGAGATTTTCTGGCAAAAAATGAAGTAGGAGGCACGGTGAAATGGTCGAGAAAAATCTAAGTTTCATTTTATCAAAGAAGCTCATTGCAGTATACATCAGGCTAGTGCAATGGCTCTTCAAATAAATTGCTTGAAAATGGAAACAAATGACCGAGACTGGAACACAAGCAAAACATAAATATACGTGCATAGGTACACACTGTCTCCTAACTCCCTTTACATTGATTTGGTTAACTTTAAATAATATGTAGGATTTCACAGCTTCTCTTAGAGAAGGGAATTGAATGTTAAGCTGTTCAGTCATGATAACTAGATCTTCCATTGTTATGGCTCATGCTTCTGTTACCAAATCAATTAGCCATTTTGCCAAGTATGTCTAATTATTACACTTCTATAGTGCAGATGGAGCAGGAGAGAACAAGAGGTTACTTGATGGGAGGGCTGTTTCTCCAGTCTACTCCTTGATGTCAGTCCTCCAAGTTGGGGTATGATGGGCTGAGGAACCCTGAGGTTTAGACTAGCTAAGTGGTGACCGAGTGTCTTCTGATGAAGCCCACATCCTAGAAACAGAACTGCTTGCAAGCCTCTTCAATCCACTGCAGGCCTTTGCCTTCTCTGACACCATCCACATCTCTTTACCAAGGATTTGAAGATGCAAGTTGCAGAGTCTGGTAGACTGAATACCACTTAGGCAACACAAGAAACATCTTCCGTTCAAGTCCCTGAACATAGGGTCAATGAGATTGGAAATCACCCACACTTCCTCCCATTCAGTACCTGGATCTGTGATGTATTTAAGCACCAACCCCATACCCTAAGTGCCCTCAGGGTGGCACTGCCCCACAGTGATTGGCTCCTCTCTTCCACTCTCTCTTCGCTATTTCATGGCAAACTCATGTCAAGGCTTTGTTTTGACTTCATGCTGGGCACCTTGGCTCATTCAGGTTCCTTGGGACTCTGATCACACACCACCATGATATCTACTGGGACACTCCACCAATCTTTCGCACAGAAGCCAAACAACATCCAGATGAGAAAAGGACGGACTACAGATGGTCTGAAGCAATCTGCTATTGAAGCTTTTTGAGGATTGCCAAGGCAAATGGTGTCTTTACTGAGAGTTCTGCTGCACAGTAACTCCATGTTGCTTTAGACCCATCAGAAATAGGCAGACATTGAACTCAAGGGACAACCCCTTACAATCATATCTTGCTGCCAAACGCTTCCCTTAGCACCCTTTTCTCCAGATGTCATCTGGCATGTGTAGAGTGTTTCTGGCTTTATCTCTGCCTATGACAAGTTATTTTTGGTTCAGTTGATAGTATTTCCCCCAAACCCAGAATAGATAAGAAATCACTGGGAATTTATATCTGATTGCCCTAGATTCATTCTTCCACATTACAAAGCCCCAAGTTACAAGGAGGAATGGTATGTTTTTGCCCTGTTGGTGTTTCATTAGTATTTTTTGAAGTTAAAATTAAGTGTTACTTTTCTGAGGAAGTAGCCAGAATATTTCTCTCTTAAATTCAGAAATCTACTGGCACAATTTGAAGTCAGACATTATTTCTAACCAAATTATACTCTTTTGTCTGCCACGATCACTTGACAGTTTTAATATCTGAAGGCAGGCCTATATGATAATCCCAGCAGTATTTTAGGGATAAGATTTTAGAGGGTTTATTGAGAAGGAAATACTTGTTTAGGTGGCTTTCATCATGCCACTTGGCTTCTATGTCATTTTTCTTGTCCAGGAGGATTCCCTTAAAGCACTCCTGGGTGATGTTGAGAACCTGAATGGGTGTTCCTCCAGAAATGGCTGCATGGTAATAAAAATCCCCTGGCCAAATGGAATGTATCCTGCTGACTCTTTCCACCTCTCCTAGGTAAAGTCATAGGGATCTGCCTTGTACCGCCAGCCTGTAGCTGAGCCACTGACTGGCCTAGGGTCTCCACCCCAAAATGGTCTTGGAAGACCTGGTCCACATCCATGCAGAAGAGGAAGTCGACCTCGTGTTGGATGTGGGCCAAGATGTGCTCCCCAGTGATCTTCATACGCATCATGCTGATGTCTTGCCACCTCTTCTCTGGCTTGACCTCAAACATTTTGAAGGAATGCAGAGGACCCAGCTCTATAAACGGCAGCTTGGAGACATCATCCACCATGATGTAAAATATGACTTTGTGGCCAACCATGAAGTACCTATTAGCAGATGTTATGAACTCCTCCAAGTAATGATCATTATATCTGAAACAAAGAAGAAAAGCAAAACATTTATCCTCTGGGATTCCTGAAAGAAACCACAAGCTGAAAAAACCCACATGTGGGTTTCCTGAAAGAAACCACATGCTGGGATTCCTGAAAGAAACCACGTGATGTAAAATCATCTTGTCTATATTTTATGGTTAGTAGGAGAATGATTTCTCCTACCCCAGGTGTGTTTTCATGTTAGTGTAATACCCCGGCTACTCTCCACCATTCAGTCACTCAGTCCGTGGGGAGCTGGAATGACTTATCTCACTGCCAATTTTGGAAGAGCAACTAGAACTAGACATGCACTACCCTATCCTTCCTCTCCTCTGGCTCTTAGGAGCCAGCCAGTCCAAGAGAGCATGTGTTCTCAACTGCTCTGGGTTTTACAGGAAGCTTAGTACAGGATCTATTCTCACATCCAGAGGCCTGTAGGTGCCTGGATGCTTAAGTCTTTCTAACTCTGGGGGTTACATATTTAGGAGGCCCAGGGTTTGCAGATATAAGCCACATTCTCCAATATCAGCTTTAACTATAATGAAAGTAATATTTACCACCCTCTGCCTTCCTTACCCCTTTGTCCAATTTACCAATTGGTTCAGATTTTGGACAGTCAAAGGGGGTACTAGTTCTTGATCTCCATTCAAAAGCCCTAACATAAACCCCAATGTTGCTACTGCCAGACCAGATACAAGGGTGATGTGACCCTTGGATCCACTGGGGATGCATTAAGCCCAAACAGCAGCACTCTCTTGTCCTCTGTGATACAGAGAATGAGTTATGAGATCTAGATCTGCCTTCATGTTACATAGTCATCCTATGAGCCTCCCACTAGTCACTTAAAACACCAATCCATTGTCCACACACCATCATCCAAAATACTAGTCCATCCGAATACTAGAATGAGCAACTTCTGATTTAACCTTATTTTAACTACTTTATCTTAAAAAAAGGACTATGTTAGCAGTAAGCCACATTCGGTGGCTGAGTAAATGTAGATGAAAAGAGAAGATAAAAAAATTAAAAGAAATTTAAAAAAGGAAAAATAAGGACTATTTTTTTAGAGAAGTTTTATGTTCACAGAAAAATTGCGCCAAAAGTACAGAGTTCTCATATACCTCCTGCTCCCACATTTGCACAGCCCCACCCCTCCACTATCAACATCCCTGCACCAGAGTGATACATTTGTTACAATCGATGAAGCTACACTGACATATCACTATCACCCAACATCCATAGTTTACATTAGGGTTCACTCTTGGTGTGGTACATTCTAAGGGTTTAACAAAAGTATAATGACATGTATCCACCATTATAGTATCATACAAAATAGCATCACTGCCCTAAAAATTCTCTGAGCTTTGCTCATTAATCCCTGCCTCCCTGAACAACCCTGAACAATCACTGACCTTTTTACTGTCTCCATAGTTTTACCTTTTCCAGAATGTCATATAAGCACACAGCATGTAGCCTTTTCAGTGTGGCTTCTTTTACTTAGTAACATATCTTTTCATGACTTGATAGCTCATTTATTTTTAGCATGGAATAATAGTCCATTGTCTGAATGTGACTTAGTTCATTTTTCTATTCACCTACCAAAGGACATTGTGGTTGCTCTCAAGTTTTGGCAATTATGAAATAAAGCTTCTGTAAATATCCATGTGCAGGTTTTTTTGTAGACATAAGTTTTTAACTCATTTGGGTGAATACCAAGGAGTACGATTGCTGGATCGTGTGGTAAGAATATATTTAGTTTTGTAAGAAACTGCCAAATTGTCTTCCAAAGTGGCTGTACCATTTTGCATTCCTACCAGCAATGAATAAGTGTTCCTGTTGCTCCACATCCTTGTCAGCATTTGGTGTTGTCAGTGTTTTGAATTTTGGCCATTCTAGTAGGTATTTAGTGGTATTTTAACTATTCATCTATTCATTTGAAAAGCATTGCACGCCATCTCCCATTGCCGGGCACGGTGGCTCACGCCTGTAATCCCAGCACTTTGGGAGGCCGAGGCGGGTGGATCACAAGGTCAGGAGTTTGAGACCAGCCTGGCCAATATGATGAAACCCCATCTCTACTAAAAATACAAAAATTAGCTGGGTGTGGTGGCTTACACTTGTAGTCCCAGCTGCTTGGGAGGCTAAGGCAGGAGAATTGCCGGAACCTGGGAGGCAGAAGTTGCAGTGAGCTGAGATGGTGCCACTGCACTCCAGCCTGGGTGACAGAGCAAGACTCCATCTCAAAAAAAAAAAAAAAAAAAAGAAGAAGAAGAAGAAAAGAAAAACATTTTATTGGTGTCTTCTGTAAGCCTAAGCTATAGACTATTTGTGAAGCTATGCTATGGAGATTACCAGGAAGAGGAAGAATAAGCCAGTTGGCTTAATACAACTTGACCAAACCCTAAACACACGTGGACTGAATTTAATGTGCTGATCACACTACTGGCCAATCATGGTGTTTTGTGAGTAAAGTGAATGGCACTTCTTTTCGCTTTTTGTTGCTGCTTGGATTCCCTTTATTTGTTACCAAAATAAAGTGTGCTTTTAATGTTGGCATGTGGTAATCCAAGGGTTTATAGTATTGATTCTTTAAATGAAGAGAATATATCTGAGGAATATAAAAAGGGACTTCAGTGTGGCTCTGTGGCTAGTGGCCAGGAAATCCTTCAGTATTCTGGGACTTCGAGAAAAATCTATTGTGCCCTGAAGCTTGGGAAACAATACTGGGGTGGGGTGGCGGGGGGGTGGTTTAGTACAGGAGAGATTCATTTTGAGGTTTCACATTGTTTAGAGATTAAAGCACTGCAGTTGGCTCCATGCATTGTTGCTTGAAAACAAACCAAACATTACACCTCCTAAAAGTCCAAATCCACTTGTAAAGATTTATTGCTGCTGAGTACAAACAGTCCTCCCTTGTCTCAGAGCTGAGGGCAGAATGCTTTCACCAGGATGTGCAATTTACAGTTTAGTTGTGCAGAGTTGGAACTGGATGGCTGAAGCCATTGTGGGGCATTGGGCAACGTTTTGTTCTTTTTGGAAACACCAGGATCAAATCAATCTGCAACGTGGCTGGGTTATCCCCTTTTGTGCCAAAGGATTAGGTGAGCTGGGTGGTTCACCTAATCTAATTAGGTGGCTCCCAACCTATATGAGTAGAGATTCTTCTGGTAAACATGTCAAAACTCCACAGTCACCTTTCTCTGTTAGAGAGACCACATAGGTCCCTAGGATCAGCACATTCAGTGACATTAGAACTTGATTGGTATTGTTAATGACGGAACAGTAATAGCTGCTGGGCTCTGGGTTGGGGAAGGTTATCTTTGGAGAACTATCAGATCTTTACAGAGCTCTCTTTTAAGCCCCACCTTGGCAAAGCTCAGATCAACCTGAGCCTTCAAGTCTCTTTATACAAGGCAAAGGAATCGACTTTCCATGAAGCTTCTTCAGAAGAGATATAGAGGGAAAGGCCCAGAGGGCAGAAAAAAAAATAGGAAAATTGGACTTTTAGTTTTATTTTGAAAAAAAAAGGAAAATTCTCCAAAAAAAGCAAAATGGATTATCTTTAATAACTAACATTAGAGCTAGAACTTTCTTTCTTTTCTTTTCTTCTTTTTGTTTTGAGACAGAGTCTGCTCTGTCACCCAGGGGCGTGATCTCAGCTCACTGCAACCTCCGCCTCCCAGGTTCAAGAGATTCTCCTGCCTCAGCCTCCCAAGTAGCTGAGACTACAGGCATGTGCCACCACGCCCAGCTAATTTTTTGTATTTTTCATAGAGACGGGGTTTCACCGTGTTAGCTAGGATGGTCTCGATCTCCTGACCTCGTGATCCACCCACCTCGGCCTCCCAAAGTGCTGGGATTACAGATGTGAGCCACCGCACCTGGCCTAGAGCTAGAACTTTCAAGTAAGAATGATCGTAGTTTTTCTGCGTCATATGTTCTGAACAAGGGAGTTGAAACTGGAACCTATCCAACCTTTGGAAGAGCAAGCTCTGACCAGCAAATCTTCTAGGGCCAAATCCTCCATGAGAGAAAAAGTAGAAGTGATCTGAGGAACCCATGGAAGAGTGGTCAGCTGTGTTCCAGCGTGGAAAGCCACTGTGCTTAGGTCACTCAGCACCTAGAACTTGCTATAAATCTCTCTGTAGTTGGTCCTGGGCCGTAGAGCATAGGAAAAAGAATGATGCACTCTGGGCTGTCTAGCAGCTAGCACTTGTGGAATTTCTAAAGGAAGCCATGGTGGTCAGGGAGGAGGTGGTTGTGGGTATGCTGTTGACCCTGGGCTTGGTGGGTGGAACAGACATGTTTTCCTGCAACCCAAGTCCCTCATTTTGAGGTAGGAATGAGTGGACTTACCTACTATTATTTTGTTCTCAGCATTTTAGGGCCTCAGCAGAAAGGAGACTGAACCAGTTCCATGAAAACATTCTCCTATCTAATAAATCAAAAAATCATGACTGGCTTCCATCAGTTCAGGAGTCTCCACACAAATGTTTTGACAGTGGAACAAGAGACAGTCAAGGACAGTTTTATCAGTGACATCTACCTTCCAATAGCAAAAACCATCAACCGCACGGTAATTTTCTGTTTGGCATAATAATTTCCTAGGATGGCTTTGTTGAAAGTGCCTTCCCACACAACCGGCGCCTTCCATCTGGTCACTGTCACAACCTCTGGGTGTTTCCTGGTGATAAAACGTAGAGTTCCCTGAGTCAGGGCAGCTTTGCCATTGTGGGGCAGAGACTGTCCAAGGATAAGGGGGGTCAGCTATGATCTGCAGGGACTGTCCTTGAATCCTGACTGTAGCTTAACGCCAAACACTTGGCTGGGAGGTATGCCATTTGCAGGGGTAGCATCTTCTGGGTAAGGAAGATGAGGCTTTGGCTCAGGTGCCTCTGAGGGCTATCTTTTTTTTTTATTTTTATTTTTTATTTTTTTTTAAGACAGATCTCGCTCTGTCACCCAGGCTGGAGTGCAGTGGCAGGATCTTGGCTCACTGTAGTCTCTGCCTCCCAGGTTCAAGTGATCCTCCTGCCTCAGCCTCTCAAGTAGCTGGGATTATAAGCGTGCCCCACCACTCCTGGCTAATTTTTGTAATTTTAGTAGAGATGGGGTTTCACCATGTTGGCCAGGCTGCTCTTGAACTCCTGACCTCAGGTGATCCGCCAGCTTCAGCCTACCAAAGTGCCAGGATTACAGGCGTGAGCCACTGGGCCTAGCCCTCTCAGGGCTATTTTGGGGGGCCCTTATGAGGCTCTTATCTCTACATCTCATACCTTCTTACCTCTTCTACTTTATTTTTTCTCTTCCTACTTCTAAATCCCTTTCCCTACTTTCCCAGCCCCTTCCTAAGCTACTAGTAGCACCTTTGGGTGTTATTTATCCCTGTGGATGTCATCTGAGCCTAAGGAGATCCTAAGCCTTGATAAAGGCGGATGAGAGAGTGACATTAGATTAGAAAGAGAAAAAGCTGTTTCCATTTGCCTTTTGCTAGAAGAGATATCTGGGTGGGAACCTGGTCATTGGACAAAAAGGGCCCCAGATTAAAGGGATTCTGATGTTACTGCTTACTTTACAAACCAGGAGACAAAGGCGCCAGAAAGGAAGGCATTTGATGGAGGCCCAGCAAGGCCAAGACTGGAGCCTAGGGCTCTGGCAAGGACCTTCTCCTTAGACCAGGAGCATCTTTACTAGGAACACAAAAGGGGTGAGAGGGAGGGCTCTGTGCTGTGCTCAGAGAGCTGGAATGGGACTTGGCAAGGCCAAAGCAAAACAGGAAGCTATAACAAAGCACAAAACCCTGAAGTCCTGAAGGGTAAATGCAGAAAGCACAGAGCCGCAGGGGCCCCAGCATGAGGGTGAAGCTCCAGGCAGGGGGAGGCTCTGACTCCCTATTGGCTCAGGAGGTGGCTGCATTTTCCCCGTTGGGAAGCAGAGACTGGCACAGGTCATTTAGATTCAAACCCCAGTATGGGCCTGGCACCCTGCTTGGCATTTGCTTGTACTTTACTGGATTCACTGTGGGCAGCATCTTAGTTCAACCCCAGGAAGGCAAGTGATTGGGGCAAAGTCCTGGTGATCCCTACTGGCTGCACTGCCGTGGTCCTGGTGAGGCTGTCAAGGAGACGTTAGCAAATACGTCGGGCCAGCACGGCCAGTGGAGGCCTGGGTTTTCACAGAATCGCCCTACCCATCAGCAAAGTTGGGTTTTTCCCACAGCGAGGCTGATAGTACAGCTGGGTCATCCCCTGCCTCATCCCAGCCTCAGAGTGGAAAAGGGGCCTCAGTAGACTCTCCTCTCGGGCCTCCTGTCCCTTGTCCCCAAACGCTGCACCCTGTAGTTCTTGAGCTGACTCTGCCCTCCCACCCCAGCCGCAGGCATGACATCTGGTCTGCTTCCCAGATTCCACCACAGCTGGAACTGGCCTGCTTCCTACATTTCACCCCCAATGCTGAAATTGCTCCAGGTTTGTCCAGATGGCAGACAGGGGAAACACTTTCAGGGTGCTCTCCTGGTTCACCACATCTTGTCTGGAGTCTCAAACTCTAAGACTTAGCTCTGCCCTCAGCACCCCAGGTACGCCTGCTGCATGGAGGACACAGTTGCCCTTGGTTTCCTTCAATCATGAAAGAAGCTACTGTGCACTCTGCACCAACCTGTGCCAGGCACCCACCACGTACACTTTCTCATTTAGTCTCTGCAACAGCCCTGCAATGTATCATGTCCATGGTCCAGGTAAGAAAACCAAGTCTCAGAGCAGCTTATTATCTTGTCCAAGGCCAAACACCTGGTCACTAATGATGCAAGCTAACACACACTGAGCAATTCCTTTGGGACCACGCACTGTGCAAAGGGCTCACTCACCCTTCTGAGGTAGGTGCTATTTTGATTCCCATTTTATCAATGAAGAAACTAGCACAGATAAGTCAAACAACTTGCCTGAGGTTGCACAGCTGGTAGGGGTTAAAGCTGGGATTTAAACAAGATCTGCTGACTCTGGAGTCCATGCTCTGAGCTGAGCTACCACGTACACTATTTCTTATATGCCTTTTCATTCCTCTGCTGATGAAGTTGGGGTTAAAACCCAGGTTTGTCCAGATCTAAAGGTAACCCTATTTCCACTTAAAAAATAAGCCGGGCGCGGTGGCTCATGCCTGCAATCCCAGCATTTTAGGAGGCCAAGGCGGGTGGATCATTTGAGATCAGGAGTTCAAGACCAGCCTAGCCAACATGGTGAAACCCTGTCTCTACTAAAAAAATACAAAATTAGCCAGGCGTGGTGGTGCACACCTGTAATCCCAGCTACTTGGGAGGCTGAGGCAGGAGAATTGCTTGAACCCAGGAGGCGGAGGTTGCAGTGAGCCAAGATCGCGCCACTGCACTCCAGCCAGGGCAACAAGAGTGAAACTCCATCTCGAAATAAATAAATAAACAAACAATATAAAATAAAAAGTAATCATTTTTATTTGCATTGGCATTTTTGTCAATTCAGACTGAGAAATGATGAGCCTTTTTTGTTGTTGTTTTTAGTAGCTTACATGGTGCTTTTAGTTCTATAAAACTCCCATCTTTGTTGAATGACGAGATTGTAAACCAGAAACCAAAAACCAAAAAACACCCACACAGCTGTCTTATACTTCTGTAACCATTTCTGAACTTAAAACTCTCTTGTTCGTTACACCTCATTCATTGCATCTTAGTTTTAGCTTGTCAAAGATCTTTTAGTAGCTCTAACATAGCCCACTAGCTAAGTCTTGTAAATGTGTATAAGCTGGACATTTGGTAATATTATTTTTAAAAAAGGAAAAGGAGGAATAGGTATACTTATTTAATACTTATTGTGCACCAGAGGCTAAGTGCTTGACTTTTATTCTCTCATTTGATCTTCATGACCATTCTATGAAGTGGGTGTTATCATCATTCCCATTTTGCAGATAAAGTGGAGGGTAGGAAAGAAGGAGAAGGGTATGGAGCCTTTTGCCATTTAATTTATATAAAAGACCCAACTGGAGTGTCTGATCCCCTGACCCACATTTCCCAGTTCCCTGCTCTATACCAGGTCATCCTGCTAAGCGCTGAGATGGGAGAAATGAGACCCAGTCCTTCCCCTTGAGAATCTCGCAGTCCCAACAGGTGGTCCGCCTGTTACACACTCCTTAACCGCATGATCTCTCAGTCCAGGTCTTCTAGAAGGACTGAGTCAGAAAACCAGAGTCCAGTTTAGTTATTCGGATTCCTTCAAGCTGGAAGAAAAAACAGCAACATTAAAAATTTATGTTGAATTAAAAATTAAAATATTCTATTTCCCAGCTGTTAATTATTTGATTCCACTGACAATTCCAACAGGTCAGTGACCCTGACTACAAAGCCACACAACAGCCTGAAAATGCAGGCAGCTGGGGAGATGGGGGCGGAGGGAGAATGAGATCAAGATCAGCTTCCTGGATGAACCGCTGCATCAAGGAGTCTTAGTCATCAAAACCCACAAAACCCCCCAAAAAAGAAGTGACGGAGGGCAGCTCACACATGTGAAAAGCTAGTCTTTGATAATGTCAACTGCCAGAGAAGTCCAAGATCACAAAGATGGGGCACTAAAAAGAAAGGAAAAAGTGCCAGGAAAGAGCTGCTCAGATGCTTTCCTTCCACGTAGGACATGCAATGGTGTGATGCCAGTGTGAGAAGTTCCACAAAAGCTTCCCCCAAAATAAAAGGGCCCCCTAACCAAAGCACACACCTTCCTAGGTTATTGGCAGCTTTTAAATTTTATATATTTATTTATGGCACATTTTGGTACCCAAGGGGTGGGTAGAAGAAGAGTTAAAATTCTTTTTTTTTTTCAGACGGAGTTTGGCTCTTGTTGCCCAGCTGGAGTGCAATGGTGAGATCTTGGCTTACTGCAACCTCTGCCTCCTGGGTTCAAGTGATTCTCCTGCCTCAGCCTCCTGAGTAGCTGGGATTACAGGCATGGGTCACCACACCTGGCTAATTTTGTATTTTTAGTAAAGACTGGGTTTGGCACGTTGGTCAGGCTGGTCTCGAACTCCCGACCTCAGGTGATCCACCCACCTTGGCCTCCCAAAGTGCTGGGATTACAGGCGTGAGCTACCATGCCCAGCCGGAAGCATTAAAATTCTATGAATCATGGAGTAGGTTAAAAAAAGATGTGGAATATAGGTGATCCTCCCACCTTAGCCTCCTGAGTAGCTGGGACTACAGACATGCGCCACTGCATCTAGCTAATTTTTTATTTTTTTGAAGAGACAGGGTTTCACTAAGTTGCCCAGGCTAGTCTTGAACTTCTGGACACAAGCAATCCTCCTGCCTCAGCCTCCCAAAGTGCTGGAATTACAGGCATGAGCCACTGCGTCCAACACAACTCATTATTGACTGAATTCCCTCTAAGCAGGAGTAGGTTGGCTAAACAAGGACACAGAGAAAAGCTGATGGCAACATGAACAGGGATGGCATAGCGGCTGTCGAGTGGAGAGAAGGGGATGAAGTAGAAAGGATTTCGGAGGAGGAATTGACAGAACATGCTAATGCATTAGACCATGAGGTAGACAGAGGAAAAGGTCTCCCAGACTGTGTGTCTTGAGCCATTTACTGGGATGGGAAATGAGGAGAACAAGGGTGGGGTGGAATTGAGAAATCCATTCTGGCCATGTGAGACATGCAGAGATGTCAGGCAGACAGGTAGACACAAGTCACAGCTCAAAGGCAAAATCTGGGCTAAAGATTTAAATGTAGGATGGTATCTAATCTCACTAATGGTACCTAATGCCATGAAAATGGATGAGAGCACATTGGAAAATGGTGTATAAGCCGGGCGTGGTGGCTCACGCCCGTAATCCCAGCACTTTGGGAGGCTGAGGCAGGTGGATCACCAGGTCAGGAGATTGAGACCACCCTGGCTAACACGATGAAACCCCGTCTCTAATAAAAATACAAAAAAATTAGCCGGGTGCAGTGGCGGGCGCCTGTAGTCCCAGCTACTCGGGAGGCTGAGGCAGGAGAATGGCATGAACCCGGGAGGCAGAGCTTGCAGTGAGCCGAGATTGCGCCACTGCACTCCAGCCTGGGCAACAAAGCGAGAATCCATCTTAAAAAAAAAAAAAAAACAGTATATAAAGAACAGAGAAGAGGTTGCTGGACTTAGCTCCCATAAACTCTAATCCCTGACAGCTGGGAAGAGGGAGCTGCCCCTCTCGGGAGACGGTCACAAATGAGGATGTGGTGTCATGGAAGCAAAGCGACCTTGATATGGAAATATGCACAATATACTGTGGTTTTAGGTAGTTTACAGAAAAGGATACTTTTTTTTTTTTTTTTGAGACAGAGTTTCGCTTTGTTGCCCAGGCTGGAGTGCAGTGGCATGATCTTGGCTCACTGCAACCTCTGCCTCCTGGGTTCAAGCAATTCTCATACCTCAGCCTCCTGAGTAGCTGAGATTACAGGCACCCACAACCACTCCCAGCTGATTTTTTGTTTTGCAGTAGAGACGGGGTTTCACCATGTTGCCCAGGCTGTTCTTGAACTCCTGAGCTCAGGCAATCCACCTGTCTCGGCCTCCCAAAGTGCTAGGATTACAGGCGTGAGCCAAAAAGGATACATTTATACAAAGTATGTTTATTTGCTCATCCATTCCTTCATCCAATCATTCATTTATGCAAGAAATAGACTTAGATGCCCTGAGAAGACTTAAATTTGGTGCCACTTCAAACCAACATTCTTTAAATAATCTGCTTGTGTCCAGAAGCAGTGGCTCATGCCTGTAATCCTAGCACTTTGGGAGGCCGAGGCAGGGGATCACTTGAAACCAGGAGTTCAAGACCAGCCTGGGCAACATGGCAAGACCCCGTTTCTACAAAAAATACAAAAATTAGCCAGGCGTGGTGGCGCATGCCTGTAGTCCCAGCTGCTTGGGAGGCTGAGGCGGGAGGATCACTTGAGCCTGGGAGGTGGAGGCTACAGTGAGCCATGATTGTGCCACTGCCCTCCAGCCTGGTGGCAGAATGAGACCCTGTCTCAAATAAATAAATAAATAAATAAATAAATAAATAAATAAAGGATAAGATAAGATAAATTAAAAATAAATATCTGCTCCCTACTCATTTGGAGATGAAGCCATGCAAGGGGAAGAGTGAAGAGGGTGAAAGCTGGTGACTATGGTCTGTCCCTCCTCTCTGCCCCCAGTCATTCAGCCCCAGCCCCACCTCCCAAGTCCTGCTCAGCAAAGAACAAGTACCACAGTAAAATTGCCCCATTCTCCTTAGAAGGGACTTTGGGGACCATCTCTGGCCCATCTAGCCTGTCCCTGGCGGAGTCTCATTGCCCCATCTAAGGGGCTTTATCAAAGCAACAATGCTTCCATCTTCTCACATTTCTATGAGTGGTTTAGCATTTCAGAGATGCCTACCCTGTTGTGCAGATCATCAAATGACATATGGGAAGCCAAAATTCCCATCCCTTCACACTGGCATGGATCCCTTATCCCCAAACAATAAGAGAAGTTGCCAGAACATATTCAGTCTTTCCAGAGCCCAAGCTCCTTCACAATGGGATAGATGCTATTTTCAGGCTGGGCATGGTGGCTCACACCTGTAATCCCAGCACTTTGGGAGGCCAAGGTGGGAGGATCACTTAAGCCCAGGAGTTCAAGAGCAACCTGGACAACATAGTAAGACCCTGTCTCTACAAAAGAATTAAAAATTAGCTGGCCGTGGTGGCGCACACCAAGCCTCCTTACTCAGGAGGCTAAGCCTGGGAGGTCAAGGCTGCAGTGAGCCACGATTGCACCACTGCGCTCCAGCCTGGGTGACAGAGCAAGATCCTGTCTCAAAATGAATAAAAATTAAAAATCAAATGAAAAAAAAGGATTCCATTCTCTCCTGATTACTCTGATGATACCTCATTGCACATCTCCAGCACATACCATCTGCTAAGCTCAGGAGCACCCTGTGACTCTGTCCAGATGTCCCATAAGCACCTGCATCCACATGCATTCCTAATGGAGGTCCCCACCTCCCCCAGCTCTGAGGCCTGTGTCTCCTCCTCCAGTCCCCTTTCTGGCCAATGGCACCATCACCCACCAGTCTCTCAGGTCTCAAAGTCACCCTGGACAGCTCCCATCTCCTCACTCCCAGAACCACATCCTTCCAGTTGATCCTGCCTCCTACCAATCTAGGCAAATAATAGTTTCACAGTAACGACCCCTGTGAGACCATGAACTTCTCAAATACAACCATGTTGATTGATTTCTCCTGTCTCCTCTCCCTAACACAATGCCTAGCACAGTGTTTTTGACCATAACTCACAGTGAGAAATATACTTTACATCACAATCAAATAGATGCACATATACATATGTCTACTGTTAAAGGTCTAATATGCTAAGGCTCTTTCTCCTAAATCAGGAATGTTCTCAATGGCACTGTTGCCTCCACTGCCACACCACCCCCTGCAGGGCCATGGATTTGCTGCACAGGGAGTGACGCCGCTTTTCTTACTTTGGATTAAACCAGTCCCATAGCCGAAGCTCTGTTGTGTCATTTTCCTTCCTTTGGTCTCCTCTCTTCCTTTTTCTTTGTCTATGTCTTCTTCCCCTTGTTGATAATTGTGGATCCTAAGTACAAAGGGAAAGTAAACCAGGTAAGGCAGGGAAGGTGATTGCGGTGGTCAGAGAACTGGTGAATATCTTGTGGAAATGTGTTCCAAGGCAGATTATGCATGCACTAAGTGAACTGACCAGAAAAAGGCTCTAGGCACTAAGCGTTTATTCATAAAGACATATTTTTGATGAAAAGATGCAGTACTCAACTCATTACCCTTCCAAGTCACCACAGTTAACAATTTAATGACCCAGCAACCCTCAGGTTATTTCAGGGGGGGTGAGGGAAACTTGATAAGACAATTCTTCTAAGAACATTTTAGTTTATGATTGTCTTTCCTGCAATCTAAACTTTAGCCCAGGCCAGGCATGGTGGATCACGCCTATAATCTCAGCAATTTGGGAGGCCAAGGTGGGCAGATCACCTGTCAGGAGTTAGAGACCAGCCTGGCCAACGTGGTGAAACCCTGTCTCTACTAAAAATACAAAAATTAGCCGAGTGTGGTGGCGGGCGCCTGTAATCCCAGCTACTTGGGAGGCTGAGGCAGGAGGATCACTTGAACCAAGGAGGTGGAGGTTGTAGTGAGCCGAGACCACGCCACTGCACTCCAGCCTGGGCAATAAGAGCAAAACTGCATCTCAAAAAAATAAAAATAAATAAATAAACTTCAGCCCAAGCCTCAGCCCCCAAGTTAACTGAAACAAAACAAAACAAAAGACTTATTTATCTGGATGTGGTAGTGCATGTCTGTAGTCTAGCTACTCGTGAGGCTGAGGCAGGAGGATCACTTGAGCCCAAGAGTTTGAAGCTGCAGTGAGCTATGTTTGCACCACTGCACTCCAGCCTGAGTGACAGTGAGACCCTGTCTCAAAAACAAAACCAACCCTCAAATGTCCTAGTCCCACTCACAAAATATTCTTCATATAATTTCAATAAGCAAGAAAGATGAGTGACTGAGAAGGTCATGAACATGAAACCATTGTGTGTGGACCCTCTGCAAGCACCAGGCGGGTGGGCAAACACCGACTGCTGTCTGATCGCCTTACCCATTGTTAAACCAGCTCAGAAACCACCAGCCCTTCTGAGCACTGCTGTCATCAACTTCTGGGTTTCTAAGAAATGAAAAAGTTTACAAATATTTTTAGAAAATGTGGTGTCCCCAAACTTAGGGTTTCCAAATTCTTTCTATAGCCGAGATTACTTTAAAAAAATAAAAAACCTTAAAATGCCAATTTATAAAACAGACAGAAATGAGACACTCTAGCTGAATGAGAGAGAACAGACCTGAGACTCCCTCAATCTCTCCTCCCTTGGGTAGCCCCCAGCCCTCAGCTCATCCTGGGGGCCCTAGAGGAAGAGAAGGGAAAAGGGGGCTGGAGTGGGGGTGGTATTAATGCATAAACCTGAGTTCTAGATCTGCCACTTACTAGCTGTGTGACTGTGATAGGACATTTTCCCTCTCTGAATTTTGACTTTCTCCTCCAAAAAGTATAGTTAATAGTACTAATAACAGACCTACCATGAAGGTAATTTTGAAGACTGAATGAAATAGCATACATATAAGAGCTTTATGAGTTGAAAATGACTGTAACAAGTTATACGCTTCATGAAAAACCGATGCATGTTTCCATGTTTCTTTAGCTAAAACCAGCAGAATTCAGATTGTTGTAAAAGTCTAGAGAAAAATTTGGGTTGCCCAAAGGTTAGCAGTAACAGCCTCAGGAAATCTGAGGGTCACTGAGCAAGAAGTTCAGGAAACTACTTAGAAGCCACTGTAGCCACCCATTTGAGAAAGTTTCCACACTCATTCATTGTGAAAGTCTCTTCAAGGTGGGGGGTCGGGCACGGTGGCTCACGCCTGTAATCCCAATACTTTGGGAGGCAAAGGCCAGCTGGTCACCTGAGGTCAGGCGTTCAAGACCAGCCTGGCCAACACAGTGAAACCCCATCTCTACCAAAAACACAAAAAATTAGCCGGGCGTGGTGGCAGGTGCCTATAATCCCAGCTACTCAAGAGGCTGAGGCGGGAGGATTGCTTGAACCCAGGAGAAGGAGGTTGCCGTGAGCCAAGATGGCACCACTGCACTCCAGCCTGGGCAACAGAGCAAGACTCCGTCTCAGAAAATTAAAAAAAAATAAAAAGAAAAGAAAGAAAAGAAAAGGTGGGTGCCTTCTGGAGGATGGGGAAAGAGGAAAGTCCGATGGACAAATACGGTGGTGAGCTAACTCATGAACAGGCATAATATTATGAAATCTGTTTTAAAGCCTATTAACTCTTGGAAGTGTTTGAGATGGCTTCCAATACGTAGGTACAATAAACAGAAAAACAACACAAGAATAAAAAACACAAGAGAGAACAGAAAGAGATACATTGATTTCGTCACCCAGGTATATATTTTCACATGACCTCAGTCATCCCAAAGAAAAGTTTCACCTTTACTTTCATTTCAGAGCTGAGATACTGGCTGGGTGGATTTCAGCAAATTTCCAAGGGCACATGACATGTGGGCACAAAAGCCGGGATTTCACACCAGGGGATAAAGTATATCAGAAATGAAGGCTGGGGTAAGTACAAGCAGTTAAGTGCAATACTTTGTTCTGAGCTTTCTGACAACCAACCCAACCATTGGAAATATAAAGGTTTACATGGCTCTCATTTTCTTTTCAAAAAATACAAAAAGAAAATTTTAATGATACACACTAGTTTCTCAAGAGGCTCAAATTTTTTTCCTGATTTTTATTCTTAGAGCAATTTCTTATATGGGTCTTTATATAACATTTAAAGGGCAGAATAATAGACAATATCTCCCCGGATACTTTTTATCAGCAAGACAGGAATGTTCCCCAAATGACACTGCTTAAGAGAACTTTGAGGAGAACTGAGGGCAAGATACAAGCCATGGTTCTATACAGATAAGTCTACGGAAGCTGCAGAAATAACATTCCAGATCCCCAGGAATCCACCCACCCACCCCTCCGACTTTGGCCGAACACCATGGCTGGCTGCCGTGTGAAGAATGGACTGTAGGGGGTGCCAGAGTGGCTGTGGGAAACATCCCCTAGAAATCTAGAATTCAAAGCACTTACTTTGAGTGATATATCCACAAGAAAGAGCCTTCTGTGCTAAAAGCAAAAAAGAAATAAAAACATATCATGTTACTTTTAATTCTGAGAAAGGCGATTTTGTAACCATTATCACTGAGCCCGGGGCTGAGCTAAGAGCCTGGGTTTTAGCTGCTTCCTGGTTTCTACCTTCCTTTGAGACATAACCAATGACATCAGGAGGATGGAAATTTCCACTTCAGGATCTCAAGGGGAAACAGTTTTCTGCAAAATCTCAAATTGTGTGTTTGTGTGTGTGTATTGTAGAGACGGGGTTTTGTCACGTTGCCCAGGCTGGTCTCAAACTCCTGAGTCAAGAGATCCACCCCCGTTGGCCTCCCAAAGTGCTGGGATTACAGGTGTGAGTCATCACTCCTGGCCTCAAATTCTGTTTTGTTTTTGTTTGTTTGTTTGCTCTTTTAAAAAGAAGACAGCTCTCCATTGCAGAGATGGGTCCTCTCCTGCCACCTACTCAGGTGCCTGGTGATGACGAAGGCCCTGAAAGGACGGAAATGCCGTGGCCCAGACATCCTTCCCCCAGGATTTATCTTCCTCCAGAAAAAAAAAGCATCAACTGCAGAGCCTAATGCCATGGCCAACTCAGAGCCTTCTATAGAACAGCCCCCAAAAGCATTTCTTTAACTAATGAAGGCAGTGAGACTCTTAAGCCCCTACAAGTGCTGCAGCCTAGCACGCATAACCCTACCTGGCACTCAGGCCATGGATTTATAGATTCAGGTTCACCAACTTTTCATATCTCCTCAACAACCCTTCTCCTTACCCTCCTCTCCAGAATCCTTCAACAGCACAATGGTCACAGCAATATCCACATTGCAGTGGCTTTTAAACATGTATTCATGCTTTAAGCCTCCACTCAAATGCCACCTTTTCAATGCCTTGCTTGATATGATCCTAGCACAGTGCCTGGTACATAGTGGATACTCAATAAATATTTGTGAATGGATGCAGAACAATGGATCCTCCTCCAAGCCAAACATAATTTTTGCCTCCTTGAGGTTTTTTTTTTTTTTTTTTTTGAGATGGAGTCTTGCTCTGTTGCCCAGGCTAAAGTGCAGTGGCACGATCTTGGCTCACAGCAACCTCTGCCTCCTGGGTTCAAGCAATTCTCCTGCCTAAGCCTCCTGAGTAGCTGGGGCTACAGGCACACACCACCATGCCTGGCTAATTTTTGTATTTTTAGTAGAGACGGGGTTTCACCACGTTGGTCAGGCTGATCTCGAACTCCTGACCTCAAGTGATGTGCCTGCATCAGCCTTCCAAAGTACTGAGACTCCATCTCAAAACAAAAACAAAAACAAAAACAAAACAAAACAAAACAAAAAGAATCGGAGGTAATGCATAGCAAGGGTCCTGGCACATGCCCTCAATAACTTGTAGTTCCCATCATGATCACCACTATCATGAATATTTCATCATAATTTTGAAGGCTTCCTCTAATTCTCTAAAATTCGAAGATTATTTTTTCATCCAGCCTGAAATCAAATGCTATCCTAGATGATATTCTTTCAATACGCTTTACTGACAATTCTTCTATTTACTAATTGGTTGACATGCTTGAGTTAGTTATTTTTAATCCATTTTAGCTTAGTGCTGCCTACCTGTGTAAGGTTTGTGTCCTCGGCTCACCTCAACCTATCATGTGGCCAATTCGTAAAGTGGCAAAAAAACAAAACAAACAAAAAAAAAAAAACAAAAAACAACTCCTCCCCTTGAAGTTTTTTGCAGATGTTCAAGTGGATTCTGCACATCAGAGGATGTTGTGGCCAGAGTCCAGGTGCCAGACGATTAGCCTGAAGAGCAGCCAGAACCTGCTCTGGCTACCATGCAGAGAGAGTGTGCCCAGAGAGGCTGGTATATACATGCACGTTTCAGCCTTTGGCTCAGTTATGCACATACAACTCTGGCTACAATTCCAAACACCAAAGTTATCTGATCAAGTGTTCAAACTCAGAGCTTGAAGGTTATCCAAGCAGACATTCCGACTCCAGGCAGGAACCCCAAAGGGTACTTGTTCTTCTGTTGGACTCTTCCAACTGCTAGAGCTCTTCTATTTACCAAAATCTTTCTTGTTCTGCCCTCTGGAGCAGATCATGATGATGATGACTGTTACGAAGTGAATGTTGTATCTCTTCAAAATTCGTATGTGGAGGCCCTGCCCTCAGTGCGATGATATTTGGAGGTGGGGCTTTTGGGACGTAATTAGGTTTAGATGAGGTCGTGGGAGTAGGACCCCCATGAAGGAATTAGTGTCCTTACAAGAAGAGGAAGAGGCAGTAGCTTACTTGCTCTCCATCACGTGTGGATACAGGGAGGAGGTGGCCATCTGCCAGCCAGGAAGAGCCCTCACTGGGGATCTTGGACTCCCCAGCCTCTAGAACTGAAAGAATTAAATTCCTGTTGCTTAAACCACCTTGTGGTACTTTGTTATAGTGGCCTGAACTAAAATGATGATGAGGAAGAGGAGGAGGAGGATGACAGCTAGCATTTATTGTTTATTAAGCCCTAGGCATTGCTTCCCAGTGCTTTATACACAATAACTTATTTAATTCTCCCAACAACCCTATGAGGCAGGTACTATTATAATCCCTCCCCCAACTTTTTTTTTGAGACAGTGCCTTACTCTGTCACCCAGGCTGGAGTGCAGTGGCAGGACCACAGCTCACTGCAGCCTCAACCTCTCAGGCTCAAGTGATCCTCCCACCTCAGCGTCGTAAGTAGCTGAGACTACAGGTGCGCACCACCATGCCTGGCTAACTTTTTAATTTTACTTTTGTAGAGACAGGGTCTTGCGATTTTGCCAGGGCTGGTCTTGAACTCCTGGGTTCAAGCAATCTGTCCTCCTTGGCCTCCCAAAGTGTTGGGATTACAGGTGTGAGCCACCATGCCCAGCCTATTATCCCCAATTTTTAAAGATAGGGAAACTAAACAAGAACAGAGTGGCTGAGCAACTTGCCCAAGGAGCAGCCTAGCTCTAGAGTCTGAGTGGGAAACGTCCTCAGCCCTCAGTTGCCTAAGAGAGTTCCAGGGTCCCCACACAAAACTCTGAGTCATCTCTTCTTTGAACTAAATCCCCTCAGTTTTCTCAATTCAAAAGACCTAGTTTCCAGACCCTTTTAACTTGGTCACACTCTAGTTTGTCATGTTTTTCTTAAAATGAGTTGTGCAGAATGAAACAAAGCAACATTCCAGAAATGGTTACATCTGTGCAGCACCACAGGGACTAATGGCTCCAGCATTCGGAGAGTTCTTCTGCTACTGATGCACCTAAAGGCACGGTTCCATTTTTAGTAACCAAGACAGTCCTCCTAGATCATCAAATCTTAGAATTTAAGAATCAAAAGAGGCCGGGCATGGTGGCTCACGCCTGTAATCCCAGCACTTTGGGAGGCCGAGGCAGGTGGATCATTTGAGGTCAGGAGTTCAAGACCAGCCTGGCCAACATGGTGAAACCCTGTCTCCACTAAAAATACAAAAATTAGCTGGGCGTGGTAATACACGCCTGTAATCACAGCTACTCAGGAGGCTGAGGCAGGAGAATTGCTTGAACCTGGAAGGCAGATGTTGCAGTGAGTCGAGATCATGCCACTGTGTTCCAGCCTAGGTGACAAGAGAGAGACTCTGTCTCAAAAAAAAAAAAAAAAAAGAATCAAAAGAGATATTCGAATGTTAATCCAGGCTACCATCTTGAACTTGGGGGCCACTGAAACACTCCGCTATGAAAATATTAATGGTACCAAAATAGCTCTGTACAACTCAATTGTACAGTAGATTTTTTGAACCTTAAGGCTGAGCTTTTCCAGTCTTTTGAGTCAAAGGCATCAGGCATTTCTGTGGCTGCTTGTGAAGACTTCAGTCAGAAGCCTCTCCAGCTGGAATGGCCAGGCATTGTAGTTTCAAAAGGCACAGAGGTAGCTCATATATTTGGGGTGAATCCATAGATGAATTTGAAAACTTAGAAATGCTTAATTCATTTTGCTTTTCAAAGTTAAACACACACACACACCCACACACACTCTCTCTCTCTCTCAAAGATTTTAGCCAGGCACAAATGAATCACTAGCAATTCAGTATGTATTTTGCAGCAAAATTCAACAACTTAAGTTGCTCCTTTAAACTCTGCAAATATTTCAGGATTTCAAAATTCAGGGTGGATTTCTCATGGAATTCCTGTCTGAAATTTCTTAAGGTAATTTCCATATTTGATTATCCAAGTTATTTAAAATTACATTGGGCCTAATTTGATCTCATTTTCTCTGGATCTAGCCTACTGTTACAAAAATTATGATATTAGGAACAAGGCAGGAAGGAAGATAAGTAGTTAGCCAGAAGTCACTTGGGAGAGCTAATGATTTTAAAGACAGTCCAGGGCTTAGGAATTCAGGAAGGGTGGAATCCCTTATTTATGGTTTTAGTTAATCCTAATTTCAATTCAGCCTGGCAACTTGGATGATACTAGTAGGATAGAATCAAAGCAGTATTTTCATCCACATCACTTCATCATGTTTCATAATTACCTGTTGATAAATTCCCAAAACACAATGATCACAGTTGAGACAACCAGCATTGACAGAATTACTTTTCCTTTGACATTCATTATTTTCTCCTAGGAAAAAAGAAGAGGGGAGAAAAAAAGAGAACAGATTAAATCAATGAACTTCAAGAGGCAGTTTTTAAAAAATGCTTTTACCCCGTTCTTTTTTAAAATTACTACTATACTTTAAGTTCTGGGATACATGTGCAGAACGTGCAGGTTTGTTACATAGGTATACACGTGCCATGGTGGTGCACCCAGCAACCCATCATCTACATTAGGTATTTCTCCTAATGATATCCCTCCCCTAGCCCCCCATCCCCTGACAGGCCCCGGTGTGCGATGTTCCCCTCCCTGTGTCCAGGTGTTCTCATAGTTCACCTCCCACTTACGAGTGAGAACATGCGGTGTTTGGTTTTCTGTTCCTGTGTTAGTTTGCTGAGAATGATGGTTTCCAGCTTCATCCATGTCCCAGCAAAGGACATGAACTCATCCTTTTTTATGGCTGCATAGTATTCTATGGTGTATATGTGCCACATTTTCTTTATCCAGTCTATCATTGATGGGCATTTGGGTTGATTTCAAGTCTTTGCTATAGTGAATAGTGCTGCAATAAACACATGTGTGCATGTATCTTTATAATAGAATGATTTATAATCCTTTAGGTATATACCCAGTAATAGGATTGCTAAGTCAACTGGTATTTCTGGTTCTAGATCCCTGAGGAATCGCCACACTGTCTTCCACAATGGTTGAACTAATTTACATGCCCACCTAATTCTTTCTAAAAGGATACATTTAGGATGATCTAACTAGAGCTGAGGAGTCTGTTCTACCTTAAATTGCATAGACCTGCAGTGGCAGATCATGCCAATTTGGTTAATAGAGGAGGCTGCCTCCATTGGCAAGGGTGCTAAGGCCACACTGGGGCTCAGAGGGGAGGTATCCCTATCTGCCATGGATGTAGGAGACAATGGAAGTAGCTGTACATGGTTCCCAGGGACTCCAGTTGCCTCCCAAGTCTGATCGCCCCACCTTTTATCTCGTGACTGTGAGGAGCCACCCCATCCCCAACCTCCATGCCCTTGGTATAGTGATAACACATTCCCTTGCTCAGAGGAGAAAATGACCCTGGGTTTACAAGCTAGGCCCCATCCACTTCCCAGCTACCCCCAGCGTAGCCTCATCACACTCACAGGCAAGCAAAAAAAATGGTACACAGCAGGTGCATAGATATTCCCTGATCGCTGCGTGAAACTGCTTAAAAAAGCAGGGGTGCTGTGTGAAGAATAACAGGCCAGGAAGTACTTTAATGTGGGTGATCAGGGAAGGCTCACTGTGTAGGTAAAAGTAAAGTCGAGTCCCAAGGGATAAAGAGGGATGGAAAAGGATGAAAAGCACCATAAGAAGGAATGAGACTATTTTGGGAGCAGCATATGTAACAGGCTGACAGGTGAAAAAACTTCTTGTATTTAAACAGACAGCATTAAAGAAGAAAAATACTGTCACCTCAGCATGGCTGGATCCAAGGAGGGGTGCTAGTTGGCAACAGGATGGCGGACAGGGCAAATAGACGATGAAAGGCATGGGAGGGAGGAAAGGGAGCCACAAGCACCTTGGAAGCCAGAGAATAACCAGATTTAACTTCATGCAGAGATGCCTGCCTGTGTGCTGGGGTGTGGAGGGTAGATCAGAGCTGACAGCAGCGTGGAGAATGAGGTGGCAGACTACTCTGATGGCCAAAACGAAGGGGTGGCTGTATTGCATACATGTTTTTTTCTTGGCTATATGTTATGATGTTTTCACATCTTCAAAAACCTCTCTGGCTGAGGAGATAATGTCCTCTTCTATGACTAGCCAGTTCTTAGAGATAGCCAGGGCTCAGCTAGAAGCATGCCTTTGATATACAAATGAACCAATCCTGAGCTGTAGATCTTCACCTGCCCTGCACACCCCAGGAGGCAATATGACTTGGCCTTAAGCATCCCATCAGGGCCAGGTACGGGACAACTAGGGGCCATCCCTACAGCCTAAAGCCCTCTGAAATTACTCAAACTAGTCCATCCTAAACTGTTCACCCTGCACTGTCTTTCCCATGGAAACCTCAATAAGGGCTCTGGCCTCAGTCTTCCCCTTGCTGCCTGTCTTCTGTCTCCTGACCACCCTTGTGTCTTTCCCATGTGGTCCCATGTGGTCCCATATGGTGTGCTATGCCTCCTGTCTTTGGGACCCGTGAGCATAATAAACATTGTTTTTTCCTGAGCTTTTCCTGTGTCTCCTCTTGTGATCACACTGGACTGACCATCACATAAAAGAATACATAACAGTGGCCTGTGTTAAAAAGTAGGTAGAGAGATGGAAAGTGGTAGATTAATCAAAATATACCTTGGCAAGAGAATTGATAGGATTTGGCTGGTCATGTAGGTGTCAGGGACAAGGGAGAAGAAAGAAACAAGGTTTCTGTCTAAGCAGTCAGGTGGACAATTGTAGCATTTTCTGAGATGTGTTGGATGGAAGAGGAATTGGTTTGAGGGGTAAGAATCATGAGTTCCCACTTGAATATGTTAATTTTGAGGTGTCTACACACTCCTAAATGGAGATGACAAGAGGCAAACAGACATTCAAGTCTGAAGTTCAACAGAGATATGGGCTAGACATGCAGTTGGAAGAGTTGTTCACATATGGAAGGTAGTTAATGTGAAGGAAATGAATGAGGCTGTAACTGTCTTTGCAAAATTATAACTAAATAAATTATGACAGTGAAAGACATCAGACCTAACCAATTCCATCTTGCTCCTAACCTCTAACCTGTCATCCATTCCTGGGCGTAGGCTTAATTAGCCTTGGGAAGGAATTTAGTTTATAGTTTAAATAATAGCCCTTCCCAAAAGCTAAACTGTTCTTGTAAAATGAATGAAGGCCACCAGCCACCAAGTTAGAATGAGAGGGGCTGGAATTCTAAATATTACCAGCCATTATTCTGGAGGTCATAAGATTTTCAGGGAGACTGATTTGAGTAATAATAAAACTTCAGTCTCCCGCATAGCGGGCTCTGTGTGAATTACTCTTTTCTCCTTTGCAATTCCCCTGTCTTGATAAATCAGCTCTGTCTAGGCAGCGGGCAAGGTGAACCCCTTGGGCGGTTACAAGGTTACCTTGTGAGAGAATGTAGAGAGAGGAAAAGGAAAGAAGCCGGCCCTGGGCTGAAGCCTGAAAATGTCAACATTTTGAAGTAGGATTGAGAAGAAACCCGGGAGGGAGGAAGAAAACCAAGACTGTGGACCTCTGGAAGCTAAGAGGAGACAGTGGCCAGCCACACACCAAATGTCATTGCTTTGTGAAACCACATCCCACCCCTGCCCACCCAGCAGCTGAGTCCCCCTTCTCTTCTTGGGCTCCCCCTGTCTATTCACGTTGCTGTACATGTTGTTTTTGGAGGTGGCTCTGCCTCCGGTATCAGTTAGTCTGTGAGCTTCCTGAGTGCAGGAGGTGTGTTTTATTCAACCCTGAATCCCCAGTGCCTCACATAGAGTACACGAGGCACTCCATTAATGTTTGCTGAGTGAATGAAATCAAATAAGAATGATACTTAAATTTGTTCTCTGGACACAGGTCATTTTCCAATTCTTTTCAAAGAGATTTCTTAGATGATTCCAGACTCAGATCTCATATCTTACAAACCCTTTATTATGAAATCCAGTTAAAGAAGAGAAAGAGTGGGATCTTCAGAAAGTGAGCTCTGTTTGGAAACAAAAAAGCTGGGCTGAATTCAATGTTATAACCCAACTTCCAGCTTTCCACACAACTGTGATGGGCAGTATTCCACAGACCCTGAGATGACGAGTTTGCTGGGTAAAGATAGTCTCAGGCCTCTTCCCTCTAAGTACCATATGAGCCAGCACATACAGCCCCAGACCCGTGGCAAAGTCAGAAAAGGCAGATGGCTGCAGGCAACTCATCCCCCACTGCTGAGAAAAGTCACTAGAGTCTGCATCCGAAGCACCAGCATTGAGTGCTGGAAAAGTCTTAGTTTCGGGTGCAAAAACCTAAGGCTGTGGCCACCTCTCTGTGCCGATGTCCTCACTTCCAGAGAAGTGGGGATGGTGGTAGCCACAGGCTTTGGAGTGATGTGGGGATGTGAGTCTCAACTTTGACAAATGAAGCTGGGTAACCCTGAGCAGTGGCCCTCATCAACAACTCCAGAAAGCTCTGAAAACCCAACACCTTTTTGTAATTCAATTGGCATCAAGGCCCTAACTGACATGAGGCCATTTATAATCTTTATCCCACTGAGTGAGGCTGTTTAAACATTTCTATGCATAAATATTGATGTATTTTATTATGTGGTGCTGCTGCACCAGGAATGTTATATATGATACATAATCCATGTCCAAAAAATTCTGAATTCCAACACATCTGGCCCCAGGGTTTCAGATAAGGGATTGTGGACCTCTACTGGATCACATTAAATTAATAGTGATGATTACAAGAGATAATGTTGCCCATAAAATATTTAGCACTGTGCCTGGCATCGTATAAATGCAGAAGAAAAAAAAAAGTCCACTAGTTCTTATTACTGATAGCCATAAAACAGGCTGTTGGGAGGATGCAATGAGATAGCACAGTGCCTGGTATTTAGCAAGTGCTCAAAACAGATTTGAAGGAAAGAAAGGAGGGATTTGGAATAAGAACATGTTATACAATGAAGTGCAAATAAATGCAAATGAAGGACTCTAAAGGTTTACCCATCTGTTCTGTGTCATAGCCTGATTAAGGATGCCTCAGAAGTGGGATGTGACTTTGATTCTCTTTGATCAAGCCTCAGGCGCTGCTACAACCCCCTATGTGTGCCGAGGAGGCAACAGAGAGGCTGGCTGTGTGTCCCAAGCCTTGCCAACCCCACCTGCTGAGGATCAAATGCAAATTGTAAGGAACGTTAGGCAGAGAAAGGTGAAAACTCTCACGGTTGGAAACATTGGCGCTTACATCAGGGATAGCCCGAATCAGACATACCTCCAAATCCCCGCTCCAAATACAGAGATGTTTATGATTTTTTTTTATTCCAAAAATTAGCATCAGAAGCAACTCTTGAAGCCCACTTCTTTCTGGAGCTTATCTATGGCTTGAATCTGCCTGCTTTTTTGCTGTGGTCAATCGTTACTCTTGTTTAAGACTTACAATTGGATGACCGGGTGCAAACCTGTAATCTCAGCACTTTGGGAGGCTGAGGTGGGCGGATCACTTGAGGTCAGGAGTTCGAGACCAGCCTGGCCAACATGGCAAAACCCCTTCTCTACTAAAAATACAAAAATTAGCTGGGTGTTGCGGCACATGCCTGTAATACCGGCTACTTGGGAGGCTGAGGCAGGAGAATCACTTGAACCCGGGAGGCAGAGGCTGCAGTGAGCAAAGATCATGCCACTGCACTCCGGCCTAGGTGACAGAGCAAGACTCCATCTCAAAAAAAAAAAAAAAAAAAGACTTAGAATTGGAAGCCGTCCGAACGAGCCAATTTTGCATCCTTCAGCAAAGCACTACAAATAGGCGGTGACATGCTTCCTGGAATCTGGAATCCAAGCCTCCAGGGAGGAAAGGTTGGCAGGGTGGCCAATGGGTCTTTTAAAACATTTTTATTTTTCTCTCTGGACAAAAAAATGAGGCATTTGGCAGCCATTGTGGTCTAAAAGTTCTTCCCTTGTGTGTTTGTCTCTCTGAATTTTCAACTGTGTAATTCTGAAGACTGGTGGTTCACTGTCCTACCCACCAGTAAGAAACATGGGTTTGGGCCAGGCACAGTAGCTCATGCTTGTAATCCCAGCACTTTGGGAGGCCAAGATGGGCAGATTGCTTGAGCCCAGGAGTTCGAGACCAGCCTGGGCAACATGGGGAAACCCCCTCTCTACAAAAAGTAGCTGGGTGTGATGGTGCATACCTGTAGTCCCAGCTATTGGGGAAGCTGAGGTAGGAGGATCACTAGAGCTTGGGAAGGTCCAGGCTGCAGTGAGCCGTGATCAAGCCACTGCACTGCAGCCTGGGCGACAGAGTGAGATCCTGCAAGAAAGAAAGAGAGAAAGAGAGAAGGAGAGAGAGAGAGAGAGAGGGAGGGAGGGAGGGAGAGAGAGAGAGAGAGAAAAGAAAGAAAGAAAGAAACAAGGAAAGAAAGAAAAGAAAGGAAAGAAAGAAAGAAAAGAAAAGAAAGTTCTAAAATTCTCCTTTCAAGGGGTGGAGCACAGAATTAGGACCTTCCAAGTATTAACACCCTGTCTTAAGTGGGAGAGTGGAACCCTGATGTCCCCTGGGTCCCACCCCTCAGAGGACTGGGTGAACTTGGCCAGCCCCAGTTGCACAGCCTGCAATGGTCCAGAGCCCTCCTGCCATCTCTCAGACCCTCTGCCTTAATACTCTTATACTTTCTCTCTGAATCCATCCTATGGCCCCAGACCATTTGTAGAACTCAGTTAACCAGAACTCAGCGCCTGCACTGCTTCCCAAATGCAAGCACTCTCACCCCCATTCCTGGAACGTGTGCAGATTATGCTAAAAATATAGAGGCATTTTGCAAGGCAGGGTCACATTGTACAGCCTGTCATTTCTCCACCTTCCTCACTCTACCCTCACCCTCCTCCTTTTCCGCTTCTGTTTCCTTGTAGTGTCAGACAGACTTTTCCATATGGCCTATAAGTGAATTCTTCCCTACCACCCACCTCCAATCCTTCTCACACAGAACAACACACACACCCTCTGAGAATCTCACAGTTCCACCCCAACAGGGCGAAGTCAAGGTAATTCGTTCCAAACAGAATTCCACTCTGAAAGGAATTCTAGCAGATCCTATCTTCTCCATCTCGTGCCAGGGGAAAAGGTGAACCTCTCAGCTGAATGCCATGCACTCAGATGCCATGGAAAAGCCATTATCTCAGAGAGCAGGAATCCGGCAGGGTGAAAGTGGTGGCAGGAGAAACCAAGCCTTCTCCGCAGGCTAAAGAATTCTCCTCCCAGCCTGAGATTCCTACATCAGGCCCCTAGAGCCCACCCGTCCTCCGCTTGAGCCTTAATCACTTTCAGGCTATTGTGATGGGTCCAGACTGGCACAGGCCCTGGCTCCCAGTAGGAGCATCCCAAGTGTCAGAGCCGTTTGAACCACAGCAACTCCATCTTGAATGGGAGCTGGGTAAAATAAGGCTGAGACCCACTGGGCTGCATTCCCAGATGGTTAAGGCATTCTAAGTCACAGGATGAAACCGGAAACCAGCACAAGATACATGTCATAAAGACCTTGCTGGTAAAACAGTTTGCGGTAAAGAAGCCGGCTGAAACCCACCAAACCAAGATGGCGATGAGAGTGACCTCTGGTCCTCCTCACTGCTACACTCCCACCAGCACCATGACAGTTTACAAATACCATGGCAATGTCAGGAAGTTACCCTATATGGTCTAAAAAGGGGAGCCATGAATAATCCACCCCTTGTTTAGCATGTCATCAAGAAATAACCATAAAAATGGGCAACCAGCAGTCCTCAGGGCTGCTCTGCCTATGGAGCAGCCATTCTTTTATTCCTCTACTCTCCTAATAAACTTGCTTTCACTTTACAGATTCACCCTCAATTCTTTCTTGAGTGAAATCCAAGAACCCTCTCTTGGGGTCTGGATCCAGACCCCCTTCCTGTAACACAAGTGTTTGGGGTGAACAAATGAGTAAGGAGAGTTCTGAGGCACTCCAGTTCTGCTCTGCCATGGATTCATTAACAAACATGGACTAGGCTACTGTGCTCCAGATGGTTTTTGGAACTGGAGATGCTTTACTGAACAAGATTATCATAGAGCTTCTGTTCCAATGGGAGTCAAGAGACTCAACAGGATATATAATGTCAGGTAGTGACAGTGAACAAAGAGAAGGAAAACAGGTAAGGGAATGGGGAAGGGTGCAGTAATTAACTGGGTATTACTGACCTTGGACAAGACTCTAGTCTTAAGTCCTCCAGATCCTTGATTATAAAGGAGAGTGTTCAGCTCCAGCATTCCAGGTAAAAATTAGGCTAAGAGCAAAGACTCTTAAATCAGCAGAGTCCTAGATGTACACCTTAGGCCACTTACTTTAACACTCTGAGCCTCTATTTACATATACAAAATGGAGATTCTAACACCCTCCTCAAAGGGTTCTTGAAAGCATACTGTGCCCATGGTCTGTTAATGCCCCCCACACAGTACCTATAATAATGATGATGCTTTTTAATGGGAGAAATTCAGAAATGCATGGCTCAGAGCTTGGTGTGAAAGCAGGGCTGTGAGTTCATCTGAGAGGGGAATCTTGATGGGCAGCATCTCTCAGAACAGTCAGGAGCGAGTCCACACGCCAACTGCATGTTGTGATAAAGTCAGCTCCATGCCCTGCTCTATCCCAGGAACACGGCTCTGACCAGACCAGCTGCACCTCCATTTGCACCCCACCCCACCTCCTTGCTCCACCCCTGCCTCACCCTGTCCCCAGCCTTGTCATAGTCCTGCAGGTCAGCCCCAGCACCAACACAGTGCCAGCTTTCTAAACTGGCGTCACGAGTTTCTCTGGCCTCAGACTCCTTGGCCCAGAAACAAGTCCTTTGGAGCTAAGATTCCCCAGTAATCCCCAGTTCTTCTCTGATGAACCCAGGATGTGCATGAGAAATCAGCCTCAGGGATGTAAACCTCATTTTTTGAGGGCAGTTCTTTTAGCCACATAGAGCTCACCCTGCTGCAGTGACCTACACGGGCCCCTTGGTGTGATGATCAAATGATAGGATTCATCAACTATCACTTCTCAGCCTTTTGGCTCAGATCATGCATAGGAACCACCAACCAATATGCGCTGAATGCAGAGGCTGACTTACCAGGAGCTAATGACGCTTAGGTGTCAGGGTCCTCATGTGCACAAGCCCCTTTGCAAGACTGGGCCTGATTTCCCATTAGGGTGAGCATGAGAAAGCCCCAAATGCTTCCCAGAGGTAGAGTGTTGCCTTGCCTGGGAGAGTCACTCTCTAGCCTCAGTGCCTGTCCAGGGGCTGCAGGCTGAGCTGGGGTGCTGACCCATTACCTGCACACCCACCTAGGTCCCAGAAACAACCGGTCCCAGGTGGACCTTGTTGAGCACCTGGGCCCCTCCTCCTTTGGCCTCAAGAAGAAGGAGATGAACTACACACTACTCTCTCTGCTCCCTGCTCAGGGGTCACTATGATCCAGGTCTCACAGCCACCTCGTGCTCCACCCAGGTTCGTCTGCCTCACTGTGCCTAGCAAGGATCCAGGGCTGAGTTTTCTCATGATCTGGCTGGAGCCACCTGAGAAACTGTCAAATGACTTAGAGAAGTGGCATCGCCAATAACAAATTGGGAAGCTAAAATAAATTGCTCTAAACTCTCAGTAATAAAAAGCACCCATTGATTAACCATGCCACAGGCAAAACTGATTTATCTGTCTTTTCTCTTTTATTGGAAATGATTCTAGAAAACTGTTGTCAGATAATGTGGCAGTCAAAGAGTATGTAGCCCAAACATGACAGGTGTATCAGACAGTTAAGTAATACTAATCATTTTTGTATTAGTTTTACATCATTTTCTTATGTCGTTGTTTTCTGGATTTTGTTATATTTGGAATGTTTGTCAGTCTTTGTTATTTGTTGTGATATCACTTCTCATATTCCAGATACTTACTTTCATACCTAACATTGCATTTGCAACCTTGCTTTTTTTTTTTTTTTTTTTTGAGACGGAGTCTTGCTCTGTCACCCAGGCTGGAGTGCAGTGGCACAATCCCAGCTCACTGCAAGCTCCGCCTCCCAGGTTCATGCCATTCTCCTGCCTCAGCCACCCGAGTAGCTGGGACTACAGGCACCCGCCACCACGCCCAGCTAATTTTTTTTTTAATTTTTAGTAGAGACGGGGTTTCACCATGTTGGCCATGATGGTCTCGATTTCCTGACCTCGTGATCTGCTCGCCTCAGCCTCCCAAAGTGCTGGGATTTACAGGCATGAACCACCACGGCCAGCCCATTCTTCTTCTTAAAGAGGGCTCCCCAAATGGAATCAGCTTCAAACCCTGCAACACCTGTATTTTCCCCAGTCAAGCCAGGCCAGGCCAGACCCTGGGCTAAACCCCTTTTCAGGAGTCTCTTAGTTAAGCCCCATGACAACCCAGTGAAGTTACTCTATTATTATCCCCATTTCACAGATATGAAAACAGAGGCTCAGAAAGGTGAAGTAACTTGCCTAGTGTCACATAGCATAAGGTGGTGGAGTTGGGGTTCAAATCCAGGGAGCCAGGCTCTAGTGCCCTCTCTTTTAACCACTCTGTTGCTCTAGAAAACATGAAGTCTTCTGCATGGGTTAATTGCTGTGGGGCCAGCTCTTCCTTGGACCAGCTGGTGAGCATCAGCTCAACTCTCCTAGCATTTCCAGGCACCTTCTGTGTGCGTGTTGTGGGGTGTCCTCACTCACAGCATCTTGTTTATTCCTCACAATGGTCAGTGCGGTGGCCTTAGTGTGGCTTTTTTAGCTGAGGAAACTGAGCTTTAGCAAAGGGGCATAGCTTGCCAGAGATCACTGGGCATGCCCAGAAGTCTTGGTGCCAGATTTAAAATGCCTGCCTCCCAGGCCCAGCCCTTGGCATAGGGATGGTGCTGGGTGTAAGGAGGAAGAGTGCCTTATTATCCTAAAACCTCAGTGAGCTGGTGGGTCTTACAAGGAAATGCTTCCACGATACAATTCACGGGGAAGCAGGGGAAGTGCATGGAAGGTTGTCTCCAGTTTTGTTTTTCATTATAAGGGTCAGAGTAAACAGACACAAGAAAATAAGAGACAGGTCTCAGACTGAATACATGGCCCACTGTCGCTCCAGCCATCTCAAATGGAACGACCTGTTCTCTGAAGTATATCTTACAGTGCTTTCTCTCGAATCCCCTTTGGGAAATCTAAAGGCTGAATCCAGCCAGCTTTTCCATGCTGCCTGGTCTGGAAATCACTGCAAGGGTTTTTCCCAGAGAACCAAAGTAAGATAAATGAAAGATGCTACACAATTCTGAGAGGGCTCTGCCTCCATCCATAACTTCACCCTGAGCCCCAAGACTTGCCCCCTGCTCCTGCATTAACAACTTAAATCCTTCAGGAAAAACTCCAGGCTGCAGCTTGGCTGCAGCCCTGTGAGGTCCTACCAGGGGAGCAAAATAAAGCTGAACTTACAGTGAAGTCCCTGAGCCGGCATCCTTCTTCCAGGTCCACTGCTGGAGAGACAAGGACTTGGTCCTCTTCCAAAACTACTGAGGGGGCCACCGAGAGTTTAGGGCGATCCACCCGTGACCCCAGCATGGCAGAAGCAAATCATTTCACCATCTCACATACCTCCTGCCGCTTTCACCCCAGAGTAAAAGGCAAAACAACAAAGTTCTTTTGAGCTCCCTTCTGCAGAAGGAGGCAGGACTCAGAGAAAGGGAAGGTGCTGGTTTCAACTCCTGTCGAAAGAATAAACAGCTGTTTCAGGAGATGGGGAGTAGACAGAGCCCTCAGCAGCCAGGGGCTTTGTTCCTTGCAGGCCTTTGGGAAACGAGCTGTTTATCAGGCCTGTTGACTCAGAGCTGTGTGCCAAGGCAGAAATGTTCCTCTCTGGATCCATGAGCGGCCCAGCCTCCTTGCCAAGCAAAACCATGGTCCAAACTGGGCCTAGTATGGGAGGAGGAAAGGCCACCACCCACCCTTGAGAGGGACACCAAGGGGGCCCACATCACACACTACTGGATAAAAATGGAAACCATTCTGGACCCAAACAACTTCAAGTGACTGCTCCTAGGACCAGCCACCAGCCAATGGAGACGTTAAAACACACACACAAACACACACACACCACAGAGGAGTGGACAAAGGGCTATCTTGAGAGTCCTCAAGACTGGTGGAAATTCTACCTAAATGTTCCTCAAAGTTAAGTCCTTCCTCTACATCTTTTAGGCTTCAGAAGTCGCTGTTTGGTTTGAACACTACATTTTTATAGAATGTTACGGGATCTCCCACAGCACAAAGCACACTACAAGAACTTTAAAAGGTCACCAAGGCTCAACTCCGCTCTCTGGCTGAATAATGCTTAACCCTTCCCATACCCACCTCCTGCTCCCAAAATAGAATCTTGCAGCTGGAAGGGACCTAGGGGCAGTGGATTTTCTTTCTTTCTTTTTTTCTTTTCTTTTCTTTTTTTTTTTTGAGATGGAGTCTCACTCTGTCGCCCAGGGCGGAGTACAGTGGCGTGATCTCGGCTCACTGCAAGCTCCGCCTCCCGGGTTCAAGTGATTCTCCTGCCTCAGCCTCCCGAGTAGCTGGGACTACAGGCACATGCCACCACGCCCAGCTGATTTTTTTGTATTTTTAGTAGAGATAGGGTTTCACCACGTTGGCCAGGATGGTCTCGATCTCTTGACCTCGTGATCCGCCCGCCTCAGCCTCCCAAAGTGCTGGGATTACAGGTGTGAGCCACCATGCCCGGTGGGCAGTAGATTTTCCAATGTCGAAACAGCTAAAACTTTTTCAAAAAGCAAACAAAATCATTCTCAGAATCCCCACGACCTGAAACAGAGCACACGGAGTCCTTTGGCTAAAGCAGGGAAATGATGCTCAAAGCCCCTTCCTCATCCTCCCACGTGGCTGAGACATCTCCAGGGAGTACAGTCTGGAAACCCCAGACTAAAGACAGGGGACCAAAGCCAGACAGGAAGGAATCAAGGACTGGCCCCCCGGTCGCTCAGTAGTGCCTAATCCAGCCTCTTCCTCCCGTTCCCCAGAAGGAAATTTCACAGCTTCCGCCTCTTAAGGGGATGAGTTATTTGGCCACAACCTTTAGGGTCCAGAAGTCTTCCTAATACCTTGCTTAAATCCTTCCTGTGGCTAACTATTTAAGCCAAACAGATGCCCACCTGCCTATCCTATTGTTCTGCTCCCAGTTCCACACCCAAACGAAAGTGTGTGGATGTTCACCAAGACACAGGCATTAGAATATTCATAGTTGGCCGGGTGCAGTGGCTCAGGCCTGTAATCCCAGCACTTTGGGAGGCCGAGGCGGGTGGACCATGAGGTCAGGAGATCGAGATCATCCTGGCTAACACGGTGAAATCCCATCTCTACTAAAAATACAGAAAATTAGCCAGGTGTGGTGGCAGGCACCTGTAGTCCCAGCAACTCGGGAGGCTGAGGCAGGAGAATCACTTGAACCCAGGAGGCGGAGCTTGCAGTGAGCCGAGATCGCGCCACTGCACTCCAGCCTGGGCGACAGAGCAAGACACCATCTCAAAAAAAAAAAAAAAAAAAAAAAATTCATAGCACACCCCAAACTAGATGCTCTCCCAAGGCGTATCATCAGAACAGGTAAATTATCACCTAGTCCCACAATGGGATTCTACCTAGAGCAATGAGAATGAGCGAGCTACAGCTACTCACGTCAAGGAAAATCTCACACACACAGCACTGAGTGAAAGAAACCCAGCATAAAAGGTACACACTGGATGATTCCATTTATTTAAAGTTCAAAAATAGGCCAAACTGGCAGGGGGCGGTGGCTCATGCCTGTAATCCCAGCACTTTGGGAGGCTGAGGCAGGTGGATCACCTGAAGTCAGCAGTTTGAGACCAGCCTAACATGGTGAAACGCCGTCTCTACTAAAAATACAAAAATTAGCTGGGTGTGGTGGCATGTGCTTGTAATCCCAGCTACTCAGGAGGCTGAGACAGGAGAATTGCTTTAACCTAGAGGTGGAGGTTGCAGTGAGCCAAGATTGCGCCACTGCTCTCCAGCCTGGAGATAGAGTGAGACTCTGTCTCAAAAAAAAAAAAAAAAAAAAAAAGAATAAAAAGTGGCCAGGCACGGTGGCTCACACTTGTAATCCCAGCACTTTGGGAGGCTGAGGCGGGTGGATCACCTGAGGTCAGGAGTTCGAGACCAGCCTGACCAACATGGAGAAACCCCGTCTCTACTAAAAATACAAAATTAGCTGGGCGTGGTGGTGCATGCCTGTAATCCCAGCTACTCAGGAGGCTGAGGCAGGAGAGTTCCTTGAACCTGGGAGGCAGAGGTTGCAGTGAGCCGAGATCATGCCATTGCACTCCAGCCTGGGCAACAAAAGCGGAACTCTGTCTCAAAAAAAAAAAAAAGAATAAAAAGTAACAGAAATCAGAAATCTTCCTGCTGGGAGCTGAGCTCTCCTGGGCACTGTCTTTCCCCGCTAGGGCCACAGGACCTGGATGGGCCCTGCCTCCCCAATCCCAGGCACCACAAACACCTCAGGAGGGGCTCAGGGACAATCTGTTGTGCTAAAACAATCTAGGAGGCCAGGCACAGTGGCTCACACCTGTAATCCCAGCACTTTGGGAGGCTGAGGCAGAAGGATCCCTTGAGCCCAGGAGATGGAGACCAGTCTAGGCAATACAGTGACAGCCCATCTCCACAAAAAATGTAAAAATGAGCTGGGCATAGTGGCATGTGCCTGTAGTCCAGCTACTCAGAAGACTGAGGTGAGAGGATCACTTGAGACCAGGAGGCGGAGGTTGCAGGGAATCAATATTGCACCATTGCACTCCGGCCTGGGAGACAGAATGAGACCCTGTCTCAAAAAAATAATTAAAAAATCGGCTGGGCACAGTGGCTCATGTCTGTAATCCCAGCACTTTGAGAGGCTGAGGCGGGTGGATCTCCTGAGGTTGGGAGTTCAAGACCAGCCTGGCCAACATGGTGAAACTTTGTCTCTACTAAAAATATAAAAATTAGCAGGGCATGGTAGTGGGCGCCTGCAATCCCAGCTACTCAGGAGGCTGAGGCAGGAGAATTGCTTGAACCTGGGAGGTGGAGTTTGCGGTGAGCCAAGATTGTGCCACTGCACTCCAGCCCGGGCAATAGAGCAAAACTCCATCTCAAAAAAATAAATTTAAAAAAATTACAAAATTAGCTGGGTGTGGTGGCACGTGTTGTAGTCCCAGTTATTCTGGAGGCTGAGGCAGGAGAATCATTGGAATCCGGGAGGCGGGGAGGAGGTTGCAGTGAGCCAAGATCGCTCCACTGCACTCCAGCATGGGTGACAGAGCGAGATTCTATCTCAAAAAAAAGAAAAGAAAAATAATTTTAAAAGCCATTCATGGACCTATGTATGGTCAGTGGGGAAGGGAAGGAAAATTGATTTCGAAACCTAAAGAGCTAGGATGAGATAAAGTGGTCCTCTCCATGAGCAAGCAGTGATCCCCGGTCTCATGTGCCTCCCACTTTACAGTTTACAGAGCAGCCTCTCTCTTTTATCTCAATGGATCATCACAATCACCTGTGAAGTGGTAGGACAGGGCCCTTCACTATTTTCAAAGGTCAACATACAGAGGCTCTGAGAGTCTCAGTGACTCATTCGAGGTCACCAGCTGGGACCTCTTTTCGTTGGAGCCAATGCTGTTCTTCCTACCCAGGCGCCTCCAGGGAACACTACTGATCAGATGAATAAGGCTCCTGGCTGGTCAGCCACAGCTTGGCAGAGAGTGTGCAAACCTGGAAGGCAGACAATTCAATTTCTAGAAAATTCAAACACGGCCCTCCTCCTTCCCTGACACACTTTCATCCTCAAACTCTCAAAACAAAGGAGCACACATTTAGGGTCATTCCTTAATTGAAAGCCAGAGAACCGTAGCAAATGAGCCTCGGGCTGGAGTCCTGCTGATCAAAGCTGTCCAGAGGCTGCCCAGGTAAGAGCTTGGTACCGTGTCCAGCCCCGAGTTGATTAATCTCATCATTACAGCCCGAACAGCCCATGGATCTATCAGATAACAGCCAGCATTCAGTATCTGTCCATCTTCCACATCCTGAGTTGGAGAATTATAGGGCCTCACTGTTGTAGAGGCAGCTGCAGACCAAATGTAAAGAGCCCTGGCTTCATGTCCCAGGTCACTTCCTGCTGGGAAACTTGAAGGTCACGATCTCCAACCTGCTTACCTCTGTGGAGGTGTGAGGATTAAGTGTTCTTGGCAAAGAATGCTACAGACACAAAGGTTGCAAGTTGTTGCTATTCATTTAATCCTAAACATGTTTAGAGAGGTAGAAAAAGTCCTACTTGACGATGCTTGCAAATAAGAGAGCAATTTGGTTGGCTTCCTGATCTGTGTAAAGGGGATAATCATAATCCCCACCTCTCAGGGTGGTTGAGGGGCTGCAGAACGTGGTGGTTATGAGCATAGACTTGGGCTCATTGTGCCTATTGGGTGCAATGTTCACTATTTGGGTGACGGATACACTAAAAGCCCAGACCTCACCACTATGCAGTATATCCATGTAACAAAACTGCATTTGTACCCACTGAATCTATTAAAAAATTGTAAAAAGGGTTAAAATAGTAAATTTCATGTTATGTATATTTTATGACAATTAAAAAAAGAAAACATTCTGGCCAGAACTAGATTCACATGGCAACAGTGGTGAACACCAGGCAAGGAGATTGTGGGAGAGTCATCTGTTTTTCCCTTCTACCTCTGCATTTTTCTTTTTTTTTTGAGACGGAGTCTCGCTCTGTCGCCCAGGCTGAAGTAGCTGGGATTACAGGTGCCCACTACCATGCCCAGCTAATTTTTGTATTTTTAGTAGAGACGGGGTTTCACCATGTTGGTCAGGCTGGTCTCGAACTCCTGACCTCAGGTGATCCACCTGCCTCAGCCTCCCAAAGTACTGGGATTATAGGTCCCGCCGCTGTCTACATTTTTCAAATGTTCTACAATGAGAACATATTACTTTTGTAACCAGACAGAAAGTTATTTAAGTAAATAAATCTGGTGGTTCTCTGACACTGACAGTCTGAAATAATTCATTGTTGCTATTATGTAAATGTGAGCGATACTTTCCTTATTTAATACAAGGAACTAAGTTCAAGGATGCCAACTGAAGTACACACCAAGCTGCTCAGTCAAAATAAATGACACGCAGAGTGATCCTCCTCTCTAAGACTAGCTGTTCTTGTCTATATTTAAGGCAACTTAAAACAAAACCAGAACCAAAATAAACCCTCTAATGAGCCTCCCCAGAAGCCGTCTGGCTTGGAAAAGCTCAAACACAAACTAAAGAGAAACAGAGAGCTACAGAAAAGCAAGGAACAGCCAGTGTTTCTCCAGGACATTAACTCACTGCCCCTGGGAAAGTGACTCTGTCTGTGAATTTCTGTTCCTTCTGCTTCTGGAAAATAGTCCGGTGTAGAATGGAATTTGGAATCTGGAAGAGGCTCATGATTTGTATTCATTGCAAATCCATTTTCCCACCCCAGATAAATGCTGAACAAATCTTAAAAGAATACGAGTTCGAAGGGCAGCCAACGGGTCTGCCTGCCAGGGTGTCCTTGGTCCCAGGCCACATGGGCCTACCTTCTCTGGCTCCCTTGCCCTCTGCTCAGTGCTGGCTACAAGGCAGGCAGACAGAATGGAGCCTCCAGGAAAACCGTGAGGAGCTGGGACAATCCCCCGAGAGTCCCCCACCCCACTGGCTATGTGACAGAGTCCCCAGGCAGCCTCCTTCAGAACTTCAGTATCCCGTCCTAACTAGTGAACGAACAGGATTTTGCAAGGTTGTTGTGAAGGTTAAGTGTTGTCACGTGTAAAGTGTCTAGCATTATATTCCTTTGAAATACGTGTCTTCCTGAGTTGATGGGATAGAGGGAGTTGCCAAAATGTAGTCAGTGCTGAGTGGATGGCGGTGTATAGGAAAGCAGTGGGGTGAAGACAAGGTTCCCCAAACCTGGGACTCAGGCCGGGCTCTGGAGAAAAATGGGAGACAACCAGCAGCCCACTCCCGCTCAGTGCTAGCATCCACGCTGATTAGCACACACAAAGACCTTTGGTGGATGTCTGTATGGGATCAGCAGAGCAGGGCCTTGGGCTTTATTTTACACATGAAGATACAGAGGCTCAAAGAAGGAGGGAAGTGGGGAAGGTCCCCTCCCCTCTGCACCCACATACACCCACTTCCTCAGATCACATCTGTGGAACATGGGGAAGTGGACTGAGGAACAGCTTGGGTTTCTGCTAGCTCACCCATTCTAAGATTATATAATCTCAAAACAACAACACCACCACCACCAAAAACCCATTTGTGATTCCTGCGCACACCATGAACTAGGATAGATTCTTGCATTCTCTAGGCCTCGGTTTCCACATCCACAAAACAAAGGTTTAGGTGGAAACTTCTAGGCTCTTTTCCCCTCTGATAATTGTATTCCAGTAAGGAAGGCTCTGCTTCCATGCCCTTTGCCCTTCACCTAAAACTCCACTTGAGTCCAGGCTCACAAACAGGAAATGTGACAGAGGCTGATGAGTGGCCCATTTCTCTGCTGCAAGGGCTATCTGACAGGAGAACAGTGTTTTTGAACTTTACAGCTGAAGCCAGAACTCCATGCCCCAAGACCTTTCTCAGTGTGGGAGGAGGACACTGTTGCTATCTGGCTGGACCACCTACACCACGCCCACGTGGGTCTATTCGTAGGAGGTCCGCAGTGCACAATGAACAGGTTCCCAGTCTCAGGAGGTCCCCTGGTGATTGGGGATGGTGGACCCCAGGTGGTGTGCAGAGAGCACTAAGACAGCAGTCAGGACTCCTGGGCTCCAGTCTGGACCCAGTGAGCCTAGGGAAGGCCCCACAACCCTCTGGGCCAGGGTTTCCCATCTGTTGGGTGAGGGGGCTGCACACGGGGCTGGCTCCCTGCTCTCTGTGAGGTTGTTTTGTGCGGGTGGCACGCTGCTGTGATGAAGGGCACCATCTCATTGCCTGTGTCTCAGTCCCAAGTCTCTCCCATACCATGTGGCCCTACAAATGTCTTAATCTTTTTGTGCCTCAGTTTCCTCCCTTGTAAAACTAGAAAGATAACAATCCCTACCACCTGGCTTTTCTAGCTGCATAAAAGGCAGGGCTTTTATAAAGTGGCTAGAATATGTCCAGCATGAGTAAAAACAAATGGCCAGTACACATGAGCTATAATTGTCTCATTATTTGTTTAATCTGGTGTCTGGATGACTTTCCTTTCCCGGTTTGCCCATCTGCAGAAGAGGTGAGCAGAACTCAGGTACCCCTATTTGCTCTTCGGACCAGGTCCACACCACACGTCTCAGAAAACGAATCTGAAGACCAGCCTGAGCCACCCACAGCCAGGAAAGAAAACTCTGGGGGAAGAGACAGGAAATCCTCGATGCTGCCCCAAAGCAGATGGATTTGGGGGTTGGCTCTTGCCCCAGGTTGTCGGGCACACAGAGAAGGCCACCAGCTGCACCCAGATTCACTAGCAAAGGAAGAGTCCTCAGCCCATTCCCAGTTTGCCCCAGAGGGGACGACTTTTCAGAGAGGACAGCAGTGAGATGCAGGAGAAGATGTTTGTCCTGGGTTGATCTCTGTTCCCACCTCTGCCCCTGAGCCTCACGAGTTAAAGATGAGGCTCAGGCTGCGCGCGGTGACTCACACCTTAATCCCAGCACTTTGGGAGGCCGAGGTGGGCAGATCATGAGGTCAGGAGTTCGAGACCAGCCTGACCAACATGATGAAACCTTGTCTTTACTAAAAATACAAAAATTAGCCGGGCTTGGTGGTGCGCACCTGTAATCCCAGCTACTCAGGAGGCTGAGTCAGGAGAATCGTTTGAACCCGGGAGGCAGAGGTTGCAGTGACCCGAGATCGCGCCACTGCACTCCAGCCTGGCGACAGAGTGAGACTCTGTCTCAAAAAAAAAAAAAAAAAAAAAAAGCTAAAGAATCAAACCTACAGTCCTAAGAACCAGCGCACTAGCGCCCACCCTTGAAAATGCTCCACTGAGGATCTCTGTTTGGCCGTGCTGTGCAGAAAGGATGTCTTTACAAGGTATAGACTTTTTTCTTTTTTTGAGGTGGAATCTCGTTCTGTCACCCAGGCTGGAGTGCAGTGGCATGATCCCAGCTCACTACAACCTCCACATCCTGGGTTAAAGCGATTCTCCTGCCTCAGCCTCCCACGTAGCTGGGATTACAGGTGCGTGCCACCACGCCCAGCTAATTTTTGTATTTTTAGCAGAGATGGTGTTTCACCATGTTGGCGAGGCTGGTCTTGAACTCCTGACCTCAGATGATCCGCCTGCCTCAGCCTCCCAAAGTGCTGGGATTACAGGTGTGAGCCACCGCGCCAGGCCTACCAGGTATAGACTTTTTATAGCTGAAGGGAACCTAATTTTACAGATGCAGAAACAGGCTCAACCAGAGGCAGGTTGTGGATGTGTGTGTGTGTGCGTGTGTGCGTGCATGTGTGTGTGTGTGTGTTTAAAGTTTTCTTTTAGAGGCAGGGTCTCACTGCATTGCTCAGGCTGGAGTGCAGTGGCTATTCAGACATGATCATAGCACACTGTAGTCTCAAGCTCCTGGCCTCAAGCAATCCTCCCGCCTTAGCCTGTTAGGATGTGAACTCTTGAAGTCTCCATGTTCTGCCTCTCTTCATTTAATCAATTCATGTTCATTGAGGGCCTACTACATGCAGGCTAGCACCGTTCTAAACCCTGGGGATTCAGCTCTGAACCAAACGCAAGGGTTATAAGACAAATAAAGGATATTGGGCCTGGGCATGGTGGCTCACACCTGTAATCCCAGCACTTTGGGAGGCCAAGGTAGGTGGATCACCTGAGGTCAGGAGTTCGAGACCAGCCTGCCCAACATGGTGAAACCCTGTCTTGGCTCATATAAATACAAAAAATTAGCCAGGTGGTGGTGGACACCTGTAATCCCAGCTACTTGGGAGGCTGAGGCAGGAGAATCGCTTGAACCCGGGAGGCGGAAGTTGCAGTGAGCCAAGGTCTCTCCATTGCATTCCAGCCTGGGCAACAAGAGTGAAACTCCGTCTCAAAAAGCAAAAAAATTAGCCTCTGTCTCAAAAAGCAAAAAAATTAGCCAGGCATGGTGGTGCATGCCTGTAATCTCAGCTACTGGGGAGGCTGAGGCAGGAGAATCGCTTGAACCCAGGAGGCAGAGGTTGCAGTGAGCTGAGATCATACCACTGCACTGCAGCCTGGGCAACAGAGCCAGAGTCTGTCTCAAAACAAAACAAAACAAGGATGTTGACATCTTGAAAGTGATAAGGAGGGGTAGGGGTCACTATTTAGGGATGACCTCTTTGTGCTGACCTCTTTCTGGGATCCCCCAAGCCAGCAGTGTGATGGAGTTGGTTCATGCTGGCTTGCATGTTAAATTTTCAAGAATTTGGTAACCCAGTTGTTAAACATAGGCCTTATTAAAAAATTTAATTATGTAAACTTACAATTAAATGAACTGTATTAGGAACAAAGGTAATCATAAAAACTCATCACTTCCTAATTACTTTATTATATTTTATATATATTTTTTTGAGACAGGGTCTCACTCTGTTGCCTAGGCTGAGGGCAGTGGCATGATCACTGCTCACTGCAGCCTCTGTCTCCTGAGCTCAAGCGATCCTCCCACCTTAGCCTCCCCAGTAGCTGGGACTACAGGTGCACATTACCATGCCCAGCTAATCCTTTATTTTCTTTAGAGGTGAGGTCTTACTATGTTGCCCAGTCTGGTCTCAAACTCCCGTACACAAACCATCCCCTCCCAAAGTGCTGGGATTACAGGTGTGAGCCACTGTGGCCAGCCTCATTTGATACTCTTGAAGTTACTTACATCTATTGTATCTAGTCAGAGTGGAAAATACTATACATCAATGTGCTACTGTGCACCTACTCCCAGCTCCTCAAGTGGTGGTAACTTGAAATTGGCCTTGGTGGAAATATTGACACTATAGAAATTGGCAAAGACCACATACCAGAGCTTCCATTTTTCAAAGAACTGGTCATGAAACACTTCCTAGCACAACACTGCCAGCAGGCGTTCTGTGTTTGTGGGAAGCTGCATTCTTCGGGTGGCAGGGAAGAGTATGGTGGTGAAGCCCAACTCTCCTGGGGATGTGTGTGTGTTTGTTGGGGGTGGGGTGGGGTTGCCCCCAGTCACAGGAGTGTGAACTTTCTTCTTCCTCTGCTAAGCCTTCCTTAGTGAAGGAAGTCTGGGATCTCTAAGAAGCTCTGTCTGCTCCTGCAAAAGAACTACTTTCTTTAACAGTAGGTATCAAGGGTCTGTAAGATGGTGACTCATTCACGTATTTGATTATTTTTGGTAAATCAAATCCCCGTTTCAGTATACTGAGGAGGCAAACATTTAAAGGAACTTGCGAAGAATTTCTATGTATCAATGTGTGTGGTTACTGCTGAATTTCTCTAGATTTTCTTGCGTTGGTTCTCTTTCCCTCGAGGACATAACTGCTGTGGTAACAGCTGGGTGGAATTACTAGTACTTCTACTAATAATAATGATAACAGCACAGCCATTCAATAGTACCGCATGCCAGGCAATAGACACTTAGCTCTAAAAACCAACCTATTTTACACAGGTGGATTTTGAGTTTCACTAAAGTGCTCAATGTCAGGCTGCTGTTCTGAAAGCTCCCCAGAAAGTCTATGGCCATACCACTCTGAATGCACCCGATCTCATCTGAAACCTCCCCAGAAGGCTTTTGCCCTCCCTCAGCTGTGGCCCTGTGACCCTCCTTAGGCCAGCAGAATTCTGTGGCACTACAAGGTTCCCCATCTCTGGTGGCATCAGTGGTCTTGTGGCTGCCCAGTTTAGCATCAGCAACCCCTCACTCACCACCAGAGCACAACGGGCCGGATCCTCCCCAAGTCCATTCACTTACACCTGGAATGCAGGACTGACCTAGGCCTGGCCAGTTAGTGGCTCTGCAACCTAAGGAAGCCGCATGGAGGCAGGTGCTAGAGCAACGTTACTCACAGCAGCAAGAGCTAGAATTAGCTCCTATACAAGACCTTGTGTTTATTGCCTGGCCTTTACTGGTTCTGGCCAGCTTTGTTTTCTAGCCTTCTGAAAGATGTTGTCAGCAACAAAACATCCCTTCCAAGACAGGTGTCTTCTGCCTCAGTGAGCTGAAATCTCCCTCTGTTGCATACAACCGTGACCTCTGGCCTATATGCCTTCTCATTTGCTACTCAATGTAGCTGCCCCAAACATTTTCTGAGCACTTCCTATGTTGAATTTTCATGCCCTGGAATGAATTCCTAAGCACTTGATTAAATGTGCACATAGAAATATTAATTATCCCTTTCTCTGCATGGCTCTGGTGAATATAGGCAGACAGAGTTTGCTACATCAAACACCAATATCAGACAGAGTTTGCTACATCAAACACCAATCTATAAGCAGCCAGAGATTTAGGCAACCACAAGCAAACCCCGGCCCAGTCCTTGCTCTCGGGGAGCCAGGCCTCCTTAAAAGCTACCCCACTCCTAATTTTGAAAGTGTCTTGGCTTTTCCCACAGATGCCAGGAGAATTCCTCCAGAGGACAGCTGGCCTGCCACTTGAGGACTCATGGTTTCCCTGGGGCAGGAGAAGGTCAGGCAGCTGCTTCTCTGCTCACAGATGTTGCCAGCCCCAACATCACCCTTCGCCCTAGGCTTGCTCCTTTCTCTGTGCCCCTCCAGCCACCAGGGCTGTCTAGATTCCAGAACAGCTGGAGGAAGAGCAGGACGATTGATTCTCCTTGCTTCTTCCCTCTGCCTGAAACTCTCTACCCGGTTCCCCCTATAACTCCTGAAGGGCTCAGTGGAAAGGTCATTTCCCCTGGCCACCTCCCTGGCCAGGATCAGGCCCCTGTTATACACGCTCTGCACTTCTTTGTGGCTGTCACTGTGCAATTAGTTTTTTTTTTTTTCTTGTTTTCTTTTTTTGAGATGGCGTCTAGCTCTGTCACCCAGGCTAGAGTGTAGTGGTGCCATCTCAGCTCACTGCAACCTCTGCCTCTTGGGTTCAAGTGATTCTCATGCCTCAGCCTCCTGAGTAGCTGGGATTACAGGCTCCCACCACCAAGTCTAGCTAATTTTTGTATTTTTAGTAGAGATGGGGTTTCACCATGTTGGCCAGGGTGGTCTCGAACCCCTGACCTCAAGTGATCTGCGTGCCTCTGCCTTCCAAAGTGGGATTACAAGTGTGAGCCACCATGCTCAGCCATGTGCAACTGTCTCCCAAGCTAAGCTATGGCCTCCATGTGGGCAGGAATTGTGTCTATCTTGTTCATGGTGACATCTCAGGTATCTAGCCCAGGACCTAGTAGGTGCTCAGTAAATTCTGGGTGAATTTATAAATGAATGAATGGATTTGTGGTAGCTCAGTGAATGCTGAATGAGTATCTGATTCACAATATGAGTCTCTGGAACAGGTACCTCTTCTAGCGCCTCAGTTCCTGGTGTCCAAATTGGCAAGAGAGGCCCCCAAGTTGGGATTTCTTTGGGAAAAACAGCTGCATTTCCCTTGCAGGTTTTTGGTTGGAGCATCCATTTCCTGTGTGTTTAGAGTTTTTTTTTCCTGCTTTTGTTTCATCGCAGGCGTTGCTCAGAGAGAAGCTGGCTAGACTTGGGCCTTGTACCATTTGGCTGATGGGGAAACGGTCCCACAGTACCCATAGCTAGCAGCACCAGCACGGGGTAGGACGTGACCACCTCACATTCAGCCCAGAGCTCTTTTCAGTGCCTCACCCCTAAGGGGAGCCGAGTTCAGGTATTTTATTTTATTTTATTTTATTTATTTTATTTTTGAGACGGAGTTTCGCTCTTGTTACCCAGGCTGGAGTGCAATGGCACGATCTTGGCTTACTACAACCTCCACGTCCCGGGTTCAAGTGATTCTCCTGCCTCAGCCTCCCTCATAGCTGGGATTACAGGCATGGGCCACTACGCCTGGCTAATTTTATATTTTTAGTAGAGACGGGGATTTCTCCATGTTGGTCAGGCTGGTCTTGAACTCCCTACCTCAGGTGATCCGCCCGCCTCGGCCTCCCAAAGTGCTGGGATTACAGGCATGAGCCACCGCGCCCGGTCGAGTTCAGGGCTTTTAAAGCAGGCCCCCCTGAAGATGAGAGCACTGAGACAGAGGTGGCTTGAAAAATTCTTATTAAGAACTAATCTTGAGGCCGGGTGGTGGCTTGTACCTGTAATCCCAGCACTTTAGGAGGCCGAAGCAGGCAGATCACTTGAGGTCACGAGTTTGAGACCAGCCTGGCCAACATGGGGAAACCCCGTCTCTACTAAAAATACAAAAATTAGCTGGGTGTGGTGGCGTGTGCCTGTACTTGGGAGGCTGAGATAGGAGAATCGCTTGAACCTGGGAGGTGGAGGTTGCAGTGAGCCAAAATCACGCCACTTCACTCCAGCCTGGGTGACGGAACGAGACTCTGTCTCCAAAGAAAAAAAAAAAAGGAACTGATTGCAGGACAGGATCTGGCCTCTCTCTGCCCAGCCTCTTCCATTTCCTGCTTTTCACTCTCTCTGGCTGATTTCAGTCTGAGTAAAGCCAGGAAGGAGCCCTGCTATGCCCCAGGGAAGGTCACTGCAGCTGCTACCTCGTGAACTACCTCCATTCCCTACCTGTGCCCACCGAGGGCTCCAAGCCACCCTATGTTTGGCTTCAGGACCCGGCTTTCATGCCTCAGTTCTGCTACTTAATTTTTGAGGTTTTTCGCCCAAGACATTAAAACTCTAAGCCTCAGTTTCCCCACATGCAAAATGGGGAAAATCATTTCTGTTCTGCCAACTTCAGGGCTTTTGTGAGGCTCACGTGAGATGAGTACATGGTCTTACTTCTGAAACTATGCATCAGTGTAGAGAAATCTTATCATAATAATTTTATAATTATTTTTGTTTCCCTCGGGGGTCTTACTGTCAACCCATTCTGATCTCTGTCAGCCGCTGTCTTCCAGGATCCATTTTTTTCTACCCAACCTCTCCACTATTCAACCCTCTTGACCACATCCTCCTGGATACCCCATCCTCCTTCAGCTTCCTAGACTCACTCTCTTTTTTTTTTTTTTTTTTTTTTTTTTGAGACAGAGCCTTGTTTTGTTGCCTAGGCTGGAGTGCAGTGGCACAATCTTAGCTCACTGCAACCTCCACCTCCCGAGTTCAAGTGATTCTTCTGCCTCAGCCTCCCAAGTAGCTGAGATTACAGGCACGCACAACCACGCCCAGCTAATTTTTGTATTTTCAGTAGAGACGGGGTTTTGCCATGTTGACTAGGCTGGTCTCGAACTCCTGACCTCAGGTGATCTGCCCGCCTTGGCCTCCCAGCATCCTGGGATTACAGTCGTGAACCACCGCACCCAGCCGCTAGGCTCACTCTCTCTGGAATCTCCTCCTCCATCTCAGACCACTCACTCTCTGAGTTAGACCCATGCTTTTCCCTGCCATTCATATCTGTCAGCCACACAGGGTTTCAGAGAGGAACCCCAGGAAGCACGTGCACACCCCCAAAGTCTCTTGTGGATGTCTGTGTGGGGTTGCCCTGTGGCACAAAATTTGAACAGAAGGCAATGGGTCTCCACCCCACTGCCATCACTGCCTCTGCCTCCTGAGACTCTGTTTGGCAATGAAAACTGGCATAATGGCTGCTAAAGCCCAAGCCTTGGAAACTCTCATGGCCGGGTCTGATTGCACGTGACAGAGGTCTGTGGTCTCCTCGCCACATTTGGACAAGCTGAGCCAATCAGCTCTTTGGCTGGAGATTTAGACAGCAGATATTCACTTCTTCTTTTTAGAACTGAAAGGACTTTTAGAAGTAATTCTGGGTTGCCAGGCATGGTGGCTCACACCTACCATCCCAGCTACTCAGGGGGCTGAGGTGGGAGGATCACTTGAGCCCAGGAGTTCTGGGCTGCAGTGTACTATGCAGATAGATCAGGTGTCTGCACTAAGTTTGGCATCAATATGGTGATCTCCTGGGAGTGGGGAACCACCAGGTTGCCTAAGGAGGGGTAAACTGACTTAGGTTGGAAATGGAGCAGGATAAAACTCCCGTGCTGATTGGTAATGAGATCACATCTGTGAATAGCCACTGTACCCCAGCCTGGGCAACAAAGCAAGACCTCATCTTTTACAAATAAAGGAAGAAAGAAAGAAAAGAAAGAAACCTGGGTTGAGCATACTACGTGATGACCCCTTTGCCTTCAGCGCATGGACCAAATCTACATCATTCTTTTTTTTTTTTTTTTTTTTGAGACAGAGCCTTGCTCTGTCACTCAGGCTGGAGTGCAGTGGTGCCATCTCAGCTCACTGCAATCTCCACCTCCCGGGTTCAAGCAATTCTCATGCCTCAGCCTCCCAAGTAGCTGGGATTACAGGATTACCACACCCAACTAATTTTTGTATTTTTAGTAGAGATGGGGTTTCACTTTGTTGGCCAAGCTGGTCTCGAACTCCCGACCTCAGGTGATCTGCCCACCTTGGCCTCCCCAAGTTCTGGGATTACAGGTGTGAGCCACCACACCTGGCCTCTCCTGACCTCAAATAAACTTCTGGAAAGAGTTGACTATCCTGGGCCAGGCATGGTGGCTCATGCCTGTAAACCCAGCACTTTGGGAGGCTGAGGCAGGTGGATCACTTGAGGTCAGGAGTTCGAGACCAGCCTGGACAACACGGTGAAATCCCATCTCTACTAAAAATACAAAAAACTAGCTGGGCGTGGTGGTGGATGCCTGTAATCCCAGCTACTTGGGAACCTGAGGCAGGAGAATCACTTGAACCCGGGAGGCGGAGGTTGCAGTGAGCTGAGATCATGCCACTGCACTCCAGCCTGGGCAACAAGAGCAAAACTCCATCTCAAAAAAAGAGAAAGAGCTGACTATCCTCATTGTTTTCATTATGTCCTCCTTACCTATCAGCAATCTAGCTTGCCTACCCTCCACTCCATCAAAACTGCTCTCAGTATGTTCCAGTAATCTCCTAATTACCCAATGCAACTTCTAATCCTTATCTTCCTGGACTGCTCTGAACCATTTAGCATGGAACTAAACTCATTATCTCTCCCCTTCCCAAACATTCATTCTCCCTTACTCTCTCAGCTAGTGGCACCATCATTCATACAGTGACCCGTGATGGAAAGCCACCATAAGATAATTCTAGCTTGGACTTGTTGAGTTTGCAGTGCCTTTGAGACATTCAAAACAAAGATGCCCATTGGGCAGTTAAACATGTGAATTAGATGCCCAAAGTTTGAGATAAGATGAATGCTACAGAAGTAGCATTTAAAGCCATGAACATGGATGAATTTGCCTGGCCCACAGAGTACAAGTACCAGGTCTTTAAATCCCAGTTGACCCATAGAGACTAACCTGTTATGTGATTTTCCTTACTTCTCTGTTGATTCCCCATTGCTCACAACTCCTTATCATGGCATGAAAGTTTCATCACAATCTGCACTTATTGCATCTATATAATGTGTATCAGTTAGCTTTTGCTGCAGCCATGCTGCATAACAAACAACCCCCAAATCTTAGCTTTTGGCCACAAAAGTCTATTTATTTTTCACATAACATATTAGTGCCCAGAAATCCCTATTCCTGAGGTCATTATTCCAACCACCATTTGGTTCTTTCCTTCCCAAGCCCTGGCCCATAATGGTCTCCATATCACCATCTCCATATCACCATATCCCTATTCTGCCCTGACTCATGTTATTTTCTCCAAAAACTCTTAAAATTCAATCGTAAAAAATAGAAGGTAGGCCGGGCGTGGTGGCTCACACCTGCAATCCCATCATTTTGGGAGGCTGAGGTGGTCAGATCACAAGGTCAGGAGTTTGAGACCAGCCTGGCCAACATGGTGAAACCCCAACTCTACTAAAAATACAAAAGAAAATTAGCCAGTGTGGTGGCAGGTGCCTGTAATCCCAGCTACTCAGGAGGCTGAGGCAGGAGAATCGCTTGAACCCGGGAGGCAAAGGTTGCAGTGAGCCAAGATCATGCCACTGCACTCCAGCCTGAGTGACAGAGCAAGGCTCCATCTCAAAAAAAAAAAAAAAAAAAAAAAAAAAGAGAGAGAGAATCGCTTGAATGAACCTAGGGGGCAGAGATTGCAGTGATTCAAGATCCCACCATTCCAGCTTGGGAGACAGAATGAGACTCTGTCTCAAACAAACAAAAAAAAGAGTTGTCAAATCAAACACGTAAGATTTGTAGGTTTTACAACTGGGCATGGTGGCTCACACCTGTAATCCTACCACTTTGGGAGGCGGAGGTGGGTGGATCACCTGAGGTCAGGAGTTCGAGACCAGCCTGGCCAACAGGGTGAAACCCTGTCTCTACTAAAAATTAAAAAATTAGCTGGGTATGGTGGTGCACGCCTGTAATCCTAGCTACTTGGGAGGCTGAGGTGGGAGGATTGCTTTAATCTGGGAGGTGGAGGTTGCAGTGAGTCAAGATAGCATCACTGCACTCCAGCCTGGGCAACAGAGGGAGACTGTCTCAAAAAAAAGAAAGAAAATAAGTTTTACATATCCAACCTAAAATAAAAGGAAAGTACAGGGCAAAGAGTACATTCATTTCAGATAAAATTATATTTATGAGTTTATACCTCTATTAATGTCCAGTCCCCTACTGAAAGCTGCCCCCTCCTTCGGTTGTTCTCCCCTCACCTCTGCCCCGTCTCCATGACATTTGTCCATTAGCCATTTTTTAGCCATCATGAGAGGTGATGTAATGGAAAAAGCACCAACCTTAGAGCCAGAACTGCATTCAAATCCTAGCTGCCATTTAGTTGCTGAGTGCCCATATGTTTCTTGGTCTCTCTCAGCCTTCCTTTCCTCAACTAGAAAATGGGTTAGCCTGAGGGGCTGCTCAGCCCACAGCCCCTCAGGCTCCAGTCTTAGAAGGCTGGACGAAGGCAGGGACGGGCGCAGAATGGGGACAGAGACTGAGTCCGTTCTGACATAGAAGTAGCAACAAGAACAAAAGCAGGGACACAGGCAGGTACCTAGTCTACTCAGTTGGGCCAGGGAACCTCATTATTTTTTACCTCAACCTGTGAGACCAACTCACATAAATGGTCCCACTAAAGGTCTGGAAGTGCTCAGAGGATGAGATTCACAGGCTTCTTCTCCCAGAAGGGCCAGAAGGCAGCCCTGTGGCCCTGGAGTTGGAGTGTAGGAGAGCTGGTGGTAAGAGCTGGGGAAATGGCTGCTCAGAGCCACCATGGCCAGACAAAGGCAGCTCCTAGCCTATGATTTAGGGGACAGGTCTCCTGGTAAGGTGTGGCCACTAGAGAAGTTTGCCCAAATCACGTTGCACACTTCTGGACCTCAGCTACTCCACCAAAAACTGGATCAGGTTGGATCTGAGCAATCTGACATCAAAAACGTTCTCAGGAGTTTCCCAATACATAGAGGAGATAAAGGAAGAACAGAACTGGTTCTGTCTGAAATAAGATAGGGAAGGGGCCAGAGCCCTGTCCTCTAGGTTCCCCTCCCCTACCATGGTGGCCCTTGAGGCAGGATGCCGGGCCTTACAGGACAGAGTTGAAACTTCTGGACTGGGCAATCCCTAGGGACTCGTTCAGCTCTGCCTTATTCAGTCATTGAGCACCTGTTACATGTAAATGAGATAACTTAGATCCACATGCTGCCCCCATCTGGTAGAGGAGGCAAAATTCACCCAGATGTAACTCCGAAAGAGGTAGAAAGTGCCTGATGTAGTCAAAGAAGCACAGAAATGCAGCAGAATAACCCTGTCCTCCACACCCCCCACTCCCAGAGCCCTCCTTCGCCATGCACTTGCATTTCCTTACTCAGAGACTGGAAGGAAGGTCTCCAGTAGTATCCTTATTTCACAATCGGGGAAACTGAGGCTCTGTCTGGGAAGGTGGTTCCTTACTGGCAGCAAGCGGCAGGCCAGGGCTGCACCCTACATCTCCTGCTTCCTCAGACACGCCTGTTTCCAGGTAAAGGAAGGAGGCAGCCCGGCCTGCTCAGGAGCCCGAAGGAGTGCAAAGGAAGAGCAAAGCCTCAAAACACCTGCCTCGGGTCTCGGTTCCTTCCTGCCGGAGGAGCGGCTCTCACACCCTCCGCGCCTCCCAGTCCCTCCCGGCCGCCACAGCGGGAAGATCGAGGAATCTCAAATCCCTCTGCTTCTCTGGCTCTTTGCGCGCTGACATTTTTTTCTTCTTCTTTTTACTGTTTTTTTTTTTTTTACTTTCTTCAAGAGTTTGTGCAATCATTGTGTTTAGCCGTTTTCCTGCCATTTCCAAACGCGGGGTGGTGTCCTTTTCGAGTAGGAGCAAGGTTTGAAGAGTTGGAGGAAACTCCCGCCTCCCATCGCCCCAGTGCTGCAGGCACCCCGGATGCCAAAGTTAGTGTCGGAAACTTTCCCCATGCTGGGCGTCTGACTGAGTCCTCGGCTCTCCGAAGCTCTCTGACATCTCCCTCTCTATTCCCTTCCTCCTTGGGGTTCCTGCGACCCTCACTTTATCCCCCCACTCCCAGATTCCCCTTCCCAGAGGCGCGCCCTTCCTATCTTGTCCTGGGCAAGAGCCATTCCTCTGTCCTGCCCCACAGGCAAGGACAGACCCCTCACTCACTGCGACTTACTTGGTCGCATCCTGTGTCCCCTGCGTCTCCCCTCTCTTCCCCCACCCCAACCCCGCGGACCCGTGGGGGAACCTCAGCTTGCAGCTCTTCAGGCTCCAGTCTTGGAAGGCTGGACAGAGGGAGGGACGGCCACAGGATGGGGACAGAGGGACAGAAACTGGGTCCGATTTGGCACCGAGGTAGCGACAAGAACAAAAGCAGGGACACAGGCAGGGCAGACACCGGGCAGCGCCGGAGCAGCGGCCCGCCTCCACTCCCTCACCACCCTCTCCCAAGCGCGGAGCCCCCCGTCCGTGTCCTGCTCGTGGCCTCCGGGGACCTGGGCGGCTCCCCGCGGGACCCACCTGATCCGCAGAACCAGGGCGCCGAGGGCCGGCGCGCGGTGAGCTGGGCTGAGCAGGACCGCGCCCAGCTCCCGGCCCCGGCGAAGCCCTACGCGCTCTGATCAGCCACCGCGCCGCCTCCGCCCGAGCGGAGGCGCGTCCTCCCGCCCGTGGGCCGGCCGGCCGGGCTTCTGCTCTGGGCAGAGCGCAGCGGGTAGGGGCGCGAGGAGCCGGCGAGCGCTGACAGCGGGCTGCGCCAAGCCGGTCCCCGCCCCGGACACAGACAGCTGGAAGGCCGGCGAGCGAGTGCGTGAGTGAGAGTGTGTGTGTGCCGGGGAGGCGGATAAAATCCCCGGTGAGAGTGGCTGGGCCTCTTTTGCCTTCTCGGGCCTGCACGTGGTGGTGGTGGTGTAGGTGATAGAGCAGGAACCCCGGGCGTTGGAGGATGGGGTGGGGTCTGTGCTGTGCTGCTGGGAGGGGCTGCGCTGCGCTGGCGCACGGCCAAACTCTGGGAAACTCAGAGCCTTGGAGATCTGATCCACCGTTTGTTTCCCGAGGAAGGAAGAGCGCGAATGTAGACAGCGGCAGGCCGGGGCTGGAGTCGCTCTTGCGAGAGTCCTGAGCTCTGGAAGTGAGGGCTGGGCGTTGGGCACCTGGTTCAGGGTCTGCCCGCGTTTGCGCACTGACTTCATGATCTGTGAGCCCAGAGTGTCTCAAACGGGGCTCTAAGGCAGCCCCTAGGCTGTGGAATAACTCTTTAGTAGAATTATGTAGAAAGGAATCCAAACATTCGATTTCAGAGTGTGCGCTTCTGTGCCCAGTGTGGCAGCAATTCACTCAGAGAGTTGCTGTGGCCACAACTGGCTGCCCTCAGTTCTCTTGTCTTATACTGATAGCGACAAGGTCTTCTCACTCCCGCTCATATCAATCTACTTTACAGGTGGAAAAGTCAGAACTTCATTTTGCCATTTGCCGTTGAACGTCATTTTCATAGACTAAGAAATTCGCTTCTTAAATAATTCGGCCGGGCGCGGTGGCTCACGCCTGTAATCCCAGCACTTTGGGAGGCCGAGGTGGGCGGATTGCTTGAGCTCAGGATTTCCAGACCAGCTTGGGCAACGTGGCGAAACCCCGTCTCTACAGAATATAGAAAAATTCCCCAGGCCTGGTGGCGTGCACCTGTAATCCCAGCTACTCGGGAGGCTGGAGACTGAGAAAGAAAAGAAAAAATAAAAAATAAATACAAATAAAAATCAAACTGCCAGGCCAGGCGAGGTGGTTCTAGCTTGTAATCCCAGCAGTTTGGGAGGCCAAGATGGGTGGATTACCTGAGGTCGGGAGTTCGAGAGTAGCCTGGCCAACATGGTAAAACCCTGTCTCTACTAAAAATACAAAAAATTAGCTGGGCATGGTGGCACACGCCTATAATCCCAGCTACTTGGGAGCCTGAGGCAGGAGAATCACTTGAACCCAGGAGGTGGAGGTTGAAGTGAGCCGAGATTGCGCCACTGCACTGCAGCCTGGGTGACAGAGCGAAACTCAGTCTTAAATGAATAGACAAACAAACAAACAAAAAAATCAAACTGCCATGAAAACTACTTTACCCAAAATTTTAGTTCACAGCCTTCATTGGATTATCTATTGGGGCAAACAAAGTAAAACCAGCGAGCTTGTATTGCTATCTCATGGCTACAGTTCCAAGCTATTGGATCTTTGTTTGTGTCGGTATATACATGTCTAGATGTGTTTATTTGTAGGTACACTTACTGTTATATCTTGTGCCTACCAAATTGGCATATAAATAAAAGAGTGCTCATAAATTAACTAAATAAGTCTAAGCAATTTTCAAGTTCATATGACTTAAGTATAACTTTAATAAACAGGCTGGTTTTAAAATTATTGGTAAAATAGAAATGCTTTCAGAATTGTCAGCATACATTTTTGTCTGGACTTTATATTTGTCTCTGCTAAATACTTTGAGGTGTCAGAGTTTGGCATAGAAGGTTATAAAACTATAAACCCAGCCAAAACAAAATGATCTTGGTTTGCGTGCTTTTTTTTTTTTTTTGACAAATGAGAGTTAATTTAATACTATTAGCTAAATCTTCTGAGTTGTTGGCAAAAATAGCTATGTATTTAACTTTGATATCCTTCCTTATGTTTAGGTGAGCACCTGATGCTCACTGGCTATTAAAAACATGGTTAGGCCGGGCACAGTGGCTCACGCCTGTAATCCCAGCACTTTGGGAAGCCGAGGTGGGCGGATCACTTGAAGTCAGGAGTTCAAGACCAGCCTGACCTCCACCTACTGGGTTCAAGGGATTCTCCTGCCTCAGCCTCCTGAGTAGCTGGGACTACAGGCACATGCCACCATGCCCAGTTAATTCTTTTATTTTTAGTAGAGACAGGGTTTCACCGTGTTAGCCAGGATGGTCTCAATCTCCTGACCTCGTGATCTGCCTGCCTCAGCCTCCCAAAGTGCTGGGATTACAGGCATGAGCCACTGGAATATTCTTAATTCATGGCAATGTGTTTGTTTGCATACAGTCGAGCAGCATCATTTGGGCCGCTCAAGGAGAAAGAACCCAGAAACCTAACATGCCAACAATAGGGTAAGAATTTCTTTCTTTTTTTTTTTTTTTTGAGATGGAGTCTCGCCCTGTCACCCAGGCTGGAGTGCAATGGTGTGATCTCGGCTCACTGCAACCTCTGCCGCCTAGGTTCAAGTGATTCTCCTGCCTCAGCCTCCGGAGTAGCTGAGATTACAGGTACCTGCCACCACACCCGGCTACTTTTTGTAGTTTTTAGTAGAGGTGGGTTTCACCATCTTGGCCAGGCTGGTCTTGAACTCCTGACCTCGTGATCCACCCACCTCGGCCTCCCAAAGTGCTGGGATTACAAGTGTGAGCCACCGCGCTGGCCTAGGGTAAGAATTTCCTACCAGTTGGACTTCTGGCCCCTCTCTCTCTCTCTGCAAACTGGTTGAATGACTTATAAAAGATTATAATAATTCATGACAATGCAAATTTTTGTAAACCTTTTACATGTTTGGTAGCCTTCCCAGGATCACATTTCAGTTCTGAGGTTGTCTTTTTTTTTTTTTTTCCTTTGGGACAGAGTCTCGCTCTATGGCCCAGGCTGGAGTGCAGTGGCATGATCTTGGCTCACTGCAACCTCCGCCTTTCATTTTCATTACATCTCTGCTTTTGTTGCTTCATTTTTTCCTTGCTTTGTTTCTGCATTTTTGTCCAATTCTTTGCTCAGAATGCCAAGAACCTACACACCCTCCACCGGTAACACTTCCTTTTTTTTTGATATGGAGTTTCGCTCTTGTTGCCCAGGCTGGAGAGCACTGGCTCGATCTCAGCTCACTGTAACCTCCACTTCCCGGGTTCAAGTGATTCTCCTGCCCCAGCCTCCTGAGTAGCTGGGATTATAGTTGTATGCCACCATGCCTGGCTAATTTTTGCATTTTTAGTAGAGACGGGGTTTCGCCATGTTGGCCAGGCTGGTCTCAAACTCCTGACCTCAGGTGATCTGTCCACCTTGACCTCCCACAGTGCTGTGATTACAGGCTTGAGCCACCACGCCTGGCCTAACACTTCTGTTAAGCCCACCTGGAGCCTACTACTGGTAGGCCCTCCCCAGTGACTTGGATAACCACCTCTTGCATTTCTTGCATTTCCTCTTCCCATCCTCTCTCACCCTGTCCTCCCTCTGTCCTCCCCTTTCTTCCTCAGATTCTCCATGTCAGAAACACCAAGGTGAGGTGGCCTCTGGCAGGCAGGGTTTGGAATGCACTTCCAGAATGTTCTTGGCAGGGAAAATGCCCTCCTTGAGATCTTGGTGGGGAAGAGAAATGTCAGTAACAGTGAGCTGGGAGGCAGGGGGAGGATCGATTTCCCCAAAGTCTGATGAGCCTTTTTCACAGAAATACCAGATAAAGGAAGTGCAAAACTTCCACAGAACTAGAAAAACACACAGCCCAGGAACCCTGAGAGATGGCCAGTCCCAGCCCTCAATTTATAGATGAGGAAACGAGATCCAGATGGCAGTGACTTCCTCACAATCACAAGCTTGGCATTTGCAGAGCTAGGTTTTGTTCCCATAGCTCTCTCACTTGCTTCTCAGCCCCACGCAGGTGGGGAAACTCCTAGGTCTTGGGGGCCTGGGGGGAGGTGTTTTAAAGAAATTCCCAGGAGTGGTAAGGTTGGTCCGGAGAAGCAGAAGGGAACGTGAGAGTAGAGTCTTGGAGGAAGTGGAATGAACAGACAGCATTTGGAAGGGGTGCGGGGCAGGGAAAAGTATGTGTGCCCTGGCACGGGAGAAGGACCGTGAGATCCCTGCAGGAGGACATTGGGCCAGAGAGGCCAGCTGAGGAGTCACAGCAGGGAGGCTTGGAAGGGGAAGACCAGGGGTTTGCATTTTATATTTTTTCCTTTTTTTTTTTTTTCTTGAGACGGAGTCTTACTCTGCCTTCCAGGCTGGAGTGCAGTGGAGCAATCTCAGCTCACTGCAACCTCTGCCTCCCGGGTTCAAGTGATTCTCCTGCCTTATCCTCCTGAGTAGATGGGACAACAGGTACTACCATGCCTGGCTAATTTTTGTATTTTTAGTAGAGACAGGGTTTCACCATGTTGGCCAGGCTGGTCTCGAACTCCTGACCTTGTGATCCGCCTGCCTCGGCCTCCCAAAGTGCTGGGATTACAGGCATGAGCCACCACACCTGACCTGTAAACCTTTTTACACTTTCAGATTGTTGTTCCATGAGAATGTCTTATGTATTTTTAAAATTAAGTACATAAAAACAATTTTAAAACACACATTTAAAAAAGCTAACGTACCAGGTCTTCTCGAGAGTTTGCATGTTATCTTCTGGGCATTAGAAATAAAATTTGTATGTAGTAGAACAAGCCTGAGATAATCCACCTAGCTTCAGATTCTTTTTTTTTTTTTTTCCTTGAGACAGGATCTCTGTTGCCCAGGCTGGAGTGCAATGGCGCCATTTTGGCTCACTGTAGCCTCAACCTCCCAGACTCAAGCGATCCTCCCACCTCAGCCTCTTGAGTATTGGGATGACAGGTGCATGCCACCACACCTGGCTTTTTTTACGTTTTTAAGAGACAGGGTCAGGTCAGGCACAGTGGCTCACGCCTGCAATCCTAGCACTTTGGGAGGCTGAGGCAGGTGGATCATGAGGTCAAGAGATCGAGACCATCCAAGCCAACATGGTGAAACTGCATCTGTACTAAAAATACAAAAAATTAGCTAGATGTGGTGGCTCATGCATGTTGTCCCAGCTCCTTGGGAGGCTGAGGCAGGAGAATCGCTTGAACCCGGGAGGCGGAGGTTGCAGTGAGCCGAGATCACACCACTGCATTCCAGCCTGGGCAACAGAGCTAGACTCCATCTCAGGGGAAAAAAAAAAAAGAGAGAGAGAGAGTGACAGGGTCTCGTTGTGTTGCCCAGGTTGGTCTTTTTATTTTGTTTTGAAATGGAGTCTCACTCTGCCGCCCAGGCTGGAGTGTGATGGTGCGATCTCGGCTCACTGCAGTCTCTGCCTTCTGGGTTCCAGCGATTCTCCTGCCTCAGCCTCCCGGGTAGCTGGAATTACAGGCATGTGCCACCACGCCCGGCTAATCTTTTTGTACTTTTAGTAGAGACAGGGTTTCACCATGTTGGCCAGGCTGGTCTTGAACTCCTGACCTCTAGTGATCCACGCCTCGGCCTCCCAAAGTGCTGGGATTACAGGCGTGAGCCGCCGTGCCCGGCCAGCAACAGCCATTCTGATGACGGTGTTGCTCACTATGAAAGAGCTCGTCTATCTCTAAAATGGATTCATAGACCCTGTCTCTCAGGCGGATCCACGGGGACTGGATTAAGGGGCTGCGGGTGCTGTGCTGGCCCACAGAGAGCTTGGGTTTTGTTTTCCCGCTGTTGTAGAAAGAAGACCCCTTGGCTGAGCCAATCTGAGCTGCTGAGTATTGCAAAAAGGGGAGATTATTTGGCTCAGGAAGGAATGGAAGACATCCCACCCTCGGCGGGGAGCTTAAGCACCCTCCCTACCAAAGAGAGTATACAAGCCCTTTGCATTTCTAAGTTCCTAACCTTCCGGATAAGCCCTGAAGCCTTGGGTCAGAGAAAGGGGCAGAATGCATGCTTAATGTTTCTGGGGGATGAAAAGGAGAGTTTCCCCTGGGGGGAAGGGGCAGTGAGTGGGCACCGCAAACCCCCAGGGCACCAGTGGCTGAGCTCAGCACTGAGAGATGAAATTGCTGGCTGAGCCCCCATGCTTAGAAGGATCACGGTGGCCTGAACCAGAAACTGGGTGATATGAGGCAGCCACAGTGGATAGATACAGAAGACTGTCACCCAAGCAGTGCCACACAGCAGCTAGCAGCATGGCATTGGCGGTAGGGAAAACATAAACAGCGGCTTCTCTCTGTGATGCCTGTATCCATCCCCAGCATCCCTGACGACACAGCACTTCCTGGAGCAGCTGGTTTTAATTTAACTTGAAGAATGGAGATGGAGTATGATTTGCTGCCCAGTGAGTGGAAGGGTTAGGGTTAGGGTTTGTATTTGTCAGCAGAACTTAGAAGAGAGGGCTATGAGTCCCTGGTGAACACCTGGGGGATCAGGAGCAGGTTACATTCCCCAACTGGAACCAGGCACTCTTTGCCCTGTCCACTTCTGCTGGCTCTCAGCATCTCAGGCCTCTCGGGAAATTCAGAGACCCGACTATCCAGGAACAAACCAGACCTAGGCAAGCAGGAGGCCTCAGGGCAGGACTCGGACCCCAAAACACATGTCTGGCCCTAGAGCAAGGCTGATGGGGGAGGAGGGAGGGAGAGGCCGAGCAAGAGCAGAAGGAAATGAGCTGCACACGTCTGCAAAGGCTCAAAATGACTTTAGCATTGCCAAGACAACAAGAGGTTCAAATGTCCACAAATTATGTTTATCGTGCAAAAAACCCATTTTTTCCCACATTGGAGATGAGGAACAGCAAGCCATGATGTTAGGGGAGCCAACTGGAGTTCTGTACAGAGAAGGCTGGGCCCCGATTGACTAACGCCTGTAATTCCAGCACTTTGGGAGGCTGAGGCAGGTGGATCACCTGAGGTCAGGAGTTTGAGACCATCCTGGCCAACATGGTGAAATATAAAATTTTTAGTCTGTACCAAATTTAGTTAAATTTAGTTAATTTAGTGAAATACTAAATTTTTAGTCTGTACTAAAAATACAAAAATTAGCGGGGCATTGTGGTGCACACCTGTAATCCTAGCTACTCGGGAAGGTGATGCATGAGAATCACTTGAACCCAGGAGGCGGAGGTTACAGCGAGCCAAGATTGAACCATTGCACTCCACCCTGGGCGACAGAGTGAGACTTCATCTAGGGAAAAAAAAATGCTCTGTACAGAGAAGCTAGAGACTTCTTGTCTCTGAGCCTCAGTTTTCCCATCCATAAAATGAGGATTATAACATTTGCCAGATAGGGTTGTTGCGGGGAATTAAAATAAATGGAATATACAAGCAGTTTAGCATCATTGTCCTCATTATGACTTAAGGAGTGAGCATGTTGCTCTGTGCGGGCCTTTTTTATCTGCATGACCTCATTCAGTCCTCACTATGGTCCTACTAGACAGATGGCAGAGCTGGAACCCAGAGAGGTAGAGTGATTTTCCCAGGGTTGTTCAGCTTTACAGTGGCAGAGCCTGACCTGAAACCCAGGGAGTGTGACCCCAGCTTTCAGGCTCTGGGTCTCTTCCACTACTTCTTCTTTAAATAATAATAATAATTGTTATTATTATTTTAGAGACAGGGTCTCCTGCTCTCAAGTGATCCTCCCGCCTAAGTGCTGGGATTACAGACACGACCACCGCACCCGGCTCTCCCGGGGCTTCTGATCCAAAGCAGGTTGTTATCCATGCTCAGTGTAAGGTTGAAATCTATAGTGGGAATACAAAGACAGGAAGAGTCATTCTAAGAAGGGTTCTTGGATGGGGGCAAGATTTGAGCTAAAATTTTCCAAGGAAAAGCAGGATATTAGGAGGAGGAAAGTGGGACAGAGGGGAGGCCTTGCTAGGCAGCAGCTACAGTTGGAACAAAGTCGGGGCAGTGGAGACACAGGAGGCATACTGAAGAGTCGCAGGAAGATTCAGCCTACCGCTGAAGCCTCCATGGCAGAGAAGTGAGCAGGGGCTTCCCAATTGGAGCTATTTCTTTACAAAAAGGAGCTGTCATTTTTCTTTTCTTTCTTTTTTTTTTTTTTTTTTTTTTTTGGCTGGGGGGACGGAGGCTTACTCTGTCACCCAGGCAGGAGTGCAATGGCGTGGTCTCAGCTCACTGCAAGCTCCACCTCCTGGGTTCAGGCGATTCTCCCGCCTCAGCCTCCCAAGTAGCTGGGACTACAGGCACATGCCACCATGACCGGCTAATTTTTGTATTTTTAGTAGAGATGGGTTTCACTATGTTGACCAGGCTGGTCTTGAACTCCTGACCTCGTTATCCTCCTGCCTTGGCCTCCCAAAATGCTGGGGTTACAGGAGTGAGCCACTGTGCCCGGCCGTGGAGCTGTCATTTTTCTTCCAGGTCCCTTCACAAATCCATCAGACTGAAGTGCCATGTGGGCAAGGACTGGCTGGGTATCCTCTGCTGTTGCAGCCCCAGTGCTTAGCACAGTGTCTGGACCATGGTAGGCACTAGACATTTGCTGAATGAATGGAAATGGGAGGGTATGTATTCTCGTCCATTTCTTATTTTTGACAGACTTACTCCTCTGTGACCCTACAACCTTGTCTCTCCCTGCAAAGAAATCAGACTGAAAGTGGAGTGGGGGTGGGAATTAGGGGAGGGATATGATGGAAACCAGCCCCACTGACAAGCATTTATCTCAAGATACTGAAGCCACAGCCAAATCCCTTTCCCAGCACCTGTTCACTAGGGTGCATTGGGAGCCAATTCTCCAGTGGTTTTTCAAGTCTTACAAGCAGAGCCACTGACTGCCTTTTGTTCTGGACTACCTTTCCATGCAAATAGCCTTGGAAGGCAGAGCCTGTGGCTCTCTGAATTAAAGGGCAAGCATGCTTACTGCCCTTATAAAAGATTATAAAAGATTTAGGTTCTTCAAATCAGTGTCAGTCTCTTGTAATGCAACACACTGTGGGTGAACTCATACAGCTGAACTCATCTGTGTCACCCATGTCGAGTTGCCAGTTAAAATACAAGACTTCCCCTTCAATTTGAATTTCAGATAAATAAAGAATACTTTTTTTAGGAATACTTTTTTAGTATATGCACATCCCATGCAATATTTGGGACATGCTAAAAATGTATTCATTGTTAATCTAAAATTCAAATCCAACTGGGTGCTCTATATTTTTGTTTTCTAAATCTGGCAGCCCTACTCCCGTGGGACTTGGGGGTAAGAGGAACTAATGCAAATATGTTGATACTTATGCTGCTTCTCATGCTGTGAGGAATAAAATCTTTTGTCTCTGACCCAGGAATCTTGTGTGTTCTGTTAGCACTCAAGTTAGCTACCATGTAGGGTAAAATCTTATGCTCTCCACAGTTCTTAGTAGATATCCCCAACCTAAGCTTGGAGCCTGGCATAGATTTGACTGTGAAATATATCTGTAGGATGAGTGGTTATCAATCCATAGGAACTGCCGCCAAGTACACAGAATTCCTCAGAGATTGGGAATTTGTTACTGGTGCTTTGTGCGCAACTTTACATCTCACTAACGCATTGTTGTTACCATGGTTACTATAACTATATCGTGCTTCATAGCTTCCAAAGAGCATTCCATGCATTTCCTCATTCAGTTTCCCAATGACTTGCTGAAATATGTGTGATTATTCTTACTTTAGGAATTAGAAATTGAAGTTCAGGGTCAAGTGTTTTTTTTTTTTTTTTGAAACAGAGTCTCGCTCTATTGCCTAGGCTGGAGTGCCATGGTACAATCTCAGCTCACTGCAACCTCCGCCTCCCGGGTTCAAGCGATTCTCCTGCCTCAGCCTTCTGAGTAGCTGGGAATACAGGCGTGTACCACCATGCCTGGCTAATATTTGTATTTTTTAGTAGAGACGGAGTTTCTCCATGTTGGTCAGGCTGGTCTCGAACTCCCGACCTCAGGTCATCTGCCCACCTTGGCCTCCCAAGTGGTGGGAATACAGGTGTGAGCCACCGCACCCGGACTTTTTTTTTTTTTTGAGGTGGAGTTTTGCTCTTGTCACCCAGGCTGGAGTGCAGTGGCGTGATCTTGGCTCACTCAACCTCTGCCTCTCAGGTTCAAACAATTCTCCTGCCTCAGCCTCTCAAGTAGCCAGAATTACATGTGCCTGCCACCACGCCCAGCTAATTTTTGTATTTTTAGTAGAGACAGCATTTCACCATGATGGCCAGTCTGGTCTCCAACTACCAACCTCAGGCAATCTGCCTGCCTTGGCCTACCAAAGGATTACAGGCGTGAGCCATGGCGCCCATTCCTCCCCCCTGCTTTTTTTTTTTTTTAAGACTCATTAAGACATTTTGGAAAATGCTTAGAGGCAAAACATTACTTGAAATTTATTATTTTTTCCTATTTTTAGCAAAATGACGCCTTGATTTTTGGCACAGGAAATGAAAAAGAACACCATGAAGGCCACCACACTGCACAATTCCAGAGGATGTTGCAGGACTAGCAGGGATCCCAATGGGCACCATTCACTGTGCTCCATGTACTCTAAGTCAACAGTGCCTCCTGGAGTTGTGCAAGGTAGTAGCCTTGGCAGCATTGATTACCTAAAAAGAGGTGTTGAGACAGAGCTGCTTGTCTCCTTGTCTCTGGGGCCTTTCGCATATTTCCCATAAAGCCTTTTTTTTTTTTTTGGTGAGACAGAGTCTCACTCTGTCACCCGGGCTGGAGTGCAATGGCATGATCTCGGCTCACTGCAACCTCCACTTCCCAAATTCAAGTGATTCTCCTGCCTCAGCCTCCCAAGTAGCTGAGAGTACAGGCATCCACCACCATGCCTGGCTACTTTTTGTAATTTTAATAGAGACAGGGTTTCACCATGTTGACCAGGCTGGTCTCGAACTCCTGGCTTCAAGTGATCTGCCTGCCTCGGCCTCTCAAAATGCTGGGATTACAGGTGTGAGCCACCGCACCCGCGCCAGGCCCCATAAAGCATGGAAGGCAAATTTTTCCAATGGCAGACAGCAGTGAAACCACATTTAGCCTCTTGAGCCAGAGGAAATGCAGTGGAGGCCAAACTCCCCCACCATGTAAAGAGGGGAGGGAGCATTATCTGCCGTTAGAGCTAGCCTCAGGATGCAGCGGAAGCAGCTGCTGACTGAGTTTGACATACGGTGAGCCAGGCGGGCCCTGATGCCCTTATCTACTCTCCTGCCAGCTCTTCCAGGGCCTGAAAACACCAACCCCTTCAGCCTGTGGATGCTTTCCAGCCTGCAAGCCTCCCAAGAAAATGTAATTACCCCTCACCCCCAAAGAAAGACCCCCTTGGATCGCACTGTCCCCAAGTACTCAAGGGTGATATTAGTCAGGGTATGGCCGGAGGGTATAATACCTGGGACGTTAGCAAATGTTGCAAGAAAAAAACGGTTTCATGCTTATGTAAGTTCAGACAATCTGCATCCTGCACATTCTCTGAAGAGAGTCACAGTGCATGCTAAAGTGCTGAGAAGTCCTGGGGAACCAAGACTTTGACTTGTTAGAGCACAGAGTGTCTATTTATATCCACCCAGCATGGGAAATGCTGGGCATACGAGATCTGGTCAACAACTCATTAAGAACCAGGCTTGCAGCCAGGCGCAAAGGCTCATGCTTGTAATCCCAGCACTTTGGGAGGCCAAGGTGGGCAGATCACAAGGTCAGGAGATCAAGACCAACCTGGCTAACACGGTGAAACTCCGTCTCTACTAAAAATACAAAAAATTAGCCGGGCATGGTGGCGGGCGCCTGTAGTCAGCTACTCGGGAGGCTGAGGCAGGAGAATGGCATGAACCCGGGAGGCAGAGCTTGCAGTGAGCTGAGATTGTGCCACTGTACTCCAGCCTGGGTGACAGGGCGAGATTTCATCTCAAAAAAAAAAAAAAAAAAAAAAAAAACCAGGTTTGCAGGGATGGACCACGGGGGCAAGACAGATGTTCTGTAAAGTACATAACCATGTGGTTCAGATGTCAGGCAGGCATGAGTTCAAGTTTTGCCACTGTGATTTAGAACTATACAGTCTTGAGCAGGTTACTGAATTTCCCTGACCTCAAGTTTCTTTTTTTTTTTCTTTTTTTTTTATTTTGAGATGGAGTCTTCCTTTGTCACCCAGGCTGGAGTGCAGTGGCATGATCTTGGCTTACTGCAACCTCCCCATCCTGGGTTCAAACGATTCTCCTGCCTCACCCTCCCCGAGTAGCTGGGACTACAGGTATGCACCACCATGCCCAGCTTATCTATTTATTTATTTATTTTGCATTTTTAGTAGAGATGAGGTTTCACCATGTTGGCCAGGCCGATCTCGAATTCTTGACCTCAGATGATCCGCCTGTCTTGGCCTCCCAAAGTGCTGGGATTACAGGCATGAGCCACTGCTTGTGGCCAAGTTATTCTTTACTTTCGGATGCTACAACATCTTCTAATTTCATCTATATTTTCCCTGTTCCAATCCTGGAATCAACCATTTCTTCAAGAAAATGGAGGAGAAATTCTATGGAGTCCTTATTTCTTTTATTAGGGAACAGTATTTGAAAGTAAAATCTAGGTGCAGAATGTCCTCATTGTTGTTGAGGTGTCATGGATTCTAGTCCCTCTCCACAGACAGAGCTAGGGACTGTGTTTCTGTGTACTCATATGCCAATTGTGATGGTTACCTTCATGTGTTAACTTGACTGGGCCAGAGATGTGTGGTCATACATTATTCTGGATGTTTCTATGAGGGTGTTTTTGGATGAGATTAACATTTAAATTAAGCCAGGTGCAGTGGCTCATGCCACCGGGCAGATCACCTATAGTCAGGAGTTCGAGACCAGCTTGGTCAACATGGTGAAAACCAATCTCTTCTAAAAAATACAAAAATTAGCTAGGCGTGGTGGCGCCTGCCTGTAGTCCCAGCTACCTGGGAGGCTGAGGCAGGAGAGTCGCTTGAACCCAAGAGGTGGAGATTGCAGTGAGCCAAGATCATGCCACTGCACTACAGCATGGGCGACAGAGTGAGACTCCATCTCAAAAAAAAAAAACTTTTTAGTGGACTTGAGTAAAGTAGATTGGCCTCCATCATACGAGTGGGCCTCGCCCATCAGTTGAAGGCCTGAACAGAGAAAAATGGCCCACGAGCAGGAGGGAATTCTGCAACAGATGCCTTTGGATGTGAACTGCAGCATTGGGCCCTGGGTCTTAGTCTGCCAGTCTACTCTCAGATTTTAGACTTGCCAGCCTCCATAATCGCATGAGCCAATTCCTTAAAATAAATATATTTCACTCTATATACACATCCTACTCGTTCTTTTTCTGTGGAGAACTCTGACTAATGCACACACAAACATTTCTCTCTCTTTTCTTTTGTATATGCACATGTATATTGATATGGTTTGGATCTGTGTCCCTACTAGCATTAGTCCATTTTCACGCTGCTGATGAGACATACCAGAGACTGGGCAATTTACAAAAGAAGGAGGTCTAATTGGACTTACAGTTCCACGTGGCTGGGGAAGGTCTCACAATCATGGTGGGAGGAGAAAGGCACTTCCTTACATGGCAGCAGCAAGAGAGAATGAGGAAGATGCAAAAGCGGAAACCCCTGATAAAACCATCAGATCTCGTGGGACTTATTCACTACCATGAGAACAGTATGGGGGAAGCCACCCCCATGATTCAAATTATCTCCCTCCAGGTCCCTTCCACAAAACATTGGAATTATGGGAGTACAATTCAAGATGAGATTTGGGTGGGGACACAGAGCCAAACCATATCATTCTGCCCCTGGCCCCTCCAAATCTCATGTCCTCATATTTCAAAACCAATCACGCCTTCCCAACAGTCCCCCAAAGTCTTAACTCATTTCAGCATTAACCCAAAAGTCCACAGTCCAAAGTCTCATCTGAGACAAGGCAAGTCCCTTGCACCTATGAGCCTGTAAAATCAAAAGCAAGCTAGTTACTTCCTAGATGCATTGGGGGTACAGGTATTAGGTAAATACAGCTGTTCCAAATGGGAGAAATTGGCCAAAACAGAGTGGTTGCAGGGCCCATGCAAGTCTGAAATTCAGTGGGGCAGTCAAATTTTAAAGCTCCAAAATGATTTCCTTTGACTCCAGATCTCACATCCAGGTCACGCTGATGCAAGAGGTTGGTTCCCATGGTCTTGGGCAGCTCCACCCCTGTAGCTTTGCAGGGAACAGCCTCCCTTCTGGCTCCTTTCATGGGCTGGCGTTGATTGTCTGTGGCTTTTCCAGGCGCACGGTGCAAGCTGTCAGTGGCTCTACCATTCTGTGGTCTGGAGGACAGTGTCCCTCTTCTCACAGCTCCACTAGGCTGTGCCCCAGTAGGGACTCTGTGTGGGGGCTCCGACCCCAAATTTCCCTTCTGCACTGCCCTAGCAGAGGTTCTTCATGAGGGCCCCGCCCCTGCAGAAAACCTTTGCCTGGGCATCCAGGCGTTTCCATACATCTTCTGAAATCTAGATGGAGGTTCCCAAACCTCAATTCTTGACTTCTGTGCACCCACAGGCTCAAAACCATGTGGAAGCTGCCAAGGCTTGGGGCTTCCACCCTCTGAAGCCATAGTCTAAGCTGTACATTGGCCCCCTTTCAGCCATAGCTGGAGCAGCTGGGACACAGGGCACCAAGTCCCTAGGCTGCACACGGCACAGGGACCCTGGGCCTGCCTACAAAACCACTTTTTCCTCCTGGGCCTCCTGCCTGTGATGGGAGAGGCTGCCATGAAGTTCTCTGACAAGGCCTGGAGACATTTTTCCCATGGTCTTGGGGATTAACATTAGGCTCCTTGCTACTTATGCAAATTTCTGCAGCCGGCTTGAATTTCTCCCCTGAAAATGGGTTTTTCTTTTCTATCGCATAGTCAGGCTGCAACTTTTCCAAACTTTTATGCTCTGCTTCTCTTATAAAACTGAATGCCTTTACCAGCACCCAAGTCACCTCTTGAATGCTTTGCTGCTTAGAAATTTCTTCCACCGGATACCCTAAATCATCTCTCTCAAGTTCAAATTTTCACAAATCTCTAGGGCAGGGGCAAAATGCCACCAATCTCTTTGCTAAAACATAAAAAGAATCACCTTTGTTCCAGTTCCCAACAAATTCTTCATCTCCATCTGAGACCACTTCAGCCTGGATTTTATTGTCCGTATCACTATCAGCATTTTGGCCAAAGCTATTCAACATGTCTCTAGGAAGTTTCAAATTTTCCCACATTTTCCTGTCTTCTTCTTAGCCCTCCAAACTGTTCCAACCTCTGCCTGTTACCCAGTTCCAAAGTCGCTTCCACATTTTGGGATGTCTTTTCAGCTACACCCCACTCTACTGGTACCAATTTACTGTATTAGTCCATTTTCATGCTGCTGATAAAGACATAGCTGAGACTGGGTAATTTACAAAATACGGAGGTTTAATTGGACTTACAGTTCCAAGTGGCTGGGGAAGGTCTCACAATCATGGCAGAGGGCAAAAGGCACTTCTTACATGGTGATGGCAAGACAAAATGAGGAAGATGCAAAAGCAGAAACTCCTGATAAACCCATCAGATCTTGTGAGACTTATTCACTACCATGAGAACAGTATGGGGGAAACTGCCCCCATGGTACAAATTATCTCCCACTAGGTCCTTCCTACAACATGTGGGAATTATGGGAGTACAATTCACGATGAGATTTGGGTGGGGACACAGAGCCAAACCATATCACCACTCAAATCTCATAGTCAACTGTAATCCCCGGTGTTGGAGGTGGGGCCTGGTGGGAAGTGATTGAATCGTGGGGGTGGTTTCTCATGGTTTAACACCATCCCCCTTGGTGCTGTCATGGTGATAGTGAGTTCTCATGATATCTAGTTGTTTTTTTGTTTTTGTTTTTGTTTTTGTTTTGAGACGGAGTCTTGCTCTATCACCCAGGCTGGAGTGCAGTGGCATGATCTTGGCTCACTGCAACCTCCACCTCCCAAGTTCAAGCAATTCTCTTTCCTCAGCCTCTCAAGTAGCTGGGATTACAGGTGCATGCCACCGCGCCCAGCTAATTTTTGTATTTTTAGTAGAGACAGTGTTTCACCATGTTGGCCAGACTGGTCTTGAACTCTGACCTTGTGATCCACCCACCTCGGCCTCCCAAAGTGCTGGGATTACAGGCATGAGCCACCTGCCCAGCCTGTTTTTGTTTTTTTGTGAGACGGAGTCTCGCTCTGTCACCCAAGCTGGAGTACAATAGTGTGATCTCACCTTACTGCAACCTCCGCCTCCATGGTTCAAGCGATTCTCCTGCCTTAGCCTCTTGAGTAGCTGGGATTACAGGCACCTGCCACCATGCCCGGTCAATTTTTGTATTTTTGGTAGAGAACGGGGTTTCTCCATGTTGGTCAGGCTGGTCTCGAACTCCTGACCTTGTGATCTGCCCACATCGGCCTCCCAAAGTACTGGGATTACAGGTATGAGCCACCACACCCAGCCTGATATCTGGTTATTTAAAAGTGTGTGGGCCAGGTGTGGTGGCTTACGCCTGTAGTCCCAGAATTTTGGGAGGCCAAGACAGGTGAATTGCTTGAGCTCAGTAGTTTGAGACTAGCTTGAGCAACAGGGTAAAACTCCACCTCTACCAAAAATACAAAAAATTAGCTGGGTATGGTGGTGTGCACCTGTGGTCTCAGCTACTCAGGAGGCTGAGGCAGGATCGCTTGAGCCCAGGAGGTGGAGGTTGCAGTGAGCCAAGATTGTGCCACTGCACTCCAGCCTGGACAACACAGTGAGACCTTGTCTCAATAAATAAACAAACGAATAAATAAATAAATAATGAATAAAAGTATGTGGCATCTCCCCCCACCATCTCTTGGTCCTGCTCCTGCCATGTTAAAAGGCCCATTCCCGCTTTGCCCTCCACCATGAGTAAAAGCTGCTTTGCCTTTTGCCATGAATAAAAGTTTCCTAAGGCCTCCCTAGAAGCAGATGCTGCCGTGCTTCCTGTACAGCCTGTGGAACCGTAAGCCAGTTGAACTTCCTTTCTTATAAGTTATCCAGACTCAGGTATTTCTTTATAGCATTGCAAGAACAGACTAATACATATGTATTATATATTATAGTATATCTACATAGTCGATCTGGTACCAGATTTTGGAGGCAACATATTTCTCACTTGGGTGTGTTACTCTGGCCCATCTATTGAGTGACTTAAAAAGCTGCTAGTTTTGAGTGGGACCCAGAACAGGAGAAGACTCTGCAACAGGTAGGTATGTGAGGACAGTGGGGACGAAAGGCCATGGAGGGGAAAAGAGATAAGGGGAAAGTGACACTTCTCTGTGCAAGCAGCTCTACCACTTTGGCCGTATGATTCAACAGATCCAATGGTTCTTGAGGTGTCAGTGGCAAGAGGGGCGCTGTTTGGAGCCTTTGGCCAACCTCTATAGGTGAATTGCAGCACAGGCCCTTAGGATTTTGGAGCCAGGCCTTGCCATCATCTGCACATAACTATTCTCCTTTTGAGAGACAGCTCTTGGCCTGCGGCTGGACTTTGTAGTAGCTGGATGCTTGACCATGGGCCACCAAGTTATCATGTGACTCGGTGGGCATTATCTGACCCACCAAGCTGTAAAGTTGGGCATACACAGCAGCACTCCATCATCAAATGGAAGTGGTGGATACATGACAGGGCTCAAGCAGGTCCTAAAGGCACAAGTAAGTTGCATGAGGAAGTGGCCCAAATTCCCATGGTCCCCATTCCTGCTACCCTTCCTTGGCTCTTTCAGCCTGCACCTATGGCTCATGGGGAGTTTCCTATATTCAGCTGACAAAAGAAGAGAAGAGTAGGACCAGGTTTACAGATAGTTTGGCCCAATATGCAGGCATCAATCACAAGTGGACGCTGCAGCACTACAGCCCCTCTCTGGGACACCCTGAAGGACAGTGGTGAAGGGAAATCCTCTCAGTGTTCAAGACTTTGGGCAGTGGGCCTGGTTGTGCACTTTGCTTTGAAAGGAGAAATGGTCAGATGTGTGACTGTAAACCAATTCATGAGCTGGAGCCAATGGTTTGGCAGATGGTCAGGAACTTGGAAGAAACATGGTTGGAACATCAGTGACAAAGAAATTTGAGGAAGAGTTATGTGGACGGACCTCTCTGAGTGGGGAAAGGTGTGAAGATATTTGTACCCCATGTGAGGTCACACCAAAGGGTGACCTCAGCAAGGAGGAGTTTTAATATTCAAGAGGATAGGATGGCCCATTCTGTGGATATCAGTCGACCTCTTTCCCCAGCCATCCCTGTCATTGCCCAGTGGGCTCATGAACAAAGTGGTCATGGTGGCACTGATGGAGGTTATCCATGGGTTCGGCAGCTTGAACTCTCACTCATCAGAATTGACCTGGCTACTGCCACCTCTGAGTGTCCAATCTGCCAGCAGCAGAGACCAACACTGAGTCCCTGCAATGGCACAACTCCCCAGGGTGATCAGCCAGCTACCTGATGGCAGTTGATTACATTGGTCCTCTCCCATCATGGAAGGGGCAGCATTCTGTCCTTACTGGACCAGACACTCTGGATATGAATTTGGACTTATGGAATGCCTTATCCATCATCAATCATAATATTCCACATAGAATTGCTTCTTCTTTTTTTGAGACAGGGTCTCACTCTGTTGCCCAGCTGGAGTGCAATGGCATGATCATGGCTTACTACAGCCTTGAACTCTTGGCCCCATACAATCCTCCTGCCTCAGCCTCCTAAAGTGTTGGGATTACAGGCATGACCCACCATATCCAGCCTGTTTCTGATGAGGGAACACACTTCACAGCCAGAAAAGTGCAGCAATGAGCCCATGCTCATGACATTATTCACTGGTCTTACCATGTTTCCCATCATCCTGAAGCATCTGGCTTGACAGAATGGTGGCGTGGTTTTTTGTAGACTCAGTTACAGTGCCAGCTAGATGACAATAGGGCTGGGACAAGGGTCTTGAGAAGGCTGCCTAAGCACTGAATCAGCATCTGATATTTATACAGTATTGTTTTCCCCAAGCTAGTGTTACAGTCTCACCAATGCACCATAATGTAGCAGTCTCTCATTGTTCAAGGTATCATCTGGAGTTCTTTGTCTCGTGACCATGAAAATTAAGATGTGTGTACACCAAGGGTGAGATTGGAATGAAAGTTTAATAAGCAAAAGAAGAAAACTCTCTGCTGTGGAGAGGGGGCCTAAAAGAGGGTTGCCATTTTTACAGTTGAATGCAAAGGCTTCTATAGGAAACTGATGAGGGCTGGACATCTCATTTGCATAAGGTGCGAATTTCTACTAGCTCCACCCCATGCTCCTAATGTGCATGTGGGCCTTTAACTTGATTTACTCCATATTGCTTTGTTTCCCTTACTGCGCCTGTGTCAGGGGATGGAATTTTCCATTGCAGGTATGTCTAGGCAAGTTACCTGTGTAGGCTTTCTTATCTGTGCATCTGTGGGCATGTCTTAGGCAAGCCCCCATGCAAGTTCTCTTGTCTGTGTCTGCAGCTTGATTTTTCTTTTCTTTTTTTGTATTAAAAAAATGTATTTACTTAGAAGCATTCAGAATGTCAACAAAACAGCTGCAGCTTTTTTTTTTTTTTGCAATTACAGAGTGGTATTCTGTTAACAGAACAATTATTTTGTATAAGCTGCATCAGAGACAACTGAAGATGAAAAAACTACCATCCCCATATATAACTAAATTGTGCTGTGCACCAACAAGAACCTGCTTTAAATTTCCATGCCAATTTACAACCCCCATAGTGTACCAGGCAAGGTTAGTGTCTATTGAAAATACCACCAGGACAGGGCTATCTAAAGACACATTTGGTAGTGTGTTAACCATACAAAAAAAGACACTATACAGTTTAAAAACAAATCTTACAAAGCCTTGCATTTCAATTTTTTTCTTTAAAAGGAGTGAGTTGTGTACAGGGGGGTTAAATGCTTTATAGACAAGAAAAGAAACTGCGCTAGAACCAACTTATTCATCATCATCACCTTGTTCTTCATCTTCATCTTCTTCATCTTCCTCCTCCTCCTCATCCTCTTCGTCTTCCTCATCTTCCTCCTCTTCCTTCTTTTTCTTGCTTTTTTCAGCCTTGACAACTCCCTTTTTTGCTGCATCAGGCTTTCCTTTAGCTTGATATGCAGCAATATCCTTTTCATATTTTTCCTTCAGCTTTGCAGCCTTCTTTTCAGAAGGCTGCTTGCCATCTGCAGCAATGTCATTCCACATCTCTTCCAGTTTCTTTGCAACATCACCAATGGACAGGCCAGGATGTTCTCCTTTGATTTTTGGGCGATACTCAGAGCAGAACAGGAAAAGGGTCAAAGGAAGCCTCTTGGGTGCATTGGGATACTTGAACCTCTTTTTTTATCTCCCCTTTAGGAGGGATGTAGGTTTTCATTTCTCTTTCGTAATGGGCGTTGTCCACCTTTGCCATATCTTCAAATTTTCCTTTCTGTTTAGCAGGCATGGTCTTCCACCTCTCTGAGCACTTCTTAGAAAACTCTGAGAAGTTGACTGAAGCATCTGGGTGCTTCTCTTATGCTTCTCCAGACAAGTTTGCACAAAAAAATGCAAGTGAGAGCCCATCTGGCTCTCACTTGCCCCGGCACTGTCTCTATGGAGCTGAATGTACTGCAATGGCTGTGCAGCTTCGTTTTTTGGGCAGTTCTTTTGTTTGAAAGAATTTAACTGAGAATCCACCCTAACTGCCTGCCTCACCAGTTTCTTCCTTTCTCCTCTCTCATTCCCCCTCCTCAGGAGTGAAGACCATAACTGCTGTTAGGGAAGTGGGGAGATGATCCTTCTAGCTACTTTCTACTGGAGAGGGGGATTGTGTGGGGAACAGCTGGTAGGGTTCCTACTGAGGCCAGTCTAAGAGTCCTTGGAAGAAAGGTGCATCCATGTGTGGTTTCATTTGCATCACTATTTGGAGCTTGATAGCCTTTAGGAAAGAAGAAACAATTTGGATTATTAGAGGACATGTATTAAAACAAAGCAAAGGGGTGGGGGTAAGGACAGCCAAAAATCCCAAGGCTGCCAACATGCCCAGATAACTGGTAGCTATATTTCTGCCTGCTAAGATTTGGATGCATGGGGTTTGGCTTTGGTTAACTTCTTTGGTTCTATTTTCCAAAACAAAGAAAACTCTGGGTTATGGGAACTCTATTTACTCCCATCACCTGGCAGGATTTGCAGGATAATTGCTCAGAACTAGAATACTGATCTAGATTTTTACATTACCCATTTCTTTTTTTTTTCTGAGCTGCAGCCTGACATTGCTAGTTGGTTTACAGGAATAAGCAGGGTTAGTCTAAAATGTAGGCAAGAACTAAAAACAACCAAGGAGATTAGAATTTAATGACAAGTGTATAAGTTTTGAAATATAATTTGTCTCTCTCTGGTCCTCATTTTTTTAAAAACAAATCATGTTTTTAAAATTTAAAATTTTAAAAATTAAAAAAAAAATTTGCAAAATAAATGTTAGGTTTTTTTTTGTTTTTTTTTTGAGATGGAGTCTCGCTCTGCAATTCTCCTGCCTCAGCCTCCCGAGTAGCTGGGATTACAGGTGCATGCCATAACGCCTGGCTAATTTTTGTATTTTTAGTAGAGATAGAGTTTCACCATGTTGGCCAGGCTGGTTTCAAACTCCTGACCTCAAGTGATCCACCTGCCTTGGCCTCCCAAACTGCTGGGATTACAGGCGTGAGTCACCATGCCCAGCCAAACTTTAGTTTTATACTTGGCCTGATTATTTGGATAAAGTGCAACAAGAATAATTGTTTTTATATAGGCTTTTAAAATTGGCTTTGATAGAACTCTGTTCCATAAGAAATCTCAGATAGGAGTTTTTAAAGCCACGCCTAGCCATGGGTTTGTACCCTGAAATACCTATGAATTGGGTGAATTCCTCTCTTCTTATAGTTCCAAAAATATGGGGTTCTTAGACCTGTGAGAAAGTGACAATCTCTATTCACCACAGCTTAGGAACCCTGTATGGGGACGGTGTAGACAAGGTATGAGGCCAGTTTTCCCAAGGGGCTTTTATTGTCACTGTAAGTCAAGCTTGATTTACAAGGGAAGCATACCCTTCCAGTCAAAGCCAGTAAAACAACTAATTTCTCCAATTGCGTCCTGTTGCAAAATGAAATGGATTCTTATTGCACTGATGCAAACAACTATATTGCCATAAGTTAAGAGTACTCACAAATAGTTTCCAAATTTTGGAGAAGTCAGGCAGAAAGAAACAAACATGCTCCAAATTTTGTTTACAAGACTATACCTTACCTAATTATTAAAGGCTGTACATAGCTTGTTTCCTTGACTCTGAAAAACAAAACAAGGATCAGTAACTTTTTTTTGAGACAGAGTCTTGCTCTGTCACCCAGGCTGAAGTGCAGTGGCATTATCCTGGCTCACTGCAACCTCCGCCTCCCAGGTTCAAGCAATTTTCCTGCCTTAGCCTCCCGAGTAGCTGGGACTACAGGTGCCTGCCACTACTCCTGGCTAATTTTTGTATTTTTAGTAGAGATGGTGTTTCACCATGTTGGCCAGGCTGGTCTCAAACTCCTGACCTCGTGATCTGCCTGCCTTGGCCTCCCAAAGTGCTGGGATTACAGGCATGAGCCACGGTGCCCAGCCCTAGATCTGATGGCTTTATAAGGTGGAGTTTCCCTGCACAAGCTCTCTCTTTGCCTGCTGTCATCCACCTAAAATGTGACTTGCTCCTCCTTGCCTTCCACCATGAATTGTGAGGCCTCTCCAGCCATGTGGAACTCTAAGTCCAATAAACCTCTTTCTTTTGTAAATTGCCCAGTTTTGGGTATGTCTTTAGCAGCAGCATGAAAATGGACTAATAAACTCTATCTATCTATCTATCTATCCATCCTATTCATTCCATCTCTCTGGAAAACTCTGATTAATGAAACAACTAAATGCAATATGGAATCCCAGAGTGGATCTTGGACTAGAACAGGATATTAGTGGAAAAATGTAGGTAACTATTGTATTATATCAATGTTCATTTTTTTTTTTGAGATGGACTTTTGCTCTTGTTGCCCAGTTTGGAGTGCAATGGCGTGATCTTGGCTCACTGCAACCTCTGCCTCCTGGGCTCAAGTGATTCACCTGCCTTAGCCTCCTGAGTAGCTGGGATTACAGGCATGTGCCACCACATCCCGCTAATTTTTGTATTTTTAGTAGAGATGGGGTTTCTCCATATTGGTCAGGCTGGTCTCAAACTCCCAACCTCAGGTGATCTGCCCACCTCAGCCTCTCAAAGTGCTGGGATTACAGGCATGAGCCACCACGCCCAGCCCATTTTCTGGTTTTAATCACTGTGCAACAATTATGTAAGATGTTAACATTAAGGCAAGCTGGTGAGGAGTGTACCTTTTTTTTTTTTTGAGATGGAGTCTCACTGTGTAGCCCAGGCTGGAGTGCAGTGGTGCAATCTCAGCTCACGGTAAACTCCACCTCTGTGGTTCAAGTGATTCTTCTGCCTCAGCCTCCTGGGCGTGCACCACCACGCCAGGCTAATTTTTGTATTTTTAGTAGAGATGGGGTGTCACCATATTGGCCAGGCTGGTCTTGAACTTCTGACCTCATGATCCACCCGCCTTGGCCTCCCAAAGTGCTGGGATTACAGGCGTGAGCCACTGTGCCCGGCCGAGTGTACATTTTTTGTAAATTTTCTGTAGGTAATTTACAAAAGAACATTTCAAAAGAAAACCTTTTTTTTATTTAAAACATTAAAAAAAATTTTTTTTATTTCCATAGGTTTTTGGGGAACAGGTGATATTTGGTTGCACAATAAGTTCTTTCGTGGTGATTCATGAGATTTTGGTGCACCCATCACCCAAGCAGTATACACTGAACCCAATTTGTAGTCTTTTATCTGTCACCTCCTTCCCACCCTTTCCCCTTGAGTCCCCAAAGTCTATTGTGTCATTCTTAAGCTTTGCATCCTCATAGTTTAGTTTCCACTTATGAGTGAGAATTTTTTTTTTTTTTTGAGATGGAGTCTCTCTCTCACCCAGGCTGGAGTGCAGTGGCGTGATCTCTGCTCACTGTAACTTCTGCCTCCTGGGTTTAAGCGATTCTCCTGCCTCAGCCATCCGAGCAGCTTGGATTACAGGCGCCCACCACCACACCCAGCTAATTTTTGTATTTTTAGTAGAGACGGGGTTCACCATGTTGGCCAGGCTGGTCTTGAACTCCTGACCTCAAGTGATTCACCCGCCTTGGCCTCCCAAAGTGCTGGGATTACAGGCGTGGGCCACCGCATCTGGCTGAGTGAGAATTTTTTTTTTAATTACTTGAGGTCAGGAGTTGTAGACCAGCCTGGCCAACATGGTGAAACCCTGTCTCTACTAAACATATAAAAATTAGCCAGGTATGGTAGCAGGTGCCTGTCATCCCAGCTATTTGGGAGGCTGAGGCAGGAGAATTGCTTGAACCCCAAGGCAGAGGCTTCAGTGAACCAAAATCATGCCACTGAATTCCAGCCTGGGTGACAGTGAGGCTGTCTCAAAAAAAAAAAAAAAAAAAAAAAAGATCACAGCTCACTGAAGCCCCGACCTTCCAGGCTCAAGCAATTCTCCTGCCTCAGCCTCCTGAGTAGCTGGGACTACAGGCATGCATCACCATGCCCAGCTAATTGTTTTTTATTATTTGTAGAGATGAGGTCTCGCTATGTGGCCCAGGCTGGTCTTGAACTCCTGGGCTCAAGAAATCCTCCCTCCTCAGCCTCCCAAAATGCTGGGATTACAGATATGAGCCACGGTGTCAGGCTGAAAACTGTTTTAGGGAGAGAGAAATGTATACGAATGTTCTTTGCAGTGTCATTTGCAACAGTGAAAAACTGAAAACAAGAAAAGTAGTCAGTAGTAACCAACAGATTGAACAAAGTGTAATCCTTTCATAGGATGGAATGCAATGGCACTATTTAAAAGAATGAGAAAGACCTGAATGTAGGAATATAAAAAGTTCTCTAAGATTTATTACTAGCAGGCAACATCAATATGCAGAATAGGAAGTATAGTTTGGACCCATTTCAAGCAAAATTTTAAAAAAGCATATACAGAATTTAAAAATATATATACGTGCTGACATGTGCATAAAGCTTTTTTTTTTCTGGGAAGAATCACAAGAAATTATCAACAGTGGGGAAAAGATAGTTGGGGGAAGAGACAGTTTTCATTATATAACTGTACTGTCTGCATTTTCCAATTTTATTTATGTATTTATTTTGTTTTTTCTTTTTTTGAGACAGCATCTCACTCTGTCATCCAGATTAAAGTGCAGTGACATGATCATTGCTCACTGCAGCCTCCACTTCCCAGGCTCAAGCGATCCTTCTACCTCAGCCTCCTGACTAGCTGGGACTACAGGCTCGTGCTACCATGCCCAGATAATTTTCGTGTTTTTTTGGTAGAAATGAGAGTCTCACTTTGTTGCCCAGGCTGGTCTTGAACTCCTGGGCTCAAGTGATCCTTTTGCCTTGGCCTCCCGAGGTGTTAGGATTACAGGTGTGAGCCACTGTACCCGGCTGGTTTTTTCTTTCAATGCTTTAAATATTTCACTCTCTTGTTGACATGATTTCTGACAAGCAGAAACACTAAAAATTATACAAATTATACAAAGAGTTCCCATGCACCCTTCACCCACATTGATGCTCCTTTACCTCTAGATGCCTCAGTCTGTATTTCCCCCAAAAAATAACCGCAGGCTAGTGACTAAATCAGGAAATTAAGGTCGATACAGTTCTGTTGTCTTCCACAGACCCTCATCATATTTTCCCTGAATTTACCCTCATCATATTTTCTCTGAATCACACCTTGGGTTAGTTATTGCTTCTCTTTAGTCTCCTCTAATCTGGACCACCACACCTGGCTATTTTTTGTTTGTTTGTTTTGAGATGGAGTTTCGTTCTTGTCGCCCAGGCTGGAGTGTAATGGCGCAGTCTTGGCTCACTGTAACCTCCGCCTCCCAGGTTCAAGCGATTCTCCTGCCTCAGCCTCCCAAGTAGCTGCGATTACAGGCACCCACCACCATGCCTGGCTAATTTTTTTGTATTTTTAGTAGAGATGGGGTTTCACCATGTTGGCCAGGCTGATCTTGAACTCCTAACCTCAGGTGATTCTGCCTGCCTCAGCCCCCCAAAGGGCTGCAATTACAGGAGTGAGCCACTGTGCCTTGGCCAACGCCCAGCTAATTTTTGTATTTTTTGTAGAGACAAGGTTTCACCATGTTGCCCAGGCTGGTCTTGAACTCCTAAGCTCAAGCGATCCACCTGCCTTGGCCTCCCAAAGTGCTAGGATTACAGGTGTGAGCCACTGCACCCAGGCTTTGATAGGACTCTTGATAAAGGTTGGCCAGGTTAGTCAGATGCCAAGAGGAGGGATTTTCAATAAGCAGACCTAGCAGGATTCCTGCTCCAATTGGATTCTGCAAGGACAGAAAGGGAAGCCCAAGAAAGTCCTAATCAAGCAGAGAACTCAGAGGAGCTTGACTAATATTTTGGTCAAAGGAGTGAGTCTTTGCCAATATAATCAGAGTTATTTCAAAATTTTTATCTGATAATTCCTTATTCTGTTTTATATCTGAGTCTGGTTCTGATGCCTGTTTTGCCTCTTCATGCCGTGTTTTTTTCTTGCCTTTTAGCAGACCTTGTGATTTGTTGTAGAAAGCCAGCCATCGAGTATCTGGTGGTAGGAACCCAGGTAATGAGGCTTTTAGTGTGAGGTTTCATGTTAATCTACTGAGGAGTCGGGCTGTCTGGAATGTTTCCTGCAGCTGTAGGTGCCACAGGCTTCAAATAAATTCCTCTAGTCCCTCCTTGTTGTTTTTCCTGTTGTCTTTGGTTTGCTAAGAATTCTTTTTTAAAATATTTTTTCATTAAAAAATGTTTTTGGCTGGGCACGGTGGCTCACACCTGTAATCCCAGCACTTTGGGAGGCCGGGGTGGGCAGATCACTTGAACCCAGGAGTTTGAGACCAGACTGACCAACAGGGTAAAACCCCATCTCTACTAAAAACACCAAAATTAGCTGGGCATGTGGTGGCGGCCTGTAATCCCAGCTACTCAGGAGGCAGGAGAATGGCTTGAACCTGGGAGGCAGAGGTTGCGGTAACTGATTGCACCACTGCACTCCACCTGGGCAACAGAGTGAGACTCTGTCTCAAAAAAACAAAAATAATAAAAGTAAACACTTTTTTTCAAGACAGGATCTTACTCTGTTGTCCAGGATGGAGTACAGTGATGCAGTCTCAGCTCACTGCAGCCTCCACCTCCTGGGCTCAAGCCATCTTCCCACCTCAGTCTCCTGAGTAGCTGGGACCACAGGTGTGCCCCGGCATGTACCAGCTGGGACCACAGGTGTGCACTGGCTAATTTTTTAATATTTTGTAGAGATGGGTCTTGCCATGTTGCTATGCATTCCAGGCTGGTCTTGAATTCCTAGGCTCAAATGATCCTCCATCTCAGCCTCCCAAAGTGCTGGTGATGGCAGTGGTGGCCTGTCTAGAGAAACCGCTGTCGTGACACTGGCTACAGTGGGTGAGGTGCGGCCGGCGCTGCATACTCCATGGAGCCAGTGGGGGCTGGGGGCTGGGGGCTGGGAGCAGACAGGAGCCCCACCCTTCCAGGCGCAGCGGCAGCTGCCCAATCCGTGGCTGTGGACCCAGGCATTTCTGTACTCTCGGGGGCCTGGGAAGACACCCCCTTCCCCCGCAGGCTTGGAAGTTCCTGCTCCCGTTGCCTGGCCTCTCCTTGATCTTGGAGTGAGGTTGGGGCTGAGCCCAGGCGCTGTCACAGCCCGGCCGGGTGTGGGTACACTTGGTGCAGTGCTGACACACAAGCCGCCTGCCACCTCAGCCCCTTCCAGACTTTGAACACCGATGAGCAGGGGAGGGAGGCCAAGGAGGAGCTGAGGGTTCGTACCCTTCCTCGGAGGGAAGGAAGTGTGCACCAATTGGTCCATGAGCGGCCATGAGTGGGCCTAGAAAAAGCACCACAAGTTCCCACTCCTTTCCATGGGACTGGCAGCCCAGCCCCCAGGCTTCAGGCCCTCCCTGGCTTGAAGGTGGGGCCTCACCAGGGACCTGCCTTCTCCCACCCAGGAGCCTGTCTGCCTCCTGCTGCCATTCATGGCGCCCAGTCTGTTCATGCCAAGGGGCCTGTAATCCTAACACTTTGGGAGGCTGAGACGGGCAGGTCACCTGAGGTCAGGAGTTTGAGACCAGCCTGGCCAACATGGTGAAACCCGGTCTCTACCAAAAATACAAAAAATTAGCCAGGCATGGTGGTGGGCACCTGTAACCCCAGCTACTCAGGAGGCTGAGGCAGGAGAATCGCTTGAACCTGGGAGGTGGAGGTTGTAGTGAGCCGAGATTGTGCCACTGTACTCCAGCCTGAGCAACAAGAGTGAAACTCCGTCTCAAAAAAAAAAATTTTTTTTTAAATTTTCCTTTTCAAAAATTTATAATTTTGTTTAAAAAAGACCAAGGTCTCTGTCACCCAGGCTGGAATGCAATGGCGTGATCATAGCTTACTACAGCCTTGGATTTCTGGGCTCAAGAGATCTTCCTGCCTCAAGAAAATTTTTTTTAAACATTATTTTTCTTTTCAAGAATTTATACCTTTTTTTTAAAAAAAAAACCAAGGTCTCACTCTGTCACTCAGATTGGAGTGCAATGGTGTAATCACAGCTCACTGCAGCCTCAAACTCCTGGGCGCAAGGAATCCTCCCTCCTCAGCTTCCCAAGTAGCTAGAACCCCAGCCACATACCACCACACCCACCATGTCCAACTAAGTTTTTATTTTTTGTAGAGATAGGACCTTGCTATATTGCCCAGGCTGTTCTCAAATTCCTGGCCTCAAGTGATCCTCCCACCTTGGCCTCCCAAAGTGCTAGGATTACAGGCATGAGCTACCTGCTGGTAGATCACTTCTGGTTGCTGTTATCTGTAAACTAAGAGGTTTCTGCCCTGGAGGCATTTGCAGTCTGGAGGGGGAGATAGAGGGTAAACCTGTAATCCTGTCTGTAAGTAAATGCTACAAATTGCAAGAGGTGCTGAGAGGTGCCACAAGAAAGTCTCCAGGGGAACCTTGAGGCAGAGAGAGGGTCTTGGCTGGCAGCAGTGACTGCTCAGTGGGTGTCTGCAGAAGGTTCAGGCAGAGAGGAAGGGTGGAGGGGCCAACATTGAGAAGCCAGGAAGCCTCAGACTTTCCAACTCCCTGGCCAGAGCATGGCCCTCTGGCCTTTATATTATCCCTGTTCAGTCATTCTCACCCTTAGCTTCATTTGACAACTCTGCTGCATCCACTTGGGTGGTTGAGTTGGAGCCATTTTCACCAGGCAGATGCTGTCTGGGCTGGATGACTGTCCTCCTCTCTGAATAAAGTTGCTTGGGCCTGGTTGGTGATTCTAGGAGAAGAAACCTACAAACAGTGTTCTGATCACAGGTCCTGCTGCCACCAGCCTCAAGAAAGGTAAGTGATGATCAGAGCCAGAGTCCTGTTTGCTGCTAGATATCCTTGTGTGTGTGAATCACTCTCCTTGATCGCACACCCTGTGTGATAAGCATTATTATCCCCATTTTACAGACAAGAAAACTGAGGCAGCTAGAAAGGGCAGCAATTCAGACTCAAGTGTCCTAACTTTAGGTCTGAGCTCCACCCCCAACACTCCCACCAAGGTCACCAATGCTGACCCAATGTGACAAAGCCATGCGTCCTGTGGCCTCAGCTGCCGGCATCTGTCCCAGATGTACACACAGATGCTGTTGGTGATTTAATGGCAGGCCCATTGGAAATTTGGCTTGGAGCCTCCATTGTCTCTGCATTTTGTAACCTGGTCCTGGGCAGGGGGCTGGCGGTGGAGGCCACTTTTCGTGGGAACTCAGGCAAGGAGGAAGTGTGAATCGTCAGACCGGGACCCAGGCCAGGAGAGTGAGAAGAAAGCTGGGGCCTTTGCCAAGGCCCAGGGCCCTCGGGAGCTTCCAGCTGGATGGGGCCTTGTGGGCTGAGCCAGATGTGAACCAGGAACGGCACAGAGTTGCTGGCGACTCATTGACTGCAGGGGAGAGAGACAATGAGTAAGCTGACATGACGGTCCAGAGGGTGGAGTTGCCATCCAGGCACACAGGGGCCTCCCTTCACCCAGGAGAGCAGCTGATCCATTTTGAGGGAGCAGAGAGGAATCTTAGAGGAGGGACTCCTAGTGTGTCCTGACACCCAAGAGATGAACAAAGATGGACTGGGGGAGAAGGGAGAATGGCCTTTCTGGTGGAGGAAACAGCAGGAATAAAGGGCATATCAATGAGGAAATGTCTAACCCATTTGGGGAGCTTCTTTTTATTTTTTTAATTTTTGAGACAGGGTCTTGTTCTGTCTCCTAGGCTGGAGTGCAATGGCACAATCTTGGCTTACTGCAGCCTCAACCTCCTGGGCTCAGATGATCCTCCTACCTCAGCCTCCTGAGTAGCTGTGACTATAGGCTTGTGCTACCATGCCCGGATTTTTTTTTTTTTTTTTTAAGATGGAGTCTCGGCCGGGCATGGTGGCTCATGCCTGTAATCCCAGCACTTTGGGAGGCTGAGGAGGGCAGATCACGAGGTCAGGAGTTTGAGACCAGCCTGGCCAACATGGGGAAACCCCGTCTCTACTAAAGATACAAAAAAATTAGCTGGGCGTGGTGTTGCACATCTGTAATCCCAGCTACTTGGGAGGCTGGGGCAGGAGAATCACTTGAACCCAGGAGGTAGAGGTTGCAGTGAGCTGAGATCATGCCATTGCACTCCAGCCTGGGCGACAGGGCGAGACTCCATCTTAAAAAAAAAAAAAAATGGAGTGTCACTTTGTCACCCAGGCTAGAGTGCAGTGGCACAGTCTTGGCTCACTGCAACCTCCACCTCTTGAGTTCAAGCGATTCTGCTGCCTCAGCCACCCGAGTAGCTGGGATTATCGGCTCGCACCACCACACTCAGCCAATTTTTGTATTTTTAGTAGAGACAGGGTTTCACCATGTTAGCCAGGCTGGTCTCAAACTCCTGACCTCAAGTGATCCACCTGCCTAAGCCTCCCAAAGTTCTGGGATTACAGATGTGAGCCATCGTGCCCAGCCTAATTTTTTTATTTTTTGTAGATACAGGGTCTCACCATGTTGCCCAGTCTGGTCTCGAACTCCTGGGCTCAAGCAATCCTTCTGCCTCAGCCCCCAAGTGCTGGGATTACAGGCGTGAGCTAACGTGCCCAGCCTAGGGAGTTTCATGTAGTCCAGTCTGTCCCAAATTTTACATGTGGAAAACAATGTGGCAAGTAATAAGTTTGGAGATATGGAAAGAGTGCAGGGAGTGGGAGGCCCCGATGCCAAATACTGCATGGGACGTACTCATACTAAAAAAAAAAAAAAAAAAAAAAAAAGGATTTCGTATTTATCTGAAATTCAAATTTAAGTGGACATCCTCTATCTTTATTTGCTGAATCTGACAACTCCAGCCTAGGGCCAATTTGGACCAAATTCCTAGGTAGTGGAAGTCATCAGAGGCTTTTTATTTTACTTTTTATTATTATTTATTTATTTGTTTGTTTTTTTGAGACTGAGTCTCACTCTGTTGCCCAGGCTGGAGTGCAGTGGCATGATCTCTGCTCCCTGCAACCTCTACCTCGGGGTTCAAGAGATTCTGCTGCCTCAGCCCCCCGAGTAGCTAGGATTACAAGCACCTGCCACCATCCCTGGCTAATTTTTGTACTTTTAGTAGAGATAGGGTTTCATCATGTTGGCCAGGCTGGTCTCAAACTCCTGACCTCAGGTGCTTCACCCACCTCAGCCTCCCAAAGTGCTGGGATTACAGGTGTGAGCCACTGCATTTGGCCCCAGTGGCTTTCAGAAGGGAGGTGACAGGATGAGATTTGCGTCTGAGCAGATGGTCAGCAGCAGGACTGAGGGGCAGGACCCAAGCGGGGGAGACCAGCTGGGAGACTGAGGCTGGGCTGAGAGACAGGCTGTGTGGAGGAAGAGTGGGTGGACTGGTCGGGATTTATTAAAGAGGTAAAGGCAGGCCGGGCGCGGTGGCTCACACCTGTAATCCTAGCACTTTGGGAGGCTGAGTGGGTGGATCACCTGAGGTCGGGAGTTTGAGACCAGCTTGGTCAACAAGTTGAAAACCCATTCTCTACGAAAAATACAAAAATTAGCTGGGCGTGGTGCTGGGCACCTGTAATCCCAGCTACTTGGGAGGCTGAGGCAGGAGAATTGCTTGAACCTGGGAGGCAGAGGTTGCAGTGAGCCGAGATTGCACCACTGCACGCCAGCCTGGGCGACAGAGCAAGACTCTGTCTCAAAAAAAAAAAAAAAAAAAAAGGTAAAGGCAGTGAGTCTTGGCAATTAATTGGGTGTGGAAATAGAAAATGGGCAGTCAAGTTTGACATCCAAGTTTCTGGGCCACTAGACAAATGGTGATAACTATTTTCTTTTTTTTCTTTTTTTCCTTTTTTTTTTTTTTTTTTTTTGAGATGGAGTCTCGCTCTGTCGCCCAGGCTGGAGTGCAGTGGCGCGATCTCAGCTCACTGCAAGCTCTGCCTCCTGGGTTCATGCCATTCTCCTGCCTCAGCCTCCCAAGTAGCTGGGACTACAGGCACCTGCCACCAGGCCTGGCTAATTTTTTGTATTTTTTTTTTAGTAGAGACAGGGTTTCACCATGTTAGCTAGGATGGTCTCGATCTCCTGACCTTGTGCTCCGCCCATCTCAGCCTCCCAAAGTGCTGGGATTACAGGTGTGAGCCACCACACCCGGCCTCTTTTTTCTTTTACTTTTTTTTTTTGAGATGGAGTCTTGCTCTGTCACCCAGGCTGGAGTGCAGTAGCACAATCTTGGCTCACTGCAATCTCTGTCTCCTGAGTTCAAACAATTCTCCTGCCTCAGCCTTTCGAGTAGCTGGGATTACAAGTATGTACCACAATGCCCGCCGAAGTTTTTTGTATTTTTAGTAGAGACGGGGTTTCACCGTGTTGGCTGGGCTGGTCTCGAACTCCTGACCTCAAGCGATCCGCCCACCTTGGCCTCCCAAAGTGCTGGGATTACAGGTGTAAGCCACTGCTCCTGGCTGGTGGTGACCACTTCTGAGCTAGAAGTACAGGAGGAGAGGCAGGTTTGGGAGGAAGGAGAAGCAGGGTCTAGCTTCCGTCGTGTGGATCTGAACAGCCTGAGGCCATCCAAGAAGAGATGTCTGGGGACAGCTGGAGATGTAGGTCTGGAATTCAGGTGAGAGGTCAGAGCTGGAGGTTGACATTTGGAAAAGATCAGCCTTTGGAGTGAAATTGAAACCATGGGAATGGATGAACACACTCAGGGAGAGGGTGCAGGGTGAGAAAGGAAGGGAACCAGAACAGACCCCTGAGAATAGTCATGGTTTCGAAGAAGCAGAAGGAAGAGAAGCCAGCACACTGGAAGCAGAGACAGAGACCAAAGAGGTAGGAGAAAGGCAGGAGGGGTCTTTGGGACAAAATATTCCCCCGGCAGATAAAACAGGAGAGCACTGAAAGAAGGAGAGTGAGTTTGACGGTGTCAAGTGCTACCAAGATATCAAATAATACGGAGAAAAAACATAGTCTATTGGATCCAGCTACTGGGGACCTGATAAGGGAAGTTTCAGCGGAGTGGTGAGGGCAGAGGCCAGATTAGAAGGGTGAGCGGGGAGTGGAGGCAAATCTACTCTGGTCATGAGCCGCTTAAACATGGTGGATTGGCCATAGGCATGCATCTGCTTTCCCTCCTCAGACACCACTAACCTGACAGTAAAGGAATAATCTAAGCTGACCTATGATGACAAAGAAGCTGGGAGAGGAGGCATCTGCCAAGTAAAGATTCCAACCAACCTTTGGAAGATGGCATGCTAACAGAGAAGTACCAAGGTCACCAGTGGTTATGACCCAAAGTGCCCATGGAGGAGACACCAAGGCCAATTTGTCCTGAAACATCCCCGAGAGGTCCAAGTCTTGGAGGGAACAGGGTGCAGCTGGAAGTCTGAACATGGAGGAGTTGTCTCCCAAGCCTTCTCCCTATCCCATGCAGCCAGATGACTAAACCCACAGGCCTAAAAACAGCATTTTCTTCCTGGAGGAATTGAACTCAAAAGGCCCCAGACTTGTTCAGACCAGGCACAGCAGAGAACAAGACTGCAAACGGGGATTAGGGATACGCATTCTGAATGGCAGGATTCCAGACTTTTTTCCTTCACCTGCTCCCAGAATGCCAACAGCCCGGGGTGTCTCCTCCATGCCCTACCCCAAGCAAGAGATTGGAGGACTTTTCTTTCTTTCTTTCTTTTTTCTTTTTGAGACAGAGTTTCACTCTTGTTGCCCAGGCTGGAGTGCAATGGCGCGATCTCGGCTCACCGCAATCTTCGCCTCCTGGGTTCAAGCGATTCTCCTGCTTCAGCCTCCTGAGTGGCTGGGATTACAGGCATGCACCACCACACCCAGCTAATTTTGTATTTTTAGAAGAGACGGGGTTTCTCCATGTTGGTCAGGGTGGTCTCGAACTCCCAACCTCAGGTAATCTGCCCACCTTGGTCTCCCAAAGTGCTGGGATTACAGGCATGAGCCACTGTGCCCAGCCTGAGATTGGAGGACTTTTCTTTTTAAGCTGCTAAGTCCCAAAGAATATGCTTTCTGCTGATGGTATGATGAGAGCTCTGCACACACTTCAATCACCTTTCAGTGAAACCCAACTGTGAGAATCGAGCTTCCAATCACCTTTTTAAAGTTCCTTTCACGTTAGTGTTTTTTAAGAGACAACTAGAATTTCTTTTTTCCTTGTTTGGTTTTTGTTTGTTTGTTTGTTTTAGACAACTAGAATTTCTAAAAAGAATCAAATGAGGCTGGGCGTGGTGGCTCATGCCTATAATCCCAGCACTTTGAGAGGCTGAAGTGGGCGGATCACTTGAGGTCAGGAGTTAGTTGGAGACCAGTCTGGCCAACATGGCGAAAACCTGTCTGTATCAAAAAGAACCCACAAAAATTAGTCAGGCATGGTGGCGGTCGCCTGTAATTCCAGCTACTCAGGAGGCTGAGGCAGGAGAATCACTTGAACCAGGGAGGGAGAGATTGTAGTGAGTCAAGATCGTGTCATCGCACTCCAGCCTGGGTGACAGAACGAGACTCTGTCTCAAAAAAAAAAAAAAAAAAAAAGAAAGAAAGAATCAAATGAATATTCTAAAACTAAAAAATTACATGCTGAAAATAAGCATCCAAGGCCAGGCGTGGTGGCTCATGCCTGTAATCCCAGCACTTTGGGAGGCCGCGGTGGATGGATCACCTGAGGTCGGGAGTTCAAGACCAGCCTGGCCAACATGGTGAAACCTTGTCTCTACAAAAATACAAAAATTAGCCAGGCGTGGTGGCGGGTGCCTGTAATGCCAGCTACTTGGGAGGCTAAGGCGGAAGAACCACTTGAACCTGGGAGGTTGCAGTGAGCCAAGATTGTGCCATTGCACTCCAGCCTGGGCGACAGAGTGAGACTCTGTCTCAAAACAAAACAAAAAAAAAAGAGGAGAGAAAGAAAATAAGCACTCCATAGATGGGTTTCACAGAAGATTGGAAACAAGTAAAGCCAGGACTAGCATACTGAAAGATGGGTGTGATTAAAACTATCCAAACTGAAGCATAGAAAAAAAAAGTAAAAATAAAACATAAAAGAGCATAAGACATAAATACAACACACATGAAAGATCTAACATAATATAAATATGGTTTGAGAAAGAGAAAATTAGGAAGAAGCAATATGTTAAGAGATAAAGACCAAAACTTTTCTGAATCTAACAAAAGACATCATACTATAAATTCAATAAGCTCAGCAAACCCAAAACAAAATATAGACAAACGAGCTACATTAGAGTACATCAGAATAAGATAGTCAGAAACCAAAGGCAACGAGAAAATTTTAAAAGCACCATAGGACAGCCAGGTGCAGTGGCTCACACCTAGGATTACAGAATCCTAGCACTTTGGGAGGCTGAGGCAGGAGGATTGCTTGAGTCCAGGAGTTCAAGACCAGCCAGGGTAACACAGCAAGACCTCATCTCTACTAAAAATTAAAACAATGAGCCAGGCATAGTGGCGTGAGCCTGTGATCCCAGCTACTTGGGAGGCTGAGGTGGGAGGATCGCTTGAGCCTTGGAAGTTGAGGCTGCAGTGAGCTGTGATTGTGCCACTGCACTCCAGCCTTGACAACGGAGAGAGCCCCTGTTTCAAATAGAAGTAAAGTACCACAGGAAAGATGTATTTCCTTGAATATTTACCCTCACCCTCATCCCTAGAAATAGCAGCTGTTATCTACTTTTTTTTGTTTGTTTTTGAGACAGTTTTGCTCTGTCTCCTAGGCTGGAGTGGAATGGCGTGATCTCAGCTCACTGCAACCTCTGCCTCCCAGGTACAAGTTATTCTCATGCCTCAGCCTCCCAAGTAGCTTGGATCACAGGCATCTGCCACCACGCCCGGCTAATTTTTTTTTTTTTTTTTTTAGCAGAGACAGCATTTCACCATGTTGGCCAGGCTGGTCTCGAACTCCTGACCTCAAGTGATCCTCCCACCTCAGCATCCCAAAGTGCTGGGATTACAGGTGTGAGTCACTGCACCCAGCCTTTACTTTGTTATTTTTAAATTCCTTCAAGTCCTCCCTTACCTCCTTAGTGGTTAACTACCATGTTTCCTTTTCTCTTTTTAAAAAATTTTCTTTGAGAGAGTCTCACTCTGTTGCCAGGCTGGAGTGCAGTGGTGTGATCATGGTTCACTGCAGCCAGGACCTCCCGGGCCCAAGCGATCCTCCCACCTCAGTCCCCCAAGTAGCTGGCACTACAAGCATGGACCACCACGCCTGGCTAATTAAAAAAAAATTTTTTTTTTTTTGAGATGGAGTCTTGCTCTGTTGCCCAGGCTGCAGTGCAGTGGCAAGATCTCAGTCCACCTCCCAGGTTCAAGCAATTCTCCTGCCACAGCCTCCCAAGTAGCTGGAACTACAGGCACGCGCCACCATGCCCAGCTAATTTTTGTATTTTCAGTAGAGACAGGGTTTTACTATGTTGGCCAGGCTGGTCTCGAACTCATGACCTTGTGATCCGCCCACCTCAGCCTCCCAAAGTGCTGGGATTATAGGCGTAAGCTACCTCGCCTGGCCAAAAGATAGAAGAATTTTTTTTTTTTTGGTGGAGTCTCACTCTGTTGTCCAGGCTGGAGTGCAATGGCACAATCTCGGCTCACTGCAACCTCTGTCTCCTGGGTTCAAGCGATTCTCCTGCCTCAGCTTCCCGAGTAGCTGGGATTACAGGCGCCTGCCACCACGCCCAACTAATTTTTGAATTTTTAGTAGAGACGAGGTTTCATCATGCTGCCCAGGCTGGTCTTGAACTCCCCACCTCAGGTGATCCTCCCACCTTGGCATCCCAAAGTGCTGGGATTCCAGGCATGAGCCACTGCACTCGGCCAAAAAAAAAAAATGTTTGTTTTGTCAAGTCGAGATCTCCCCATGTTGCACAGTCTGTTCTTGGCTCAAGCGATCCTTCCTCCTTGGCTTCCCAAAGTGCTGGGCTTACAGGCATTAGCCACCACATTTGGCCAAGTCCAAGCTTTCAACCACACCAGCAGATACAAAATAAGGTTTTCAGGTTCTGTCTGCTGTTCTTTCTACGGAGGCTCACTGCTGGGGACAAATTGGGCTCCCGGCAAAGAGCCCCTCCCACTGACTTCCTCTTCTGGGAGAAGAAAAACAAGAAGGGCAATGAAAAGTGGGACAAGCTGCAGCTATTCCTACCATCTCTTCCCACCCACTGAATCTCACCACAGAACAAGCAGCTGCAAGAGAAAAGGACTGGCCTTGTCTCTCAGGGGTCGGTCCTGCAGAGGGTGGGCTCACGATGCCAAGGGAGAAATATGGTGGTAACAGCATGGACCGGACCTGGGTTGGGCTCCAGGCACTGGCTTTTATTTTATTTTATCTCATTTTTTTTGAGATGGAGTTTCGCTCTTGTTGCCCAGGCTGGAGTGCAATGGTGCCATCTCGGCTCACTGCAACCTCCGCCTCCCGGGTTCAAGCAATTCTCCTGCCTCAGCCTCCTGAGTAGCTGGGATTACAGGCATGCGCCACCATGTCCAGCTAATTTTGTATTTTTAGTAGAGACAGGGTTTCTCCATGTTAGTCAGGGTAGTCTCAAACTCCTGACCTCGGGTGATCCGCCCGCCTCGGCCTCCCAAAGTGCTGGGATTACAGTTGTGAGCCACCACACCTGGCCTGATACTGGCCTTTTAAAGGGCAAAGCCATCCAATCCTCCAGGAAAACATGGGGAAGGAGAGTTCCAACATTTCCTGAGCACCTCCATGTCCGGCACTGAGCACATTCCATCTTTTCTCTCTCTCGCTCCTGACATTGACCTAGAAGGCCTGTCTGACATTAATTTGCCCCGGAGGCCTGAGGATGGTGTCAGCCTGCAGACTGCTGCTGTTCCTCAGCTCTCTTCTGCCCTGCTCGCCTCCCTCTATAGTCCTCAAGGCCCATCTGCAACCACTATCCCATCCATACCTGAGGTTGCCCTGGCTCTGACACTTGCATGACATTTGGGAGCTGCTCTAATGCCACCTTCTGGCTGGTACTAGAAAGATGAGGACCTGGCCAGGCACAGTGGCTCACATCTGTAATCCCAGAACTTTGGCAGGCCGAGGGGAGCGGATCACCTGAGGTCGGGAGTTTGAGACCAGCCTGGCCAACATGGTGAAACCCTGTCTCTACAAAAAATGCAAAAATTAGCCAGGCATGATGGCACATGCCTATAATCCCAGCTATTCGGCAGGCTGAGGAAGGAGAATCACTTGAACCCGGGAAGCGGAGTTTGCAGTGAGCCAAGATTGTGCCATTGCACTCCAGCTTGGGTGACAGAGCAAGACTCTGTCTCAAAAAAAAGAATAAAGGAAAAAAAGACGAGGACCCGGTCGTGGCTTCAGCCTCTCTGACCCAGGCCAGAGGGCCCAGCAATCCAGTTGTACATTGTCTGATTGGTTGGTTGATTGGTTGGTTTGCTCCCTGCCTTGCTGCAGAGAGGACCTCAGGCAGCTTCCAAGGATGCGTGATACACAACCAGAGCAGAAAAAAAGAGTAGGGGGAAAACAAGAAAGTAGCACAAGGGTGGGAGCACAGAGGATCCAGGAACAAAGCTAAAGTGCAGAACATAAGGATCTACTGTGGGGGAAACAGACCACAGACTCAGGATTTTTTTTTTTTTTTTTTGAGATGGAGTCTCACTCTGTCACCCCGGCTGGAGTGCAGTGGCCTGATCTCTGCTCACTGCAACCTCCACCTCCCAGGTTCAAGCGATTCTCCTGCCTCAGCCTCCCGAGTAGCTGGGATTACAGGTGCACACCACCACGCCCAGCTAATTTTTGTATTTTTAGTAGAGACGGGGTTTCACCGTGTTGGCCAGGCTGGTCTCGAACTCCTGACCTCAGGTGATCCACCCACCTCGACCTCCCAAAGTGCTGGGATTACAGGCATGAGCCACCATGCCCGGCCAGGATTTTTTTTTTCTAACTTCTTAATTTTATTTTATAAAGAGAAGGGTCTCACTGTGTTGCCCAGGCTGGTCTCAAATTCCTGGCCTCAAGCTGTCCTCCCACCCCAGCCTCCCAAAGAGCTGGGATTATAGGTGTGAGCCACCTGTAATCCTGGCCAACTCAGGTAATTTTGAAGATGGCTTTTATGGTCTACTTGGGCACAAAGGAATGCGGGGAACATCCACCAGCCATGGCTGGGTGACAACTCATGTTCGTTCTCAGCCTATCAGTTTTACACGTTCTCTTTATAAATGATTTCACACACACACACGCACACACATACATACACTCACCACCTCCTTCTGGAGCTCATGTTGAGATGTACAGGGGAGGGAGACCCTTGTAACACAGATTTGAAAAATAATTCAGATATGCATCTTGAAAACAAGGAGAGGCCAGGCGCAGTGGCTCATGCCGATAATCCCAGCACTTTGGGAGGCTGAGGCAGGAGGATCACCTGAGCCCAGGAATTTGAGACCAGCCTGGGCAACATAGTGAGACCTTGTCTCTACAAAAATTTAAAAAGTTAGCTGGGTGCAATGGTGTGTGCCTGTAGTCCCAGCGACTTGGGAGGCTGAGGCGGGAGGATCACTTGAACCTGGGAAGTCAAGGCTGCAGTGACCTGTGACCAGGCCACTGCATTCCAGCCTGGGCAACGGAGTGAGAGCTTGTCTCAAAACACAAAACAAAACAAACAGAGAGAGTTTCAGTAAACAAAATAAAGTATTTGTGTGAAAAAAGATTCAGATACACATTTGAAAAGAAAGTATTCTTTTGGAAGACAAAGGGAATATGATTCTGAAGGAGTGAAACATGAAGGATATTTCTATTGGTTGAGCTTGTAACTTTTGGGCCATGTGGCATGATGTTCTTTTGCTATGAGGGGCTGTATTCCCTCATCACTATACTTTTGCCACACATTGACTTTAAGCTTCCTAGCAAGTGGTGTGAAAAGGGAAATGTGGCCACTTACACAATGTCCAAAGTCTAGGAAGGATGACAAACCAATTGCTTAGGAGAAGCAGGACGCTGGTACTGAGATAGGAATAAGGTGCCCCTGGGCCCAATGGAGGGTTCCAGGGGAAGATGACAGAGCGGAGGGTGAAGAATGCCCTCGGTGACAGCCTTCCCATCACGCCAATCCAAAGACAGTACACCGCTTCCAAGGAGGCCAAGACCATGTGGGCTGCATGGCCCACTCTCTGCTGGCCTAGCCTTTCCCCTGGAGGTGTTTAGACTATCAAGATACAGACCCTATCTCTACAAAAACAACAATTATAATTAGCAGGCGTGGTGACACACACCTGTATTCCCAGCTAATTGGGAGGCTGAGGTGGGAGGATTGCTTCAGCCCGGGAGGTTAAGGCTGCAGTAAGCCATGATCATACCACTGCACTCCAGCCTGGGTGACAGAGTGAGATCCTGTCTAAAAAACAAACAAAACCCCCCCATACACAAAAAACTATCAAGAGGGTTGGTTCCCCTTCAGAGGACTTGATTTTTTGATTTATGGGACTCTGTGAGTACTTTGAGTTTGTGGTCCCTGTGGAAGCCTGGGAACTGAGTCTTTCTCTTAAGCCCCGAGCTGTCTGGAAAGGTACAGTCTCATTCATCTGCCTTCCAGCATCACTAGCTCCAGGGCTCCTCCCTGGAATGGAGGCCTCTGTCACCCTGCCTGGGTGGTCCTGCTATCAGGACACTGTACCAGGCTCCGGTGAGGGTCTCAGCCCCATAACCACCGAGTCACTGTCTCAGGCTCTTGGTTCCTTCCAGGCTGTGGTGAGGTCCCTCTGTTTTGGTTTGGCTGAGGTGGTTGAAATGAACAGGACTGCTCTGACCAGCTCACAGAAGGGGAAGTGGATGGCACGAGCACAGGTAGGGCAGCCAGGGAGCAGAGATTCTCTCAACACCCCCAAATCTCCAAATCAGGGTGCCTTGGGATGCAAATGGCAAAAATCCCAAGCTAACCTCGAGCAAAAGAAGGAAGAGGAGGAGGTATTGGCTTATCTGGCTTCAGGTACTGCTGGATCCAGCACTCCATCTTGCTTCCCTCATCTGCCTCCTCCCTGCTCATTCAACCTCTGGCTCAATCCCACCCTCTCAGCTGCCAGTGAGCAGTTTTTCTCTTCTTATCAGTTCTAACCATGGTCCCAGCCAGACACAAGTCTCACTGAGCCAGATGAGGTACCCGGCCCTTCTCTGAACCAATCACCACAGCCAGGGGGAAAGAATTACACTGATTGCCTAGGTCTGTGTCTCCACCCACTTCTAGGCAACTCAATCCCCTAGACTAAGGTTTTAGGAGTTCCTTAGGGAAAATGGACATCCAGAAGAGAGGCTGATAGGCAGAGACAGATCCATCCTTTCTATCCAGGAAGCCCAATACCGCTGGGCTCCCAGAGCCAGGGAGCTGGTGGGGGGCTGAGGTGGGCCCTGCAGGGCTATGGCATTCTGCTTCTCTCCTGTGCCTTTCCTCTCCTTTCTTTGGTGGCCCTTCTATTTCCCCTCCTAGTCCCTAGTCTGCCAATATGGAGACCCAAGCCACCCCAGGGCCAGGTGACACAAGCTCATGGAATCAGTCCATCTGGGTTTGAATCTTGGCTCTGTGTTTCTTAGCTGAGGGACTTGGGACACTTCACTTCATCCATCTGAATCTCATTGTCCTCCCCTGTGAAGTGGGCCAGGACAGGGCCACCCTCGTGGGTGGTGGCTGCCAGAGCTTCATGAGATAAGGCATTAAGAACACTTAGCAGAAGCTGCTGTGGAAAACAGTCTGGCGGCTCCTCAAAAAGTTAAACATAGAATTACCATATGATCCAGCAATTCCACTCTTGGCTATAGACCCAAAATAATTGAAAGCAGGGACTCAAACAGATGTCTGCACACCATCATTCATAGCAGCATTAGTTACAACAGCGAGAAGGTGGAAATAACTCAAGGTCACCAACAGATGAATGGATAAACACGATGTGCTAATGTTGACAGGGCTCAGGGCAGGATACCCCCGATACGGCATCTTGGCTTTTTTTTTTTTTTTTTTTGAGAAGGAGTCTCGCTTTGTCACCCAGGCTGGAGTGCAATGGCATGATCTTGGCTCATTGCAACCTCCGCCTCCCCAGTTCAAGTGATTCTCCTGCCTCAGCCTCCCGAGAAGCTGGAATTACAGGTGGCCGCCACCATGCCCAGCTAATTTTTTGTATTTTTAGTAGAAACGGGGTTTCACCATATTGCCTAGATTGGTCTCAAACTCCTGACCTTGTGATCCACCTGCCTCGGGCTCCCAAAGTGCTGGGATCACAGGCGTAAGCCACTGCGCCAGGCCCATCTGGGCATATTGACTATTTCAAGCTGAAGGAATTTGAGAAATGGCATGTTCAGGAAAGACTTTCTGACCTTCCCCTGTCAGGTCATAAAACCCACTTGTGAGAGGTGCCCTCTCTCTACCCAGAGGAAAGGAGCCTCCTAAACTCTGAAGATGAAAGGATGTCAAGAGGAATCTGAATGAACAGGCCTCAGTAAATTTCCCCTAGCTGATTACACTCAGCTCTTTGTCTATCCCATTCTTCCGTGACTTTCTGCTTTGTCGAACCTACCATAAAACCAGCCTGGGCAACACAGTGAGACCCCCATCTCTACAAAAACACAAAAATTAGCTGAGTGTGGTGGCACGCACCTGTAGTCCCAGCCACTCAGGAGGCTGAGGTGGGAGGATCACTTGAGCCCAGAAATTCAAGGCTGTGGTGAACCATGAGTGCGCTACTGCACTCCAGCAGACAACAGAGCAAGACTCTGTCCCAAAAACAAAAAATAAAAAACCTAGCATAAAAACAGTCAGGTTTAATGGCTTCTTTGCGTCTTCATTTCTTTATGAAAGCTCCTGTATTACATAGAACTTACATAAAACTCATCTGAAATAAATTTATATGCTTTTCTCTCTTTTTTTTTTGAGATGGAGTCTTGCTCTGTTGACCATGCTGGAGTGCAGTGGCGCAATCTCGGCTCACTGCAACCATTGCCTCACGGGTTCAAGCAATTCTCCTGCCTCAGCCTCCCAAACAGCTGGGACTATAGGCACAAACACACCACCATGCCTGGCTAATTTTGTATTTTTAGTAGAGACAGGGTTTCACCATGTTGGCCAGGCTGGTCTCAAACTCCTGACCTTGTGATCCGCTCGCCTTGGCCTCCCAAAGTGCTGAGATTACAGGTGTAAGCCACTGCACCTGGCCCTGTTTTTTTGGGACAGGGTCTTGTTCTGTCACCCAGGCTGGAGTGCAGTGGTGTGATCTCGGCTCACTGCAGCTTCTGCCTCCTGGGTTCAAGAAATTCTCCTGCCTCAGCCTCCTGAGTAGCCGAGACTACAGGTGCCCGCCACCACACCCGGCTAATTTTTTATATTTTTGGTAGAGACAGGGTTTCACCATGTTGGCCAGGCTGGTCTCGAACTCCTGACCTCAAGTGATCACCCTGCCTTGGCCTCCCAAAGTGCTGGGATTACAGGCATAAGCCACTGTGCCCGGCCAGTCTCTCATCTTTAATATATATATACACAAACACACACACACACACACACACACACACACACACACACACACACACAGACATATAAATTCGTCAGGGTTCTCCAGAAAGACAGAACTAGTAGGATACGTGTGTGTGTGTGTGTGTGTGTGTGTGTGTGTGTGTGTGTATACATATATATATATATATATATGAGTTTATTAGAAAGATAAACTTTCAGTTTAAAAATCAGGAAAGTCCTGGGCAAGGCGGAGTGCTTGGTCACCTGGCCTGCTGCTCAACTCTCTTGGTTTCCCAGTTCCACAACTCAGCAGGATATTGGTTTGGTTCAGCTCATTTTTCCTAGCCAAGCCACTCAGGTCACTAACAGACCTGCAAGGGTGTCCTTGGGGCAGGGGCTGACCCCTGGTAGGGGGCCTAGGGTCACGTGGTGGGGCATCCCTTTGAAAGGCCTGTGGGTGAAGCAGAAGCAGAATGGCTTCAGGGTAAGACCCCACCTGGGAAGGTTGGTGGCCACTGACCTCAAAGCTAGCACTTTGGAAAGCAGCCCAGTGGTGAGAGCAGGGGGACATCAGGCTTTCAATCTGCCCAGCTCAAGCCTGTGTTCCTCAGCCAGGTGCACCTGCCTGTGATCCCATTTACTTTGGAGGCTGAGGCAGGAGGATCACTTGAGGCCAGTTAGAGACCAGCCTGGGCAACATGGGGACACCCTGTCTCTACAAAAATTTTTGTAAAAATTATCTGAGAATGGTGGTGCATACCTGTAGTCCCTACTACTGGGGAGGCTGAGGTGGGAGGATGATATGATCCCAGGAGTTTGAGGCTGCAGTGAGCTGCTACACTCCAGTGTGGGGGACAGAGCAAGAGCCTGTTAAAAAAAAAAAAAAAAGGCCAGGTGTGGTGGCTCACGCCTATAATCCCAGCACTGGGAAGCTGAGGCCAGCGGATCACTTGAGGCCAGGAGTTTGAGACCAGCCTGGCCAACATGACAAAACCTTGTCTCTACTAAAAATACAAAAATTAGCCGAGCATGTTGGCAGGTGCCTGTAATCCCAGCTACTTGGGAGGCTGAGGCAGGAAAATTGCTTGAACTGAGGCGGAGGTTGCAGTGAATCGAAATGGCACACTGCACTCCAGCCTGAGCAACAGAGCAAGACTCCGTCTCAAAAAAAAAAAAAAAAAAACATGCTCCAATTCGTTTACCGGTCCCTTCCCCCACCCTCCTTTGCCCTGATATCACAACTTTGCCCAGAAAGGACTCAGAGACCCCGCCCCTGTACTTGGGCGTGACAGTGCCCTGGTGTGAGGGGGCATCTTCCGCTGACCACCCGACTGACCCCATCCTCTGGTCCCTACTGTACGCTGTGAGTTACAACAGTGACCATGACCATAGGGCCTACTATGTGCAGGGTGCTCAACAGCCCTCACATAAGTGTCACAACAGTCCTGGAAGGTCCCTCACAAGCGAGGAAACTGAGGCAGGAGCCACGAGATCACTGGCCTGTCTGTGGCTGAGCCAGACTTGAACCTGGTCTGTCTGACTCCAGAGCACGTGCTTTTTCCGACACTTCCTGCCCCCCAGAGTCATCCCATTCCGGAATCCAGGCTCTGGGATCCCAGGGCCTCAGGGACTGGGCACCGTCCCCCCAACCACCGCCGAGGAGTGGGCGTTTCTACAGCCTTCTCCGTGGGCCTGCGACCCCCAGTGCGAGGGGAGGGCCGCTGGGGGCTCTGGAAACCCCCTCTTCCATGGGTGGGAGGCGAGGGGCTGAGGCGCAGCGCTGGGCTGGGCCCAGGCCGGCTTCGCCCACACCTGGGATGGAGGCGGAGGCGCTCCGGGTGTTCTGCAGGCGGGAGGCTTTCCACCCCGCTGGCCCCTCACGTCGGCGCATCCTCATGGGATCCTCACGAGGAGCGAGTGAGGTGGGCTCCATTCTTATTCTTTCCCCTGGCAGGAGGCGAGCAGAGGCTCCGGACTCCACAGGTGGCGCGTGGTGAGTAGCCAAGATGAGCTCAGGCAGCCTCTCCAAAGCAGGGGCGCTAACCTGGCCACCTCTCACACCCTGGCTCCCTGCTGGCCCTCTCCACCCCCGCCCGGTCCCTAAGGCCACATCTCTTCCCCGTCCTCGGCCAGCTCAGCCCAGGCCGTCCCTCCCTATGCCCGCCAGGGGGAGTGCGAGCTCCTTGCAAAGACCTCAGGAGGCCGCTGGGAAGGTCTGGACAGGCCAGGCGGGGCGGGAAGCAGGAGGACCCGCGGGGCGGGGACCGGAGCCGCTGGGAGGCCGCCCAGTTTGACGTCCTGCTCCTGCCCAGGCCTCGCCAGGCCCCGGCCCTCCGCAGGCCTCAGTTCCCTTGTCTATAAAATGGGAGGTGGAGCCCTTGGGAGCAGAGCTGCTCACCTTTTAAGAGCATGTGAGTCACCTGGGAATCTTTTTAAAGGCAGATTCTGATGCAGTGGATCTGGGGTGGGGCCTGGGAAGCCGCATTTCTAATGAGCTCCCAGGTAAGGTCCATGCTGCTGGATCCTGGATTCATCTCTCTTTTTTTTGTTGTTGTTTTGTTTTTTGAGACGGAGTTTCACTCTGTCGCCCAGGCTGCAGTGCAGTGGCGCGATCTCGGCTCACTGCAACCTCTGCCTCCTGGGTTCAAGTGATTCTCCTCCTTCAGCCTCCCGAGTAGCTGGGATTACAGGCGCCTGCCACCATGACTGGCTAATTTTTGTATTTTTAGTAGAGACGGGGTTTCAGTATGTTGGCCAGGCTGGTCTCGAATTCCTGACATCAGGTGATCCACCCGCCTCGGCCTCCCAAAGTGCTATTACAAGCTTGAGCCACCGCACCTGGCCTCTGGATTCATCTCTAAAGGACCCGCCAGCTCCGATGACAATTTGTTTTTTTGGGTTGAACGAGGAAGACCTGCCTGTGTCCCAAACCCTTCTGAAGAAGTGGCTGTTCATGTGGTCATTAACTTATTCCCTCATTCATTCATTCAACAAGCATCCTCTGAGCCTCTCTCTGTGACAGGTCCCTGCCTGGTGCCAGGGATATAGAAATAGACAAGATCCTGTCCTGCCCTTGAGGAACTCATGGACACAAGAACCAGAGATTAGCACCCAATGTGATCAGTGCTGGGGGAGAAAGAAGCCCAGGGCAGAGGTGCGAGAATACCAGAGGAGCCCCTCACTAGACATGTGAGGAGGTCAGGGAAGGCTTTTGGGGGAGAAGACCCCTCCCCCTCCCCCTCCTTTGTTTTTTATTTTTGAGAAAAGATCTTGCTCTGTCACCCAGCAATCACTGCTCGCTGTATCCTCAACCTCCCAGGCTCAAGCTCAGCCTCCTGAGTAGCAGAGATTACAGGTGAGTGCCACCACCCGGCTAATTTAAATTTTTTTTTTTTTTTTGTAAAGACAGAGTCTCACAATGTTGCCCAGGCTGGTCTCAAACTCCTGAGCTCAAGGGATCCTCCTGCCTTGGCCTCCTAAAGTGTTGGGATTACAGGTGTGGGCTCCACCTCCTCTTGATGAATGGGCAGAAGAGCACCAGGCAAAGGGGAGGGGAGGGAAAGGGTTTTCCAGCAGAGGAACGGGCATATACGAGGCCCTGAGCAGAGAAAGCCAGGCCATGGGGGTAAAGTGGTTATGCAGTGAGAGGGGCTGCACACAGACACACAAGAACACATAAACCCCTCACATAAAGCAAACACGCAAACACACCAGCACATACATACACCCCCTCAGAGGTGCAGATGTGGGTAGGAAGCTGCACCCTGAAAGAGAAGAGAGTTCTTATTCGGGAACTTCAGTGAGCTCCGACTGGAGTGGGTTGTTGTAGGACGGTTTCCTTAGCAATCCCCTGCTTTCCTCCCCAAATACTCTCCAAGGACCGCTTCCAGGGCTCTTTCAGCTCCACCGCTGAGGCTCCCCTGGCTGCCAAACTCCAGAGTCTACCCCTGCCCCATCTCCCTTCTCCACTCCCATCCTCAACTCCGGGCCCCCAGCTCTGAAGAACTGACCCCAGGGAGTGTCCTGTCACATACGGGCCCACTCTCATCCCCACCCCTCTCTGCCCCTGTCGCTACCTGCTTTTCCCTACCCCTGGCCCCATGCTGTCCCTCCAGCAACTTTGAGAGGCAGATCTGATTTGCGCCTTTGTTTTTGTTTTTGTTTTTGTTTGAGATAGGGTCTTGCTCTGTCACCCAAGCTGGAGTGCAGTGGCGTGATCTAGGCTCACTGCAACCTCCGCCTCCCAGATTCAAGCAATTCTGCCTCAGCCTCCCAAGTAGCTGGGACTACAGGCTTGTGCCACCACGCCCGGCTAATTTTTGTATTTTTAGTAGAGACAGGGTTTCGCCATGTTGGCCACGCTGGTCTTGAACTCATGACCTCAGGTGATCCACCTGCCTCGGCCTCCCAAATTGCTGAAATTACAAGTGTAAGCCACTGTGCCTGGTCTAGGCCACTGGTCTTACTGTTTGTTTTCTATTTGTCCCACTTACACGGTTATTTTTCTCTCTTTTCTTGCCTTCTCTTGCCAGCCTACACCAACGTACCCAGCAAAAAATACTCTTCAAAAACAAAGGTGGCCTCTTCTAGAAGATCTGATTTTATAAAAAGAAAAAGAAAATTTTTTTTTAAATTCAAGTGAAACTGAGACATTTCATACAAATAAAAATGGAAAGAATTTATCACCAGCACGTCCCCATCAAAGAATTAGCAAAGGGTGATTTTCAGGCAGGAGAAAATGGATCCCAGATGGAAACTTGGAGATTTGGGAGGAAATGAAGGCCAATGGAGAGAGAAAATATTTGGTTAATCTAAACAAATATTGTCTGTATAAAACAATAATAATTAGGTCTTGTGGAGTTTGAAATATATAAAGGATTCAAATAGCAGATGGTAACAGATGACAATAGCATCCAAGTCAGGAGGGGGTAAATGGAGTTTTAAGTGGTCTAAACTTCCTGCATTTCCCTACGAGCAGTGAGAGTTTGTCTGTAGCAGACTTTAATAAGTCAAGGATACGCATTATAATCTTTAGGATAACCACTAAAAGAAAGGAGTACTAACAAATTAATAAAGCAATGCCATGGATTAATTAAAAGTACTGTATCAGTCTGGGCTTGGTGGCTCACGCCTGTAATCCCTGCACTTTGGGAGGCCGAGGTGGGCGGATCACTTGAGGTCAGAAGTTCAAGACCAGCCTGGCCAACATAGTGAAATTCCGTCTCTACTGAAAACACAAAAACTAGCTAGGCGTGATGATGGGTGCCTGTAATCCCAGCTACTCAGGAGGCTGAGGCACGAGAATCGCTTGAACCTGGGAGACGGAGGTTGCAGTGAGCGAGATCGCACCACTGCACTGTAGCCTGGGTGATAGAGCAAGACTTTGTCCAAAAAAAAAAAAAAAAAACCCACCAAAACAAACAAAAAAACCCATATAATCCATAATAAGGTGAGAAAGGAGGGAAAAATATATTTTTAAAAGAAACTTCAGGGTAATTAAAATGTTCTTAAATTGGACGGTGGGCACACAGTGTCCCACTTCAACCTGATTCATATACTGCACGTATATTAAATAAATTTTTTTTTTCCAGATGGAGTCTTGCTGTGTTGCCAGGCTGGAATGCAGTGGGGCGATCTCAGCTCACTCACTGCAACCTCCGACTCCCTGATTCAAGCAATTCTCCTGCCTCAGCCTCCCGAGTAGCTGGGATGATGGGCACATGACACCATGCCCAGCTAATTTTTGTATTTTTAGTAGAGATGGGGTTTCACCATGTTGGCCAGGATGGTCTCGATCTCCTGACCTCATGATCCGCCCACCTCGGCCTCCCAAAGTGCTGGGATTACAGGTGTGAGCCACCAAGCCCAATCTAAATAAATATTCTTTTCTCCGAACTCCACAGTTGATAAAAATGTTTAAAAAGCAAAGCAAGTGGCAGAACATTAGGCATATGCAATATGACCTCATTTGTGTGTGTGTGAATATATATATATATATATATATACATATACATATATTCTTTCTGTTGAAGAAAATCTGGGCTGGGCATGGTGGCTCATGCTTGTAATCCCAGCACTTTGGGAGGCTGAGGCAGGAGGACTGCTTGACCTCAGGAGTTTGAGACCAGCCTGGGCAACAGAGTGGGACCCTGTCTCTACAAAAATAATAATGAAAAAACTACCTACATATGGTGGTGCGTGCCTGTAGTACCAGTTACTTGAGAGACTGAGGTGGGCGGATCGGTTGACCCAGGCAAGTGGAGGCTGCAGTGAGCCATGACCGCTCCGCTGCACTCCAGCCTGGGCGACAGAGCTAGACCCTGACTTAAAAAAAAAAGAAGCCAGAAAAATAATCTGAAGCCTGTTTGCCAAAATGCAATCAGAGGTTGTGGTGGGATGGAATTCTGCAGGGAAGCTGCCCATGCCTGCCTTTTTCTATAGTCCATGGAGTTTGCATGTTGTTTTCAGGAAGTATATTATTACTTAATAATTACAAGTCACAAACAGGCCGCAAATATGTTTCCGTTTTGAAAAAATTAATTTGAAACTATGTGATGAGAATAGGATCGATGGCTGCCGTGGGGTCCCCAACGCCTGCCGATCCCGCGGTGTCCTCCGCTCTCCCCAGCACCAGCACCTCCAGCTGAGCGCCCCGACCACCTGCCGTCGTGACCACCTCGCCCACACGGTGGCGCTGCGGGGACAGCCCAGCCTCTCCAGGCTCCGAGGGCAGGGGACTGTTGTGGCAGGGAGGGGGCGGCGTGTCTTCGGGACCTGATTGATTTCTTTGGCCTCCCGCCGACAGCCTTACCAGGTGGCATCCGGAGCGCACGCTGGCAGCCAGTCAGTCGCCTCCGTGGGTAGCTCCGGAGCATTCACGCGGTGGTGCCGCCCAGCCCACCTCCCCCCACCGGAGTCAAATGGGCTCGTGTCTCCTGGCGACAAGACTGGATTCCCAGAGCAGGCCTGGAGGGCTCTCACGGCACTTGTTAGGACAGGCTTGGGGCCTGCCTCCAGAGGACCTTAGGTTCGGGTCCTTGGGGGAGTGCAAGCCGTGTTGACCCACCTCACGCGTCAAGGGAACTACAGAGGAGGGAGAGGGGGGTCTTGCCTGGGCCCCTCTGGGCTGAGGTTGAGTGTTTCTGATCTGTCTCTGAATTCTCCCACATGCAAATCTGAGCAAGCCACTCCCTGCTTAAGACACGCAATGGCTCCCTATCGCCCTCAGGAGAAGGTCCAAGTCCCTAAGCCTGACTCCTGAGGTTCCTTACCACCGCCAACACCCAATGCTCCATCTCACTTAATCCCTTCATTCCCTTAAACCTGTCAGGCACTTTCTTACCTCTGAGGTTCCCACATGCCATTCCCATTCACTCAAACACCTTTTCACTCCTTTTTCTTCTTGGCTAACTCTGACTCATCCTTCAGACCTATAGTTTAAATGTTGCCTCCTCCCGGAAGCACCCCCCTGCCGCCCAGCCCCCAAAGGTCCCCCAGGCTTCCCTTTCTCAACATCACATGGAGTCTCGCTGTGTCACCTAAGCTGGAGTGCAGTGGTACGATCTCTGCTCACTGCAACCTCTGCCTCCCAGGTTCAAGCGATTCTCCTGCCTCAGCCTCCCAAGTAGCTGGGATTACAGGTGCACACCGGTTAATTTTTGTATTTTTAGTAGAGACGAGGTTTTGCCATGTTGGCCAGGCTGGTCTCGAACTCCTGACCTCAACTGATCCTCCTGCCTTGGCCTCCCAAAGTGTTGGGATTACAGGCGTGAGCCACCACGCCCAGGCTTCACACTTGATTCTAATGATGGGTTTATTGCCTGCCTCTTTCATTGGACGGTGGCCTCAGGAGGGCAGGGGTCTGTCTTCCTGGGTCATTACTGCTCTCTCAGGGCCAGGACCATGCAGCACTCAGCAGGTGCTCCATACATTGCTGTGCCATGAGCGAATGTTCGTGACCATACCTCTCCTGGTGGTGGGTGCTTGAGGGGTGTGCAAAGACACTCGGTGGCCTCTGGGTAGGTGGAGGTGGCAGGGACGAGGCACAGTTACCACAGCCTGTCTAAGGAACCACTGGGCTTCCCTTGGACTCCTGCTGTCTGGAGAGACAAACCACAATGACTGGTGGTTGCCAGGCCCCTCCCCAGCACCCAGAGGGTGGCTGGACACAGGCTGACCTCAAGCGGCACCAGAAAGAGATGAGTGTGTGTGTCCCTTCACCCAGCCCTGTCTGGCCTCCTCCCTGTGCACGCGGTCGCCTCCCAGACTCGATGCCCAGCCTGCATGCCCAGCTGATGATGGATATCGCCTCAAATGTCCTCCAGCATCCTAAAGTCATCTGAATTCTCATCTTCCTCAAATCGCTTCCCTTCCTGGTTCCCCATCTCAGGAATGGCTCCACCATCTCTCCAGCCACCAGCCTACTTTCCTCCCTCTACCATCACCCACCCATCACCAAAGTCTGGTCTCTAATTGAGGACCCCACCATCTGCTTTGCTGATCTCTCCAGGGTTCTAGGAATAACACCCTCGCCCACCCCTAAGCCCTCCTGAGCCCCATATCACAGCCAGGCTTATTTACTTTCAGTTCCCCAAATGAGCTGTGCCTGCTCTCTGCTCCTGGCCTCTGTCTGTGCTGTTCCCTCAGCCTGGCCTCCCCATTTTTACCTGGGGAATGTGTGTGCACCCCTCAGGTTTCTGCTTAGACATCCCTTCTTCCAGGAAGTCCTCCCTGATTGGGTGCCCCTCCTTGGGGCTCCCATGGTCACCTGGGCTTCCCTGGTCTCTGCCCTCATCACACTGTGTTGCTGTTGCTTATCATCTGTCTCCTTGTTGCCAAATCTTGGGACAGCGGTCAGTCCTCAGCACATACAGCTGCTCAGCCTTGCCTGACCCAGCTGGCCATGCCCTCCTTGCTGAAAGCCCTCCTCCCATGGCTTCCAGGTCACTGCTGTCTCTGAGGTCTCCTCCTGTTGGCTGGCTGCTCCTACTCAGTTCTCTTGGCCGGTTCTTCCTCATCTCCTGCACCTAATGTTGGTGTCTTCCAGGACTGGGCCGGGACCTCTCCTCTCCTCTCCTCTCCTCTCCTCTCCTCTCCTCTCCTCTCCTCTCCTCTGTCTACTCTCCTTCCCTTTGCACCGGCCTTCAGATGCCTGGGTTTCAATCCCATTTGCATGCTGACAGCCCCTGAATTCTATTTCAGCCTGAATCTGTCCTCCGGCTGCTCCTCACCTCTCCACTCGATGTCTAATGGATGCCTCCAGCCCAGCAAGTTCACATGAAGCTCTTGGCTCAAACCCCTTCCTCCACTGACTCTTCTTCTGGGACCCTCATCCTTCTGTTCAGGAAGCCAAAAAGCTTGGTGTCATCGTTCACTCCTTTTTCTCACCCCACATCCAATCCGTCAGGAAAGCCAGTGACCACCTTCAACATACACCAGAGTCCCACGCCTTCTCACCACCTCGCCTAGACCACCTGGTCCAAGATCTCTTGTTAAGGCACGTGCAGTGGCCTCCTGGCCCCATCACTACTTCAGCCCTGGCCCCCTGCAGTCTATTCCCAACTGGCACCTGGCCTGGAAGTGAGGCCATGTTCACCCTCAGGCCCCACCTCACTTGGAGTAACAGCCAAGCCCTTCCCTGCCTACGAGACCCTCGGGGGCTGACCTGTTCTCCCACCACTGCTGGCCTCAGAGCCTTCGCACTGTCTGTTCCCTCTCCCTTTGAAACTCCCCCCATCATATCTGCACAGTGCCCTGCCTCTTGCTTTCAGATCTCTATTCAGGGAGGTCTCCCCTGGCCAATCTGCATGCAGATGAGGTCTCCGGTACTTCCCGTCTTAGACATATGTTTATATGTTCCTTATCTGTCTCCTCTACTAGAAGTAAGTCTATGAGGGCAGGAATTTCTTTCTCCTGTGTTCCCTGCTGTATTTTCAGTATCTAGAATGGTATCTGGCATGTAGTAGACCCAGATAAATATTTGCTAAATAAATGAATGAATGAACAAGTGCCTCCTTCACCAGACAGTGAAGATTTAAATGGCAGACACATGATCGTACTCACCACCATAGCCCGAGTACTTGAACCTAATCAGGGCTCAGGAAATACTTGCTGAATCCATGGGCAGATGGATGGATGGAAGGATGGAAGGATGGATGGATGGATGGATGGATGGATGGATGGATGGATGGATGGATAAACTGTCCCCAAGGGTTTCTACCAAGACAGGTACCCGGCCCAACTTTGCAGGAGGAGGCAGGTCTGTCCACCCTGGTGATGCCTGAGCCCTAGAGTCTCCTAGGGGCATCTGAGACACTGAGGTCCCAGTTCCTGACCACCCCACAGGACTTCCCCAGGTCCCAGAGGGTTTGCAATGCTTGTTCCTGGCAGCAAGACAGGAAACTGCTACAGGATGCCACGCTGATCCAAAACTTCAGTTCTTGTGCCCTTTAACACAGCACTTTTGCTTCAGAGAATCTTTTTGACTAAAAGGCTGGCAACAGTGCACAGAGTTAGAACCGCATGTTGTAGGGTCACAGCAGCATGGCTGGTAATTGCCTAGAGAAGGGAGCAGCCTGGATGCCCAATGGTAGGGGACCGCCTGGGTGCAGGGTGGCATAGCCTGCCACGTGATGCTTGGTGGTCAATACAAAGATCAAAGAGGATGGATCCAGGTGCTGAGATGGGAAGACACGGGGGAGATGCTAAGTGACAGAAGCATGTCACGGAACCATCGTGTGGAATGAGCTGTGTGTGGTGTGAATAATGAAGCTTGTGGGTGCGTGTGTGCCCATGTGTACATGTCTGTGTGCATTGGAAAGGGGCTGAACTCACAGTCACCCACCTGGATGGGGAGTGGTCACCCCTGGATGGGGAGCAGGATTTGAAAGGACACTTCCACTGACTGGCCTAGATACTTTTTTTTTTTTTGAGATAGAGTTTCGCTCTTGTTGCCCAGCCTGGAGTGCAATGGCGCCCTCTTGGCTCACTGCAACCTCTGACTCCCAGGTTCAAGCGATTCTCCTGCCTCAGCCTCCCTAGTAGCTGGGATTACAAGCGTACACCACCACGCCCAGCTAATTTGTGTATTTTTAGTAGAGACGGGGTTTCACTGCATTGGCCAGGCTGATCTCAAACTCCTGACCTCAGGTGATTCACCTGCCTCGGTCTCCCAAAGTGCTAGGATTACAGGTATGAGCCACCATGCCCGGCCCTTTCCTTCTTTCTTTCTCTCTTTCTTTCTTTTTGGAGACAGGGTCTCACTTTGTCACCCAGGCTAGAGTGCAGTGGTGTGATCTTGGCTCACTGCAGCTTTGACCTCCTGGGCTCAAGCAATCCTCCCCGCACCTCAGCCTCCTGAGTAGCTGGGACTAAAGGTGTACACCACTTTGCTTGACTAATTTTTGTATTTTTGGTAGAGAAGGGGTATTGCTATGTTGCCCAGGCTAGTCTCAACCTCTTGAGCTCAATGGATCTGCCCGCCTCAGCCTCCTAAAGTGCTCAGAATAGCACCTAGCCTTTTTTTTTTTTTTTTCTTTTCTTGATAGAGTGGCTCACTCTGTTGCCCAGGCAGGAGTTCAGTGGTGTAATCATGGCTCACTGCAGCCTTGACCTCCCGGACTCAAGCAATCCCCCCATCTCAGCAGTCTCCTAAGTAGCTAGGACTACAGGTGCATGACATCTGCCCGACAAATTTTTTCTTTGTTGAGACAGGGTCTCATTATGTGGCCCAGGTTGGCTTTTTTTTTTTTTTTTTTTAAGAGACAGAGTCACCCAGGCCTTAGAAGACAGTGGCACAATCATAGCTCACTGTAACCTCAAACTCCTGGGCTCAAGGGATCCTCCTGTACACACCACACCTGAGGCTAACTTTTTTATTTTTTGTACAGATGGGGTCTCACTATTTGCCTAGGCTGGTATTATTATTATTATTTGGAGATGGAGTCTCACTCTGTAACCCAGGCTAGAGTGCAATGGTGTGATCTCGGCTCACTGCAATCTCCGCCTCCCAGGTTCAAGAGATTCTCCTGCCTCAGCCTTCCAAGTAGCTGGGACTACAGGCACACATCACCACACCCGGCTAATTTTTGTATCTAGGCTGGTCTTGAACTCCTGGCCTCAAGCAATCTACCTACCTCAGCTTCCCAAAGCTCTGGGGTTACAGGCATGAACATACACACAGGGCCTGTTTTCACATTTTTAAATGGTTGGGGGGAAAAAATCAAAATAATACTGTACTGTTTTATGACACAAGAAAATGACAGGAAATTCAAATTTCAGTGTCAACAAATAAAGTTTTATTGGTACACAGCCATGCTCATTCATTGACATATTGTCTATGGCTGCTTTTAAGCTACAGTGGCCAGTTGAGCAGTCGCATCCGTGACTACATGGCCTGGAGCACCTAAAATACCACCTGGCCCTTTACAGAATAAGTTTGCCAACCCCGACATATAATATATTGCTTGGGGCCAAACAGTAGCTCTGTGGCCTGTCTGGCTTTTTTCTCTTGTGTCCACCTATCCTAAATGCCCTCTCTGTCACTGGGAAATTAGCTACCCTAAAGGATCCTTTCAAACCCTCCCCTCCACCAGGTAGGCTCACTTTGCTGATCCAGCCCCCTCCTGGCTGATGCCTCGGGTATCCCTCCCCACCCTCCCAATCCCCGTCTGAGTGGAGAGCCTCACGGGCAGTGACTGACTGATTCATCTCTGTGTCTCCAGCACTTGGCATAGTCCCTGGTGAAAGTTTGCTGAATTGCATAAACTGCTGTCATTGCCGGGTTGGTGAAATGCTTCCAAGCTTCTTGAGGTTTATCCTGACTGGCCACAAAACCTGAAAACTAGCCAAGAAGCATGGGGAAGGGTGGCTGGGGAGGAGGGTCAGGTGGAATGCAGAGAGCTGAGCTCATGTGGGGAGTTCTGATGACTTCAGGGGCTTCCCCGGGGCAGAATCACTCCCTGTGAGCACAGAGAATAAAACTAGGATGAGAGATTAGTTACTGAGTACAATGGATGTTGTTCGCCTGATGGATACCCCGTAAGTATCCCTGACTTGACCACTACACAATCTATGCATGTAACAAAATTGCACATGTACCTCATACATTTGTACAAATGGAAACAAAAAAGAAAAGCTAGGGGGTGTGGTGGCTCACGCCTGTAATCCCAGCACTTTGGGAAGCTGAGGCAGGTGGATCACTTGATGTCAGGAGTTCAAGACCAGCCTGGCCAACATGGTGAAACCCCGTCTCTACTAAAAATACAAAAATGAGCCAGGCGTGGTGGTGTATGCCTATAGTCCCAGATACTCAGGAGGCTGAGGCAGGAGAATCGCTTGAACCCAGGAGGTGGATGTTGAAGTGAGCCGAGGTTGTGCCACTGCACTCCAGCCTGGGCAACAGAGCAAGACTCTGTCTCAAAAAAAAAAAAAAAAAAAGGAAAAAGAAAAGAAAAAGAAAAGCTAGGACCAGGATTGCCTGGAGGTAGGGAGTTCCCCATTTGAGGAGGTAAGCAAGCGGAGTTTAGATCAAGGATGTCAGGAGATTGCTGCCCTGTTGGAGGGTTTACTGGTTGAGATCTCCAGTTGCTTCCAACACAGAGCTCAGGAAGCCTGGGGTTCTCTTGGATGATGGCCAGGCCCTTGTGCCTCACCAAGGCCAAGCTCTGGGGGCTGGGAAAGGGGACAGAGGGCCCTATTCCTGCCAGCTGCTGAAGATCCCACTCCATCCACACAAGCCTGTGTCTCATCCCTGCCTTGACCTCCTACAATTGTGTGCCTGCTACGGGAATCCAGGGAACAGCTTCCTGGAACACGAGGCAGAGCCGTGGGACCCAGCAGCCAACACATCTCAAGTCCAGCCCCACAGTTCATCATGAAACTGATGATTTCCAGGAACTTTGAGGACCCTAGACCATCATCTCCGTCCACTCAGCCCTGGAAATCCCCCAACTCCAGGCATTTATTTATAGCTTGCCTTCTTTCCTGGAAAGGTTTGAGGTTGTTTAATAATTCCACCTCACATTTGTGCAGCACTAGGAGGAGGCCACAGGGCATTGTGGTTGAGAGTCTGGGCCCTGGAATCAGCTGTGTGTTGGGGGAGGGAGTGCCAAGTTATTTAACTTCCCCAGCCGCACCACAGCGGAGGACTCAAATTTCTAACCCAGCCCCAAAGCGTGGTGCCTGTCACATCCTCCCTCTGTGCGGCTGATTAGCCACTTCCTCCTCTGAGCCTGGGTTTCCTTGGGACAGTTGGGATTCCCTGAGAGGACGTGGGAACTCACGAGGACCCTAGGCAAGCACACACATGGGGCAGCTGGCTGTCTGTGGCCCCTGCTTGCCCTGGGGAGCCGATGACAGGGCCGCCGGCAATGCACCCTCGTCCCCTGGGGCTGGCTCAGAATTCCTAAGGCGGTGCCAACCCTTGGTTCAAGGCCTTTAGATGAGTCAAGAAAGCCTCTGTACAACAAACCCCTGTGACATGAGTTTACCCATATAACAAATCTGCGCCTAAAATAAAAGTTTGCAAAAATAATAATAAAGCAGAGACCACCGCCTCCCTAAATGCGGGGGCTGGAGAAGGACAGTTGTGGGAGGGGCCCGGGATGTAAGGTGAGACCACCAGGGAGCAGACCAAAGCCTGGCTCAGACATTCCCTCTTTGAAGGCCCCTTCCCACCTCCACACCTCCCTGCCACCCCCACCCAGACATACTTCTGCCCTCCTTGGCTAAGAGGCACTGGGTGTTTACTTGGGGCGAATAATGACTTCCTGTCAGGCGGACTCAAGCCCCAGCTCTGCTGCTTCTCAGCCCCTTGAACGCCTCTCAGCTTTCCTATCTGTGAAATGGGGCTCAGAAAACCTTTTTAGAAGGTTGATATATGAGGTGCATGGAGAGTACCAGGCCTCTCTGAGTACAAGACCCTCTGGTCTCCCTCCTCCCATTCTGGCCCCCGGGTACCAGCCCTGAATGAGAAGTGGGGAGGACCCAGTCCAACCAGAAAAGCATTAAGATGCAGGGAGAGCCAGGCGCGGTGGCTCACGCCTGTAATCCCAGCACTTGGGAGGCCGAGGTGGGTGGATCACTTGAGGTCAGGAGTTTGAGACCAGCTTGGCCAACATGGTGAAACCTTGGCTCTACTGAAAACACAAAAATTAGCTGGGTATGGTGGCCTGCACCTGTAATCCCAGTTACTTGGGAGGCCGAGGCAGGAGAATCGCTTGAACCTGGGAGGTGAAGGTTGCAGTGAGCCGAGACTGTGCCACTGCACTCCAGCCTGGGTGACAGAGAAGGAACCCAGTACCTCAATAAGGGCTCCTGGATGGAGTGCATACAAGGCGAGAGGGAGTGGGGAAAAAAAAATAACAACTCAGCCAACGCTTAGTCATTCCACAGATACTTTTTTTTTTTCTTTTGAGCCAGGGTCTTGCTCTGTCACCCAGGCGGAAGTGCAATGGTGCAGTCATGGCTCACTGCAGCCTCAACACCCCAGGCTCAAGTGATCCTCCCACCTCAGCTTCCTGAGTAGCTGGATCTACAGGCGTGTACCACCAAGCCCGGCACATTTTTGTATTTTTTGTAGAGATGGGGTTTTGCCATATTGCCCAGGCTGGTCTTGAACTCCTGGGCTCAAGCGATCCACCTGCCTCAGCCTCCCAACGTGTTAGGGTTACAGGCATGAGCCACCACACCCGGCCAAATATTTTATTCAGTACATGTTTATTGGGGGCCCACTGTGCTGGGCACAGTTCTAGGTGCTGGGATACAGACTGGAGCTTCCATGAAAGTAGGGGCTGGAGAATGATACACAAATAAATATATAAATAATGTCAGGTGGGATCCGAAGGGCCAGGAAGAAAACTAAAGCCGGGACAGGGGCAGACAGAGCCATGGGAGAGGCAGGGATGCAGGGGTCATGATATCTTAGAGAGGGTAATCAGGGGAGCCTCTAAAGGAGGCAGCATATGGCCAGGACCTGAACACGGGGGAGGGGGCTCTCATCCCAAGCAGAAGAAATAGAGGGACCTGTAATCCCAGCATTTTGGGAGGTGGAGTTGAGCAGATCATCTGAGGTCAGGAGTTCCAGACCAGCCTGGCTAAAATGGTGAAACCCGTCTCTACTAAAAATATGAAAATTAGCCAGGCATGGCGGCACACACCTGTAATCCCAGCTACTCAGGAAGCTGAGGCAGGAGAATCACTTGAACTTGGGAGGCAGACGTTGCAGTGAGCTGAGGTCGGGCCACTGCACTCCAGCCTGGGTGACAGAGTAACACTCCATCTCAAAAAAAAAAAAAGAATAAGAAAAAAAGAAGAAATAGGGAAGCCCTGAGGTGAGATGCACCTGGCAGTGCAAAGAAAAACTGGGAGGCCCATGTGGTTGGGGGAGGGGGGAGAGGAAGAGGGAGAAAGGAAAAGGAGAGAAGGGAAAGGAGGAGAGAGGGAGGGAGACAAGGAGAGAGGGGAAAGAGATGGGAGGAGGGGGAGATGAGCTGGTGGGCAGATTTTGCAGGGCCTGGCAGGCTGTGCTATGGGCTATGGATTTTAGATTCACTGAGCACCTCCTCTGGTCCAACTTCTATTTTTTTTTTTTTTTTTTTTTTTTTTTGCGATGTAGTTTTGCTCTTGTTGGCCAGGCTGGAGTGCAATGGTGCGATCTCAGCTCACCGCAACCTCTGCCTCCCGGATTCAAGTGATTCTCCTGCCTCAGTCTCCTGAGTAGCTGGGATTACAGGCACCCGCCACCATGTCCGGCTAATTTTGTATTTTTAGTAGAGACAGGATTTCTCCACGTTGGTCGGGCTGGTCTCGAACTCCCGACCTCAGGTGATCCGCCACCTCGGCCTCCCAAAGTGCTGGGATTATAGGCATAAGCCACCTCTCCTGGCCCCAAGTTCCATTTTAAGTTCTACCTGAATTAACTCATTAGTTCTCCTAATGGCTCTCCAGGCATGGCCTATTTTTATCCTCGATTACAGATGAGGAAACAGAGGCACTAAGGAGTGAAATCACTTGCCCAGGGTCATCCAGCTGGAAAATGGGGAGCTGGGATTTGGACCCAGGCAGGCTGATATCAGATCCTGAGCTCCAAATCACTAAGCTCTGCTACCTGTCCTTGGGGTGAGAAACCCAGTCGGGAGGCACCGGAGCCAGAGCCGACGCCGGATTCCAGCCCACGTGGGTCTGGCTAAATGGCTAGGGTCCGTGTCCTGCAGACGAGTGGTGCTGGGTTGAGGAAAGTGCCCCCGCCTTAGGTCAGTCTCCACCCTGGCTCCGAATCTCAGGAAGAGTAAGACATTCTGAGCCCTCTATGGGTTCCATTTGGCCTTCAATAGCAGGATGTAGCTAGAAAATCAGTGGCTTACTCATTGGCTTACATCTGTAATCCCAGCACTCTGGGCAGATCCCTTGAGGCCAGGAGTTTGAGACCAGCCTGGCCAACATGGTGAGACCCCATCTCTACAAAAAATACAAAATTAGCCAGGTACAGATGCGTGTGCCTCTAATTCCAGCTACTTGGTAGGCTGAAGAATGAGAATTGCTGGAGCCTGGGAGGCGAAGCTTGCAGTGAGCTGAGATTGCGCCACTGCACTCCAGCCTAGGGCACAGAGCAACACTCTGTCTCAACAAAACAAAACAAAACAAAAATCAGAACTCACAGCAGGAAAATAACCTGAAAGCAAACACAGCCAGGCTGTCACACATTTGCATGCCTTGATACACAGTAGTGCCACATGCCCGTCCTCCTCCAGTCTGCCTGATGAACTCCTCTTCATCCCTCATAGTCCAACTGGGCTGGCCCCACCTCTGCAAAGGCTTTCTGGATCCGGCTGAGCAGATCACTCCTCTCTCATGCTGCTCCTTTACCCTAGACCTGTCTTCTTACAGCTTTTAGGCCCCTGGGTTTTGGTTTCAATTATTCCTTTGTGTTTGGCTCCCCCATCTCCACCCAGCCCAGGCCTTGGCAGGGGCAGAGGGGGTGAGTGGGGCAGATGCCACATCTTGCTGTGCCACCCTCACTGGCCACATCCTCCCCAACAGGGCAGCCAATGAACAAGCTGGCCACCAGGTGCTGCTGTCTCTCCCTGATGCCCACTGAAGGACCCTGGTCCACCCACTCCCTCCTGCTGACATCCCTCCACGCAGCCAGACTCGGGGGGCCAGCTGCCACCAGTGACTCCTCAGCTCCTTCCTTTACATGGAGTGACAGGTCATGTCTGGAACCTGGGAATTCCTGCTGCTGCTGGAACAGGATCATGCAGTGGGCTGGTGGGAGCTATGGCTCCCAGAGCTATGCCCTCTGTCCCCACCACTCCACTGAGCTCTGATCCCGCAGCCAGTAGTGACCTGCCGGACATCGCCACATGTCTGTCTACATTTCTCAAACTTATCGTCACCACAGCAGAGTTCCCTCTGCCCAGCCCTACCCCTCTCTACACAGCCTCTCCCAGCTCCATGGACCAATCCACTTGCTCAGGCCAAGAGCCTCAGAGTCTGCCTGGACATGTTTCTTTTCTCTTCCTCCACATCTGTCAGGCTGTGCGTGAGGTCCCCACATATATCTTTTTTTTCTTTTTCAAGACTGAGTCTCACTCTGTCACCCAAGCTGGAGTGCAATGATGTAATCTCAGCTCACTGCAACTTCCGCTTCCTGGGTTCAAGTGATTCTCCTGCCTCAGCCTCCCGAGTAGCTGGTATTGCAGATGCCCAGCATCACACCCAGCTAATTTTTGTATTTTCAGTAGAGACGAGGGTTCAACATGTTGGCCAGGCTGGTCTTGAACTCCTGACCTCACGTGATCCGCCTACCTCGGCCTCCCAAAGTGCTGGGATTACAAGTGTGAGCCACCGTGCCCGGCCCCCACATGTATCCTGAATCTGTTTACTTTTCCCCACCTTTGCTACCAACACCCTGGTTGAGGTCTTTCTCCTTAGGGACCACAGCAGTGACCCACTGGCTTCCTGCATCCTCTTTGGCCACTCCTCCGGCCACCTTCCCCTTGTAGCCAGGGAACCTCTCATGTCACTCTCCTGCTTCAACCTGCAATGGCTCCCACATCCCCTGGCCCACAAGGTCCTTGGAGAGGTGGCCTCTGTGACCTTCCCCTCTTCTCCTGGACTACTCTTCCAGCGGTTCCCAGCCCTGGCCATGCTGGCCATCGTTCCTACCCTCCTGCTCAGCCAGCTCACTCTCACCCCGGCTTTGCAGCAGCTCTGCCCACTCCTGGATGCTCGGCCCCTGAACTCTGCATGGCTGGCTTCTGTTTGCCTGGCAGGTTGCTGCTTGGATATCACCTGCTCTGTTGTGCAGCCCCCATGTAATTCTCTGAATAGCACTCCTTTCTACCAGACAGCGTGCGTGTCTCCCCCCAGCTAGGGTGGAAATTCAAAGGAGCAGGGACACCCACCATCCCAGGCCTTCTACAGGGCCGGGCACAAAATCAGACTCAACAACAGCTGGTGGAATGAATAAAAGAACAGAGGGGGCTTGCACGCGCTTTGCCGCCACACTGGGAATTTTGCAAACACAGGCGCCTTTTGACCCAGCAAGTTGATGTCTAGGGTTTTCTCCTAAGGAGATCAGTAGACAGATGCCCACAGAAGTACAGTCAAGATAGTCCTTGCAGCGTTGCTTGTCATCATGACTACTGGCAGCAACCTAGGTGTCCATCAATAGGGGATTGGCTCAAAGCAGGTGTGACACAGCCAAAGGGTGGAATGTTACGCAGCCACTAAATAGATGGGTCTCTTATCATAAAGGGAGGGAAGCAGAGCCTAGTGCCCGATGTTCAATACGATTAATCCCTGGAGGGTAGGAGCTCTGGTTGTACTTAAACATGTCTAATTCATAACAAGAGGGAAATGGATTGGGAGGTGGGAACTGTCAGGGTCATCCAAGTCTGTACCTTGACTGGTGAAGAAAGTGAGGCCCAGGGAAGCAAGACCCTCTCCCTAGGTCACAGCACTGCCTAGAGGCACAGCCAGAGTTGGGGTCCAGATCTTCTTCCCACTACTTCTGCTCTCAGCAGGTTCTGGGGGTACAGCCAGCCGAGTGAAGGGTGCATCCTGAGCCTCCATGTAGACCCTCAAGTTGAGTCCTTTCTTTTGGAGCCTCAGTTTCCTCATCTGTAAAATGGGCCCATGTTCTCCCACGCTTCCTTTACTAAGCTGGGGAGATGATAAAATTTGTATGAGGAAGAGCAGTGCCCTTTACTGAGTGCTTAGGACACACCCAGACCTGCCCTAAGACTTTGATGCACATTACCCCATTTCATCTGCACAATAACTATCTGAAGTAAGGGCTTGAGTAGCCCCATTCTGCCAACGCGACTCACAAGAGTTGAGTAACTCACCGAGTGGCACCCAGCTAGTTGGTGGCAGAGCCTGGATATAAATCCAGATGGTCAATTTCAGCCCCATCCTGCTAACCACCACATTCTATCTGAAAAGAGACCACGTGTGCATATGTACAAATGGACACGCAGATCCCCTGGGGCCTTGGAGGACTAGGGAGACCTGGACCTGAATCCGTCCACTGGCTAGTGGTCCAAGGACCTGATTTCCCCCTTCTGCCTCCTCAACCCCCAGTCTGCCCTACCCACTGATTAGAGCCAGGGAGCCTGGTGCCTGCAGCTAGCCTGGGTAGGGCCAGTCTCCCTGTAATTAAGGCAGCGGGAGGTTGGGAGCTGGGATCCCTGTCATCCGAGGTTGGGGAGGAGGGGTGACGAGTGACTGAAGGAACCTCCCTGTAGCCAGGCCAACCACGTCAGCAGCCACTGGCTGCTCTGGGCAGCAGTGGGTGGCCAGGAGCAAGCCCGGTGGGTTCTTACCTCTCTGCCACCCCTGGCCTGGACCCTCCTGTTAGCCTCCTGCCTTCACTCCCTGTCTCCCTGTATCTCCCTTCTCTAAATGTCTCCTCCACCCCAGCACCAGAGCCATGTCTCCAAAAACCAGGTCACCAAGGCTTGGCTTCTAGTGTTCCAGCCATGCTGTGGGGATAGAGGATTTCTCCTGCTTTCAGAGCAGAGCGTTAAGAAGGCTGCGGGGAGCCGCTTGCAGGAGCTCCCAGGCAGCCATTGAGAAGGAGGTCATTTCCCTGGAACAAATGCCTGCTGGGGCTGTGTGTCACCCTCTGGAACACGCCCACACCCCCAGGCTGGCACTCCAGGCCCTTTCTTGATCTAGCCCAAACCTGCTTATCAGCCCTGACTTCCTCCCAGTCACCTGTCATTTCCATTGTGTGTTACCTTCTTGCCTCCACGCCTTTGCTTGTGCCATTCCCTCTAACTGGGACGCCCTCACTTTTCCCTGCTTGGCCCATCAAATTCTGCTCTTCTTTCTCTGCCCAGTTCAAACACCTCCTCCTCTCGGCAGCCTTCCCTGGTTGAGCCCAAATGAAGCTGTCTCCCATAAGCCCACGGTACTGCCCTGTGGCTTGGGTGGGCTTGTGGGAGAGGAAGATGCAGATTTTTTTTTTTTTTTTTTTTTTTTGAGATGGACTCTCGCTCTGTCGCCCAGGCTGGAGTGCAGTGGCACGATCTTGGCTCACTGCAACCTCCGCCTCCCGGATATAAGTGATTCTCCTGCCTCAGCCTCCCAAGTAGCTGGAATTACAGGCACGCATCGCCACACCAGGCTAATTTTTTGTATTTTTAGTAGAGATATGGGGGTTCACCATGTTGGCCAGGCTGGTCTCTAACTCCTGACCTCAGGTGATCCGCACGCCTCAGCCTCCCAAAGTGCTGGGATTACAGGTGTGAGCCACCACGCCCGCCTAGGAGATGCAGATTGAATGCAGATTGATTGAGATGCATCTTTGTCCTCCCCACCATCCCAGCACCAAGGCTGTGCACTCTCTGGGGTCCAGACCTGCCCTGGTGGTCACTCACAACTGTGGCCTTGGTCAAGTCACATCACCTCTCTAAACTGCATTGTCCCCGTCTGTAAAATAGGAGAACCAGAGTTTCTCCTGGAAGGGACCATAGTGAGGAATGTATGAGACAATGTGGGCAAATACTTGAAATGGTGCTCACCTCTGGTGCCTGCTTAATAAATAGCACCCAGGGTTCCTACAGCTGTGGCCGTGGAGCCTGCATCTCCCTCTCCCCTGGTGGCTTCCCCTCTTTTACAAGGTCACCAGGGAGGCCTTCCCAGAGGACAATCCGGATCATGTCATTCTCACAGACCCTCCTCCAGGCAGGCCTGGAGTCATCCCCAAAGGCTCTGTCCAACCCACTCCTGCCTCTCTCCCTGGCTCCCCCGTCCCATCTCTCACCAGCCTCGCATCATTTGCTCTACTCCAACCACCTGGAACTTATTCGGGGGGGCACTGAACGCCCCACGCACCCTTTCACCTCAGGGCTATTGCACAGGTCACTCCCTCCTTCTGTACCTGGCTAACTCCTTCTCGTCCTTTAGGCCCCAGCTTACGTGCCCATTCCTCCAGGAGGCCTTCCCCGACCACCTCTTCCATCCAGGTGAGGCGCCCCTTCTCTGTTCCTGCAGCTCTTGCACCACACACTGCGCTGCAATGACCTGCTTTCCTGTGAGCTCCAAGAAGCCAGGCACTGTGCCTCGCTCCCTGCTGCAAACTCAGCACCGGGCACGGTGTCTGGTGCAGACTAGATGCTCAAAAAACATTTAGTGACTAACTGAATGGATGGATGAGTCAATTTCTGCATCCCCCACACTGCGGGAAATGTCTGTAGAACAGATTTGAGTGGGAGGTTCCAGCAGGGCCTGGGAGAAGCCCTTGGGGTTTGGGCACTGGGGGTAAACAGAGCAGACCCCCCAACCCCTCCCCTGGGGGGCTGGGCTCCCCGCTTCCTGCAAACCCCCTGGGCCCCAGAGCCGGCTTCCAGATGCTAAGCCCGTCTCAGCCTCACCTCTTAGCTTTTCCATCTGCACAGCCGGGCCAGATCCCCGCAGCCAGCATCACGGGCAGCCAGGCCAACCGTCCCGGCGTCTTCCTATTTTAGACATCTCGCTGCCTCAGTCCCTTCTAATGTTTCCAGCCAGGCTGCGGGGGGAGGAAAAAGAGGTTACTGCTACTTTAAATGTACTGTATGAAGGCGAGGGCTGGAAAGGGGCCTGCTTGCAGGAATACCCAGTCATCTAGTTGGAAAAGCCGCCAGATGGAATACAAAAGGAGGAACCCAGACGCTCATGGAGACAGCCTCGGTTCATAAATCAGGTGGGGCCAGGGGCTGGGGGCCCACACGCCATGGAGCCCGACTCCCTTCTGGACCAAGACGACTCCTACGGTAAGACGGTGCCAGCAAAGTGCAGAGTTGGGGGTTTCAGCCTCTCTGCTCAACAGACTTTTCTCTGCTATAGGAATCTGAGTTGAAGCAGGGAGGCAGTCAGGCATCTGGGCACTGTCTGGTCTTGGGACCCATGGGTGGGCATGGGTGCGTTGGGCTATGAGACTCAGGGCTGGAGGGTCCCTGGAGCGGGCAGCCCCTCAGACTCCAGGCATTGACAAGGTCCAGGGGAGGGAGAGAGAGTTTCTCAGCTGCTTCTGTTTTGCTCCTGGCCAAGAAGGAAAGGAAGGAAGTTTTGCAGCCCCCCTGCCTGTCTGCCTACCTCGCTGTTCGCCAGGCCTGCCCTGTGCTGTGGGGAATTCAATTAGTGCGATCCTGCGGATAAATATAGATGGAAGAGGCAACAGGAACATACCTTGTAATTAAAGGCCAGGGCTCATGCTGAAAGCACTCCCCGTGTGACAGGGCCCCAGTGGCTGCCACCGGAGAGCTGCCCAGGCCACTGGAAGCTCTGCATGCATTATTGGGGGAAAAGTTGCTCGGGACAGAGCCCATGCAGAGTCTGGAAGAGGGATTTATAAGACTCGGAAGGGTTCCTTCGTGGTGGTTTCTGCAGGCCTGGGGCTCCAGCGACGCAGTAACTCAGCTCCTGCACTACTCAGCCTGGCCAGAGAGCTCACATTTGGCTGGGATGCCCGGCACAGCCTGGCTGTCTCTGGACAACCAAGGAGGGACGCAAGAGTGCAAGAGTGTGGCCGAGGCACCGAGGCTGGGCATGGGGGGGTGGGGCAGCAGGTTTTGGGACTCAGCAGGGAGAAGTCCTGTTGGCCTCGGAAGAGGTGGTAATTGCAGGGCGACCTCATCCCAGCTTGGGTCAGGTCAGCCTTCCAGGGGTTCAGGTCCTCCTGAGACCACAGTTCTACTAAGAAAACCAAGTGCTTGTTTCTCCGGACTTTCCCCCACCCCATCCAGGCCTGGCTGCCTGGCACAGATTCAAGGCCAAATTTCCTTCCTCCTGCAGGAGCTCAGCCCTTTCCAAGGAGAGGGGCCCTTTGCCACGTTTGGAGCTGCAGCCCTCAGGGAAGCTTGGCAAGGCCCAGCCCACAGACCTGGCATCTTTGGGCCCAGGGGACGGGGGGTCAGTTGATGCATGCAGAGTGACCTCCATGTGCCAAGCCCTGTGTCAGGGTCAGGGATGTGTAGGAATGAGGAACTCAGTCCTAACAAATAGTTGGTGCTTAGTGAATGGAAGGAGGAGGAGAATACAAAGGGAGGAGAGAGGGAAAAAAATAGGGAGAGCAGCCCTTGGCCTGGAAGAGCTCCCAGTCTGGAATGGGAGACAGACAAACGATCCCAGACTAAATTCAGAGTGATGCGGTCCTTGGGGAGGCCAGGGGCAGACAGCCTGAGGGTGTGGGACAGGCCTGCCTGCCTCCAGAGCTGTTCACTGGAAGCTTGGCATTGGGATGCGTATGGACTCATTGGATGTCTGGATGCTCCCCTAGGGAGGGCACTGACCTTTGAAGAGGCAGGCGAGGGGGTGGGAAGGACCAGCCCCAGCCAGGGATATCTCAGGAACCCACAGTCCCCACTTGCTGTCCTCCAGATTTGCTAGTAGCAGCCTCTGGGCTGGGCAAGGCTGGAAACTGAGGCTGCCTCCACCCTCATGGAAAGGCCCCATGCACAATCAGCTCCTTGTCCTGGCCTGTCACGAGGCCGGTTGCTGATCTCCTGGAAGCTGGCCAGGCAGGGAGGTAAGGGATTCAAGAGGAAGAGGAAAGGGACAGAGGGGGCCTTAGGAAAGGGACAGGCAGGCATGGAGTGGAGCCCAGGCTCTCTCTGGGAGCAATCCCAGGCCCAGCTGGAGAGGGGTCTGGCTTTTCCAGCCAAGGTCTCCCACCCAGCCAGCCTCAGGGGTCCAGGGCTGAAGGAGGCCATCCTGGGTCAGGGCAGCACAGGAAAACTGCGGTCTCAGTGAGTCACTTCCCCAGTCTGAGCCCCGGTTCTACATTCATCAATTTAACAATTACTTTCAGGTTCTGGACTGGGCTTTGGTGTTCAAGAACAAATCAAACTTTGTGACTTTCCTAGGCTAATCTGAGAGAGATGCAGGTGCACTGATGGGGGAAGTCAAGGCGTGTGGAAGCCCTAACCCTATACTTGGAATCCAGAAAGGCTTCCTGGCAGAGGTGACTCCTCCACTGAAGAAGTCAATGATTCCCTCTATATTGATCAGCTCAGGCTGCTGTAACGAAATAGACAAGGTGACTCACACAACAAAGATTTCAGAAACAGAAATTAAAACAGAAGGCTGGGCGCAGTGGCTCATGCCTGAAATCCCAGCACTTTGGGAGGCTGAGGCAGGTGGATCACTTGAAGTCAGGAGTTTGAGGCCAGCCTGGCCAACATGGTGAAACCCCATCTCTACTAAAAACACAAAAAATTAGCCAGGCATGGTGGTGCATGCCTTTAATCCCAGCTACTTGGGAGGCTGAGGCATAAGAACCACTTGAACTCGGGAGGCAAAAGCTACAGTGAGCCAAGATCACGCTGCTGCACTCCAGCCTGGGCGACAGAGAGCGAGATGCCATCTCAGAAGTAATAATAACATTTTGCAGTGATGTGATCAAAGGTCACTGCAGCCTTGAACTCCTAGGCTCAAGGGATCCTTCTGTCTTAGCCTCCTGAATAGCTGTGACTACAAACATACACCACCACACCTCACTAATTAAAATTTTTGTGTGTGTGTGGAGATGGGGTCTTGCTGTGTTGCCCAGGCTGGTCTAGAACTCTCGGGCTCAAGCAATTCCAATGCCTCAGGGTCCCAAGTGTTGGGATTCTAGGCGTGAGCCACAGCAGTCAGCCCTTTTCTCTTTCTCTTTTTTTTTTTTTTTTTTTTTTGAGATGGGGTCTTACTCTGTCATCCAGGCTGGAGTGCAGTGGTGCGATCTCAGCTCAATTGCAACCTCCACTTCCCAGGCTCAATCCATCCTCCCACCTCAGCCTCCCGAGTAGCTGGGACCACAGGTGCACAACACCATGCCCAGCTAATTTTTTGTATTTTTGGTAGAGACAGGTTTTCGCCATGTTGCCCAGGCTGGTCTCGAACTCCTGAGCTCAAGTGATCCACCTGCCTCAGCCTCCCAAAGTGCTGTGATCCTTTTGTCTCTTCTTATAAGGACACTAATCCTACTAGGGCCCCATCCTTATGACCTCATTTAACCTTAATTACTCCTTAGAGGCCCCATTTCCAGACAGAGCCACGCTGGGAGTTCAACATATGACTTGAGGATGGGAGGGATACACATGTTCAGTCCACAACACCCTCCTTTTTTATTGAGACAGGGTCTCACTCTGTCACCCAGGCTAGAGTGCAATGGCATGATCACAGCTTACTGCAGCTTCGAACTCCTGGGTGTAAGCAATCCTCCTGCTTCAGCCTTCAGAATAGCTGGACTACAGGCATGCACCACCATGCCTGGCTAATTTTTGTATTTTTTGTAGAGACAGGGTTTGCCCACGTTGCCCAGGCTGGTCTCAAACTCCTGGGCTCTCTCAATCTGCCCGCCTCGGCTTCCCAAAGTGCTGGGATTACAGGCATGAGCCACAGTGCCGGCCTGGCTTCTGGGACAGGCTGCTCTCGGGGTTTCCTCCCATTATCTCTGGCTGGCCCCTTCTCCTGGGGCTCTCTCTCCTGCTGCTGCCCACAGGGTCCCTTCGCCAGTGCCTGCCTCCTCTGCTCCTTCATGATTGAACTCTTCCTCCTTCACCCCTCACTCCCTCGCTTCCCGCCATCAGATCTGACCTTCCTCACGCCCCCAAGCTGTCTCCCCCCAGGGCCTTTGAGCATCCTTCCTCTTTCTCTTCCCTGAGCTAATTCCTCCTCCTCTTCCCAGTATCAACTGAAAAGTCACCTCCTCAGAGAAGCCCTCCTTAAACCATGTTCCCCCAATGCATCACTCTCATAGGCCCTCTTTTCCTTTATGGACGTGTTCATATGTGCACTACACATTATTGCATGCTGATGTGTTTCACCTGCATCTCCCGTGAGTCTCTAAGCAATCTGGATCCCCAGAGCATAGTTCTCCACCTGGCAGGAGTAAGCATCCAACAAATGCTTGTTGAATGAGTGAGTGAACAAATGCAGTTGGTGCAGGCAAAAAGGCAAGGAAAGGCATTCCAGGGCAGAAGAAACAGCAGGTGCAAAGGCATGGAGACTGGTGATGCTTTGGAGCATTCTCTGATACTTACAATCTTGGTCAGGGGTTGGCAAGCTGAGCTCCTTTAGGGGGCTCAGGAACATTGATGGGGATGGGGAAGGGTTGGGAGCTGCAAAGCTGGGGGTGAGGCTCTGGACATCTCTCCCTGCTTCAAGCTGAGCAAAGCGCCTTTCGTCTAGTGAAGACCCCAGTTCTGATTGCATCCATCAGGTGTTCAGAGGCTGAAAGGGTTCAGCCATGGCATGGTGGGGGATCCGCAGCCACTGGCACTGAAGTTCTGGAGGCCTAAGCCTCTTAGCAGGCAGGACTGAGCAGAGCCCTATTGGGTGGTCTGGCGGTGGGAGCCCCTTAGAGCATGGCCAAGAAGGGCTCAGACACAGCTGCAGCGAGGAGCAGACATAGGTGCAGAGGTTTCTTTTACAGGACAGTCAGAGGCAGGAAGGTGAGGAGAAGGGGAGAGCTCGGAAACTCGGCACTAACCCCTGCAGAGCCCTTGTGATTGGCCTTAGTTTCCCTAGGTGTAAATTGGGGTGACGGCCAGACAAGATGTGACTGTCCCCTCTGGTGCCAGCCCCTTGGAGCTGTGTGAAAAGTCCAGCTCAGAGAAGCATGTCCTTTCCGTCTGCCTTGTGATTTCCAAAGAAGGGGGCAAGACAGAGGCCTGGCAGCGGCCAGCATAAGAGAAAAAGTCCTGCCCTGCAAAATATGCTTTCTCCGGGTTCTTTTGGAGTCCTGCTATTTCTCCACTTCGTGGGTACCGTCCTCCTACCAGGACAGCTCCTGGTGCTTCCTCCGCCTGGGTGTGTTTTCATTGTCTGCTCACCAGCCTGACTCCCACATGAGACTATAAGGCCCTTGAGGGCAGGGGCTGTATCTTGTCTGCCACTGGGTTCCCAGGGTGCTGCACAGCACTGGTCCTGAGAAGGCACTCAATACATACTCAGTGGATGAATGAATGAATGAATGAATGAATGAATAAGTGAGCGAGAGTGAGTGAATTAATGAGTGGCATGAGCTGGATCCTGCCCTTAACTTGCTCCGCATCCTTAGGCATCCTCCCCGACTCTGGACTTCTGGTTCCTTAGCTGTCAGCTGAGGGTGCTGGGCCCCATGCCCCAAGAGAGCAGGCCTGCATCTCATCCCAGCTCTCTCGGTTATTGGGTGGCCTGGACCAAGTCCCTGCCCTGACTTAGCCTCAGCTTCCTCATCTGACAAATGGGCAGACTCAGCCCTGCCCTGCCTGTTTTTCAGGCGGTCTTGGAGCTCTGGAGGAGTAAGGAGGCAAAACAGTGTGAGGCTGGACACCTGTCAGGGGAGTCTGTGACTCGTACAGGAGCGGGGGTTGGGCTCAGACAGCCCGCTGGGATAAACCCTCCAGAAGCGGGTGGTTGCTTTCGATATCATGGAGGTGGAGCAGGCAGCTCAAAAGCTCAGAACTTTCCATTTCTTCCTGATGACAACCAGCATGGGCATCTACCTCAGGGTTGTTGGCAGATCCCAGCAGAGAAGCAGGTGGATGTGAGTTTGTAAACTTCCCAATGCTACTGCTGTAATAACTGTTTGGTAAGCACCTACTCCATGCCAGGATCCAAAGACACTTTATCTACACTGTCTTCTGTTTTGGTTTGTTTGTTTGTTTGTTTTTGAGATGGAGTTTCGCTCTTGTTGCCCAGGCTGGAGTGCAATGGCGCAATCTCGGCTCACTCCAACCTCTGCCTCCTGGGTTTAAGCGATTCTCCTGCCTCAACCTCCCAAGTAGCTGGGATTACAGGCATGCGTCACCAAGCCTGGCTAATTTTGAATTTTTTGGTAGAGGCGGGGTTTCGCCATGTTGGTCAAGCTGGTCTCGAACTTCTGACCTCAGGTGATCCACCCGCCTTGGCCTCCCAAACTGCTAGGATTACAGGCGTGAGCCACCGTGCCCAGCATTTTTTTGTTTTGTTTTTTGTTTTTTGAGATAGAGTCTCACTCTGTCGCCCAGTTTAGAGTGCAGTAGCATGATCTTGGCTCACTGCAACCTCCACCTCCTGGGTTCAAGCAATTCTCCTGCCTCAGCCTCCTGAGTAGCTGGGACTACAGGCGCGCAACACCAGGCCCGGCTAATTTTTCTGTTTTTGTAGAGATGGGGTTTTGCCATGTGAGCAGGCTGGTCTTGAACTCCTGACCTCAGGTAATCTGCCCACCTTGGCCTCCCAAAATGCTGGGATTAGAGGTGTGAGCCACTGCATCTGGCCTACATTGTCTTCTGAATCCTTGCAATACACCTGGTGGGTTGCAGTTAGCCTTATTTTCCAGATGAGAAAATTGAGGCCCAAGGAGGTTACGTGACTGGCCCTGATCACGCAGTGAGTGCACTGATTTGAACCCAGCTTTCTCCAGCTACAAAGCCTGATATCTTTATTTTGCTGCAGTCCTGAAAGCCATTGTGTGCCAAAGCTGCCACCTGGAGGCCCCTCCCTGTGCCTGTGGAAAATCCTCTCTCCCGGGGAGCGTTCACTGAAGCAGCTCAGAGATGTGGCAGGAGCCATGTCAGCTCAGCTGGCCAAGGCGAGAGGCAGACTCAGCTGTGGGACAGGGATGGTCTAAAGAGAAGACAATTTGAGGCCAAAATAGCCTAATGTCATCAGGGGGCCTGATATCATGACTCCCTGGGCCTTCCTTTGAGAGGCAGAGGGATTAGCTTCAACTGGTGACAGATAGATAATAATTGTAAAAAATAACAGCTATGTGTCCAGCCACTGGCCTCCCATCCATCGTCTCGCTTCCCCTGCTTAGGCCTGCCCTCCCTCTGAGGCCTCCTCCTGGCTCTGCCACTCAGCTCACTCAGCAGGTGCCAGCCAAAGACCTGGGCTCTCATCGAGCCTCCATTTCCCCATCTGTGAAACTGACACCAGCCTAGCCTGCCTGGAATGGGGAAGGGACGCCAGAATCTAGATCCCTTCCATCTTGTTCGAGGGCTCTGTCCTAGACCAGGCTGCCTGGGCCTCAGAAAAATGAAGGAAGAGAAGCCACATTCATACCTGGAGCCCTTCTATAAGTGAAAAAATTAGGCCAAGGATGCAGAGCTGGGGTCCTATTTATGAGCATTTACTGTGTGCCTGGCTCACTGCTAAATGTTCTCCACTGACTCCTCACAGAGGAAGGAACAACCCCACAGCTCAGAGGAGAAAATCAAGGCTTAGAAGGGCCCTGCCACACAGCGAGTGAGGAACACTTGTGATTCAAACCCAGGACTCCCAAGATCCTGTGAGCTTTCTCCACTTTGGGCTGCTCCCACCACCCCACTGGGTCTCCTGGCCCCCAATCCAGGGCCCTTTCCCATGCCCAGGGGGGCCTCGGTTCTGCTGGCCAGCCATGCGGGGGGCTTCTGAACTTGCCCAGCTGGGCAGCTGGATGAGTGGTAGAGCCACACGCCCCCTCCCCTTGCCCTGAGACTCTGGGAAGAGGCGCAATCAGGAGGAACAGACAATAAAGAACAAAGAGGCCAGCTCGGGAGGGGCTTAGGTCATTTCCACACACAAGCCTGAGCAGCTGGCCTCATAACAAGGTCAGGGGCTGAGGCTGCAGTGGGGGTTGGCTGGTGAGGAGGGAGCCCCTGTGCCTGGAGCAGGGCGGGGAAGAGCCAGGATAAAGCTCAAGAGAGAAGAGTTGGTTTCCCCAGAGAGAGGGACAGGGAAAGGGAGGGAGCACCTATGTGCATAGGACGCGGACATTTCACTTCCCATAGGCTCCTGGAGAGCCCCTCCTGAACTGTACTTAACACCCCCAGGCCTGGGCTTCTATCTGCTGCGCCTCCGTGTGACCTGTGAGCCAGGCCAGTTGATTCTCAGAGCCTCGGAGGGATGGGGACAGCAGCAGCCACCGCGCAGGGCTCCTCTCTTGTGAGGACCAAGCAGGATAGATCCTTCCTTCTTCTGTGGTCCTGGACAGCCACTGCCTCAGGCTGGCTCCTCCGCCACGGGACCTGGTGCAGAGTCAAAGATCTTTAAGTCAATCTGTAGCATGATCCGGGTCCCCTAAGCTTTCCTACCACCGAATGTGTTTCTTGGTATATTGTTCAATTCCCGTTTTACAGAGGAAGAAACTGACACACTCGCTTGAGTATCGGTCCTTCAAGTAATGTGGCCTGACTCATGCTCAGGTTGCTGGATGGCTGCCACAGCCCTCCTTATTCCAAAGAGGCAGGTGGACCCCACACATCAGGCCCAGTGTGTCCCCAGCTTCCCCTCACTGGCCTCCCTGGGCTGACTGCAGGATATCCAGAGTCTAGCCTTCTGCTCCCACTGCCCCGTCTGTTCCTTCTGCTGGGTGGATACGCCCTGGGCTGCTTAGCCCACCCTGGGCCTTCCAAAGCCAGAGCTGTGGTCCTCCCAGCTGGGATTCCTCCCAAGGTCTCAACTCTGGAAGCCCAGGGAGGCTGGAACAAATAGCAAATGGCCAAGGTGTAGGGAGACCCAAGGGGAAGGGTCTCTTGAGGTCCTCCTGTCCATTCTCTGTTACATCATGGGAAGATGGAGGTCAGAGAAGATGAAACCAGGCCCACTTACGGTCCATGCTACCTCCTAAGAGGTCCAGAGATCCACCCCGACTCTCCGTCTCCAGCCCCCACTTCAGGCCAGGCCTCACCTTGGACACCTGCACAGCTGCCTTGCCTCTTCCTGGGGCTGTCCATCTCTACCTGCCCCCCAACTCATCCTTCGTGCACAGCCAGAAGGGGCCACTCATAGGCATTCAAAAAACTTCACAGGGCCCACCGCTGCAGCAGGATAAAATCCAAACTCATTAACAGAGCTTAATGCCGTTCATGGTCTGACCCTGCAGATACACTTCTGCTCTCATCTCCAAGCCACACCCCACTTTCTTGCCACTCCCATCATCATGAATTAATTTCTGCCTTGAATCTGCCTCTCTCTCTCCCTTACCTTTGCACTTGCTCTTACCGCTGCCTGAAACACTCTTTCATCTTAGCCTTCCCTACTACCCCTCCAGCCCGGTCAATCCTGCCCATCCTGAAGTCTCAGCTCAGGTCACCTCCTCCAGGAAGCCTTCCCTGACTAGCTTGTTTGGGCTGCCTAGGCTCCCTGGGCTTTCTGCTATCCCACTGCACTTTGATGAGTAAAGTCCATTTGCTTTACTGTTTGTCCCCATCTCTGGGCTGTGAGCTGCTTGGTGAGCCACAGTGAAAACTTGGAGGGGAGGCTGGGTGGGTAAAGAAAGAAGTCAGGATAACCCTGATCTCTGGCCTGTGTGGCAGGAGATGTTGGTGTCCACACTGACATGGGGACCTGGGTGGAAGGGCAGATTCTGGGGGGGGAGGGGAAACGATGTTCTGGGCTTGCTGTGTCTGAAGGGCCTGCAGGGCCATCCAGTGGCTATCTCTAGAGAAGTTGGTGACGGTCACCTTTGAGAGAGGCCTGGATTCCAGAAGGGAGGGAGGGGAGCTGCTGGGGCCTTCCCAGCGTGTGTCAGAACCACTCCCTTTCCCAGGCTTGCAGAAGCCCTCACTCAACTGCCCAACCAGGGTCCTGTCACCTCCCCCAGGAAGCCAGCCTGGCCCTGACAAAGCAGTGCTCTGTTCTCCCCCTTGACCATTACTCGCCTCTGGTCTGAGGACATCTCTCGGGCTCTGCCTTAGAACTCTTCAAGGTGGGAGCCACATCCCTCCATGTCTTGTAGACTCCGCATCGCCCAGCACAGGGACAGACACAGAGAAGAAGCTGCATGGACAAGGAGCCCTGCCCCTTCCCCTGGACACAGCCCCAGCCAGTGGGATTCTGGGGAAAAGAAAACACAAGCCTGAGGAGCTTTGGGTCAGATTGTCTCGGGAGAGTGGGGGAAGAGGCGGGTGGAGTGGGGGTGGATTTCTGTCCAATCTGGAAGCCTGTGCTGGATGGCCGGATCGCCAGCACCCCAGGCTCGAAGCGTTCCAGCCGGTGACCTACATTCCCAGGGCGCCTCTGTGTGTGCGCACACGGGCAGGCGTGCGTGAGTGCAGGAGCTCCACGGTGTGTCTGCCAGTGGGCCTCTGTCTCGGCAGGCTGTCTCCTCAGGAGCCCGTGAGTGAGCACGTGAGGGCGTGGGGGGCCCACACTCCTGCTCTGGGGTTCCACAGACTGCACCAGAAAGAGTTGGTCTGTGCCCTAGAAAAGCCACAGCCAGGGACTGCAGGGACTGACATGGCTGGGGGTGGCTGTCCCACCCGCAGCCCTGCCCAAGACCCTCTCTCTCTCCTCCCATGCTCTCTCTGTGACAAATGGCCTCACACTGCTCTTTGCTAATGGTGGGGTGTTAGGCATGGAAAATGGAGGGCACAGCTCTTAGGTGGCGGTGGAGGGCGGGGACCTCAAACAACAGCCCGAGGCAGCCAGATGGCAACCAGAGGTCAGTAGGGTGGGTGGCTCAGCAGAGGGAGCAGGCACCAGGCTCTAGGCCCTGCAGCCTGAGGTCAGGGCGTCACTCAGGGGTCCTTGGGGGCTGTCCCGGGTCAGGATCCTCCTGCCTCCAGGCGGGGGTAGAGGTGGAGATCTCTCCCTCCTGGGAAGGCCTGTGCTTGACTGAGAAGCTAAGCTGACTCTATGGCCCTGAAGCCAGGGCACCAGGGAATCTGGGGGGTGGGTGCCCTGCTCAGAGACCCTTTAGTCTCTCCTTTGCCAGTTCTGTGGCGGGTGGGGTAGGGGTGGCTGTCCCCCAAACCCTTCTGAGCCTCTTCTTTCAGACTTGGTCCCTGACAGCAGGGAGGGGATGGGTAGTCCTTTCAGAGACTCTCTCTGGGTCTATCTCTGTCTCTTTCTGTCTCTCTATCTCTGTTCCTATCTCTCTCAGTCCTTCTGTCTCAGTCATCTCTATATATCTCTCTGTATCTCTGCCTCTCTCTCTCTCTTTCTCCCTCCTGCTGGGCTCCCCCTGCTCCCCTCTTCCCTCCTCTCCCCCTAGTGACTCCTGCAAAGCTCCCCTTCCCCAGCAGAATGGGGAACACAGACTTGGCTGAGGGCCTACCGTGCCCGGCAGCAAGAGAAAAGTGAGGCTCGAGCCCCCGACAGCTTCTCCGTGGCCCTTCCAAGCCCCGGGGGATTTTTGCTTCAGTTCTCCTCTCCCTCCGTCAATTCCCCAGCTGAGGCCAACCTTGGTCCCTGGGCTCTGCACCTCCTGCCCACCCTCCTGCCTGTATGAGGACCCCCCCATCGACCTCCCTTGCTGGCCCTTTCTCCGGCCCTGCAACGGGCCCAAGTCTCTCCCATCCCATCCTCACTGCCTCATCCTCTCCGGCCTATGTCTTTTTTTTTTTTTTTTTTTTTTTTTTTTTTTTTTTTGAGACGAAGTCTTGCTCTGTCACCCAGGCTGGAGTGCAGAGGCACGATCTTGGCTCACTGCAACCTCCACCTCCCAGGTTCAAGCTATTCTCCTGCCTCAGCCTCCCGAGTAGCTGGGATTCCCAGCCCATGTCCTTCTGATCTCTGCTTCCCCACTGGCATTGTGCAACTCAACACCACTCCCTGCCCCAAAGCTGCTCTGAACGGGCCCACCAGTGGAATACCAACTGCAGAATCCAGGGCTTTCTCTTGGGGCACCATCTTACCAGTCCTCTCGGGTGAGGCTCTGGTTGGGGGTAGGTCAGGGCAGGGTCCCTGGAGCCCCGCACCATCAGATCTCTGCCCCTTACCAGGGGAAATGATGTAACTTCTCTGAATCTCAGTTTTCCCACCTGTGAGATGGGATGGTTACCCTGGTACTCCTGTCACAGGTTATTGAGAGGAGTAACACTGTTCATGCTTATTTAAAAAATTCTGAGAACTGATCTAGCAGAGAATGAGGCCTCAGTTGATCTTGGCTGTAGTTATAATCATTTGTGTTTGCCATTGCTTGAATCTCTCTCCTACCCCCCCACCCTGAGGACCCCACAGTCTCCTCTCCTGGGTTTCCTCTCGCCTGTCTCTTCATCCCCTCTCGGTCTTTCCTGTAGGCTCCCAGCTAAGCCACCAGGTGACCAGGCCAGGCCCTCTGCAGTCCCCACCATCCCTCCTCACATCTGTGTGTCCTCACACCCCTGCCCACTGCAGGACCAAGTCCACCTCTGCCACCCACACCTTTGCCAGCCCCTACCTGGACCTTCTGCCTTGCCGGTACCACCCAGACCAGGGGACCTCCCTAACATAGGCTCAATACCCTCCTCCTCTGTGCACCTGACCGGTTCTGCTCAGGGCTCTGGGGGCAGCCCTGTCACACCTTATGGCCTTGTCCATCGATCTGTCAGTCCACATGCCTGTCTCTGCCACACACCTTGGAGCTTCATCTCTGTGGCCCTGGCACTTTCTGCTGCATATTTGTTGAATGAATAATGAATGAACGAATGACTTGATGCAAATCAAAGTACTTTGCAAGCTATAAAGCGCTCCTCCAATCAATGCCACACACAGTGGGGTATTAAGGAGCACTCAAAGCCTCCTGCAGGACTTGGCCTCACCTTGCCCACTGCACCTGGGTCGGGGGAAGGAAACCTCAATCTTCCAGAAAGTTCTAATCCTTCATCTGCCTCAGGATCATTCTGGGTAGGAACGATGCCCAGCCTCGCCCTAGAGATTTGGATTCAGTTTAGTCTAAAGGAGGCCTGGGCAATGGAATGTATAAACCCCTCCTCCTTTTTTCCCTCCTCCCCTGCCCCACCAGGTGACTCTAAGGGGCAGCTGCTGGAATTGGAGGAGGATTGTTGGAGCCCTGGTCTTTGCTCCCTGCCCAGGTTCACTTCTTTTAATTTGTGCCTTCTCTGTGCTAGCTCCATGCTGGGTGCTAGAGGGGAAGCACGCACCCAGGGAAGCATGAGGCTGGGTCTCTGCTTTAGGGAAGAGCTTAGAACAGGCACTCAAGGCTACAGTGACATCCCAGGGTGGAGAGACCTCTAGGGGTAGGTGGGAAGGAGAAGATGCTGACCTTAAAGATAACCAGAGACCTAAGGCCAGGTACAGTGGCTCGTGCCTGCTATTCTAGCACTTTTGAGAGGCCAAAGGAGGAGGATCGCTTGAGATTAGGAGACCAGCCTGGGCAACACAGGGAGAGCCCATCTCTAAAAACAAAGCCAAACAAAATACGGAGGTTGGCCTGGTGGATGGAGGTAGTGAACAGGCAGAGGGAACCACAGGGGAAAGGCCTGGAGTTGAGAACTACAGAGTAGCCCATCTAAGAACTTTTTTTTTTTTTCTGAGATGGAGTCTCGCTCTGTTGCCCAGGCTGGAGTCCAGTGGCGCAATCTCAGCTCACTGCAAGCTCCGCCTCTCAGGTTCACGCCATTCTCCTGCCTCAGCCTCCTGAGTAGCTGGGACTACAGGCGCCAACCACCACGCCCAGCTAATTTTTTTGTATTTTTAGTAGAGACGGGGTTTCACCGTGTTAGCCAGGATGGTCTCAATCTCCTGACCTCGTGATCCACCCACCTTGGCCTCCCCAAGTGCTGGGATTACAGGCGTGAGCCACCGCGCCTGGCCGCCCATCTAAGAACTTTGAGTGATTCAGTGAGGCTGTACCCCAAAATCCAGGTGCGCAGGCCTGGAGAGGTCAGCTGGGCTGGGGTAGCGGCCTCAAATGCCGGGATCAGGAGATTGGGCTTTACCTTGCACTGGGAGGAGCCATGAATAGTTTCAGGCAGGGGAGGAACAGGGTTGTGCTGGGTCTTCCTGGAATTGCTAAGACCCAAACCACCCCTGAGGCAGCTCAGGTGAGGCTGGGTGGCTGCCCACCTCTGGGAGCTCACAATCCCAGCAGGAGAAGCCTAGCCCAAGGAGGGAGGCCAAGAAGACCCAGAGCCAAGGGGGTAGTGGGGTTCCTGGACTGGCTACCTTCGCCAGACCTGCTCAGCCTCCAGTTCCCTGTTTAGTGGCATTAAAGGTTTCCGTCCCCCAATGTCCTTGGCAGCCCAGTGCATGCTCAACTTGTGGGGGAGCAGGAGGAGGGCAGCTCTGACTATCTTCCTTGCACCTTGCATCTTCAGGAGGGGAGCTAGTCAGACTCTTAGGGAACAAGAGAAAGAGAAGGGAAGGTGCATGAGCATTTTGTGCCAGAGCTCATAGAACTCTGGCTGGAAAACGTAGCCCCATTTTACAGGGGAGGAAACTGAGGCACACAGAGATTTGTGATTTGTCCCTGGTTGTACTACCAGGAAGTGACAGAGTCAGGATTTGAACTCTGGTCCTGCTGGCTTCAAAGCCTGCGTGCTTCCCACTGTGTGCATCCCTGCTCTGAGTCTGCACTGAGCAGCCCACGTGCCTAGTCCTGCTCCAGGGAGAGGCAGGAGAGGCTGTGTGAGAGCTACAAGGAGGCTGGGGTCTCTGCTCACCTCAGCAGTCCCAGTAAAGTAGGCAGGAACCATGGGAGAGATTCGAGCAGAGGAGGGACAGGTCCAAAGCTGCAGCCAGAAATCGCCTGTGCTCCAGCCCCTGTCCCCAGCCCCTCAATGCCAACTCCCCATCCTTCAGCTGACCCCGGGCTCATTAAGTGCTAGGAAACGCCACCAGCAGCGGGTGCAGGGCTGAGGGCCAAGCTGCCGGCTGGAACAAAAGAGCTTGTGTTTGGGGATAGGACCTCCCCCTCCTTCACCACGGTTGGGGGCCGTGGGGGGAAGTGAGGACAGTCATCTGGGGCCAAGAGGGGCTGCAGGGCTGGGGAAGGGGCTTGTCAGAGCCCGGATTCAGATAGAAAGGGCTGAAAGGGGGTTGGAAGCTAATGTGCCTGAGCGTCTCAGCACAAACGGGCCATTTTCAGCGGGCCCAGAAATCAAAACATCCCGGCTGGGGGAGAGCAAGCTTTGAACTTTTCCTGACTCGTGGTCCTGGGGGTGAAGAGGTCAGGGACTGCCTTGAGGTGGGGGCCAGGCCAGGGTGGGATGAGCAGCCGGCAGCCCAAAGCCCCCTTCCTTCTGTCCCCATGCTGAGTCTCAGAGGGAACCAGGGCTGCTCAGAGCATTCAGAGGAGGGTGCGGGCTGTGGGGGGTGAGAAGGAAGGGAAGCCCCATTTTCACTGTCTCCTCACTCCCAACTGTGGGCAGCCAGGTGTGCTTCTACATTGCAGGTCTGGCCCCACATCCCCTGCTGCAGACCTCCACTGGCGCCCCCGTGACTCTCAGGATCTGTTCCCAGCTCTGGAACAGGCTCTCCGGACCCCTGGCCACTGGCACCCTGGGCAGCTTACCTCGTCCCACTCCTGATAGCCCCCCAATGACCACTTTATGCTTCAGCCAAATCTAGCTGTTGACAGCTCCTCAAACGCTTGGGCTGGCTAAGCCTCTACAGTTTCCATGACTCTCTTCTGAGCCGGAAACACCTGCCTCCTCCCTACGTGCATTCATTCCCACCCCCGAAACGGGACAAACTCCTACTCACATGCTAGTGCCCTTTTGCTCACCACTGCCTCCAGAAGCCTTCCCAGCCCCTGTGAATGAGTTCTTAGTGCAATGGTGGCCACAGTCACTGCAGGATGCAGCTGTCTCCAGGTGAAGGCTCTGCCCTGCGGGCAGCCCTCATGTGTGTCTCATTCCCCTGTAGCCTTAGGCTTGGGACAGAAAGCTTGAGACCAGTAACCAGCGAGCATTTGTTGAAAGAAGGAGAAGGGGAAGGAGAAGGAGCCACGAAAACAGAACAAAACAAAACATAATTTTAGAAAACGGAGAAGCTGGCCGGCCGCGGTGGCTCACCCCTTAATCCCAACACTTTGGGAGGCCAAGGTGGGTGGATCACTTAAGGTCAGCAGTTCAAAACCAGCCTGGCCAACATGGCGAAACCCCGTCTTTACATAAAATACAAAAAAATTAGTCGAGCGTGGTGGCAGGCGTCTGTGGTGTCCCAGCAACTTGGGAGGCTGAGGCAAGAGAATTGCTTGAACCTGGGAAATGGATTTTGCAGTGAGTTGAGATCACACCGCTGCACTCCAGCCTGGGCAACTGAGTGAGACTCTGTTTAAAAAACAAAAAAGAAAAGGGAGAGGCCAAGAAAGAGAAAACAAATGGGTAACAGGGGTAGGGGAGGAGCCGGCTCTTCTGGCCACTGAGGAACGTGCCAGAACAGACAGACTGCACACCCTGAGCATCAGAGCAATACTATTTCTCTGTGGTGAGACCCCTGGACAGCTCAGTGCCCCAGAGGCAGGGTCCTGGGCACAGGCTGGCTTTGCTGGCAGGCCCCTCTACAGTTTAGCCAACAAGGCGGGGCAGCTGTTGGGGGGGATGGGTGGGGGGTCCCAGGTGGGCATTTAGCTGCCCGCATAGCACTTCGGCATCACCTGCCATCCGTGGATCCCAGATTCCTGTCTCTAAGAGCCCCAAGAGCCTATAGGCTCTGTCTAGGCCAGTGGTTTTCCCGTTGTGTCCAAGGAGAAGCTCAGAAGTTGGCGTGTAGGAGACACTTCCTTCCTTGAACCCAGCTTGGACTAGAGCAGCTCACCAGATCCAATAGAATACAAACATTGACGTCAGGCGTGGTGGCTCATGCCTGTAATCCCAGCACTTTGGGAGGCTGAGGTGGGAGGATCACAAGGTCAAGAGTTTGAGACCAGCCTGGCCAACATGGTGAAACCCTGTCTCTACTAAAAATACAAAAAATAGCCAGGCGTGGTGGTGCACGCCTGTAATCCCAGCTACTCGGGAGGCTGAGACAGGAGAATCACTTGAACCTGGTCCTGTGGAGGTTGCAGTGAGTTGAGATCGTGCCATTGCACTCCAGCCTGGGCGACGGAGTGAGACTCTGTTCAAAATAAATAAATAAATAAAAACTTTTTTGAGATAGATTACAGGTGTGAGCCACCACGCCCAGCCTCAAAATAATAATCATAATAATAATACAAATGTTGGGCTTGCCTGAAAATTTTCATTTAAATGACGGTTCTGGATCACTTGAGCCCAGGAATTTGAGGCTGCAGTGAATTATAATGTGATCACGCCACTGCACTCTAGACAGGGCAACAGAGCAAGACCCTGTCTCTACAAAAAAAAAAAAGTAAATAAAATGGGAGTTCCATGGCTCAAGTAGTTTAAAGAACACTGGTCTAACCTCTTCCCCTTGTAAAGACTAGAAGACAAGGCCTAGGGACAAACAGGTTTCATCCCAAGTGCCCAGGGAGGACAGGGTGACAGAGCTACCTCTAGCTCCTGGCCCCTCCTGCTGGACCACACAGCCCTCTGTTGAAAGTATAAACATATGACGGAATGATCAGGAATCTGAAAGTAGGTTTTGTTGGGTAACAGGGAATAGCAACAAAGGACACTTAGTTTCTGGGGCAAAGGGTGGGAAGTAGAGAAGAGGACCAAAGTGGGAAGCGGGGCGCAGAGTGGCTGGAGGGGGATTTGTGGGAGGACAATCACCGTGCACTTAGTTAATTAATGATAGCTAGGCTGCTGCCAAAGCCATTCAAAACCATGCCGTAAATTTCCCAGCTTTGGACAAGGCAGCACTAGGTTTATTTTTATTTATTTTTACTTACTTTTAGAGGTGGGGTCTTTCTGCATTTCCCCAGCTGGAGTGCAGTAGCTATTCACAGGCACGATCCTAGCCAACTACAGCCTTCAACTCCAGGCCTCAAGCTGTCCTCCTGCCTCAGTCTGCTGAGTAGCTTGGACTACAGGCGCGTGCCACTGTGCCCAGCAGCACTAGGTTTAGAATCAGAATCTCAGGGTTCAAGTCCCAACTCCTCCATTTATCTACTCACTGCATTGAACTTGGCCAAATCAATGACCTCTTGAGACTCAGTTTCTTCCTCAATAAAATGCGGCCAACAACACCTCTGTCCCAGAATGGCGAGGGGTCAATGAGAGCACAGAGTCGAGGCTGAACAATTCCTGGTGGGTTCAGGATTCTTCCTTGCATAGGAACTTGGGGAAGGTTCAAATCCCAGCTCTGTCCCTTACTAGATAGATTTGTGATTTGAGGCAAGTTTCTTAACCTCTCTGCCTCAGTTTTCTCATCTGCAAAATGAGGATAATAGTAGCATCCACCTCCCTCACAGGATGTAATGAGTTGATACGGATTAAAGCACTTAGAACAGGGCTGCACGAGGGTTTGTTATCATTATTTGGACTCTATTAATAACTGCAAAGATTAGGTCTTGCCAAGGAGAGATGGTAGAAATGGAATAAAAGAGTGCACAAGATTGGCTGGGCGCGGTGGCTCACGCCTATAATCCCAGCACTTTGGGAGGCCAAGGCAGACAGATCGCTTTGAGCTCAGGAGTTCGAGACCAGCCAGGGCAGCAAGATCCCTGTCTCTACAAAAAAATACAAAAATTAGCCAGACATGTGGTGCATACCTGATGTCCCAGCTACTCAGGAAGCTGAGGCTGGAGGATCACATGAGACCAGGAAGCAGAGGTTGCAGTGAGCTGAGATCGTGCCACTGGACTCCAGCCTGGGTGAGGGTTAGGGATTTAAAAAAAAAAATAGAATGGGTTAATGAATGAATGTAAGAAAAATTAGGGTTCTACCAGGAACCCTAATTACGGATCTAACTTGACCCGATCCTAACCCATCAGTGGCTTCCAGTCATTCCTCTGGGCTGGGAGCCCACCCTGGCTCCCTGTCGCTGGGCCTCTCCCTGCATTTTTCTGCACACACGTAGAGGTAGGCTACCATTTCGCCCCTAGATGACTTTGGGTGATAAAGAAGTAACTTCAGCCTCCTTGAATTGAATCTTCTATCCAGAACATGTAACAAACCTGGAAATTGGAATTGCCCTAAAGCTGATTATTCTGGGAGGGCACCTCCTGGCATTAAAACTAAATTAGATCAAGGTACCTCTGTTATTAGCAAAATAATTCCCTATGATTACCGAACACAGCCATGAATCCTGATGGCAGATGAACTTCAGGTGACTTACTTGAGACAAATAACTGTGCGAAAATCACAGGCTCATCGAATCACTTCTCTATAGCGTTGCAGTTGGGTAATTATGCTAATAGTTATAAGAAATCATCCTTTGTGGTCTAGGATTGGGAGGGCTTGAGACGGAAACGTAAGTGGCAGATATTACCTGCTTCCAGTTGGAGAGACTGGGTCCAAAATGGGCCCCTTGCAGGGAGCTGCAAGGGAGCTGGTTTGTCCCCTGTCTACAGGGGAGAAACCTGTTATGCAGCCTGAATTGCAGTGGCCTGGCACCTTGGGAGGCTGAGGCAGGCAGATTACTTGAGCCCAGGAGTTCGAGACCAGCTTGGGCAACACAGCAAGACTCCCTTCTTTACAAAAAAATACCAAAATTAGCCAGGCAAGGTGGTGTATACCTTCAGTCCCAGCTACTTGGGAGTCTGAGGTGGGAGGATCGCTTTAGCCTGGGAGGTGGAGGCTGTAGTGAGCCATGATTGTACCACTGCACTCCAGCCTGGGTGACAAAGTAAAAAAAAAAAAAATTGCAGTGACCTCATTAAGCATCCCTTTTCAGATCATCTTAATACAGGAAATTGAATTTGTCCAAGTTCCACTGTTGGGCATGGTAATTCCAAGAAGCAAGTTAAACTGTAAAAGCTCAGGACCTCTGAGTCAATTTGATTCAGCAAACATGACTCTGTGCCCACTGGGTGCCAGGCAGTGATCTAGGCACAGGCAGCGGGGGTGTCAGCATTCAAGGGTGTTTCTGATGCTTTCTTAACAGTCTCTTGTCCCCTCAGTAACCTGACGAAAAAGACAATATTGTGCCCATTTTAGAGACAAGGAAATGAAGGCTCGGAGAAGCGAACTGGTGCTACTGCTGATAATCAGTGGAGATGACTACTTCCATCCACCCACAGGGAATGTAGATCTGGGAGGCTTCCTGGAAGAGCGGATTTGGGAAAGTGCAGTGTAGGCAGAGGAAACAGCTTGAGGAAAAAACCCGGAGGCAGGGGATTAAAGTAGGGGTTCAAGAATGGGGTTGAGGCCAGGTGCAGTGGCTCATGCCTATAAATCCCAGCACTCTGGGAGGCTGAGGCGGGCAGATTGCTTGAGCCCAGGAGTTCAAGACCAGCCTGACCAACATGATGAAATCCTGACTCTACTGAAGAGACAAAAATTAGCCAGGCGTAGTGGCACATGCCTGTAGTTCCAGCTACTTGGGAGGCTGAGGTGAGAGAATCACCTGAGCCTGGGAGGTTGAGGTTGCAGTGAGCCAAGATCTCATTACTGCACTCCAGTCTGAGCAATCAGAGTGAGATCCTGTCTCGAAAAGAAAAAAAAAAAAAAAAGAATAGGGTTGAGAGGGTAGCCGAAGGTCAAGAAACAGAGGGCCTCAAATGACCAATTGAGGGTTTGGACAATGGGGAGCCACCAGAGGTGGTTGAGTAAAGGAGGAGTAAGATGGAACCTGAGAATGCCTGGGTGAGAGTGTGGGAGACCCACTGGTAGATAAGGCTGCTTACAGGGAGGGGGCCAAAAGGGGATAAAAAATGGGTAGTTTTTTCAGTATAAGTGTGTCCCAAATATTGCATAGGATATACTTACACTAAAAAAAATTCATTGTTTATATACAATTTACATTTACCTGGCATCTTGTATTTCATCTGGCAATCCTACCCCCATCTCCTCACATCAGTGCCTAGCTGGGTTCTCTGCCCATGATGACTTTCCCTTGTGGGCACACAGCCTGGTAAACTCCTATCCATGCGTTGAAGCCCTGAACTCCTTACCACTGCTGTGGCAATAATTATCATGCACTACGGTGATTACTTTCTTAGGTAATTGTTTTACTATCTACCCATCCCCTTAGCGGCAAACCTTACTTCTGGCTGCATAGGGAAAAAAAGGTCAAGACCGTGAGTCCTTCCATTTCCTGACCTCCTCCCCACCCCAAGTTGCTTCCAACTTCTGCTTCTGTCTCAAGAAGAGCCGGCCTCTCCATCCCTCCTGTGACCTTGCCTGATCCCTTCAGATCAGGCACCTCTTGAGATCAGTACACCTCTCTCACTGGCAGCCCCAAAATCAGACATTCTGCTGGGTCATTCCCACCAGCTGGGCACCTAGCGAGTGCTTCCCGTCCTCCTCATCCCAACTGGGGTTCCCCAGGAGCAGGCTCTGAGAGGTATTCATGCATAGGAGATCCATCAAGGGCTGCTCTCTGGCTCAACACCTGTGGAAGGGAAGGGAAGGGAAGGGGGAAAGGGGAAGGGTGAAGGGGGAAGGGGGAAGGGTGAAGGGGGAAGGGAAGGGGGAAGGGGGAATGGGGAAGAGGGAAGGGAAGGGAAGGGAAGGGAAGGGAAGGAAAGAGAAGGGAGCAGGACTGGGCAGGAGGAGGAACTGAGCTTCCATGCAGTCAGTGCAAGCCTCAGCCCACCCTACACCTGGAGCTGGGATGCCCCTTCAGAGTCATCCTGAGCTGTGCCAAACTTTTATGACCCTGGGTTGGTCAGTCACTGGATGTAGGACACCCCAGGAAGGAGGTGTCACCTCTGGGGAGGTGGCTGTCTTCAGCAGAGGCAACCCCCAAGAGCTAAGCACTGAGGGACTACTTCTAGCAGCCTCCCCATACCTAGGGGAGTGAGACCTTTACTCCTGAAGAGGAGATCCGGGTTGCACATCACACCCCCTACCCCCCACCAAACCCAAGGCATTCCCCTCCAGCAACCATCCAATCTCTTATCTTCCTTCTGACCTAACCCTTCCTGTCCTCCCTTCCCTGCCTCCTACTCACTCCCCAGATTTTTGTAAAACTCAAGAGTTGGCTCTGTCCCACCCCCGGCGTGATATGATCGGATCTGTGCTTTGAAAACCTGATAGGGAGAACTAGTAGACATGGATCCACATGGAGAGGGGCCAGTAAGGTCGCTCAGTAGCCCCCTCAAGGTCTCTCAGTAGCTCCCTAAGGCCAAGTTGCTGAGCATGGCATGTAGGGTCCCTCATGGTGCAGCCCTGCCTCTTCTCCTGCCCCCTCTCATGGCTGCTCCCCTCACTTGAGGCTCCAATAATACTTGACTGTAATTCCCTGAGCACGCTGGCTGTTTCATGGTGCCATGTTTTTTTATGGGCTATTTCCTCTTTGCCTGGCTAACTTTTCTGTCTCGCTTCCTTAAAGACACACTCAGAGGTCATCTCCTTGGAAGCCTTTCCTGGAGCCATTCCTGCCCCGCTCCCAAGGCTGGTAGCAGAGCCGCATAGCTGCCCACCTGTGTCTCAGCCATTACCAGCAGTGCTCAGCAGCATATGGGAGTGTCCTGCTTGGGGACCACCTGATGACATTGTTACCTGTCTCTTCCCCCTGCATCTGTGTCTCCAGCACCCAGCCCAGAGCCTGGCACAAAAGGAGCCGAATGACATTGACTTAGGCACGTGGAGAATCCATGGACAGCCGCCTCCCCAGAGGTGACAGCTCCTTCCTACACTGGTGCTCTACATCCAGTGACTGACCAACCCAGGGTCATAAAAGCTTGGCATTGCTCAGGATGACTCTGAAGGGCCATCCCAGCTCCCGATGTAGGGTAGGCTGAGGCTTGCACTGACTGCATGGAAGCTCAATTCCTCCTTCTGCCCAGTCCTGCTCCCTTCCCTTCCCTTCCCTTCCCTTCCCTTCCCTTCCCTTCCCTTCCCTTCCCTTCCCTTCCCTTCCCTTCCTGGGGTATGAGAGAAACTGCGGAGGTGGAATCAAAGCATCTGAGAATGATTAGACTCAGACAGGGATGTGTCCCCTCAGAACAGGTCTTCCCTGGAAACAGCTGTTCTCCTGTTCAGTATCACCTGGTCCTTCCTCCATGCATAGTGTCTGACATCATCTCATTCTCTCTGGGTATTGAATTCTCAATGCCTCAGAGGCAGAAGTGAGGTCTGTGCATTTCCACTACTTATGCTCCGTGACCGTCATGCCCCACACGCACACTAGATCGGAGCTGCTTTCTCCTTCTGGCCCCTCCTTCCCACTCCTCCCCTGTCATTCATACTATCCCTGCTCCAGGGTCTTGTGGGCCTGGGTCTTCATCCTATGATGCTTCAGTCACTGCAGTTTTGAGTTTCACTTCCATCATCAGGTAAGGACCCACCACCCCAGCCTATCTGTGAAAAGGGTGTTGTGGTTACAAAACCCAGGATCTGGAATCAAACAGATGGGGCTTGAGAACAGGCTCTGTCATCTACATGCTGTGTGATCTTGTGCAAGTTGCTTAAAATCTGAGCCTCAGTTTCCTCATCTGTCAAAAGGGAATAGATACTAGAACCTTTTCAGAGGCGGTCGTAAGAATTAAATGAGAGAGCATCTGGCAAAGCACTCAAACTTGCATTCATAGCAACGGGCAGAAATGTAGACATTTCTGGCAACAAACAGTATCCAACAACAATAAACAGAGCCTATTGATGGAGGTGGGAAAGCAGACGTGCCTTCACTCATTCATTCAACAAACATTCATTGAGCACCTACTACATGCCCTTGCTGAGGGTAGGAGGGGATACAACAATGAAGAAAACCAGGCATGATCCCTGTGTTTAGGGATGCCCAGCCCGGGAGCATGACACATCCATCCAGTGATCACACATTGAAGATGCCATCACCAACTGCAACGGACACCATAAAGGAAAGTGACTTGAGCCATGGGTGTGTCATGTGGGAGGCCAGGGAAGCCTTCCCTGAGGAAATGACATTAGGCTTCCATTGGGAGAAGTTAACTGGGCCAAGGAATGGAGAAAAGTGTTCTGAAGAGGGGAAACTGGTATGCAAAGGCTGTGTCGTGGGAAGAAGCGTTGTATATTTGAGGATCTGGAAGTTGGCTGGAGTGGCTGGAGGCAGAGAGGGATGGGGAAGATGGCAAGAAATGAGGCTAGGGCCAGGCATGGTAGCTTATGCCTGTAATCCCAGCACTTTGAGAGGCTAAGGCGGGTGGATCACTTGAGGCCAGGAGTTCAATACCAGCCTGGCCAACATAGTGAAACCCTGTCTCTACCAAAAATACAAAAATTAGTTGGTTGCAGTGATGCATGCCTGTAATTCCAGCTACTCAGGAGGCTGAGGCACAAGAATCGCTTGAAGCCAGGAGGTGGAGGTTGCAATGAGCCGAGATCGTGCCACTGCACTCCAGCCTTGGGCAACAGAGTGAGACTCTGTTCTCCTGCCAAGAAAAAAGAAATGAGGCTGGGGAGATGGGTAGGACCTGACCACCCAGGATCTTGGAGGCCACATGATGGCAACAAGAAACCATTGAAGCTTTGAACAGAAGTGAGGGTGATATGATTGGATCTGTGCTTTGAAAACCTAATGAGGAGAACTAGTAGATAGGGACCCACATGGAGAGGGGCCAGGTGGATGCATGGAACAAGTTCAGTTCTTAGCGAAGTCCAGGCAAGAGACCACAGTGTCTGCACTGGGCTGGAGATAAACATTTGGGAATCATCTGCATAAGGACAGTGGTTGAAGCCATGGCCTGGGTGTAGTTCAAGTTGCCTGTGCAGAGAGTCTAGAAAAATAAGAGGGACTCAGACAGTCTCAAACTCCAAGTTTTACAGCCCAGGGGAGTCAGATGAGGTAGCCAAGGAGGAGAAGTGACCAGAGAACTAGGGGACAAACTGGGAGAGTATGGTAAGATGGAAGGGAACAGAAGTTTCTGTGGGGTTAAGTATTGCCAAGAGATCAGGAGAGATGGAGGTGGAAATGTATCCTATGGTGTTACCAACAAGGAGGTCATTGGTGACCTTCCCGAGAGCCATTAGGAAATACTGCAGATCTGGCCAGGCGCCAGTGGCTCACGCCTATAATCCCAGCACTTTGGGAGGCCGAGGTAGGCAGATCACTTGAGATCAGGGGTTTGAGACCAGCATGGCCAACATGGTGAAACCCCATCTCTACTGAATACAAAAATTATCTGGGCATGGTGGTACGCACCTGTAACCCCAGCTACTTGGGAAGCTGAGGCAGGAGAATCACTTGAACCCTGGAGGTGGAGGCTGCAGTGAGCCAAGATAGTGCCACTGCACTCCAGCCTAGGTGACAGAGCAAGACTCCATCTCAAAAAAAAAAAAGAAAAAAGAAAAATGGCAGATCTTAAGCTGGGTCAGCTTCCTGTCTGGCTAGGCCGTTTGCATGGGACAAAGTGCCCCAGTGGCTAATGTCCATGTCACCAGGATAATATTACATTGTCCAGAGAGATCTGAACCAAAGAAGATTGGCACATTAGCTCAGAAAATCTCATTGGAACCCTTGAAGTACATGTTGTTCTTTTCCAGTGACCATATAGCCCTGTCAACTTTATATATTTGTTAGCTTGTACAACATGTAACATTAGCCAATTCATCGTCTAGAGTCTGAACCATAAGCAATTTGCTATCCTGTGTGTTGCCTTGATGGAAGAACTCGACAAGTGGACATACGTGGATTTTGCAGATATAGTGCAGACGATGCCTTTGGCAAATCACTCCAGACACATCCCTTGGGGAAGGTGCTGCAGGCTCTGTCGCCCCTACAGATGGAAGCTGACAAGGAAAAGACGGGTCCAGATTGGAATCCCTGGGCTACATGTGAGAACAGACTGGAGGGTGCCAGAGCGGATGGGCAGACAGAGAGGAGGGTCTTTAGTTCTACAGTGTTGTACAGCGCCTCACTCAGGGGGTGGCACAAAGGACAGGAGGAAAGAGCCCCAGAAGCACTAACTTCATGCATATTTTTGACCTTCTCATCTCCTGGGCCAGCCTCCCTGGGTGTGGTTTTGTTCAGAACTGGAGAACGCGCCTGAATTTTTTAAATAATTGAGACAGGGTCTTGTCTGCTGCCCAGGCTGGAGTGCAACGGCATGATCATAGCTTAGTGCAGCATCAAACTGCTGGGCTCAAGAGATCATCCTGCCTCAGCCTTCCAAGTAGCTGGGACCACAGGCATGCTCACCACTGTGCTTGGCTTCTCTTGGAATTTTGTTGTTGTTGTTGTATTTCTTGAGACGGAGTCTCACTTTGTTGTCCAGGCTAGAGTGCAATGGCGTGGACATGACTCACTATAGCCTTGACCTCCTGGGCTCAAGTGATTTTCCCAACTCAGCCTCCCTAGAAGCTGGGATCACAGATGCATGCTACCGTGCTCGGCTAATTGTCTTTTCAATTTTTTGTAGAGATGGGGTCTTGCCATGTTGCCCAGGCTGGTCTTGAACTCTTGGGCTCAAGCGATCCTCCTGTCCTGGCCTCCCAAAGTGCTGGGATTACAGACATGAGCCACTGTGCTCAGCCCCCTGGAATTTTTGATCAGCCTCCCACTTTCTTTCTTTCTTTCTTTCTTTATTAGTTTTATTTTATTTTCTTTTTCTTTTTTTTCTTTTTTCTTTTTTTTTCTTTTTTTTTTTTGTGACGGAGTCTCACTCTGTTGCCCAGGCTGGAGTGCAGTGGCATAATCTCGGCTCACTGCAACCTCCACCTTCCAGGTTCAAGCGATTCTCCTGCCTCAGCCTCCCGAGTAGCTAGGACTACAGGCATGCACCACCACACCCAGGTAATTTTTGTATATTTATTAGAGATGGGGTTTCACTATTTTGACCAGGCTGGTCTTAAACTCCTGACCTCAGGTGATCTGCCTGCCTTGGCCTCCCAAAGTGCTGGGTTTACAGACGTGAGCCACCATGCCCAGCCCTCCCACTTTCATAGTAACCTGATCAAGTTCTTTCCATCCTCCCCTGTAAACAACTTCCTCTTGACCATAGTCATATAATTGCTACCTGTACCAAGAAAGGAGCCATGCATTTTGCCACTATGATCTCATTGAATCTTTATAATAACCCTTGTGATAATCTCTAGTCAATGTTGGCTGTGTAAACCCAGCAACAGGCTCAGAGGGATGTAGTAGCATGCTCTAGGTCACACAGCTGGCAAGTGGGTCAGCTTGGATATGAATGCAGCATTTTTTTTTTTTTTTTTTGGAGATGGAGTCTTGCTCTGTCGCCGAGGCTGGAGGGCAAATGGTGCGATCTTGGCTCACTGCAACCTTCACTTCCCAGGTTCAAGGGGTTCTCCTGTCTCAGCCTCCCTAGTAGCTGGGATTACAGGTGTGTGCCACCATGCCCACCTAATTTTTGTATTTTAGTAGAGATGAGGTTTCACCATGTTGACCAGGCTGGTCTCGAACTCCTGACCTCAGGTGATCTACCCGCCTCGGCCTCCCAAAGTGCTGGGATTATAGGCCCCGAGCACTCTTTGACTTTGAAGTTCACATTCCCATCAAGAACACTCAATGAAGACCAAGCAGTCAGTCCAGCAGGTGGTGGGGTTGCTTTTTCCTTTTGACAGTTTGGAATGATCCCTTTTGGTTTCTGAGTTTTTGGGTCACTCAGTCCTTTTCTTCATTCAATAAACCTTCCTGAGGCCAGGCCTCTTGCAGGTGGTGGGGCTGCAAGGTTTGCGACCTGGAAGAGCTCACAGTCTGCTCCAGGACACAGACCCATAGCAAGGTGCAACAATCTACAATATGATAAATATAGATGGTGGAGTGGGTGGGTTCTGTGGGAACCCTCTGCTTTCCATGGGCTGGAATGCCTGAGCTGGATTATAATAGGAGAAGTAGGCACTGACTGGGTAGAGATAGGGAGGACAGACATTCTAGGAAGAGTAAACAGTGTGTGCAAATTCCTGGGGCATGATAGAGCTTGGTGGACTTGGGAGACCTGGTTGTATGGTGGTGCTTGGGCGGGGGCAGTCTCAGCTGACTGGGACTAGGGTGTGAAGGACCCCAGTGAAGATTGCAGACTGGGCTATTCATGTTCTTAAGATTTACTGAGCACTTCCTCATGAGCCAGTCTTTGTGCTAGGTATTTCCCAGAAAGGATGACCAGGTTATTAAAATACGGAAACTGAAGTTCAGAGTAGGACTGGGTTTTATGTGGCCTCCCACCATGACTCTCTGCACCTTAAAAAAAAAAAGTGATGAAGAATAAAACAAACACTGTGTGTCTCCTATCCTGGTCAAGAAATAAAACCAAGCATGAGCATGGTGGCTTATACCTGTAATCCCAGCACTTTAGGAGGCCGAAGCAGGAGGATCGTTTGGGCCCAGGAGTTTGAGACCAGTGTGGGCAACATAGTGAGACCTTATCTCTACAACAAACAAACAAACAAACAAAAATTAGCCCGCCATGGTGGCGTGTGCCTGTAGTCCTAGCTACTCAGGATGCTGAGGTGGGAGAATCCCTTGATCCTGGGAGGTTGAGGCTGCAGTGAGTTATCATTATGCTACTGCACTCCAGCCTGGTTGAAAGAGAGAGGTGCTGTCTCAAAAAAAAAAAAAGAAAAGAAGAAGAAGAAAGAAAGAAAGAAAACCTTACTAAGATGTGTGAATGTGTGAAGCTCCTTCCTATTAAACATCTCCCTCTATCCAGAGGTAAAAACTTTGCAGAATGGTGTATTTATCATTCCTCTGAATGTCTTTATACTTTTACCATATCTGTGCATTCCTATGGAATATATGGTATTCTGTTCGGCATGTTTAAAGAATCTATATGAAGGCTGGGCATAGCGGCTCATGCCACCAGTCACGTAGTTTGTGGAATTACAGGAATAGAACTTGAAGCCAGGGTAGGCACAGTGGCTCACATCTGTAATCCCAACACTTTGTTTGGGAGGCTGGGGCGGGAGGATCGCTTGAGTCCAGGAGTTTGAGACCAGCCTGGCCAACATAGAGAGACCCCTCTCTCTACAAATAAAAATATTAGGCCAGGCGCGGTGGCTCATGCCTGTAATCCCAGCACTTTAGGAGGCCGAGGCAGGTGGATCACCTGAGGCGGGGAGTTCGAGACCAGTCTGACCAACATGGAGAAACCCTGTCTCTATTAAAAAATACAAAATAATACAAAATTAGCTGGGCATGGTGGCGCATGCCTGTAATCTCAGCTACTCGGGAGACTGAGACAGGAGAATCTCTTGAACCCAGGAGACAGAGGTTGCGGTGAACTGAGATCGTGCCATTGCACTCCAGCCTGGGCAATAAGAGTGAAACTCCATCTCAAAAAAATAAAAAACAAACAAACAAACAAAAAACTAGCTGCATGTGGTGCCACTGCACCTGTGGTCCCAGCTACTCAGAAGGCTGTGGTGGTAGTATTACCTGAGCACAGGAGTTCGAGGCCGCAGTGAGCTATGATAGCGCCACTGCACTCCATCCTGGGTGACAGAGCAAGCCTCTGTCTCAAAACAAAACAAAACTATATGAATGATATTATAGAAATTTGATGTTCTGCAACATGTTCTCCCTCCCCTTATTTGAGATTTGAGATTCATAATGAATTTCTAATCATTTATTTTTGCTGCAGTATAGAATTTTGCTGACTACCCCACAATTTGTTTATGCATTCTTCCTCTGATAGGGATGGAGGCTGTTTCAAATTCCTTACTAGTATTATCATTATTGCAATGAGCAAGAGGTTCTCTATGTCAAGACTCTGGGTCACTGGGGTATGTGCACTTCGACATTTCTAGATGCTGCCAAATTGTTTCCCAGAGTGGCTCTACCCATTTCCACTCCTGCCTGCAGCACAGGACAGTTCTCCAGACTCCAGGTCCCTACTGTCCCACTTCTTTGTTTTTGCACCAATCTGACAGGCATGAAGTGGCACTTTACTGGGATTTTGTTTTATATTTCTCTGATTACTAGTGAGACTGACCATCTTTGCATATGTTTATTGGCCATTCATGTTTCTTTTTCTGTGAATTGCCTGTTCATATATTTTGCCCAATCTCCTATTGCCTCTTTAGCACATTGGTTTGTGGAAGGCCTTTGTATATTTTGGATATTATATTGTAAATATCATCTTTTGATAAACAGAAGTTTTGAATTTTAATTAAATGTATTGATGTTTTTCTTGATGATTTATGCTTTTGAGGTCTTCTTTAAGACATCCTTGACTATTATGAGTTTTTTTTGTGTGTGTAAGTTTTCAGTACACCTGGAACTGATCTTTTATGCATGGTGTGAGGTAGGGATTCAGCTCATCTTTTACTAATATGGACATTCTATTGCTCTAGCACCATTTATAGAAAAGTCCACCCTTCTCCCACTGACCTGCAGGGCCATCTCTGCTACATATCAAGTTTCCATACCTGTATGGGTCAATTTTTGCAGCCTCTATTCTAGTCCACTGGCCAATTTATCTACCCTTGGGCTAATACCAGATGCTGTGATTGTACATTTTGGGGTCCTTAGCACCTCCTCTCTCGAATTAGAGGAGTGCTAGTGACTTCCTGAGAGTAGAAACTTGTGTTCACCTTTGCAGCTCTCTCATCACGTTTTACATGAACATCTACATAATGCTTTTGTTTACAAAAGGATTTCTTGCATACTATCTCTTGGAGTTCTAAAACTCCCTTTTTGCAGAAGATAAAACTGAGGCAGAAGGTAAAACTGAGAAGATAAAACAGAGGTAAGATGATTTGCCAAGGTCGCACAGCCAGAAAGTGTTGGATTAGGGGTTCTATAAGATTTCAAAGCCACCCTGTGCATCCATCGCATATGCTCCGAAGACTTCCACTGACCCTGGTATCGGATTTCACTCCTTCCTGCCTTCATTCAACAAGTAGCTCCTGAGTGATGACCGTGCCAGCTTCTGGTGGGTGCTGGGGCTGAGACCCCATTTCTGGGAGGCTCTTCCCAGTGCTGGAGACCGGTGGGAAGGGTGAGACAGTAGATGGACATTTTATGGGACATCGTCTGCGGCTTGGCATCAGCATCAAGTCGCGCCAGGTTTCAGAGCCAATTTAAAGAGCCCCATTTTTGGCGTGCAGTTGGGCCCAGGCGCTGTCTTCAGAGAGGACGCTGGCTTCCCCCTGGAATTACAGGCGTCCTCCCGCCCTCCCGCCTCGAGAGGCAGGAATGCGAAGGATCAGCTTTCAGCAGAGCTCCGGCTGCCGTTCGGGGAGTTCACCGTGCAGGCCCGTCCCCAGCGGCCGAATTAACTGGTTCTGTCTGTACGACTGGGAGAGCAGCTCTCGCTAAAAATAGCGCCCTGCCCAGCTCGACCTGCGAGCCGCCGTTGGATTCTGAGCCGGGACGGCTCAAGGAGCCGGGAGCCCTGCACACCCCTCACCCCGGGCCTGGCCCGGGACCGACCACGGAGGCGGAGGCCGCGGGCACCGCGCTGGCCCCACAGGTGCCGCGGAGGGTGGCAGGCCCGCTGGCCGAGGCACTGCCGAGGCCGTCCGAGATGGGAGCTGGCGGTGCCTCCTTCCGCGCCCTCGCCTGGGCCTCCCTGCCCCTGCTGGGGCCTCCAGCCTGCGCGCTCTGCGAGGACACGCTCTGCTGCGGAGGTAAGGCCGTGCGCCTCCAGGCGCGCCCTCGCCCTACGCGGGCACTTGCCCGGGGCCTGTTTCTCCTCCTTGGCCCCAGATCCGCGACTGGCGGCAAGGTGAGGACGAACACAGGCATCCGCGTAGGGCTGGGAAAAGGAGGCAGGAGCTCTCAGCAAACCCACCTTTAGCTGGAAAACGTCGCTGTCCCGCCACCACGGTCCGAAAAGCGTTCGCCCCGCTCTGGCCTCAGTGTGCCTATCTGGGAAATGGGTCAATAAGATAGTCACGCTTTAATATTCAGTCACGCTTGCTGAAGCGGGTCGCAGACGTTCGCGGGACGTTCCCTCCAGCCAGCTGGAGTCCTCGGGAGTTTCTGTTGGTGGGAGTGCTGGGGTGCCTTCCCTGTGACACCCCGCACTGTCCCCTTCCCAAGCTCTAGTTCCCCCCATTAGTCCCCGGCTCCTGAGGTTGGAGATCCACGCAGGGCGCACATAAAAGTTTAAGGGGTCAGCGGATGCGGGAAGATTCTAGCGGGAAGGGGAGCTGTAGGGTGGAAGAGGGATAAGTAAAGCAAAGTCGCGGCCCACTCCTCGGTCCCGTACCCTCATAGCGCCGAAACGGAAGCAGAGGTTATCTCTGGACTCCTGGAGGCCTGGGGACTCCGGGAGGGGAGGGGGCGTGTGGTCCCGCCGGCATCTCGGGCCGGCACCAGGCTGGGGAGCGTGTGCTCGGAGCGGAGGGCCTCGGCTCTGCCCAGTCCGGCCTGGGCGGGGCGGTGGTGGGGAGGTCGATTGACCAAACAGGTGCGCCCCCGCCCCTCTGCTCCCCGCCCGCGCTGGGTCCCGGGCCTGGCGGGCGGAGCTGTGGGCGGCTGGGCCTGCGATTGGCAGGGCTGGGCAGGCCGGGTGGCCGCGGGAGCCCGGGAGCCGTAGAGCGGCGGCGCCGGGGGAGGCGCGGAGCCGGCCGTAGCGCGCTCCTGCCTGGCCAGCCGCCTACTCCGCCCGCCCCGCTCCACTCGGCCCAGCTGGCGCGAAGGAAACTTTCCTGCAGCCGCCCGGCGACACCGCGACTCCGCCGCTTCGCAACCCTGGCCCTGGGCCGCTCAGGCTCCGGAGCCTTTGGGATGGCAGCGCCCAGCGGCCCGGCCCGCGCGTAGAGGTAAAAGCTGGGGGCCGCGGCTCAGGTGGAGGGGGGCTCGGTGGTTTGCCGGGATCCGAGCGGCATCCCGGGTTCGAGAGGATCCGGGGGCTCCGATGCGAGGTGTTGGGGTAGGGGACTGAGGAATGGGCGGCGACTTTGCTTTATTTACCCCGCTTTTCCCCTACAGTCCCCTCTCCCGCAAGGAAATCTGCGCGATGCATTGAGCCTTTAAACTTTCCTGTGCGCCCTGCCCAGATCTCGACCGCCGGGACCCAGGGCTGGCGCTGGGTTCTTGGGAGAGTACAATACAGGGGATCGCGAGGAAGGCGCCCCCAGCTGGGGCCCGCGGGCGGCGGGAGTTGGGGGTGGGGGGTGCCAGCCTACCGATCCCCAAGGCTTCCAGCGGTCTCCCAAACTTCAGACCTTCCTCAGCTCACCCTGGGAATTGGTGATAGGGCAGCCAACCAAACCTCTTTATCCAGAGCCAGGCACCCCCTGGGGCACCCAAGTTTTGGGTGTTTTTGTTCAATCCTGGCCAATCCTAAATTATCAGGGAGGCGATTGGCAGGGCTGGGTCGTTGAAGTGAGGTCTCTTTTCCGTTTCCTGGGCTGCTCTGGACCCCACCTTCCGTGAAAACACCTTGGGCTAAGCAGAGTGGGAACAGGGACCAACGCCACCTGCTTCCAGTGCTCAGCCTGGTGGGAATGACTGCAGGGTGTTCTGGTCTCAGGATGGTCCACTCTTGAGCTATCTGGTGTGAGCCATATGGAAACTCCTCTCCCTCTGGCCCCTTCTGCTATTAAGGAGGGAAATTTTACCTTAATTTTGATTGTGAGTGGGTGAGTAGGTAGCTTGTCACCAATAAGGACCAATCTTTAACATTAGTCCTCCTTAATGTTAACTCCTTTCCGTGTTTTACTGACCCAGGACAGAATACCTAAGAGTAAAAAAATGGAACCAAACACCTAGCTCTGGAGCCCAGGGAATCTGGGTTCCAACATCAGCCCCTGCTGCTCACTAGCTGTGTATCTGTGGGCAGGTTTCCTAACCTCTCAGAGCTCAAGGGTCCCGTCCAAGGGGGATATAGGGAGGTTTTTTCGAGGTGAGGCGTAGAAGGCGCCTGGCTCGTAGGACAGCCATCTTAAGCAGCCGATCTATACCCTGGAGCCTGTGCCCTCTTGCTGTCTGAGAGAGCCAGCATCCTTGTGCCTCAGTTTCCTCTCCCCCAGAAAGTTGGTAAGGACCAGCCCCTCTTAATCAGCCCTTTTGAGAAAAGTGCACAGATGCACACACCCACAATTTCAGTGGGTTTGTAGGCTCAGGTTTAAACAGCCTCACACATTCTTATCCCTGCAATGAACTATTCAGAATGTACAAGGCTTCTGTCTATCTTGATCTTTCCCCCTTTCCCCACCCCTTTTAGACACCTGGAGGTAACTATTGTAAATGGCAAGGAAGAGCAAATGAACTAAATAACCAGCATGATGGGGAAAAGGGCTGACCTGCAGAACCTGGCCCAAAGTCACCTTCAAGATCACCTGGCCCTCCTATCCCCGCATTCTTCCTTCCCTGGTGCTGTGTCCCCACTTGGTGAACATCTAGTCTTTTTTGCTAGGATCCTCTAGTGACGGTGAGTTCACTAGACAGTTGGTTTCATGATTGGGAAACTCTTGGTTTCATGATTGAGCAACATTCTTCCTGTTTGGGACAGAAATCTTTGTCTCTATGACTTCTATCCACTGGTTCTGGAACAACCCTTGGGGCATTTCTTACTGTCTCAATTATTCACTGTGGTCCCCTGGTGCCTGGCATTCTGTTCCGTCCCTTCAGCATTCAACACACAGGCACTGAGGTTGGTAATGATCATAGCACTATTTATTGAGTGTTTATTATATGCCAGACCCTGCCCTGAGGACTTTACACATATTATTTTCTTGCACCCATAAAACAAACCCATGAGGTTGATTATTTTCTTATCCTTATTTTGCATATAAGAAACAGGTTTAGAGAGGTTAAGGGACTTACCCAAGATCCTACAACTGGTAAGGGGCTGGCTGGGCTGTGCACCAAACTCAGCATCTGTATCTGTCTTTAGAGCACATGCTTCGCTTTTGATCCTTGCTTGCATACATGCCTTTGTGTGTGTGTGTGTGTGTGCGCGTGCGTGTGTGCTCCTGGGACTGGTGTGTGCCAGCAATGCTTTTATCACAAGCACCTAGAGCACCTGTTAAAATGCAGATCCCTCATCTCTACTCCAGGCCTGGGATCTCCACTTTAAACCACCCGCCACTCCCACTCCCCCCCAACCCAGGCCATTTTCCTGCAGGTCACAGTTCGAGGACCATAGCACTAAGGTACTCTTAGGAAGAGAACGTGGAATATAGTTTTCAACAGATCTGAATTTAGTCTTGGCTTCACTCTCTGGAGCTGGTTACTCTTCCTTTCTAGGGCTTTCTCCCAACTTAAGATGGGTATGCTGTTCCACCCACTGGTGGGTGGAATGGAGCAGGCCCTTGGCTGACGGGAGCCCTGGTGAAGTTTCTCCTGCCACAAGTGGATGTACTTGCGGGCAGACCTGTGGCACCCCCAAGATCACTGGCCTCTGCTTTCTAGGATTGGTGTGCCTTAGACGAGGCCCTCGTGCTCAGGTTATTATATTTTGGAGACAGGGTCTCACTCTGTCATCCAGGCTGGAGTGTAGTGGTACTATCATAGCTCACTAAGGCCTCAAACTCCTGTGCTCCAGTGATCCTCCCACCTCAGCCTCTTTAGTAACTGCGACTACAGGCACATGCCACCATGCTCAGCCAATTTTTAAATTTGTTTTGTTTTGTTTTGTTTTTTGAGATGGAGTCTCCCTCTGTCACCCAGGCTGGAGTGCAGTGGCGTGATCTCGGCTCACTGCAAGCTCCACCTCCTGGGTTCACGCCATTCTCCTGCCTCAGCCTCCCAAGTAGCTGGGACTACAGGCGCCCGCCACCACGCCCGGCTAATTTTTTGTATTTTTAGTGGAGACAGGGTTTCACTGTGTTAGCCAGGATGGCCTTGATCTCCTGACCTCGTGATCCGCCCACCTCGGCCTCCCAAAGTACTGGGATTACAGGCGTGAGCCACCGCGCCTGGCCAATTTTTTAATTTTTAGTAGAGATGAAGTCTTGCTATGTTGCTCAGGATGGTCTTGATCTCCTAAGTTCCTGATGCTCCTGCCTCAGCCTCCCAAAGTGCTGGGATTGTAGGCATGAGCCACTGTACCCAGCCTCTGCTCAGTTTTTTCACCCAGAGTGGTGAGGACCCTGGAGGGGTTGGCAGAAACCTCTCCCTCCCCTCAACACCTTCTTCCTCCATCCTCCTACTGTGGCCTCTGGCCCTCCCAGCCAGAAGGTGCTGGGCCTGCATCTCGCGGGGAGAGGAGCGGGGTGGTTCTGTTGTGCGTCTATCTATGTTTTCAATCTCCATCCCTTCCCTTGGAAGACCGCTCTGTGGGCCATTGGGCAGCTTTGGGGAAATGTCTGGCCCGAGGCTGCCTGGCCTGGGCTGACTCACTAGGAGAGATACAGGGTGGAGGAATCGCCTGCATAGACCCCAGCTGTATCACAATTCTGGCCTACCAGCTGTGCTGCAGACAGGGTGCTTGTTCTGCCTTGGACCTATTTGATCCTGCTGAAAGCACAAATTATTAAACACCCATTTTATGAAAGAGGTCACTGGAGTCCAGGAAACTGCAGTGACGTGTCCAAAGCCCTAATGTGTGTATGTGGGCAGGGGAGGGAGCGGTGATAAGAGTCAGGACCTAAATCCAGGTGCCTTGACAATAAGGCACTCTGGCCTTTTTTGCAGTCTTGTTCATGCCTCACTATTTTTCTGCCCTATCTGGTTGTGGCTTTGGTGCCAGAGCCCTCACCTGGAAGCTTGAAGACCTGGGCCACGATCAGGCTGTGTGATCTTGGGCAGGGCTGGTCATCTCTTAAAACGTTAGGTTTCTTTTCTGTAAAGGGGCTGAAGGTGGGGCTTTTTGTCCAGATCTCTGAGGTTCTTTCCCACCTTGACATTTACAAGTTGGGCTCTGTCTGCATTTCCTGTCTGGGTTTCTAGGGAGAGGTATTCATGATGGGCTCAGGGCATGGGTGAGGGGTTGAGTTGGGCTGGAGGGCAGAGTGCTCCATGGGAATTACTATGAAAGGGGCCAGAAAGGCTCTTATGGGAATGGTGGCCAGTGGGGCCAGGACACCTGGGGGCAGTCCAGAGGGGGACAGGTAGTGGAGGAAGCCCAGGGAAGGGGGAGGTCACTTACCTTAGAATTACACAGTGTTTTGCACCCTGATCCTTGCAAGAAGGTGATGGTGGGAATGACTGGGGGTCAAGGGCAGGAGCCAAGGGGGAGCGTGGGGGCACTAGGGCCAACCCCACTGCAGGCCCTCTCAGCCCTGGGTAGTCTTGACCAGGAGACAAGGGGGACATGTAAGAGCCTTGTCTCCCTTCCAAGCCATCACATGTCTCTCCTCTGGGCTTCCTCAGCCTTTCCTGAATCTGACCTGAACGGTTCTAACCTCTCCCTGGGGCGAGCAGCTGGCTGAGGGGGTCCAGCTGCCTGTTTCCCATCCCAGGTGGGCCTCCAGCAACCCAGCTTCCTACAGTAGCCCTTAGTAACCACAGCCTCTGCTGGCCACTTACTGTCATGTGAGTGACTTCCTGTTAACCACGAGATCAAAGCCAAGCTCCCTGGCCTGGCAAACACGGCCCCATGTCTGGCTCCAGTTTTCCTCCCTGCCTCTTCTTTCTCTGCTCTTCAGGTTTTATGTTGCCTGGACTTGGCCTGTGACTTCCAGAATGCCCTTTTCTCTCTGCCACTGCTTACTGCCCAAATTCTTCCTGCCCCTCTGGGTGTAGCACCAATTTCACCTCCATTTGTTCTCATTGCCCCCCTAAGGGTGAGCCGTTCCTCCGGGCTTGTAGCTCTTTCTTACTAACTGCCCTGCTTTGCCTGTCGTTGTCCGCTGCCTGTCCCCCGTGATGGGCTCTGGGCTTTAGAAATTGCTCTAGTGAATGCCCTAGTGAATGCTTGGAAAGCTTTGTAGAGTTGGACTAGCTTTGAATCAGGCATGATTTTTCCACTCCTGCTCCAACTGCCGTGCCTGCACCCCCCTCCTCAACAGAGTCAAGTGGAGAGCCTCGCAGTCTGCTCTGGGCAGGGCTGGCTCTAGCAAGGGACAGAAGAGAGATGCCTTTGGTTTGCAGAGAACTTCTCTGCCTCATTTGGATTTTTGTTTTGTTTTGTTTTGTTTTTAATTGAGACACGGTCTCCTTCTGTCGCCCAGGCTGGAGTGCAGTGGCGCGATCTTGACTCACTGCAACCTCCGCCTTCCAGGCTCAAATGATCCTCCCACCTCAGCCTCCCAAGTAGTTGGGACTACAGGTGCTCGCCACCATGCCCAGCTAATTTTTGTATTTTTTTGTAGAGACAGGGTTTCCCCATGTTTCCCAAGCTGGTCTCGAACTCCTGAGCTCAAGTGATCCACCCGCCTCAGGCTCCCAAAGTGTTGATTACAGGCATGAGCCACCATGCCCGGTCCCATCATTTGGATTGTTCTTGATCTGCTTCTTAAAAAAAACTTTATTCTGGCTGTGTGGCATCAAGGGGGACCGGCCTAAAAGCAGGTTAGGGAAAGCCACCTGTCAGTGTCAGTCCCCACCTGCAGGCTGAATTTCAGGTCTCAAATGAGAATAGCCAAATTCACCTGCTTCTTTAGAATTATTGTTGGTTTTTTTTGAGACAGGGTCTCACTCTGTCACTCATGCTGGAGTGCAGTGGCATGATCTTGGCTGACTGCAACCTCCACCTCCTGGGCTCAAGTGATCCTCCCACCTTAGCCTCCCTAGAGTATCTGGGACTACAGGCGCTTGCCGTCATGCCTGGCTAATTTAAAAATTTTTCTTCTTGTAGAGATGAGGTCTCACTATATTGCGCAGGCTGGTCTTGAACTCCTAGGCTCAAGCAATCCTCCCACCTTGGCCTCCCAAAGTGCTGGGGTTGTATGCATGAGCCACCGCACCTGGCTTCTTTAGCATTTTCTTAAGAGTGTTTAAAAAGTACTTGTGAAGGGCCTGTGGGGGTTATTGGGATTGTGTCGGGGGCCCACAGACATGGTCCCCACAGACATGAACATCGAGGAGTCACATAACTGTTCTGGGGTTGCACAGTTATTTGTGGCCAGAAAGTCCACAGAAACATCTGTCCCTGAGTTCAGAGAGGGCTGTTGAGTCTCAGAGGCCAAAAGGGAAAGAAAAAAATGAGGACCAAAAATATATACTAAGGTTGGGTGTGCTGGCTCACGCCTGTGATCCCAGCAGTTTGGGAAGCCAAGGCGGGGGATCACCTGAGGTCAGGAGTTCAAGACCAGCCTGGTCAACATGGTGAAACCCCGTCTGTAATAAAAATACAAAAAGAAAAAAAAATAAAGAAAGAAATTAGCCAGGTGTGGTGGTGCATGCCTGTAATCCCAGCTACTCAGGAGGCTGAGGCAGGAGAATTGCTTGAACCCAAGAGGTGGAGGTTGCAGTGACCTGAGATGGCACCACTGCACTCCAGCCTGGGTGACAGAGTGAGATTCTGTCTCAATAATAATAATAATAATAATGTATGCTACAGCACAAAGCATTTATATCACACTTTCTGGTGTGCAAGGTGCTTTCTGCAGAGGGTCCCCTCCCAGTCCCCCTGTGACTTTCTGCTGAGGAAACCAAGGCTCTGAGAAACACAGCTCAGCTCCCATGGCTGGAAGGATGCAGCTCAGGACTTCCCTGACTCCCCTCACTCCAGGTCCAGTGCTCACGGGCAGGGCTCAGAGTGGCTGTTGGAAGGAGGCTCTCCTTATTGACGGCTCCCAATTCAGAGTGAGGATTTTTTTTTCTTTGACATTCTTGTGTTGGGATCATTTTCCCTGTTACCATCATTGGATGAGTGTGAACTCAGGCAGTGGGGGGTGAGGGAGGTGGGACCAGGGAGAATGGCAGCGTTCTTTGTTTTTTGTTTTTTTTTTTTTCTTGAGATGGAGTCTCGCTCTGTTGCCCAGGCTGGAGTGCAGTAGCGTGATCTCAGCTCACTGCAACCTCTGCCTCCTGGGTTCATGCAGTTCTCCTGTCTCAGCCTCCCGAGTAGTTGGGACTACAGGTGCATGCCACCATGCCTGGCTAATTTTCATATTTTTAGTAGAGACAGGGTTTCACCATATTGGTCAGGCTGGTCTCAAACTCCTGACCTTAAGTGATCCACCCACCTGGGCCTCCCAAAGTGCTGGGATTATAGGCATGAGCCACCATGCCTGGCCGGCAGTGTTCTTATGAACGTAGAGAACACCTGCGCAGATGGGTCAGGTGACCAGGTCAGAGATCTCTGTCCTGAAGTAGGAAGCCCCCTGTCCTTGTAGGTGACAGTGGCTGATACCTAGTAAAGACTCATCTTGGAGTGAGGTCTGATGGATGCTAGGGTACTGGAGGGAGAGGAGAGAGATTGATGATGGTCTGGTTTTATGTTCACATACTCCTATCATTCCTTTGGGTTTTTCTTATTTTTTTGAGATGGTGTCTTGCTCTGTTACCCAGGCTGGAGTGCAGTGCCACAATCATGGCTCACTGTAGCTTGAACTCCTGGGCTCAAGCAATCCTCCCATCTGAGCCTCCAAAGTAGCTGGGACTGCAGGCAAGCACCACCATGCCCAGCTAATTTTTTTATTTTTTGTAGAGATGGGGTCTTGCTGTGTTGTCCAGGCTGGCGAACTCCTGGCCTCAAGCAATCCTCCCACTTAAGCAATCTTCCCACTTTGGCCTCCCAAAGTGCTGAGATTACAGACATGAGTCACCACCCCATCGTTCCTTTGTTGCTTCCTGTCCTACTTACTATTGCCTTATCAGTTTATCTGTCTCTGCCCCTGCCCCTGTCCTTAGACAGAGGCATCCTAGCACAGGTGCCTCATGGTTTTCCCCTCTGGGTGACCCTGGAGCAAGACCAACCTCTTAAGAGGGGAGGGGAGGGAATGTGAATAAGTAAATAAATAAGCAGATGAATGAGGGACTCTTCTCAGCATCTTTGGTGACCCTGTCTGACTATCACTGGCTGTAGAATGTGTGACAACTGAGTCTACCAGGCAACGGCTGTTTGCCGGGAGCAGCAGGACCCAGCCAGAAGACATAATGGAAGCAGGCCCTGGCCAGAGCAGGGACCTCAGAGCCTTTCCCGGCAGAGGGAACGCAATCAAAGCTGGCGCTGCTTCCGGGAGGAGAGAATTCCCAAAAGGCTCTGTCAGCCCCTCTGATAGGGATCTGCAGGGTGTGTGAGAGATTTGTTTTTCAGCCAGGATGTGGGGAGTTAAAAATAGACACCCTAATCCCTTGAGTTCGTGTCACACTTGACGCTGTGCAGAGCCCTATGGCTCCATTATCTCACTTGAGTGGCTCGGCAGCCTTTGACGTGGGGAGAGGTTGCACTGCCCGCTTTATAAATGAGCGTGTGGAGGTGCGTGCCCAATTTCTTACTTGAGACTGTACCCCAAATTCAGTGGCAGAACCTGTCTGATCCTCAGCCCCTGAGGTCTGTGTTTTATATTCTTAGGAGAAGCCAGATGAGAGTCAACAGGCTCCAGGAGGGAAGCGGGTTGGTGGAAACAATAGGGGTAGATTTTTAAGCAAAGCAGCAAGGATGGCAGGGAGACTGAGAATGAATTGAGGTCCCAGGGAGCAAAGGCTCATGATGGGCTTGGGGAGCAGCCGAGGACTGTAACTGGTTGGAGCAGGAGTTGGGGGGGTAAGGTAGTGATGGGAATAAAGCAGAAAAGTACCATCAGGACCCCAAATCGAGGACCTAGAATGCTATGATAAGGATAGTGAACATAAAGCTGTAGGCAATAGGGAGCCATTGAGGATTACAGAGCACAGTAGCTTCCTGCTGTAACAACCATGCATTGCAATGATGTGCTAACTGGCTTTGCTGTAGGTATTACTTTATGGTGTTTGACAGAATATATATTTTTTAAACCCTCAGAAGACACCTGTCCATCCTGACCTCTCCTTATGGAACCTTGCATCGTGCTAGGGGGAGCACCCCGTTTTCTGCTGCCTCTTGGTTTGGGGAGGAGCCCCCTCTGGGGCAAAGTCTGTAACTAGGTTTCTCGGCTTTTTCTAGTTTTTGTTTGTTTGTTTGTTTGTTTGTTTGTTTTTGAGACAGCGTCTCGCTCTGTCGCCCAGGCTAGAGTGCAGTGGCGCAATCTCGGCTCACTGCAACCTCTGCATCCCAGGTTCAAGCGATTCTCCTGCCTCAGCCTCCCTGGTAGCTGGGACTACAGGTGTGTGCCATCACGGCCAGCTATTTTTTTGTGTGTTTTTAGTAGAGACGGGGTTTTGCCATGTTGGCCGGGCTGGTCTTGAACTCCCGACCTCAGGTGCTCCGTCCGCCTCGAACTCCCAAAGTGCTGTGATTACAGGTGTGAGGCACTGCGCCCAGCCTTCTAGTTTTTAATCTAGGTGCTCCTGGTTGTCCATCTGTCTGTCTTCCCCATGGTGGGAGGAATTAAGTGACAGGGAGGAGGTAGTGGCTGAAGTTCTAGCCCGACCTGACTCATTGAAACTTTTACAGGCTGTCTAGTGCATCTGACACCCTGCCACTGACAAGCTCCCAGACCACCAGGATCAGTTTTCTCCACTTCTCACTTCCATCCCTCCCGCTTTGGGACCCCCATTCGGCTCCCAACTTCTCCAGGCATCCTGCACTGATTGTTCCAGCAACACTGACCTTTTCTGTACATTTTAGTGCCCATGGCCCTCTAACTTGTATGTTTATTAACTCTTTGCTCCTTCCCTAGCTAGGCCAAGGCCCCTGGTGGGCAGGACAGGAGCTAAGCAAGATGTAAGCTGGACAGACCATTGGAAATCTTCTGGTGCGATCTATCCATTTTAGAATTAGGGGGATAGAGGCCTGGGTTTGCCTAAAACTTCATGACAAGTTCCTGGCAGAGCTGGGATTCAAACCTGGATCTCCAGGGCTATCTTGGTCCTTGGCTGCAACATCACCCACTTCTCAGAGCCACCCTGCTTCTCAGCTCCAAGAGCCAAGAATTCCCAGCTCTGCAAGAATCCCAGTTTTGCAGCCTTGGCTCCTCCTGGGGCTGGGAGCCAGCAACGCCAAGCCTGCAGGTTCCCAGAGAGGGCTCCTGGCGTCGGTGTGGCTTAGTCACAGGGATGAGATCACTACTCACCTCTGGATAGGGGAGGATGCCAAGGTTTGGGAACTTTCACTCTGAGCTACTTGATTTTGTGTATGTGTGTGTGTGTGTGTGTGTGTATAAGAAAAACAAACCTTTTGGTTGGGACTTTGTACTTGGCTCATGAACTGTGGGCTTGGGGAAGCTGCTGAGCCATGATAAGCACTTGTACTGTGCCATCTCACAGCTTCCCAGGATAGTGGCTCTGTGTTAGGAAGGAGCTTGGACCAGAGCCAGAACCTGGTGTTAGCATTTGCTCTGCCTCACATTGGCTGTGTGACCCTGAGTACGGTGCATGGCCTCTCTGGGCTGTAATGATAATACCTAGCAGCTCACACTTTCTGAGTACTTCCCATGGACCAGCCACTCGGCTCATCAGCCCATTTAGTTCTCACAATAGACCTGTGAGATCCTGTTTTCACCTCTGTTTTGCAGATGAGGAAACTGAGTCCCAGAGAGGAGGAGTGACTTGCCTAAGGTCACCCAGCTGGGAAGGGCAGAGCCAGGGTTGGAATGCAGGTCTTCCCAACTCCAAAGCCTCTCGTGTCAGGCACTCTGCTGCCCTGCCCTCTAGCTGCAGGGCTACCTCCTAAGGGATTGTGGAAGTGTAAGTATGGAGAAACCAGGTGTAATTCAGCACGTGAGGGGTGGGAAGGTGATGGATGAAGGGTCTTTTTCTACGCTGATATCGTTCTCCATCTCCCCACTGTCCTTGAGTAGTGCTGTCCTTGAATAGTCAGAGGGGGGCGCAGAGGAGAGCAGGTACAGCGGTATGCAGGCTCCATGAGAGGAAGGGCGTATTTGAAGATGGTTTCACGGACCGCCAGTCCTGGGCCCATCTCTTTCCACCCCCTGTAGGTCACTGGCTTTGTGAATGTTGATTGTAATTCCTTTCCCATCCTCCCCTAGAAGGTATCTTCAAGGCAGGGGCTCGCTAAGGGATTTCCTTTTGAGTGGAGTGACCATAAGATTTGTTTGTTTGTTTGTTTGTTTTTGAGACAGAGTCTCACTCCATCACCCATGCTGGAGTGAGTGGTGCAATCTTGGCTCACTGCAACCTCTGCTTCCTGGGTTCAAGCAATTCTCCTGCCTGAGCCCCCTGAGTAGCTGGGATTACAGGTGCCTGCCACCACGCCCGGCTAATTGTAATTTTTAGTAGAAACTAGATTTTGCCATGTTGGCCAGGCTGGTCTCGAACTCCTGACTTCAAGTGATCTGGCTGCCTCAGCCTCCCAAAGTGTTGGGATTACAGGCATGAGCTGCCATGCCTGGCCTTGACCATAGGTTTTGATTCAGATTTGGAACAGAAATCTGTTGATGGCCACTGAATCCTGGGCTTGGAGTAGGAGCTAGGGGAAGCACCAAGTAACTCGTTCCCACCCCAAGGAAGCTGAGTACAGCAGACAGGCTAAGGGTGTGTGTGTGGTCTAAGGTCCATCAGACAGACCTGGCTTTGGGTTCTGGCTGCTCTACCTACCAGCTGTTTGACCTTGGACAAAGTTATCTTATTTCTCTGATCCTCAGTATTCTTAACTATAAATTGCGGATAATAATACCTATTTTTTAGGGCTGTTATTATATTATTATTATTTTTTAATTTTTTGAGACAGGGTCTCACTTTGTTGCCCAGGCTGGAGTGCAGTGGTGTGATTTCGGCTCACTGCAACCTCTGCCTCCTGGGTTCAAGTGATTCTCCTGCCTCAACCTCCTGAGTAGCTAGGATTATAGGTGTGTGCCACCACAGTCAGCTAATTTTTGTATTTTTAGTAGAGACAGGGTTTCACCATGTTTGCCAGGGTGGTCTCAAACTCCTGGCCTCAAGTGATCCACCTGCCTCGGCCTCCCAAAGTGCTGGGATTACAGGCATGAGCCACTGTGCCCAGCCTAGATTAAAATTATACGTGCAAAGAAAGAACACAGTACAGTGTCTGCACATCATAAACATTTAATAAATGCTGCAGTTTTGTTATTACTTATTATTTGCATTATTATTACTGATGGTCTTCTTAATGCACTTTATAGCAGTCTTGGGATCCTCTGGCCATACCCCTTTCCAGAACTTACTGCCTTTGGTGAAGGTAGTTCTGGGTAGGGGAAGATCTGAATTAAAGAGTCAATCTACCAGCCTGGGAAACATAGCAAAACCCTGTCTCTACAAAAAAAAAAAAATTACCTGGGGCTGGTGGTGTGTGCCTGTAGTCCCAGCTACTCTGGAGGCTGAGGTGGGAGGATCGCTTAAGTCCGGGAGGAGGTTGAGGCTGCAGCGAGCCGGAGCCGTGATCGTACCACTGCACTCCCACTTTGGTAGCAGAGTGAGACCCTGCCTCAAAAAAAAATTATTATTTTTAATGTGAATGATTTTTCTCTTGGAGATACACAGGGTCTCAAATTGGCCAAAAAAGGTGTCTGAACATGGGTTTTTAAGGGAGCTGCTTTGATGAATAGAGAAAGGGGATAATAGAGAAAAAGATTTCTTTAAGGTGCTTGAAATTTATCTTTTGCATGGTATCCACAGTCCCCGTGAGCTTGTTTCTGCTGTGTAAGTCACCGGGGTGAGTGTCTGTTGAAGCAGGCATGCGGGGTAAAGGTGGGGCAGGGCGGAACTCCAACAAGTCTCAGCTGCTGCTCCTCCCTCTCTCCCTTCCGAGAACCGCCAGGGTCCTCCTTAGAGAGAGAGCCTGCTCAGCCTTTGGGGAAGCCACAAATTGGTGAAGTTGCTGTAGACAGCAGTGTGTGTGTGTTTGTGTGTTGTGTGTACGTGTTGGTGGGGGGAGGTAAGAGGTCAAGTGGGTTTCCCAGAGGAAGAAAGGCTAGAGCCAGGCCCAGGAGGACAACTGCTCAGGTTTCTGCAAACAGGATTGCAAAATCACTTTTCCCGAGCTTACCCAGTTCTCCATCGGAGTCTTGCAGCCAGGTCAGCTGGGAGCCCCCAAGCTTGGCAGTTAGGACACTTGGGGAGGTGTGGGGAGGGGGGATGTCAAATCCTGCCTCAGTTTCCCCATTTGTCCTGGCTATTCCTAGAGCCCCATTTATCTAGGCTATGCTTTCGGACAGGAAACAGAGGGATGTGGAAGGAGAAGATGCAGGTTTGGGATAAGAGTTGAGTCTGTCACTTCCCACTGTGTGCCCTCAGGCAGGTCCTTCTGCAGCTGCCTGGGCTCCTCAGTGTTTTGAGGCTTCGGTGAGGTAATGTGTGTAAAGTGCTTAGCACAGAGCTGGCATGAAGTAGTGTCTGTAATTATAAACCACCTTGGCCACTGTTGTTTTTAGCTTGGGACCCACCTTACCCCGACCTGACTGCCCTTGCCTCTTGCCTTCCCTGGAGTTCCTGTTTGTTGTTGACATCCTCCTCACCAACTAGTGCAGGGATTTTTAAAGTATTTATATCCTTGCTGGAATTTCTCTTTGCATTGTTTAGTTAATTACCAAATTGAATTGCGGCAAATAATTTCACTTCCTTTCCAGTGCTAGGGCAGGAAGTGGCCCGGTGCCTTTTTTTTACTGTGATTGAGATGATTATTGAGATATTTGATGATGATGATGTCTCCTTCCCCTGAGAGGTTCGCTTCCTCTTAGATCAGCTCCACTGGCCCCATAAATCAAGGCAGCAGCCACGTGCTTGGAACATAAATCTTGTCGAGGATGTTGATGTGTTTGGCCACATGTGGTTTTTGGTGTTTGGGCAACTTCTCGCAAACTCGCGGAGGGATAGTTGAAAAGGCTCCCTTTAAATACAGAACAAATGACCTGTGCACTTATTGGAGAAGTGCTGGGATAGTTGAAAAGACTCCTTTTAAATATTCAGAACAAATGACCTATGCACTTGTTGGAGAAATTCTGTCCAATGGCATACAAATTAAAAATCAAGGCACAGGGAGAAGTCTTCAGATGGCAAGAAATCAGTGGCTCTTCTCCGCAGCTTGATAGTGTTGATGGTGTTGGCTTCTGCCCTGTCCCTCATGGCTCTAGGGTGGAGAAGCAGATTGGATAAAGACATGGGGTTGAAACTGATGTGCTGGGGGGCTTCAGATCCCTGCCCTGCCACTTAGTAGCTGCAGGAATTAACTGCGGCCACTTAATTTTCCTGGGTTCTAAAACAAAGGATACAAGATAACCGGCTTCATAGGTCTATGTTGTAATAGTTTTGCTTCACACAATGCCTGGCACATGGTAAGCACTGGTAAGTAAGCCATTACTTTTAACTCAGGGATCCTCATCGTGTTCTTTACCCAAAGACCCTTCCCATCCTACCTTTCTAGCCTTGACCTCCTTCTTGCAAGATGATAACCAGGACCTAATGTGTCCAGGACTCTCCCACCTTTGCACTTCTTTCTTTTCTTTTTTTTTTTTTTTTTTTTTGAGAGGGAGTCTCGCTCTGTTGCCGAGGCTGGAGTGCAATGGCATGGTTTCGGCTCACTGCAACCTCTGCCTCCTAGGTTCAAGTGATTCTCCTGCCTCAGCCTCCCAAGTAGCTGGGATTACAGGCATGTGCCACCATGCCTGGCTAATTTTTGTATTTTCAGTAGAGACGGGGTTTCACTATGTTGGCCATGCTGGTCTCAAACTCCTGATCTCATGATCCACCTGCCTCAGCCTCCCAAAGTGCTGGGATTACAGGCGTGAGCCACTGCGCCCGGCCCCACCTCTGCAATTCTGTTGTGCGGTTTCTACTATTTGGAACATCCCCTATTTGGTCTCTGCCCATAGAATCCTTTCTTTTTCTTTCTTTCTTTCTTTCTTTTTTTTTTTTTTGAGATGGAGTCTTGCTCTATTGTCCAGGCTGGAGTGCAGTGTTGCGATCTTGGCTCACAGCAACCTCTGCCTCCCAGGTTCAAGCGATTCTCCTGCCTCAGCCTTCTGAGTAGCTGGGACTATAGGGGTGCACCACCGCGTTCGGCTACTTTTTGTATTTTTAGTAGAGACAGGGTTTCGTCCTGTTGGCCAGGCTGGTCTTGAACTCCTGACCTCAGGTGATCCACGAGCCTCGGCCTCCCAAAGTGCTGGTATTACAGGTGTGAGCCACCGTGCTGGGCCTCTTTTCCTTTCAGAAGTTATCTCAAGCACTGTGCCCTCCATGAAATTTCCTATGGCCCCTCAACCTTAACTGCCTTAGTGTATCCTTGTTACGCCTTATGTCTGCAATAGTTGTCGGCCCAAGTATGTTCCATGGAATGGTAACCTGGTAAGATGCTTTGTAGAAAAGAAGGTTAAGAAAAGGCTGCTGAATACTTTATGTACCTGTTTTGTATAGTACCAATCCATATGAACAATTTTAAAGGTTCTGAGAAATCCTGCAGTAAAGAAACCTGCTGAGATTTGTTTACTCCAGAACTTTCCAAACCTCTGACTGTAGAACACTTTCTTCTTGGAATGCCTATTGATAAGCTTTGCGACACTCCTGGAGAGGTGGCGTTGTAGACATCTATATAACAGTTTGATGCTATCTCCTCTTATAATGAAGGAAACCAAAGCCCAGAGAACTCAGTGACTAGCCTCAGGTAAATCCCAGTGTCTACCACTCCATCACCTCTTGGGTCAATTGGCAGGTCCTTTATAATGAGTGTCCAAGGCTGGGTGGCAAGGAAGGGCTGGACATGGTAGCCAAGGACCTGCTTTCAAATAACTTTCTTTCTTTTTTTTTTTTTTTGAGACAGTCTCACTTTGTTGCCCAGGCCAGAGTGCAGTGGCACAATCTCAGCTCACTGCAACCTTGGCCTCCCTGGTTCAAGCGATTCTCCTGCCTCAGCCTCCCGAGTAGCTGGGATTACAGGTGCGCACCACCATGCCCGGCTAATTTTATATTTTTAGTAGAGACAGGGCCTCACCATATTGACCAGGCTGGTCTCGAACTCCTGGTCTCAAGTGATCCACCTCCCTTGGCCTCCCAAAGTGCTGGGATTACAGGTGTGAGCCACTGTGCCCGGCCTCAAAGATCTTTTGGCCTTGTCGAGGTGGCGAGATGGACATATGGAATAGAGACAGATTAACTGCTAATCTTGTGTCCCTGGGCCCATGTGTAACAGGAGCCTTGGGACCCTGTTGTGTCCCTGCCCAAGAAGGGACATGAGAGTCAAATGTCCTTTGAGAACCCAGCCCTGTCCCTGGGCCTGGGACCCCAAAATTCGACCCCACCTTCCTCCCACCCTGATCCCTGGGGATTCCTGTGGCCCTATGTGGTTGCCTCCTGCAGGATGCAGGCGAGGGAGGGGCGGGAAGGCTGCAGGGAAGAGAAGAGCCTTCTGTTTATTGAGGCACAGCCTTCTCCTGCCTTTCTGGGGGAAAATGCTCTCTTTTAGAGTCCTCTTTTTTATCTGAAATTCTCTGGGGAGCAATTACCTGACAGTGGGAATTATCTGCTGTCTTTATTCTAGTGCCTGTCTGCCTGAGTTCCTTCTTGGAGTAATTGATTTTGGTAATTCAGAGCTTCTGAACGTTTCTTAGGGGAAGGTGTGGGTGCAGAGGCAGGGGGATACCCACATAGGCGTTTTTAAAGGCGTTGGCGGCTAGCGGCTCTGCTGGTGGTAGTTGGTGACAGGGATGGAACAGTGACTAAAAAGAATGTATTTTTTAGCTTTGAATTTTTCCCCACTTATACGGAAGGTGTGTGGGTTGCATGGGAGCGCTCCTGACTGTGGAACTGGGGCGGGTTTGCTGAAGGGAAGTAAGGAGTTGAAAGGCAAATTGTCAGGTCTGATGGGCTTGATCACTCTTCGCCACAGGCAGGTCAGTCCTGAGTACCGGCCCTGGCCCGACCCTGGCCCTCACCATCAACCTTTGGTCTGCCAGGGAGCCTGGGAGGTGGCAGAAACTCCTTGGAGAGCCTTTAAAGAGAGCAGCGGCTCCCAGTTGGCTTGACCTTTCTGCTGGGCAGACCGAGGTACTGGCTCCAGACCCTGCTGCCCCAGGCACTGCTGTCCCCTGGGAGAAGAGGGCTGGCCAGGGCACCTGGCTTAATAGGGGGACAGAGAAGGTCATGAAGGGTGGACCTCAGGGTGAGGGGCCTGGGTGACTGGAGAGGTTTATCTGTTCCGTGAATAAAAAGGGAGTAGGGTGGCCAGGCACGCTGGCTCATGCCTGTAATCCCAGCACTCTGGGAGGCCGAGGTGAGCAGATCACCTGAGGTCAGGAGGTCGAGACCAGCCTGGTGAAACCCTATCTCTACTAAAAGTACAAAAATTAGCCAGGCATGGTGGCACGCGCCTGTAATCCCAGCTACTCAGGAAGCTGAGGTGGGAGAATGCTTGAACCCAGGAGGTGGAGGTTGCAGTGAGCCGAGATTGGGCCACTGCACTCCAGCCTGAGCAACAGAGCAAGACTCTGTCTCAAAAACAAAACAAAACAAAAGGGTGAGGGGAGTAGCGAGTAAATTTGCTCCTAGAAATGCTCCCCTAGCTAATTCCCCAATTTCAAATGAGTGAATACTCTGGATATGGGAGGAAGAGCTTGGACTAGAAGCTTCCTCAGGCTCTCTCATCTCAAGCGTTCTGTGGGAGGGACAGCCCAATACAGCGGTTTCCGTGGAGTCTCTCTTCTCTGCACCTCACCCAAGGGAAAGGAACCTGTGGGGCACTGGTTTGGGTCCAGCCCCAGAGGCAGCCTGTCCTTTGTCATAGTGACCACCCTCCCCGCTGAGGTCTGGACACTGCAGCTCCATTCCATGGCCTTCGGCCTGGTGTTACTTGGCATTTTCATTCCTATTTTACAGATGAGGAAATCGAGGCCCAGGGTGATTGGTTCACACCATGAGTTAACAGTGGGGCAAGGCCTCATACCCAGTCTCCTGATAGCTGGTCCAGGATTCCTGTGAGCCTGAATGGGGGGTCAGGAGCTCATCAGATGCCCAGTGGAAGAGCGGGGTGCGTACTCACGTGGGAGGGGAGCCGGTTTCTCTGGTTCCATTGTAGCTCTTAGCTGGATTTTCAACTCCATGGCTGGTTACTTGAGTCTATGTTTAATCACCTGCTAGACTGAGAAGCCCCTAAAGGACAGGGACCTTTTGTCACATTGGGATCACCTTTTGTGGCCAGCTCAGTGCTTGCATGAGGTCAGCCAGGGCGCTTTAGGTACAAGACAGAAGGCCCCCCTCAAGCTGGCCAGAGTGAAAGGGATTTTATGGGCTCACCTACCTAAAAACCCAAGGAGGCCCAAATGGATTACGATGGGATTATCTGTCTGTCTGTCTCTCTCTTCCCATTTCCCCCCAGTTCTGGGTTCAGTTTCTCCACTGAGCTGGGAATGGGGAAAGGGGAGTCCCCAAGGGAAATGAGGGTGCTGGCCCCAGAAGAAGGAGGGAGCAGACACAGGCAAAAACAACAAAAGCCTCATAAACATACAATGTGCATGTCATGAATGGTAAATTCAATGGATTTTTTTTTTTTTGAGGCAGAGTCTCACTCTGTTGTCCAGGCTGGAGTGCAGTGGCACAACCTCGGCTGACTGCAACCTCAGCCTCCCAGGTTTAAGCGGTTCTCCTGCCTCAGCCTCCTGAGTAGCTGGGACTACAGGCGCCCACCACAATGCCTAGCTAATTTTTGTATTTTTGGTAGAGAGAGGGTTTCGCCATGTTGGCCAGGCTAGTCTCGAACTCCTGACCTCAGGTGAGCCTCCCAAAGTGCTAGGATTACAGGCATGAGTCATTGTGTCCGGCCAAATTCAATGGATTTTTGTAGAAACATTTTTTTTTTCTCCCAAAAGGAATTCACGCTGTAGGCGTGACATCCAGGTGCACATCAGCTCCTATAACTAAACAGAGCAAGCCCTGTGCATTGAGAAAGATTCTGAAACCACCTCTTGGCTCAGCAGAAAAGAGCATCATAATCGGTTTAATTATTTGTGCCTTTGCCTTGGTGGTGGGGGTGGCGGGGCAGGGGCTGTGTGTACGGCATCCCTAATCTGGTCCCAATTTTGGTGTTGTAGAAGTACTTTTAAGAGTTGAAAACAATTGGATTGAACCTAAATGATGTTGCAAGATTTCCCCAAAGCTTAAAGAGCCAATTATGTGGTTGGGAGCCCTTTCTGACCGGCTGTGATTCCATCCTAAGGACTGACAGATAAATTATTATGTGGAGGCCGTGATGAAGGGTGATTGTTGGAAGGTGTGGCTCTTGGCACTCTGATGGCTCCAGGGAGAGCTTCGTGTCCTTTGTATTGTTTTGTTTTTGTTTTGAGACAAGATCTCACTCTGTTGCCCAGGCTGGAATGCAGTGGCGTGATCTCAGCTCACTGCAACCTCTGTCTCCCAGGTTCAAGCAATTCTCATGCCTCAGCCTCCTGAGTAGCTGGGACTGCAGGTACGCGCCACCACATCCCGCTAATTTTTGTAATTTTTGTGGAGATGGGGTTTTACCATGTTGCCCAGGCTGGTCTTGAACTCCTGGCCTCAAGTGATCCTCCCATCTCTGCCTCCCAAAGTGCTAGGATTACAGGCGTGAGCCACTGAGCCTGGCCTTCATATCCTTTAACTGTGACAAGAGTGAGCTGCATGGCCCCTGCCTGCGCTAACGGTGTCAACACATATTTATTCAGTGCCTACCATGTATCAGGCACAGTTTTGGGGCAGATTGAGATAAATTTATCCCGGATTATATGTCACACTTCTGAAAGAGGAGATGTTGGAAAAGGAGGTAGCTCTTAAGATTTTTTCCTAGTTGGGACTTGGTAAGAATTGCAAATGTCCTTACACTTGGGTGGAGTATGTTGTGATCCCAGTAATGATTTCCGGGAGCGCTTGTAAACCACCTCTGGTGTCTGAAATTCCACCATTAGTGATTCATTCCTTTGGGGTAAGCATTGCCGTTTCTATTAATAGCTTAGGTATTAGGTACTAATGGGATACTAAATAGGGATCTCATTCATCGCTAAGGCCTCCTTAGGTAGGAAGTTATTCTTTGTTTTTTCTCCCATGACAAGGCCCTAAGAAGAGAACCCCTATTTGGGTGGAGTTAAACTGGGATACAACATTGGGTTGGTGGTGGAAGCCAGAGTATGTGCATTATAAGACGTGGTGCCTGCCCCACCCAGAGTGCTAAACTTAGCAACAGTCAAAAATTGTCATCATCAAATCACTTTTAGTGGTCATTGTTCTCCAAGTTTGGATCCTGAAGGCAGAACAAGAACTAAAGGTCCTTCCCGGCTCTGACCCCCTGCTGCAGCCTTCCGGATCCAGCCGCTCAAATGGGCGGCTCCGACTCCTGCTGCCTGGGCCAGCTGCTGGAGGAAGTTGCTGGAGCCCTGGCCAGGCACCCCTGCCCTCCCACCCTTCCCAGCTGGAGGTGTGGCTGTTTGCTTCCACCTGTTTACTTTCTGGCTTCTAGCAGCTCCTTCCACACTGAAAATGCCAGCCACTGACCGGTCCACAAACGCCGACCATCCCCCTGCTCCACTTGCAGTGGTTAAAGGTGTGTGTGAGCTCTGGAGTCTGAATGGGTTTAGAATGAGGCTTGACCTGCTGAGTAACTGAGCTGCTCTTTGCTGACATTCCCATCTGTAAAATGGGATAACAGTGCTAACCCCAGTAGGTTCTTGGAAGTATCAGTGAGGTAGCTAATACATATCAGGTCCCTGGTTAAAGGCCTGGCTTATAAAAGGAGCTCAATATATGTAAACTTTGATATTATGTTATTGCTTGGGGCCTTGGCCAGCCACCCTGGGGGGGTCCTGCCCCTCCAGCTGCCCTCTCTTGCCTTCCCAGACACTGTGCTCTTCCGGTGGCTCAGATGTTTCTCTATTGAGACTTCTCTGTTGACACCGCTTGACCCTCTGAGGTCCTAACCCGGGTACCCTCCTCACCTACCAGCTCTCACCTGGGAGCCCCACCCATGCCCAGGGCATTAACAACCCCTGAACCTGGGCTACTCCCAACACAGACTGTAAACCTCCCCTGAGCTCAGATGGAGAGAAGTGCTTTTCACTGGCTGCTCTAAAAGCACATCAACCAATCCAACATGAAAGGCCCTTCCTTTCTCCTAACAACCACTTCCTCTCTCGCATTCACCTGCTCCCCCAGGTCCCAACTTTCCTCTTTGAGGGGAAGACCGCACTGGCCAGCCCCTGGGACAGGGAACCACACCCAGGTGTTTCCTTCCTTCCCTTCCCTTTTTCCTACCTGCAAGTCTGGTGGTTCCCCTTGGGCACCATCTCCTGCACCCCATCCCTGCCCTCACTGCCCATTAGGGGACAGCCCAGCCACAGCCCCTTCTGGTGCAGCTTCCTGTTTTCTCCATGCTGCCTCCAGGGGGAGTCCCTGGACCTTGGTCTGAGGGGTCCCTCCCTTGCTCAAGGTATAATCAAGTCCCTGCTTGAGGGACTCCCTATTTTCCCTGAGATATAATCCAGACTTCTCAGCTCGGTTTTCAGGGCCCTTCTTCCAAATTCCAGTAGGATCCTCCTTGCCAACAGTTCCTTCCTATGTGCTCAGGAGCTCAGCTGACTGAACAACCCACTCCATGGCCTCTACCTGTTAGACTGCCTTGCCTGTGTTTCTCAAAGTTCCCCTGCCTGGTGTGCCTTCCCCTCAGCCCGGTGCCTGCCTGTGGATCTGATCACATTCACAAAGCCTGCAAGGGATGTAAGTCCTCGTGCAGTCCAGTCCCCTGTCTCCCATCAGAATATCATGGCTGTTTGTATTTCTTTTTTTCCTTTTTTTTTTTTTTTTTTGAGACCAGTCTCATTCCGTTACCCAGGCTGGAGTGCAATGACACAATCTTGGCTCACTGCAACCTCCACCTCCCAGGTTCAAGCATTTTTCAAGCAATTCTCCTGCCTCCGCCTCCCAAGTAGGTGGGATTATAAGAGCATGCCACCACACCTGGCTAATTTTTTTTTTTTCGTATTTTTAGTAGACATGGGGTTTCACCATATTGGCCAGGCTGGTCTCGAACTCCTGACCTCAAGTGATCTGCCTGCCTTGGCCTCCCAAAGTGTTGGGATTACAGATGTGAGCCACCATGCCTGACCCTGTTTGTGTTTCTTTTTCTTTTTTCTTTCTTTTTTTTTTTTTTTTTTTTTTGAGATGGAGTCTCGCTCTGTCGCCCAGGCTGGAGTGCAGTGGCGCGATCTCAGCTCACTGCAACCTCTGCCTCCTGGGCTCAAGCGATTCTCCTGCCTCAGCCTCCTGAGTAGCTGGGACTACAGGCGTGTGCCACCACGCTCGGCTAATTTTTTGTATTTTTAGCAGAGATGGAGTTTCACCGTGTTGGCCACGATGGTCTCGATTTCCTGACCTTGTGATCTGCCTGCCTCGGCCTGCCAAAGCTTTGGGATTACAGGCGTGAGCCACCGCACCCGGCCCCGTTTGTGTTTCTTACCCTCCCCTTGGCTCCTTCCATAGAAGCAATACTTTTTGCAGTCTGGGAATCTCTGGGGTCTACAAGAGGGGGATCTTGCCTTCTAGGAAAACTGCCTCTCAGGGGCAAGATGGCTGCCTCCAGAAGTGTGTGCTTTGAGGAGGCCAGGATGGGGACCTCCAATACCTGACACAGGGCAGAATTCTATTCCTTGTGACTCACTGTCTCGAAGGTTACGTGGGTTTTGTCAGATACGCTGGGCTCCATGGCCGGGAGCCCTCCACTGCCCTCGTGTCGGGGCTCTGCTTTCCTGTCTCTCTCTCGGGAGGTAAGATTTCCACTTCTCAGGGCTGGGGCTGCCGGGTGGATTGAGCAATGGTGTGGGTGAAAGCAAAACAGAAGTACACAAACTAATAATTAACAGATGTCAATTGTTAATAGCTGAAAAATACCACCACCACCCCACCCCCTGCCCCCAGGAGGGAGGAGAGCAAATGGTCACTTGATCCCTTGGAGGAGATTATTTCACAGCCAGCTTGGGGCAGGTTTGGCCAAGACAGTGACAAGTACTGTGGGGTATATGGGCAAGGGGGATGGGAATAGTGCCATTGCCAGGGCCACTGGGCTTTGACTTACTTTGATTCCCTTGTTTAATGCTCACAGCCTTAAGAGTCAAGGGCAGAGGCATTCCTGAGAATGAGCATGTGGGTGCCTGGGGGTGTGCACGTGGGGCACCCTGGGTCCTATCTGCCGAGTCTGAGCCTTGCGCCATCTCTCTTAAGCAAGTGAGATGCTTACTTAAGAGAGCAATTTTGCTCTCTTTCTCACCTCAGTTTTGCAGATGACATTGGCTTGACATGCCTGAGGTCAGCCCCAGATTGCCAAGCCGGGGTCCTCGCTGTGACACGGCATGGCCAGTCCCTACCCTAGACCCAGGTGGCAGCCCCACCAGATTTAACATCCAGGGGTGGTGCAGGGCCAGTGGGGACTTTACCTAGCTTGAGAGGCCTCCTCTTTGAGGCAGGGCAACCCCAAGGGTGGGTTTTAAGCTTTCAGGTTTAAGAGTTCAGTTTTGTTGTTGTTGTTGTTCTTTTGGTGGGGGGAATAGGGTCTTGCCCTTTTGCCCAGGCTGGAGTGCAATGGTATGTTCACTGCTCACTGCAGCCTTGACCTCCTGGGTTCAAGTGATCCTCCCACCTCAGCCTCCAGAGTAGCTGGGACTACAAGCATGCACCACCACACCTGACTAATTTTGGTATTTTTTGTAGAGATGGGGGTCTGGCTATGTTGCCCAGGCTGGTCTTGAACTGCTGGGCCTCAAGCGGTCCACCCACCTGGCCTCTCAAAGTGCTGGGATTACAAGCATGAACCACCATGCCTGGCCAGGGTTAAGGTTGTTTTGTTTTGTTTTGTTTTGTTTTTGAGATGGAGTCTTGCTCTATTGCCCAGGTTGGAGTGCAGTGGTGTGATCTCAGCTCATTGCCACCTCCGCCTCCTGGGTCCAAGTGATTCTCCTGTCTCAGCATCCTTAGTAGCTGGGATTACAGGCACATGCCACCATGCCTGGCTAATTTTTGTATTTTTAGTAGAGATGGGGTTTTGCCATATTGACCAGGCGGGTTAAGGTTTTGAGTTTACTTCACATCTGTAAGCTGCTTCTCTCCTTCCTTTGCCTCCATGTTTGTACATTTTCTAATGAGAGAAACCATCCATTTGTTCTCTCACCTGCCTTGGGCCCAGCCCAGTTGGTTCTGTCTGGACCGCAGTTCCCACCCCTCAGCCCCAAGACTTGGAGGTACCTTAGATTCACTCCTCTCCTAGTGCCACCATCTCACTACCTACCTGTGCACCTGTTGGCCCTGGCTCAGGTGTCACCTTCTCCATGAAGCAGCTTTTCCAGGCAGAGTCTATGGTTGTCTGTGCCACGGACCCAGCGGGGCTGCCCAGAGGCAGGAGCTGGTGTTGTTCCTGGTGTCCCCAGGACTGACCAGGTTAACACCTGGCAGCTTGTAGGAGTCACAGAGGTTCGTGGCAAGGAGGAAGGCATGCACCTGAGGAGCAGGGTGGAGTGGTGGCTGAGATTGCTGAAATAGCCTACGGCCAAATCCAGACCATGCCACTTACAAACCAGCCTTGGACAAGTCAGATCACTTCTCTGAGGCTCAGTTTGCTCATCTGTAAGATGGGGAGGTAAAAATACAGTCATGTGCCACATAATGATATTTCGGTCAAGGACAGACCAATAAGGTCCTTAAGATTTAACACCATATTTTTACTGTATTTTTCTGTGTTTACATACATGAATATTTACAATTGTATTGCAATTGCCTACAGTATTCAGTACAGTAACATGCTGTACAGGCTTGTATCCTGGGAGCAGCAGGCTACCCACCATCTAGCCTAGGCGTGCAGTAGGCTACACCATCTAGGTTTGTGCAAGTGTACTCTATGATGTTCACACAACAACAAAATCGCCTAATGATGCATTTCTCAGGACATATCTCCATCATTATGTAACACACAACTGTACCTACCTTCTGGAATTACTGAGAAAGTTAAAAGACAGGAACGTACATGAAGCATTTAACACAGTGCCAGGAACGTAAGTCTCAATAAGTATTCATTTCTGTTGTGGGGATTTAGGGGGCTGCGAGAAGAGCACGCTGCTATAAACAGGCCTTCCTGGGCCGGGATCTCGGAGGCTAAGCACTCGCACTGCCTGCCCCGTCCAGGGCATGGATGAGGGGCTGAGATGGGGAGGGAGGGGCCCTGCTTTGGCAGTCAGCCCCTCTGTGACGTGTCCACATAACATCCATAGGAAGTTATTGTTTTTCCCCATATTTTACAGAGGAGGAAGTAGAGGCTCAGAGAGAGAGGCTCAGAGAGGTGAAGTCATTCACCCCTGTCACACAGCTGGGAGCTGCAGTGCCAACATAGATGCTACCAAAGTGGCTGGGCTTTTTTTTTTTTTTTTTGAGACAGAGTCACTCTTGTCGCCCAGGCTGGAGTGCAGTGGTGTGATCTTGGCTCACTGAAGCCTCTGCCTCCTGGGTTTAAGCGATTCTTGCGCCTCAGCCCCCGAGTAGCTGAGACTACAGGTGCGCACCATCATACCTGGTGAACTCTTTTTTTTTTTAAATTTTAATTTTTACCTTTTTAGTAGAGACAGGATTTTGCTATGTTAGCCAGGCTGGTCTCAAACTTCGGACCTCAGGTGATCTGCCTGCCCCGGCCTCCCAGAGTGCTGGGATTATAGGCGTGAGCCACCACGCCTGGCCAATGGCTGGGCTTTGAATCTCCCTTTGGCAGTGAGGTTTGGGTTGCAGTGAGTAGGTTTTGGAGTTTGGGCTGATGGGATGGCAGGATCAGGAGGGCTTTCTGCTTTTTTTTTTTTTTTCCCAATGATGCCAGTTCTGAACTGTTGCTTCCTGGGGCACCACAGGCAGGGAGTCTGGGCCAGTCTGGCCTTCAGCCCTATTTGCTGTGACCTGTATGGTGTGTGTTTATTTTAATATGTGATCTAGTTGTCTCCATTGAACGATCAGGATTTTACATCCAAATCTGGTAGCTTCTTGTAAACTTGATCTTCCGGCCATCGTGGGCCCACATTCCAATAGGACAGTGTGGGCTGGAGTGTGTTCCCCATTTAGCCTGCCTGGCCAAGCCTGCTTCTCTCCTTTCCTTTCCCTCCTGGCTCACATTGGCATTTGCGTTTGTGATTCCTGAGCCAAGTGGGCTACAGGGCTGGGGCACACGTGGGGTATGGGCCCTGGGAGCCCCCTCTGAGGAGCTCCCTACTAAGAAGGGCAGGCAGAATTATGATTCAAGGCAAGATGAGTGGCCCCAGAGAGATGTCTAGACAGTGCTTGGGGCTTTCAGAAATGTTAATGTGTTCAGAGGAGGGCATCCAGTGACTTGGCACACGTTTAATGAGCTCTTGCCTTGTGCCTGGCACTGGGCATCCCTGGAGGCTGCAGAGATATATTCAGGACACAGACTGTCCTCAGAGAGCCTGTGTTTCCGGGGGTGAGGGCATCCAAAATGGGCTTTCATGGAGCAGGATATTTGTGTTGGTAAAAATGAAGATGTGAGGCACTCTGGGCAGACGAGATAGTGTAGACCAAACTTCAGACGAGAAACCTTTTTTTTTTTTTTTTTGAGATGGAGTTTTGCTCTATTGACCAGGCTGGAGTTCAGTGGTGCGATCTTGGCTCACTGCAACCTCCACCTCCCGGGTTCAAGTGATTCTCTTGCCTCAGCCTCCCGAGTAGCTGGGATTACAGGCATCTGCCACCATGCCCAGCTAATTTTTATAGTTTTAGTAGAGACAGGGTTTCACCATGTTGGCTAGGCTGGTCTCAAACTCCTGATCTCAGGTGATCCGCCTGCCTCAGCCTCCCAAAGTGCTGGGATTACAGGTGTGAGCCACCGCGCCCAGCCAGAAGAGAAACCTTGACAGCACCCCCTGGTTTGAGCTTTCGGAGAGTGGCTCTTGCTCAAGAATGACGAAGGCACAGGAAGATTCAACCTGGAGAAGCACTGACTTTGGAGGAAAAGGTTCTCTTGTGTTTTGAATTTCTAAAGACTTTTAATCTATTTTTTAAAAAATAGCCTTTATTTTTTAGATCAGTTTTAGGTTCACAGCAAAATTGAGCAGAAAGTACGAGATCCCATCTACTCTCTGTGCTCACACAAGCACAGCCTCCCCCACCATCAACATCCTGCACCAAAATCTGCTTCTTAGTCTATAAAAATGGCATGTCATGATTTTGTTTATTAAAAATAAAATCAAATATTATAGACTGAAAACTAAGCCTTTTTTCTTCACCCCTACTCAACACACACACACACACACACTCACACACACACACACACACACACACACAAGCATATGTAAGAATCTATCCACCCAGGAGATCATCCCACATATCCTGAAGTATCCGATGCATCTTCACCTCGAAGTCCACGGTGTCGGTATACACATTTCCACCTCGCGCTGCAGAACGGTCACACAGGATTCCATTTTCAGGAGAGACTATAATTTATTCAACCAGGCCCCCTGTGATGGACACAGACGTTGTTTACAGTTTTGGTGCTTTTTTTTTTTTTGTATGCTGCTTCAAACCGGAGTGCATAAACATCCTTGTACATCTGTTCTTACACGCTTGTGAGAGTTTATCTGAAGGATAGCATGTAGAAGGAGAATCTATGAATTTAAAATGGACGTTTATGGATTTTTAACTTTTGATCCATGTTGCCTACTCACTCTCTGCAAAGACTGTGGCTGTGTACTCTCCTGGCAGCAGGATGTGAGAGTCGGTGGGTCATGATCTTCCTGTGTATGAAGAGCGGGGCTGGGCTAGGGCTGGGGCAGAGTTGGGGTGGGCCCCTGGCAGCAGAGTCTAGCCAATGCGTGGGAGGCATTTGGAGGGCATTTTTCTCAGTGCTGCCTTGCACTTTCATGCACATGTATATATCCATAGAATAATATGATTCTGTTTAAATTTCTTTTTTAAAGTCATGTATCGTTCTGCAACTTGCTTCTTTCGTTCAGTAAGATATTTGGACACATTTTTCTAGTTCAGCTGTAGAATTCCACCTCACTGTTTCTATCTGCTGCGTAGAACTTTCTGCAGTGTGAGATTGACTTAGCCACCCCTCCGTGGGGGTTCTGCTTCAGGGAACATCCTTTGTGGGTCTCGTCAGGCTTGGGTGCCAGCATCCCTCTGTCTGCAGGAAGCACATTTATTAGGAAAGTGGTCATTGCTAAGAACGACACTGCTGTTATTCCTGCCATGCACCTGGAGCAGAGGTTGTGGTTCTTGCCTTGGCCTTGGGCTTGGGCCTGGCACTTCTCTGAGTTTTCTCAAGCTCCATGTGGGTGCAGTGAATCTGCTGACTTTGTTCCTGGAGCTGAGTGGAGATGCTGGCTCAGGGCTTCTCCTAGCTCAGAGAGTGGCTGTGATGTGATTCCTAGCCCCCCTTAGTCATCCTAGCAGACTGGATTAGGTGGGCCCCCCCCATCCTAGTGATCCTGAGGCAGATGCCCCCCTGCCCAGGTGTGAACAGACTCTGCCTCTGGGTGGAAGATTGGCACAAGCCATGGGATCACCCATTTATCTTCTAGCGAGATCTTCCTCCAGGTTTAAAAGAGACCCTGTAGGGCACCTGGTCCTGGCTATGGGTGTGGTGGTTGGAGGTGATAAGGAAAGAACTTAGGGGCTGCTGGTGGCCACTGCTGACAGCTTCTGCTAAGGGTGGGAGGCACTGGAAGACTTTTGAATCTGCAGAGTGTGGGCAATCAGGGAAGGCTTCCCGGAAGAGGTGGGACTGGGCCCAGTGGGAGTTTTAGAATGAAGAGGCAGTGTCTCTGGGCTCCAAGGCATCCCCTCGGCAGGGGCAGGGGAGGGAAAGCGGGGCATGCAGAGGGCCTGGCAAACCTTCTTTAGAGAGGCTCTTTGGCTACCTGTGGTTGCAGGATGACCACTTGATGTCCAGAAAGCTACTAAAGGGGAGATTTGGAACTGGACAGACTGGGCTCAAACCCTGACTCTGTTGTTACCAGCTGTGCCAGTCACTTACCCTCTCTGAGCCTCAGTTACCTGGTCTGTAAAATGTGATGATAACAGTTCCTTCTTCACAGGGCAAGTGGGACGGTGGCTTGAGCTCCTGTTTGGAGAACTGTTGGCACCGACCTGCAAAAGGTGACAGGTGTGGTCACACCTGAAGGTAACCCAATCACTTGCGCCTGGAGTGATGGCTAGAGTTGGCCATGGTGTCTGGGTGAGGCCAGAGACACTTGCCTAGTAGAACCCCCCAGACTCAGTGATGGACCCAAGGTGCTGGTGAAGGCGACAGAAATGATGCGATAGATTCCCTTTCGCTCTTGGGTCCCACCCCAGGGGCCCACCTCGGGGCCCTACCTGCAAAAAGCAGTCCCTCAGGGACATTGGACAGGTGAAGAGGCTTTGAGGGCATGACCCAAGTTGGAAGGCGCCCTGGAGTACCTGGGGAGAAGGAAAGCCTGGCCGGCTGATGGCAGAGGGTGGTGGGGGTGACAGCCAAGCTTCAGGCTTGGTGCTTCTCTCAGAAAATGCCACCATAGATGATGTCCCCAAGCAGCATTGGGTGTGTCCTCATGGCGCCCTTTCTTCCTGGGTAATTAATGGTGCTCTCATCCCCCTGAGAGGGTGGTGGTGGGTATGGCGGGCTGGCCGGGCAGGCGCCGGGCAGACAGTCAGAGCCCACTCCAGTCCTCCTCATCCATTTATTACCTGTCAGCTTTGCTCTTTCTGAACATAAAATAAGTGCCTGGGAGGCGGCCAGGGCCCCTGAAGCCCCGAGCTGGGCTGTCTGGGGCACTCTGGCTCCAGGGAGTCATTCCCTGGAGGCTTCTGCTAAGCTCACCCCACTGAGGGGCTTCAGATAAGCTGGGACAACCAGGCTGTGGGCACAGGCTGGGTTCCTCTGTGATGTGACTGAGGCAGGTGGGTGGAGATGCAGGACTGGAGAAGGTCAGGGCCTCGGCAGCCAGCTAGAGGCCAGAATTTGGGTTCTGAGACAAATCCTCCTCTTTTCCCTCAAACCCCCGCCTCTCAGCCAGGGCTTCTTAACCAGGGCTTCCGGGACCCAGTGAGTCTCAGGATGGACTCCAGAGTGTCCAAGAACTGGAATAGGAAAAAAAGAATCCCACTGTTATTTTCAAGAACCATTAATTAGAATTACAAATGGTAATTCCTGCAATTATAAATGTAGATGATCAACCACAGTGGCATTAGCCATTCTATGATGTTGCAGAAATCATAGGAATTGCAGAAATTCTCATGTCCTATTATTGTGGACCTGATAATAGGACATGAGATACCCAGTTGTCATGGGTATCCTAAAATAACATTTTTGTTCACCGTACTTCAAAATTACAATAGTTATTAGCCCCAGATCTTGTTCTCTAAGGCATTAATAAAGAAGCACATATATTGCTATAGCATTAAAAATATTTCGGGAGGTGGAGGCAGGCAGATCACAAGGTCAGGAGTTTGAGACCAGCATGGCCAACATGGTGAAACCCTGTCTCTACTAAAAACACAAAAAATTAGCCAGGCATGGTGGCAGGTGCCTGTAAGCCCAGCTACTTGGGAGGCTGAGGCAGGAGAATTGCTTGAGCCTGGGAGGTAGAGGTTGTAGTGAGCCAAGACTGTGCCACTGCACTCCAGCCTGGTCAACAGAGCAAGACTCCATCTCATAAAAAAATTTTTTTTTTTTTTGATAACCAGGCATGCGCCACCACACCCGGCTAATTTTTGTATTTTTATTTATTAATTTTTAATTTTTATATATATTTTTGAATGGAGTCTTGCTCTGTTGCCCAGGCTGGAGTGCAGTGATGCAATCTTGGCTCACTGCAACCTCCGCCTCCCGGGTTCAAGCAATTCTCCTGCCTCAGCCTCCCGAGTCGCTGGGATTACAGGTGTGCACCACTACACCCAGCTAATTTTGGTATTTTTAGTAGAGACAGGGTTTCACCATGTTGGCCAGGCTGGTCTCGAACTCCTGACATTGGGCAATCCACTCGGCTTGGCCTCCCAAAGTGCTGGGATTACAGGCATGAGCCACCATGCCCGGCCTGTTTTATGTATTTAAAAACATTTTTCTGAGAGGGGGTCCTTAGACCTTACTAGAGCCCAAAGGGCCCATGGCATCTAAGAAAGGTAAAGGGCTCCTGCTGAGGCCCAGGGAGGGGCCCTCACAGGCTGGGGGCTACCCCATGCTGACAGGGATGAGGTGTCTGACTGTCAAATGGACTGAAGTCTGCACTGGGCAAGGCTGCTCTTTGTACCCATCTCTGTGCTGGCCTTTGGGGGACAGCAGCTCCTGGTGAGAGAGGACCTTGCCTCAAGGAGCTCCTGGCCTGGTTGCGGGAGGGGGCAAGGCACACAGACAGCTGAACAGCTCCCTGCACTGTCAGGAGTTCAGAGGAGGAGAGAGAAGTCACTTCCACCACTGGGACCTGATTGACCATCCTGGGAAGGCTTCATGGAGGAGGTGGCATTGGATTTGGGCCTTGAAAATTTTGACGTAAGAGACAGGGGAAAGCAGGTCAGGCTGAGAGGGACCAGACTAAGCAAAGAAATGGAGTCCAGAAGGCTGGGGCATGAGTGGTGCCCAGGGAGGAGCAGGGTTCAACTGGAGGGTACGGGAGAGAGCAGAGGGAGGTGGGAATGGAAGTCCTGAATGCAAGGCAAAGAAGCTTGCGGCCCGACGCGGTGGCTCACACCTGTAATCCCAGAACTCTGGGAGGCCGAGGCTGGCGGATAACAAGGTCAAGAGATCGAGACCATCCTGGCCCAAATGGTGAAACCCCGTCTCTACTAAAAATACAACAATTAGCTGGGCGTGGTGGCATGTGCCTGTAGCCCCAGCTACTTGGGAGGCTGAGACAGGAGAATCGCTTGAACCCGGGAGGTGGAGGTTGCAGTGAGCTGAGATTGTGCCACTGCACTCCAGCCTGGCTACAGGGCAAGACTCCGTCTAAAAAAAAAAAAAAAAAAAAAAAAAAGAAGCTTGCACTCTGCTGTTGGCCCAGGGAACCGTGGCAGGGCTTTCAGCAGGGAGCAGGGCAGGTTTGGGTTTGAGGACAGACCCCCTGGTTGGTGTGTGGAGAGACGATGGGAGAGGATGGGCGGGAGGCTGGGTGGCCATCGTTGACACCTTGCAGTCATCTGATGGGGAATGTGGAGAGCTGAACTGAGCCCAGGGTCCTCGTGGGGAGAGACAGGGGCCGTCCCAGCCATGGAATGAGGTGGAAGGTCAGGAGGCTCAGACCTCTGGGGCTGGGACTGACCGCCTGGGTTTGAATTGTGGCCTCTGCGGGTTACTAGCTGCGTGGCCTCGGGCGTGTTTGTTACGCTTGCGAATTAATTTGCTCATCTAAGACGCACGGTGATAGCAGCACCTGTCTCGCAGAGTTGCTGTGGGCGTAAAATGTGACAAGGGATTTAAAGCTCAGCACAGTTCCTGGCACAGAGTAAGCTCTGGACACGCCATAGCTCTGGTTGTTTATTACCGGTGATAAAACAGATGGGTCCTGGTGACCCAGTGGACTGGAGGAGATGCAGGGACAAACGCGGCCAAGTCTGAAGTTTCAGATCAGGACCAAAGCCCGGGTCTCTGCAGCTGGTATCTGAGCACAGACCAGGTCTCCAGGTGCTCTCTTCCCTGCTGACCCTAAGGGCTGGGGCCAGGACACCCCCTCCCCTGCCCTCACCTCCTCTGCCCAGCTTTCCCTTAGCAAGGCCTCCTCTGGCCCCTCCAGCATAGACTCCCACCCCCCAGGAAGGGTCAAACACAAACTCCATCTCATTCCAACACCTGGTGCCGTCTAACCCCGTTCTTTTCCTCCAGGAGTTCCCAGGGTCGGGAAGGTGCAGTGAATGAGACAGGCCTCAGAGAGTGACACTGGGAGCTCCACTTGGGTTTCTAAGTCTCAGAGCAGGAAGTGTCTAGACCAGCGTCCCACTGTGAGTGAGCGCTGGAGCCTCCCTGAAGAGGAATGCGGTGGGCAAGGTGGTGTGACAAAGGTGGGGTCTTTGAACGTGGGATTTTGCAGGAGCAGCTTCACCTCTGGGCCTGCTCACACTGGGGCTGATACTTGGGGTCCTGGAATTCCATATGCACTTTCCCCTAGACCCTTTCGGGGGGCTCCCCAACCCTGCTCAGCTTCCCTCTCTCCCAGACTGAGGGGTTCCAGCTGCTCCGGGCAGTGGGAGCCCACTGATGCCGGAGAATAAATTTGCTGTTTTGTAGAGCATGTGGATGCATATTTGGGGGGCTTAATCTTCTTAATAAATTGTTCTCAAATTGTGCACTATTAAACTCCTGAAAAATTCATGAGCACGCTGGGAATAGAGACCTCATCGGGAAGGTTTGACATGAACAATACAATAAACGCAGCTTCTAAATTGGGTCAGGGAAGCCTTCGAGGCCCAGAGAGAGGACATTCCCGCTTGACCCTCCCCAGGCCTATAAATTAATCATGTGCACAAAGAGGGCCTTGTTCTCTCTTGTCAGAGCCAGGGGTTGTGTCTTTGCCCACTGACCCCACCCCCCCTACCAAACCACCTCTGCTGCAAACAGAGTGCCTGGTGAGGCCGTTCAGCGTCTGTGCTTTGTTATTCCTGTGTCTCCAAAGCAAGGTGGGTGTACGTTTCAGCAAGAGAGATGTAGGTTAGATAGGAGGAAGAACTTCCTGGCTGACTGTGGGGTGGTGTGAAATCCTGGAATGGGCTGCTCTGGGAACTCGAGGAGACTCTTTTCATTAGGCTTTTAAGACCTGGCAGGCTCTATCCCCCTTGGTGCTCTCAGACCATTGCCCAGAGACAGCAGTGACCAGGACAGACATTGCCCCAGGGTTTGGCCACAGGAGCTGGCCTGGATGTGCCTCATTCTGGACCGTTGTGGGAGATTTAAGGCTCAGCTAAGGGGACATCAGGACAGCATCCTCCAGGCCCAAACCCTCACCATAGTCTAAGTACATGGCATTTGGATAAGGGAAGTCAAGTTAGGTCTCTGCCATGGGTCTGGGGCTGCTGCTCTCTTCCTCAACACCCTCAGCCTCTTGGAGTCCTATTCAAAGGCTTGGCCCAGATGCCACCTCCTCTGTGAAGCCTTTCTTGATTTCTCCCTGCCCTGTCAGTCAAAATTAGTTACTTCCTCCCTTGTGGTCCCTCTGCCTTGGGCCCTTGTTCGAGACTCTCTGTGGAAGCCTATGTGTCCCACCAGACTGTCAGCTCTCTGAGGACAGGGACTGTGTCAGAGCCCTCTCAGGACACAAAGGGACACAGTTCTTGAAGGGTCCTCCAGAGACCATGCCATGACTTGCATTGGTTTTCACATGCCAACTCCTAGGAAGGGTCCCCTATGCACCCCGGGGTAGGAGCTGAATGGCCTGGCTTCCCAATGACAACATGGGAATCCTGTGCTTTTAAGACAGGAGTAGGGCCAGAAAGAGGAGAGATGGAGGAGGCAGAGGCCCCGGCCGGCCACACTTGACCCCGCCTTTACTCTCTTAGTTCTGACATTTCACAAGCCTTTGTTTTTTTCTGAATCTGCTCAAAGTCCTTCAACCCTGCAGGTCTTTGGAGGAGGGTGAAATGGCCACCCTTAGTGTACACAGGAGCCCCACCCTGAGCCACTGTGGCCCCAGGTGTCCCCTTGTGCCTAGAAAGCAGCCTCACTCCAGCACAAGCCTGGGCAGGTGCAGCCTCGGTGCGCAGTTTGGAAGGGGTGACGCGCAGGTCTGAGAATGGGTGGGCAGTGGGGGTGGAGTTCACTGTCAGCGCCAAAGAGGAAGTGGGGAGGCCCTCGTGGGAGTGTGGAAGAGGAGCACCTTTCTCTGGGGAGAGCACTTCCGGGAGATGTAACTGGGTAGCCTACCCAGACCCCTGGCCCTGGTGGTCTAGCCTCTAAAGGAAGCAGATGATAGCAATAGGAGAAGGCAGTGGACAGCCCCATTGGTCCTGCCCCCACCCCAGCCACCACCTGTGGCTAGGCTGGGAGGAAGCTGCTCTTCCACTCCCACCCTCACCCCGTGGGCTCGGCTGCTCCCTGCTGACTTGCACCTCAGAGGCACCCCCAGCCCCCTCAGCCAGAACAGCCAACACCAGGCAGGTTTGATGCCTGATACCATGGGGCCCTGTGTGCCAGTGCGGCCCACCCAGCCTCAGACCTGTGTATATGTGTGTGTGTGTGCGCGTGCGTGTGTATGTGTGTGTGCATGTGCGTGTATGTCTATGTGCGAAGGGGAAGCTTGGCAGAGGGTGGCTATGGAGTGGAGGGGGCTGGAGAGGCCAGGCCTCCGTGTGGCCGGTCAATGCCTCAGGAGGTCAGCAGGTGGAGAAAGAGAGCCGTGTGTGGGGTCAAGGAGACCCTGGGGCTGTTCATTGGACAGCACTAATTCAATGCCTAAAAATAACCTCGGACCTGGTAGGGCACTTCAGAAATTTCCAGGCTCTTTCAGACCCCCCACAAACTCATTTCAGTCTCCAACATCTTGTGAGGAAGTTAATTCCATCCTTATTTTACCACCAGGAGCACCAAGTTCTAGAGTAAATCTGTGAAGGGCTCACAGTTAGTTGGTGGTAGAGCTGAAACTGGAACTCTGGTCTCTCTGGCCATAGGTTCAGGGCCACCTCCTGTGGACCTACTGTGTGCTTAGCCCCGTGCAGGGCCTGGGCATGGAAACGGAGTGAAGGAGGCACTGGCTTTGCTGCCAACATGGCCTGTCTGCAGGGAAGAAGGCCACCTGAGAGAGAGGTTAGGAAGCACCAGGGCAACCACAGGAAGGAGGGGCGCTGAGATGGGAGCGAGGCCTTGGACAAGAAAGGATATCCAGAGCTAGAGAGGGTGGGGCTTGAGGGTGGAGGCCATTCAAACACAAAGCACTCTGGGTGAAGACAAGACAGTGGGGAGCGGGTTTTGGCCCAGCCCCACGCAGAGCCTTAAAGACGCAGCCATGGGCATCCCCTGCAGGGCCTGGCAGGCAGTCTGCCCAGGAGAGTCACATTTGTGGGACCCTGCTGCAGAGGACCTTCCCAAGGGACAGTCCCCTGTTTAGATGTCTTTTTTGGGGGGGGGTCTGGGGGATGGAGTCTTGCTCTGTCTCCCCAGGCTGGAGTGCAGTGGCACGATCTCGGCTCACTGCAACCTCTGCCTCCCAGGTTCAAGTGATTCTCGTGTCTCAGCCTCTTGAGTAGCTGGGACTACAGGTACATGCCACCATGCCCAGCTAATTTTTTGTATTTTTTTTTAGTAGAGATGGGTTTTGCCATGTTGCCCAGGCTGGTTTCGAGTTCCTGAGCTCAGGCAAACCACCTGCCTCGGCCTCCCAAAGTGCTAGGATTACAGGCGTGAGCCACGGTGCCCAGCCTCAGATGTCTTTTGGGGGTGGAACCAGGGCTGCACTGCAGAGGTCACCCCCCTACCCCTGGCCCTGTCACTCTCCATCCTCTTCCTCCTGGCCAGACCTCCTGCTCTGGCCTGCTTTTATTCTCCTTTTAGCATAAGATGGCAAAGTGACTGAGAAGAAGGAAACAATCAAAGGAAGAGAAGTGGTTGCCACGGAAACTATAAAGTGGAAGCAGAAACTTTCAGGAGCAGGAGGGAGGAGGGAAGCAGACCTGGTGGCTGGGTGGGAGGAGAGGCGGGAGGCCTGGCCTGGGCTAGCCTGGAGTGCCCCTACGCCCAGTTCTCGCTGCTCTCCCCAGCTGAGCAACGCTGGGATCTGTGCTCTCGGGAGCAGGAGGGCCGTCTGGTTTCTCCCAAGTCTGGGCAGGAGGTGGCTGGTACGAGAGTGAGGTAAGCAGCTTGGCCTGTGGGTGCATGGGGCTGAGGAGGAGCCCTGTCTTCTGCCCAGATCCCCACATTGTTCTGAACCGCCAGTCCCATGTCAGCCTGGAGGAGTCTTTGCATGTCTTTACACCACGTCTTGATTCCTCCGTTCTAACAAGCCAAAATGACACGGTGCAGGACTGGGCAGTTTACCAGGCAGCTTCCTGAGTGCAGTCTCATTCAAGTCTTGTGACAGTTCTGGGAGGATAGTATTCAGATTCTACAGAGTGGGGAGTTTGGGCCCAGAGAGGTTAGGGAACTTGCCCTAGGTCACAGAGCTGAGAACCCCCAGGGGTAGGATTTATCCCCTGGACTGTCAGATCCTAAAGCCTTGAGCTCTCTTTTCCTTCTGGACACTTTGTTTTGTAATGCAGGGCTCTGCATGAAGCCATGAGTTCTCTGTAGCCTCCAGCCCCTTCTCATCCTTCATTCCAGTAAGACTTTCCCCCAGGGAGCTGCTATTTGCTTCCTGGAGGAGCCTAGGGAAATTTAGTGTCTCTGAGGCTTGATTTCCCCATCTGCAAAATGGGCATAATAGCACCTTTTCCCTCTGAAGGCTTTTGTGAGGATGCAATGAGACAATTCAAGTCAAGCACTGGGTGCAGTGCCTGGCACAGAGGATACCCTTGAACTCTCTGCTGGCTGAGCCTAGCAAGCACCCGTGGAGTGGGCAGGGCTGGGGCAACCTCCCTATATTTCAGAGAAGCCACTTCGTCCGTGAAACGGTTCCGATGGGTTCCTGCCTTGCTCGGGGAATTGGAAAGGTAGATTGAGATCATGGCTGTGGAGCCTTGAAACCACTGAGTCTGGTGGGGGAAGAAGCAGGGTCTCCCCTGCTGTAAAACTGGCCACTAGAGCTCCAGTGGACATTGAGACGTCTCAGCCAATGGTCTCTCTGTTGGAGGAAGGGAGGGGAGAGGGATTGGGACCCTGCCCAGTTAGCCCCTGAGTAGGAGGCTCAGACCTGCTGAAGGTTTGGGTCTGAAATGACCCCTTGGAATTCCGCGTTGCCTGCCCCCGAATTGCAGCCAAGCTTTAGATTTCTCCCGGGAGAGGCCCAGCCAGTCAAATGTATTATTAAATGGCAGAGAGGCCGAGCGCTGCATGTGAAAGATAATGGGGGAATTTATATGATGGGCTATAAATCACAGAATGAGAAGCCCTGCAACCTGTGGGGAGGAAAATTAAGAAGTCCTGAGCAGTGACTTGTTTGGGGTGGGGGCGGAAGGCATTTGGCCCTGTTTTGCTGTGAGCCTGGCAGGTTCATGATGCACGAGGCCCAGGGGTCCGAGGGGCTCTGATGTGCACACTTCCTATGTACTCAATGGTGACACCCCCCTCCCCCCATTGGCAGCTGCTGTGTGACAATGCCAAGCTGGGCACTGGGTTATGACCTCAGGGAGAGCAGTGTGCCAGGAGAGACAGATGTGAGATGAATCATCAAAAAATATGCAGTCGGCCCTCCGAATCTATGGGTTCTGCATCTGTGGATTCAACCAACCAAGGATTGAAGATAGAAAAAAATTGCATCTGTACTGAACATGTACAGACTTTTTCTTGTCATCATTACCTAAACAATACAACTATCTCCATAGCATTTACATTGTATTAGCTATAAGTATTCTAGAGATGATTTAAAGTATACAGGAGGGTATGCATATGCTATATTTTAATGTCAGGGACTTGAGCGTGCTTGGATTTTGGTATCTGATTGGATTTTGGTATCCTGGATCCAATACCCCTGGGATACCGAGAGACGCCTGTATGGCACTGCACAAAGCAGTGGGCTCCCTGGAGGAAAGGCGCAGGGAGCTCAGAGAGAGTGTTGCAGGAGGGCTGTGGAGGAGGCGGTGAATTGAGAGAGGGGAGTGGTGGTTTTTCTGGAAAGGAAGAGTGAATGCGAGTCAGCCAGGTGGCTCAAGAGAGCTGTGGCAGGGAAGGTGAGCCAGAAAGAGTGGCCAAAGGCCAGCAGGGCCAGGGCAGCTAGGGCAGGGGCTGTGTTTCAGATTTCACTCTGGCTGTTTTATGGAGAACCACACTGAGGAGGCAGCGGAGGATTTGGGGGGACAGTTCGGGGGGATGGAGGTCCCCAAAGGTAGAGATGGCGATGCCCTGGTTCTGGGAGATGTCAATGAAGGTGATGAGGTGGACAGCCTCAAGCTGGAATTTGGAGCTCTGAAGAGCCCATTTCACAGAGCAGGCTCCAAGTCTACAAAGCCAGCCCCATGTCCTGTATCCTAGGAGGTGGGAATCATGGGAGCAAAGACACAAAGGAAAGAAGCAGTGAAGGGCTGGGGGCCAGGGTGGTTGGGGAAGGGATAGGAGTAGGGTGTGGTAAGAGGGAAGATAGGAGTAGGGCTGGGGCCATATCCACTGACCACTATCCTAGGCTAGGACTAGAGTCAAGGCTGTGTGGGATTGAATCCTGTCTCTGCCACTAATCAACTCTTGTGCCTGTAAAATGGGAGAGTAACAGGATTCACTGCTTTTGGTCATTAGAAGGACTTGCTGAATTGACACTGCCTGACAAAGGGGAAGCACTGAATTGGGATTAAGTATGCACTGAGTGGCCTTGGGCAACTCTGCCCTCTCTGAGCTTTGCTTTCTTCTAGCAGGTCTCTGCAAACCCTCTAGGCCAAAGTCCTCTAATCTCCCTGTGCTAGCAGTGTGCAGCTCCCGAGGGTGGTCAGAGCACAGCGGCAAGCTGGCTGTATTGCCTCAGATGGGACCGTGTCCCTCTCTGCCCTGTAAGGGGATACCATGCCTATCAGAGCTGTAAGGGGATATTTTAATCAGCCCAGGACCTGCTGAGGTCAGAGGGCATAGGGACCAGAACAAAGAATGCCAGTCACGGCTGCTGCCTGGCCCTAGATGACCTGCTGGGCCCCAGAATCCAGACCACATGGGGAGCCTGCGGAGGGAGGTGGAAGCTGGGGGCCTCACTGTGGGTCAGGCACTGTTCAAACTGGGTGTTCTCCATTTTGGGCCTCAGTTTGCCCATCTGTACCATGAGGTTTATAACCCCTCCCTGCCTGCAGCACATGGGGTGCTGAAAAAAAGGAACAGGCTGCAGTTTGGACAAAGCAGATTCAGGTCTTTATTGGGGGCTGTGGTCTCAAAGCCTGAGAGAGAGCAACAGGTGGGCGAGTGAGGCTCAGTGCGGCCCACGGATGACCTGCTTTGGAATCACCTGTGGGACCACTGCCCGCTGATGAAAAATGCAGACTCCTGGGCTGTTCCCCAGACTGGCTAACTTAGACTCTGCCCGGTGGGCCCAAGTGTCTGCACTTTAACCCACATCCCAGGGGACTGGAATGTCTCGAAGTCCAAGATCTGAAGTTCTGGGCATCCCCTTCCTTGCATCAGGGGAACAGGGGCCCAGAGGGCATGGGGTCGGCTGGCCCAAGTTGCTTAGGAGACTGGAATCCTATGCCATGCCACTCAGGGGTCCTTCCTGTGCATCGCCCCAGGAGCCCTGGGAGTCCTGGGTGATGCCTGGGGCAAGGGGTACTTTATCCTAGGGCTCCATAGCCCAGCAGGGGGCAGCGCAGATCAGCACCTGCTGAGGGCTCCCCGCTGCTGTGTGGGCCTGGGCTGGGTAGTGCGGATCTAGAAAGAGCTCACTGTTCCGGAGAGGTAGGTGTGGGCCTGGGTGGGAAGACGGGCCTGTGTGTGCATGGGAGCCTGTGTCAGGGGGGCGACAATGAGAGAGAGAGCACCAGGAGGACACAAGAAATGCGACATCAGAGAAAGCAGGCCCAGAACATTGTGAAACTTCCTTACAGCTTCCCGGGACAGAGGCTGCAGGGGAAGAGGAGAGGGCATCTGTTGCCCAAGCTGCCTCCCTAGGACTGTCAGTGGGATTGGGGTGACTTCAGGCCTCCCCACCTCCCCCCACACCATGTCCTCTGGGCTTTTAAATGAGGATCAATCAGAGGTCAGCCCCTCCCCAAGTTCAGCATCAGAGTCAGGAGGGACTAGGGGCTGGGCTACAGGCTAAACTCCAGCCCCAACTCTCCAACTGGCCCTTCCTTACTTTGCCTGCTACAGCTTCCTCTGCTGCTGGGAACCTGTGGGCAGGCCTACGGCGTGGGGTGGGGCCAGTCCTGAGCCTCTGGACCTCTGACTTGAGAGTGGGCTGACCACTAGATCTCTTGAGGCCTTCTGCAGTTCCCAGTTGTGGGAAGGCAGCTTCACTTTCATACTTTCTCAGGGCAATGGGGGGCTGGTTTGGTAGTGAGCTCCCTGTCACCAAAGGTATGCTAGACAAGACTAGGTGAATTTTTCTTCCTCTTAAGCCTTTGGTGACAGGCTAAAGGGTGGGTCCTGGGCCATCCCCTCTTTATACCCCATCTGTCTGTTAATCATTAATTGCCAAGAGAGCTCCTCCTGGGATGGGGTGACTCCTTGGCTATGGGGGATGCTGATATCCAGGATGACCTTGAACTTGTTTTTCTTGGCCCCAAACTTTCTGCTACTTCCTGTTTGAGCAGGTGCAGAAATTATAGGGGCCCAACCCTTCCTTGTTTTCCTGGTAGAATTTCCAGACAAAATGCTCTTCCCAGGATGGGGGCAGAGCTGGGATTGTTCTCACTCCCAAGGGGATTTGAGGAATGAGGATGGCAGAAGCTCCATTTAATTCCCACCTACCTGGTCTTAGGATGCTAGCTATGGGCTAGGTGGGATCCTCAGGAAAGGCCAGTAAATGTGAGAACCGTGGCTCTGGCAGTGCTTGCCTCTCCTCTAACACCAGCTATGGCTCCCATTTATGTTCCAGATTGGACACAGAGGCTCTGAGTGTCAATACCCAATGGCCTTGAACACCCACCCAGGCCAACCCCATTTTGTAGGAGGGGAGGCTGGGGCTGTGAGCCAGAGGAGCCTTGTTCAAAGGCACACAGCAAAGTGAAGGCATTTATTCATCCATTCATTCATTCACCGAGTGCAATCTCTGTGCCAGTTCCTTCACGGTCAGGATTTGCACCCTGGCCTGCTGACCATCCTCAGCTGCCACTCAAAAATAAACTTTCCAGCCTGCCATCCATGTGTCACACCAGGCCTCAAGAGGTAGGTCACTTGTTCCTGGTCCCACAGCCAGCCTGCCTGCCTGCCTGCCTGCCTGCCTGCCTACCTTCCTTCTTTCCTTCTTCCTTCCTCTTTCTTTCTTTTCTTTCTTTCTTTTTCTTTCTTTCTTTTCTTTCTTTCTTTCTGTCCATTTCTTTCCCTTTCTTTCTTTCTTTCTTTCTTTCTTTCTTTCTTTCTTTCTTTCTCTCTTTCTTTCCTTTCTTTCTTTCTCTCTCTCTCTTTCTTTCTTTCTTTCTTTCCTTTCTCTCTCTCTCTCTCTCTCTCTCTCTCTCTCTCTCTTTCTTTCTTTCTTTCTTTCTTTCTTTCTTTCTTTCTTTCTTTCTTTCTTTCTCACTTTCTTTTTTTTTGACAGGGTCTTCCTCTGTTGCCCAGGCTGGAGTAGAGTGACACGATCATAGCTCACTGTAGCCTCAACCTCCCTGGCTCAAGCAATCCTCTCACCTCATCCTCCCAAGTAGCTGGGACTACAGGCACACACCACCATGCCTGGCTAATTATTATTATTGAGACTGAGTCTCACTCTGTCGCCCAGGCTGGAGTGCAGTCGTGCAATCTCAGCTCACTGCAACCTCTGCCTCCCGGGCTCAAGCAATTCTCGTGTGTCGGCTTCCAGATGGGATTTCACCATTGCTGGCCAGGCTGGTCTCAAACTCCTGATCTCAGGTGATCCACCCACCTCAGCCTCCCAAAGTGCTGCAATTACAGGCGTGAGCCACCACACCTGGCTTTTTTTTCTTTTTTTTTTTTTTTTTGTAGAGACAGGGTCTCACTGTGTTGCCAGGGCTGGTCTCAAACTCCTGGGCTCAAGTGATCTTCCTCTCTTGGCCTTCCAAAGTGCTGGAACCACAGCTTCTTTTCTATTAAAAAAAAAAAAAAAAAAAAGAACAGGGGCTTTGAGCCCAGCTCCCTTCATGCACCTCGTTCATCACACATTTATTGAGTGCTATTCTATGCACTGGGCATATGGCTGTGAACTGGACTCACAAGGTTCCTGTCCTCATTAAAGTCTGGGGAAACAAATTAATGAACATCTGAATACACAGATTAGATAGTTTCAGGAAGCGCTATGTGGAAGAAAATAAAACAGGGCAATGGGATATCATGGAGAGATTGGGGCAAAGGCACTTGAGATAAGGGGTCCAGGGAAGGTCTCTGAGGGTGTGATATTTGAGCTGAGGCCTGAATGACAGGAAGGAGCTGTCCATCTGAAGATCTGGGGTTTGTGGGAATGAGGCAGCAGGAACTGGAGATGCAAACGCCCTGAGGTGGGACCACGTTTGGCACATTCAGAGATTGAAAAGTTATCAAGCTGAGTCCAGAACTATCTTAGCCAGTGGCTCCTCAAGAAAGCCACTAGAAAGCTCTTTTAAGAATATAGATTCCTTGGCCCTACCCATCAAAATCTGGATTCAGGGATGCTGGGAGTGGGGCCCTGGAATCTGTTTCTGAATGCTCCCAATGTAGTTAATGGCATCCAGTCCAGCCCCACACCTGTAAGCCTGCCATATGGAGCCATCCCCTTCTTTCATTTTTTGCAGAGGGAGGATCAGAGAGGCACCGTGACTTATTCAAGGTTGCACAGCCACACAGTGACAAATCTAAGCCTCAAGCCCAGATCTCCCACCAGAGTTCTGCCCTTACCACTTCTCTTCTTCCCCTCTGGAGAAGCTGCCTGGGCCTCACCCCAACTTGGTTCTATCTCCCTGTCTATTCTCCCTGATCTCACCCCTCACATAGCCTGCTCCCCAGTCCTCACTGTATCCTCTGCTCCAGCCTCACCATCCTACCCACTGTCTCCAGTACATGCTTTGTTCATTTCCACCTCTGGGGCTTTTCTCATGCTGTCTCTCCCTCCAAGAATATACTTTTCTGCTCGCTATGCAGTCAACTCCTACTCAGCCGTCTAGCTCCATGCCAGTGTCTCCTCCTCCAGGCAGTCTTCCAGGACTTCTCTCTTCTCCAAATTCTCTCAGTGCTGACTCCAGGTCAGATAGGCTCAGCCACTTTTTTCGAATGTTGCCATCATCTCTCCCACTGTTGCTAAGAGCCTGCTCTGGGCTGGGAGCTGTACTGATCAGCTCTGGACTGTCCTCTCAACCAATCCACAAATTAGTGAGAAAAGAAATAGCCAAGGCTAGGCATGGTGGCTCAAACCTATAATCCCAGTGCTTTGGGACAATAAGGTGGGAGAATCACTTAAGGCCAGGAGTTCGAGACCAGTCTGAGCATCATGGCAAGACTGTGTCTCTACCAAAAAGTTAAAAAATTAGCCAGGCATGGTGGCACACACGCCTGTAGTCCTAGCTGCTCGGGAGGCTGAGGCAGGAGGGTCACATGAGCCCAGGCATTCGAGGTCGCAGTGAGCTATAATCCCACCACTGCATTTCAGCCTGGGCAACAGAGCGAGACCTTGTCTAAAAAAGAAGAAGAAGAGGAGGAGGAAGAAGAGGAAGAAGAGGAAGAGGAAGGGGAAGGGGAAGAGGAAGGAAACAAGGAAGGAAGGAGAAAGGAGGGAAGGAAGGAAAGAGAAAGAAGGAAAGAAAGAAAAGAAAGGAAAGAAAGGCTGGGCGCAGTGGCTCATGCCTGTAATCCCAGCACTTGGGGAGGCTGAGGCAGGTGGATCACCTGAGGTCAGGCGTTCGAGACCAGCCTGGCCAACATGGCGAAACCCCGTCTCTACTAAAAATACAAAAATTAGCCAGGCGTGGTGACACACGCCTGTAATCCCAGTTACTCAAGAGGCTGAGGCAGGAGAATTGTTTGAACCTGGGAGGCGGAGGTTGCAGTGAGCTGAGATCGAGCCATTGCACTTCAGCCTGGGCTTGCTGAGACTCCATCTCAAAAAAAAATAAAAAATAAAAAAAGAGAGAGAGAGAAAGAGAGAAAAGAAAAGAAAAAGAAAAGAGCCAGGAGGGGAAGCTGCTTGTCAGTTTATACGCAAGGCTTTGATCCACTATGTTATTTGACTCTTCCACAACCTCACAAAATATTCATATACCCCTTTATACCTTAGGAAATGGAGGCACAGAGAGGTGAGGCAGTGATCTGGGGTCACACAGTGAAGAGGGGAAGGCTCATCACTCCAAATCCCCCACCTGAATGGGGGCTTCCTAGGAGCTGACTACAGGGCCCGTTCAGCTGTCCTCCTCTGTGGTCTCTGCAGGAGTTGAGCAAGGCCCTCCCCTGGAACCCAGGCCAGTGCCAGCCATGAAATGGTTCACAGATGACCAGGCAGGCCTGCTTGAGAAGGGAGGGGGCTCCCTGACCTCACACTGGGACCATATGCCACCCCCTCTGGTTTCCCAGTGGGTGCGGAGCTGTCTGGGCCCTTACTGAAGGGGGAGGAAGAAGCCCAGAGACCTGGAACCTCAGCCCCAGGCCTGGGCCAGGGAGAAAGGAGGGGCTGTGGGCGTCACTGGGGCCCAGGGCCCACCTGGAGCTTGGCAGCGTTTCTGGGTCAGGGCAGGGAGAGGAAGTACACAGAGAGAGTGGCTCCAGGCTTGGCCATCTGGGCTGAAATGCCGGCTGCTAGGGTTGGGGTGAGGAAGGAGGGCTGGGGCTGGGGCCTGGAGAGTGGATTAGTCTCCCCTGGGCCACAGGATTGGAGCCCTCAACTTCAGGGCAGCCAGTATGGAGGGGAAGCCCAGGGCTCCTGTGGGCAGAAGGCAGCAGGCATTCTGGGAGAGGTGGTCCAGGCTCTCGACGGAGAGAGGTGGTCTTGGCGGCTGTATTTGGGTTCCAAGGTGGAACCCACCCTAATCCCCAGCCCCATGTGACCTTGGGTGAGTCGCTCCCTCCCTTGGTCTCACTTCCCCATCTTCAGGAAGGGATGCTGCCCCACCCTGACTGCTCTGTGCTGGGATGAGAGAGCCAACCAGACCCTCAGTGATTGCAGAGTTGATGCCAGATCCCAGTTTGCCATGGGTTAGGGAGGGTCCTCTGGGTAAGCAGCTGATTTTGAGGGCCTCAGCTTCCCCCGTTCATCAGTTTCTCTCAAGGTTCCTTCTACCTCGGACATTCCGGGGCTTTATGACAGGCTGTCGACGTGTACGAGGGAGACGTGCATGTCCTCTTCTCTGGGCTTCTGGAGGACTGGAGGGGACCTGTAGGTGGCCCTTTGGGGAATGGGGAGATTTTTAGATCCTGATGGAATCTCTGGGAGGTGAGCTGAACAGAGCTGTCTCATCTCCATTTAACACGTGGAAACCTGAGACCCAGAGGTATCACACGGTGACCCCCTCTTAGAGTTCCGGCCTGTCCCGAGGGCTCTGCCCTCGGCCCAGCCCTGGGTGACTTGATTGGAAAAACACTCACACTCCCCGAGGCTCTGTCTCTGTGTGTTCAAATGTCCACGCTTGACTGGTCCCCCACTTCCGCCTGTGTTGAGAGGGGCAGAGCCATCCAAGCCTGGGGTCATCTTGTCCCTGACTGCACCGTTTTCTGCAAACGATGTCATTAAATATATCGGTGGCTTTTGGGAGGAAGTCTGGGGGGCGGTGGCAGTGGTGGTCGCCTGGCTAGCCTGGAGTGCTTTAGTGTGACCTCTTGGGGCTTGTCTATGCTTTTCCCTGAATGGGGTGACCTGGCCCCAGCCTCCCCCATCTTCCTAGTGAAGATCCTGCTCCTGGTCCAGCCTTATTCCCGGATGAACAGTGGATGCAGGAAGTCGTCATTGCCTGCCAGACAGGCCACCTCCTGGGGCAGAGGCCATGACCTTAACCACAAGTGTCCCGCCACCCCCCCCACCCCGACCCTCTGTCCCCCCCACCCCCACCCCTGCCCAGAGCTCCAGAGACTGAAAGGTTGAGACTGTCCTGGGAGGCGGATGTGTGCAGGCCTGCCTGGCTGGGGACTTCCCCGGTCACCACCACCCACCCTCATCCCAACAGGAAACCTGACAGGTCTGAGCCTTCCAGACACCCATTGTGTGGGGCCTAGTGTGGGCTCCGATGCTTCCCCTGTCAGGACTCCTGTCGCCCCTAGCCTCCTCCTGTCCCTTGACAAAGCTGGCTATTAAAGAAAGTTCTAGACTGTTTCCACTCCCCCGTCTCTGCATTCCGTACTGCTCAACCTTATGATCGTTGCTCCTTTCAGCCCCCTGGGTTCAAATCCTGCCTCCTAGTGCAAGCCCTGTGACTTTAGGGAACTCACCTACCCTCTCTCTGCCTCTTGACATTTCTTCTGGAAAAAGAAATAACCATCTGCCTCCTAGGATTATTCTGAAATTAAATGAGATGATGTGGGTAGAATGCTGAGAACAGGATCTGGGACAGTGCATGCTAGATGCAGTTCAGCTACCATGATTAGGATTAAACCCAAACTCCACCCTCAAACAAACCTCTTGAGGTCAAACTTGTAACCCTCCTCTGTTAAGAAGCCTTGGGTTTCTGTGGTGCCCCACGCATGAGCATCTCCCCTTCCCTGGGGGAGGCTGGTGTTTGAAGATAACTGGTTGTGGTTGCTGTTATCATCCCCCCTGTACAGAATGGCCCATCAATGAAGGCTGTGCTCTTCTGTTTTGTGCTTAGCTGCAGAAATGGGTGATCTGTCTTAAGATTGGAGGAAACACTATGCTTTATGGGCAATTTAAGGCTTTTCAAAGGTAATTTTGGCAATATGCTTTTTTTTCTCTCTTTTCTCACTGACTTCAACCCTGACACCGCAGAGGGACTCAAGACTGCCTTGGGCTAGCCTCCCTCCCCTGCATCTGGTGCCCCTGCTGACCCACCCTGGCCTGGCCCATGATGTACCTGGACTTTCAGCCCAGCTCTGATGCTACCCACTGCTTCTTTTCCAGCAGGGATGCTGATGGTTTTCTGCCTAGAGGGGAATTTTTTGGGTCCATCCCTCCCTGGTCTTCACAAGTAGCCTCCTGTGTCCCCATTATTCAAACTGACTAGTGGGGTATACCAGGAGCCAGGAGGGGGGTGTCTCTCCTTGGAGTCAGAGTAGACTTTTTTAAGGAGGGGGTGCTTCAATTTGCAATTGCAAAAATGTATATATACACACACATATATATACATAAACACACATATATACGTATATATACCCATATATACACATATATATACATACATATACATATATATTATATATATACATACATATACGTATTATATATATATACGGGTATATATGTATATATATGATGGAATACTACTCCGCCATACAAAGGAATGAATTAATGGCATTCCCAGAAACCTGGATGGGAATTGGAGAATATTATTCTAAGTGAAGTAACTCAGGAAAGGAAAACCAAACATCATATATTCTCACTCATAAGTGGGAGCTAAGCTATGAGGATGCAAAGGCAGAAAAATGACACAATGGACTTTGGGGACTCAGGGAACGGGTGGAAAGGGGGTGAAGGATAAAAGACTACAAATTGGGTTTAGTGTATCCCAAGTTACTGCTCGGGATATGGGTGCACCAAAATCTCACAAATCACCACTGAAGAACTTACTCATGTAACCAAATGCCAACTGTTCCCCAAAAACCTATGGAAATAAAAAATTTAAAAAATAAAAAACTGAGGGGATGCTTGAGCTGGGTCCTGAAGGGTAAGCAGGAATGCACCAGGTGGGTGCAGAGGGAAGACCTTGGTGGCAGCGGTCCAGGTCCCACCAACAGGGCGAAGACTGGTGGTGGGAAAGAGTGTCTGGAGGATGACCAAGGGGGCTGAAATGGGTTGGGGTGCAAGCGGGAGGTGGTCGCTTTTTGACACAGCTTGGTCTCTGAGAGTTCGCCTTGGGAGGCTTTTGAGGGGAGGGTAAAGGTGCTGGTGGTGGGGTTAGGTCAGATCTGATTTAGCCAGTCCTAGTACCCACACCCCTACTTACTAAACTTGCATGTTTCCAGGCCCCATCCAGACCCACTGAATTGAGCGTCTTGAGGGAAACTCAGAAATATGCCTGTTCACTGAGTGAAGGTGATTTGGGGGCTGCAGCCCTGTCCCCGCTAAAGCAGCACATGGGAGAGGTGGGAGCTGGGCCTATTCAGGAGCCCCTCTGGAGGTGGGAGAATAAGACCAGACCTTTAGCCCTGTAGGTACTGAGGCTCTCATGTTGGCAGGGCTGGAAAGTCCGATCTGTTGGTCTGTCACAGGAAGCAGTGGTAGCAATGGTGGTGGTGGGCACTGGAAGCAGGGCTTCTCCTGTTCAGAGAGAGAAAGCCACAGGGGCGCCGGCGGGAGGTGGGAGCAGATGGGGGGCCAGTTTCCCAGCAGGATTGATTCCAGGTCCCCTGCTGGGCTGTACAGGGAGCGGCCTTTAACTGCCCTGTTCCTGGGCCAGGAAGAAGGAAAAGGAGCCTGGGCTCTTTCTCTCCTAGCTCCTGCCCTGCCCCCTTCCCACTCAGTACCCGGAGAGTACCTGCCCCAGGCCCGTGGAGATGCTCGGCTCAGCTGGTTGGCGATGCCCATTCCCATCCCAAGGGTAGAAATGCACAAGCTTCCTCCATTTCACTAGCTGACCCTCCTTCCTCCACAAGGCAGATGGATTGGGGGTCCATACGTTCTCCCTATAGGTAGGGAAACTAAGGCACAGAGAAGGACTTGAAAAGCTGAAGTGGGGAGACCATGCCAGACCTTTGGAGCCCAGCTGTGCTTACAGATGAGGTCCTGAGTTCCAAGTTACTGCCCCCTCTCCCCTCCACACACACTCCTCAGACTTCCTGTTGGGGGCCCAGGCTAAGACCACTTGCCCACACCACTGATAACAGTGAGTTGATTGTGAGCCTCCCGTCCCCTCCAGGGAGGGCTGGAACCTGGCTGATCAGAGGGTTCCTGCTTTGGGAAACAAAATGGGCCAGATGAACTCAGGCCCTGGGAGCAGGACCGTTGCCCCCGTCCTGAGTAGGACTTCCTGGGAGTCCCTCACCCCCAGAACCCGTGGACCTGGCTACGGAGGTTAGTCATGCCTGGAAGTGCCAAGATGTGGACAGGTGGTGCTCAGAACCCCACCTACGTGAGGAGGCACTGAACTGGGTTCTGGCAGTTTGGCCAGAGGAGGATGCATGCTAACAAGGCCCCCAGCTTGCCTGGGGACTGAGTGACTGTGTGTGCGCTCTGTCCAGGGGCTTCTTTTTAGAGACGTTCCTGCACCATGTCTGCTGTTGAAAGGAGATAGGGCAATGCCTCCAAGCTTGTCTGACCTGCAGCCTACCGGCTGCATGTGGCCCAGGATGGCTTTGAATGCTGCCCAACACAAATTCATAAACTTTCTTAAAGCATGATGAGGTTTTTTTGTGTGTGTGGTTTTTTTGTTTGTTTGTTTGTTTTAGCTCATCAGCTATGGTTAGTGTGAGTATATTTTATGTGTGGCCTGACAATTCTTCTTCTTCCAGTGTGGCCCAGGGAAGCCAAAAGATTGGGCACCCCTGGCCTAACCCAAAGGAGGCTAAGGGTGTCCTCTTGGGCACCCTGGTTTTCCATCTTCCTGTGGGATTGGCCAGTATTCAGGGAAGAGGGGACCAGGGCAGCTGATAGCTCTGGACTCCTCAGACTGAGTTTGCTGGAGTAACACCCCTCCTGCCCCTCCCCCCTGGTCAGGGAAGGCGCCTGGCTTCCAGCTGTGAGACAGGCTCCGCAGGACTAGGGACCCTCCCCGCTGGCTGAGAGCGCTAGGGAGGGGGCTTCCCCTGTGAGGTGCAAAACCCGGCCTGGATTTCTGCCCAGACGGCCCCGCCCACTCCAGGGCCCCACCTTCCCCACTGTTCTGGAGGAAGATCCCCTAGCCGGCCTCAGGCACTTGCGGTGACTCACACCCCCCACCCCTAAGTCTGAATGTTGAGAGCCCCAGGCTAAGACCACTTGCCTCTGCCACTTTCCATGTGACTGAGGCAAGACCTCCTTGCCAAGGCCTCAGTTTCCCCCTCTGTACTTCAAAGGAGGCAGCTCAGGCAGGTGTCTTAATAATTTAAACGACGAATATTGCTAAAGAGATAAGGGGCGGGGAGAGAGAGAGATCACTGTGGGCCATGGTTAGGGAAGGGTGGAGGAGCTGGGTCCTGAAAGGGTGGACTTTGGTCGGGTGGAGAAAATAGCCAAGAAGGCAGTCCCTGCTGGCAGCACAGCAAAGAGAAGTGAGAATTAGGGGGAGCAGAGGTGAGGCTGGAGGGGACTTTGGTTGGGGCAAGATTATTTGGGGTCCAAATAACAAGGATGTTTAGACGTATTGCCATTGTGCTCTGGGGAGCCACGGAAAGCTCTTGAGCTGAGGAGTGACTTGGAGAAAGTTTTTCAGCCAATGCAATAGAGGGAGTTGGTACCTTTCCTTCTGCCACCCTGAGTTTCTGGTGCCTACGGTAGGGTAGGGATTGTTCTGCCCTGCCTTCAGTGCTTTGAGTGCTTGAAACAGACACCGTAATTTTAATTACATAAAAATGATACGTGTATCAGACGGGACAACCTTTAAAACGTAAAGAAGAGGCAAGTATCCTGCATCACAGGGGAGTCTTTCAACCTGGCTGGGCCAGGGCCTGCGGAGCAGTGAGGGTCGTTTCTCAGCCCAGCGAGCCTGGGGCAGGAACGGACCCTAATTGAAGGTGACCGTCCCCAAGCATGCGTCCTACCCCGGGCTCCGGAGAGCGCACAAGCAGGTGTGCACCGTCTACCCGCGCTGGCGGGATTGGGTGCCTGGTGCGCCCTCAGGTCGACGGTCGAACCCTCGGGGGCGGGGGTGGGAGCCAGAACCCTCGGGACGACCCGTCTGGGGTCCCGGGGAAACTCCGGGCCGCCTCGCCCCGCCGATTCCAGGCCGGGATTTCTCCCGCACTGACTTTCCGGGCCGGTGCCAGCCCGGCCTCCGGGTCCCCAGCCCCCGCCGCGGGGCCGGCTGCTCGGGGAGCGGGAGGGGGCAGGAGGCGGAGGAGGAGTTTGAGCGACTTTGTGGGGCAGCCAGGGCCTCGGCGGCCGCTCGGGCGAGCGCGGGAGAACGCGTGGGCGCCCGCCGGGCTGTCCGGAGCGGCCGATGGGGCCCGTGTGAGCGCGCCCAGGCCCGGCCCGGTGCCCGGCGGGCGGCAGCATGTCCGCGGGCGGCAGCGCCAGGAAGAGCACCGGGAGGTCCTCCTACTACTACCGGCTGCTGAGGCGGCCCCGGCTGCAGCGACAGAGGAGCCGCTCCCGCAGCCGGACCCGGCCTGCCAGGGGTAGGCGCCACCCCGACCCCTGACCCCTAGACCCTCCTAAGGCCACTAAGCCACCTGATGCCCTGGGATGCTAGGGACCGGGATCCTCCTTCCAGCCATTTGCCGGGGGTTTCCTCATCCGCCCCTTCCTGAGTCTGCCGGACCCCCCATTCCCCCAGCTTCTGCTTAGTCCTCCTCTCGCCGGGGGAAGCCGAGGCTCTAGGGTCTCCTCTTAAGCCAGGGACAGGGAGAGGGGAGCCTGGAATCTTTCTCCGCATCTCAGATCAGACCTCCTACCCCACTGTGCCTCAGTTTACTCAGCAGCCGGGCAATAAAGTAACCCAGGGTGGATCTGAGCTTTCCCACACCTTGCCTTCCCAGCCCAGGCCGCGGACTTCTTTCTTCCCTTTCCAGGAACTTAACGGGCTCCCCACCTCTTGGGTGCTAGGACAAGTGGGTGGACCTCAGGGAAGGAACCGTGACCCCTCGAGCGGGTGGGCGCCAGCTCCTTTGCAAAGTTTCTCTCCATCAAGCTCAGGAGGCAGGACGAGACGGAGGGGGAGGTGCGAGCAGCATTTTCTTTTTCCAGTAACAGGATCCTCGGCTGGAAATGCGTGTGATCCCGGGGGCTGCGTTTGGGCGGGTGGTGGCCGGGACTTCCTTCCCTGGCTGAGTAGGAGGGAGGGAAGCCCCTGGGAGGAGGAGGCCTTCAAAGGGGCTCTGGGGAGGCTGGAGTCCTAGGCAGAGGTTCAGGCCCACCGAGGGTGCCCGTGGGGTGGAAGGGAGGAGAAAGACGGCGCCTTAGCAGGGACCTGGGCCGAGTTGACACCATCAGGTTATCTTGAAAGTGGGAAGCCGGGCCCTGTGCCAACAAATGCCATGCAGGGAATCTGGTAGACCAAGAGGGGCCACATTCCCACCCTGCAGGCTGCCGTTGTGTGACCTGGGCTGAGCTGCCTCTGAACTTCAGTTTTCTTGTCGGTGTGAGGGTAAATGAAGCAGGCAGGTAGTGTTCGGTTGCTTCCACCAGAATGGGGAAGACTTTTCCCACAGTCAGGTCTGAGTAGCACTGTGCAGTCCAGGGCTTCCTCAGGAAGTAGTGAGTTCCCTGTGCACAGAAGGGTTCAAGCTGAGGCTAAGTGTGTGCACAGGTGTGTGCTGGTAGTTCAGTCCTCAAGGGTCTCTCAAAGCCTGCAATCCCCCCACTCCTGCCTTTCCTGAAGTCTTAGTAAGTACAGAATTAACAGTACTAAGTTACTTAGTAAGTACAGAATTAACAGTACTAAGCCTTTAGTACTCCTTGGAGGGAGTACTAAGCCTTTAGTACTCCTTGGAGGGAGTACTAAGCCTTTAGTACTCCTTGGAGGGAGTACTAAGCCTTTAGTACTCCTTGGAGGGAGTACTAAAGACCTGGGGAAGGCTTTATCTCAGTGGTTCAGGTTTTGGTTCTTCTATCTCTGTCCTTCTATTTAATTCTGTACTTGCTAAGACCTGGAGAAAGGCTTAGTACTGTTAATTCTGTACTTACTCCCTTCCCCTGGACTTGGTCTGGGAGACCGGGAATCTGGGCTCAAGCTTTGTGACTTTGGGCAAGTCATTTCCCCTTTCTGAGCTTAGTTTTCCTGGTTGTAAAATGGACCTGCCGTATGTGGAGGATTCAGTGAAGAAACTGAGAAATGGGAGCTTTGAAAATGCCCAGTACTGTTCAGACCACCCTGGGGCCTCTCCTTCTGCACCCACCTCACGTCACCTCACCCACCCGCCCCTCCTTTGCCTCAGAAATGCCCTGTGTGACCTTTTCCTCTTCTCACCTCAGCCCAGTTCCATCCCTGACTGTAATGGGAGTCTCGCTCCTGTTCAGCTGACCTCCTGCTCAGCTGACCAGGCAGGGGATAATCAATGTGTCAGGGGCTGTCACCTGAGCCCCAGCTCCCAGACCCCACATACACAGGATCACTGCTTGTGTCCCAGCTTGAAGGAGCTCACGGCCTGCAGAGCGGGGAGGAGACTGTCTCTGAACAGAAGTTATATCTGGGGAGATCAGGGAGAGCTTCACAGAGGAGGTGACATTTGGATGGGATCTCACAAAATGGATAGGGTTTCCCTTCGCAGAGGGAGTAATTGAGTCAGATCTGGGTTCAAGTCTCAGCTGTGCACACAACTATTCTACAGCCAGTTACCTCTCCAAGCCTCAGTGACCTTGTGTGGTCAATGGGGCTAGCAGTGACAGGGTCATGTGAGGGCCAGAAGCCAGTGCCTGGGACTAAGGCTGCAGCTGAGGGTGAGCTACTGTCTTCTCTCTGGACAGAATGAACAGACTGCGCAGTCAGGGAGAAGGAAAACGGCTTGGGTATTGAGAATAGAGTTCCTCCTGGGTTTGGGGAGGGGAGTGGATTGGGAAGGGGGCTGGGTGAGTGGGTGGGGAAGAGCAGGCAACAGTAGTTTGGATTTGATAAAGGGCCTTGAACTTTGGGAGGCCAAGGCAGGAGGAATCCTTGAGCCCAGGAGTTCAAGACCAGCCTGGGCAACATAGCAAGACCCTGTCTCAATATTGTTTTTGTTTGTTTGTTTGTTTGTTTTTTTAAAAAAAGAAGGCCTGGAGTGATGAGGAGTTAGTTACAGCTGCAGCCAGGGTGTAGGGTGGAGGCTGGAGGCACCCTGTCCTCCTCCTCCTTGGTGGGAGGCAGCTAGGGCAGCCATTGCCCTCCCTCCACTAAAGCCTCAGACGCCTGACTCTACCCCAGAGCCACAACCACCACCTGAGGGCAGGGCCCCACCCAGGGAGAAACTCAGGCTGAGGAAGCCACCCTGTGGCCTTTGAGCCAGTCCCTTCTGACCTTGAACTTCAGCCTCCCCATCCACATGGGGGCTTGGTCCCATGGTGTGGTAGCATCGGACCTCAGAGGAGTGGGTGGTGCCTAGCATCTCAGCCTGGATCAGACTCTTGCCCCCACACCCTTTCTGGCCTCTGGCACTAGCAGGGAAGGAAAATGACCAAGAACTCAGGCTGTGTATTTGTTCAGAAACAGAAAAATGCAAGGAAGAGTTGGTTGCTGCCAGGTTCTGCAGGTGGCCAGGCTGGGGGAAGGGAGCAGGGCTTTGTCCCTGGTAGGGCTGTGAGTGAGGGACAGTATCTGCAGTCTCCCTAGTTTGACCAATAAGGGACTTAGGTTCTTCCCTTTTCTGGGCTTCAGTTTCCCCATCTGAAGGATGGGCAGAGTGAGACCTGCTGTGGTGGGGGGTAGAGCACGAAGCTGGAGGGTAGCTGGAGGTGGGGTAGAAACAGTGACCTTCGGAGGGTGAGGGCCATTTGCATTTTCCCACTGTGTCCCTAACTCCACTTGAAGGCTGGGCATGTCCCATGGATTTGGGGGGATCCTTTCCCCAGAAGGGTATCATCAGCAAGGTGCCTCCCCACCTAGTCACACCAAAATCAAGAAAAGTTTTGTCTCTGACCCCTGTGTTTCCCCAGGGCTGCTAGGAGAAACAGAAATTTTCCTCTAGCCCTGGATAAAGTTCTGACCCATTCATTCAGCCAGTCAGCTCCTCTTAAGCACCTACTATGTGCTGGGCTTCAGCTTGGGTGCAGGGGCACATGGAGATGAATCACATGTGCTCCCAGCCCTTGCCAAGCCCCCAGTCTGTTGGGGAGGCCAGCTTGTTGGGGTGCACTAGGGCACAAGTCTCTTTCTAGGGGACAGAGCAGTGGTTAGTGGGAGGCAGGGGCTGTAGTTCCAGCTCAGCCGCGGACTGGTTGCATGACTGGGCACATCATAGGGCCTCAGTTTCCCCATCTGTCGAGGGGGGTTAATCTTGCTCTCCTGCCTCTTGGAATGCCTATACCCATAGCCATGAGGGGTTTTGATTATGTTGTTCATGTTTTCATCTGAGTTTTTCTAGGGGTCCAGCCACCTGCCAGGCCCTGGCTGGGAGCTGGGGGTTTTGCAGATGTTTTTCTCTTGAGATGGTCAGGTCCTCCTCCGTGCCTGTACACACCCCTCTTGCATGCCTCTGTATCTTGCCCGCGTGGTGGGAGAGGATGGTTTCATACAACTGGTTCCTAACCAAGAGAACAGTTAGGTAAGGACCTGTGTGCCACCATGGGGGGTGGGTAACTTCTCAGGGGACCCTGGCTTTTTTTTTTTTTGAGACGGAGTTTTGCTTTTGTTACCCAGGCTGGAGTGCAATGGCGCGATCTCAGCTCACCGCAACCTCTGCCTCCCGGGTTCAAGCGATTCTCCTGCCTCAGCCTCCCGAGTAGCTGGGATTACAGGCATGCACCACCACACCCGGCTAATTTTGTATTTTCAGTAGAGACGGGGTTTCTCCATGTTGGTCAGGCTGGTCTCGAACTCCCAGCCTCAGGTGATACACCCGCCTCGGCCTCCCAAAGTGCTGGGATTACAGGCATGAGCCACCGTGCCTGGCTGGGACCCTGGCTTTGATAAGGTCTGCAAGAGGCCTCTGGGGCAACAGCTTGGACTTCATGAGTTGGGCGAGCCTGAGAACAGCCCTGAGGTGGGGGGGTTTTGTGGTTCCCCAGTTTTCAAATGTTCCCTGCAAGGGCCCTAGGCCTGGCTCTCTGCCTCCACCTTGGATGACACCTGTGAAATCATTATGCCCTTTTCTGCCTTGTCTCTTCTTCTGTTTCTGCCAAGACACAATCTTTCATTTGGGGCTTGGCCCTAGCCTTTCCAGTCCCTCCTCTCCCTTACATACCTCAAGGATTGGGGAGCTCACTCCCTCTCAGGTTGTGTAATGAGGGTGAAAATGGCTCCTTTTTGTTACGGCTCCTGTGTGCTGCGTGCCTGCTCCATGCCTGGCAATGAGCTCAACTCTGAACTTGCCTTGTCTTATGCAGTGTTCAGAACAACACTGTGAGATGGATACTGATACTATCCTCATTTCATAGGTGAGGAGACTGTAGCCCAGAGAATGAAAGCTTTGCCCAAAGCCACACAGCTCAGAAATGGTGGAGCCCAGCTCTGCCCACCTCCAGGTCCTGAGATTCACCTTGCGATATCCGTGGGCAGGCAGACCTTTCTAAGGTCAGGCCCTGGCTTTGAGAAGGCCACCTCCCTTCACAGCCAATGACTTCACTGGGTGTTCATGGCAATTGTCTCTCACAGTCTTGGTCAAAGCTTGGGAGGGAGGCAGGGGAGTGGCCCCGTTGGCATCTGGTTGCCTCCTCCACCTGCCTGGGATAGCTCAGGTGGGACCTCCCCGGCCTGCCCCTGCCCCCTGGATCCTGCTGTCATTCATGACCTGCCAACCATGCCCTTTCCCAGGGCATGCGACAGGTCTCAGGGCCTCAGCCATGTTTCTCCACCAAAGCCCTTAGTGCTGAGGGTTCAGAGTCCCCTGGTGTGAGGTCCCTGGAGCCTGGCAGACACCTGAGGCCTAATCCCCAGAGCTCTCTAGGTCCTCGAAGGAGGCCACAGGCCCCAGTGAATCTGCTGGAATGTCAGCCTCTTGCCCTTGCCTTTGTCCTTCCTGACCCACCCTCATCATCTTTAATAATCAGGAAGAGAACAGCTCCCTTTCACCAAGCTGAATGTGTGCCCGGCCCCATGCCAAGAGCTCCCCCTGATTACCTCATGTCTCATCTCAGTTCTCCAATCCTCCTAGCAGGTAGGGGTTATTGTTGTCACTTTCCTTTACCAGGTGGGAAACGGAGCTCTGGGTGTGATATTTCCTCTGCATTTTCCTGTCGGGGTGGTGAAATAACTGGTTTGAACCCAGTCCACTGGACTCGAAAGCTCATGCTCAGAAGCCCCAGGGCTCCCTCTAACTTTCTTGGTTGCTGCAACTCAGAGAGCGCTGGAATGGACCCAGGGCATGCTCCTCATCTCAGCGGTTCAGGTTTTCATTCTTCTATCTCCATCCTTCTATTTAATTCTGTACTTACTAAGACCTGGGGGTACAGGGAGGGGCTTGGAGCCTATTTGCCCAGCTGCTGAATGGGGAGGTTGGAGAGATGGATACTTATGGCTCCAGTACCAGGAGCCAACTGTTTCCCTTGACAACTGGGGAAACTGAGGCCCACAGAGCCAAGGCCACTTGCCCGTGGTTACCTAAAGATGTTAACGAGAAATCCGGGTCTGGAACTCAGATCCCTTTGTATCCTGTTTCGGTGTTGGTGTAGTTTGTTGCTTTCCCTAAGATGAGCCCAGATAGGGAAACTGAAGTGCCTGGGCTCCTGGTTGGGTCTTCTGCGGGGAGAGAATGGCGATTCAACTCCCGTGTACTGTTGAACTTGACACAAACACGCTCACATCCCAGGCTGCATACGTGTTTTGCTTTAGAAATGACATGAAGCCTTTTGACTATTTTTAAGAGAAAGGCAATGGCTGTGATATTTCCCCTGCACCTCCCTCTCGGGGCCACTTGGTTAAATGTCAGGAAAGGGAGAGTATTTCCTGGTCAGGAACATTCAGAGCTTGCTGGGAGCTGAAGTTTTGTTTTCCATTAAGTAGGTATTCGGGGAGTCTATTTCCCTCTGCCTCCTCTGTTTCCCTGGAAGCTTGCGCTTGACAGTTGCAGGGAGGAGGGGTTTGAGAATGAGCAGCCGAGATGCCCACGTATCGCGTGCCCGCTCTAGGAGTGGCGGGGTGGCTATTTTTAGCCATCCCGATTCAGTAGAGGCATTTCAGCGTTTGTTCAATATTTAATTATCCATCTGAAATTGGCCCATGTGGCCTTCAGTTTGGAAGCAGCTCTCTGTGCTGTGATTTCCCAGTTGCATAAATAAGGAAGCAAGGGAATCTCAATAGCCCTCCAAATAATAATAACGAGAAAAAAAAGTAGACTCGATACTCAGCAAAGACAGGCTTGGTTCCTCGGTCTAGACAGACCACCTGTATGTTAGCAGAGAAGCACCACCGAGGACGCCCATCACGCCCTTGGAAATGCGGCGGTGCTCAGTCTCCGAATCTCAGATCCACAACTGCCTGGGTTTTATTGGGGATGGGTTTTCCTCCCTTCGCCAGGTTCCTGTGTTGACTTTGACAGCTGCTGGGTACCTGAGAGGTGGTTTGGGGATTTTGCTTTTGGAAGCCTTGTTAGCTTTTATTTCCCTCTTCTCTTCTCCCTGACAGACAGGAGAGTACTATCGGCATCTGGGCTGTGCTATTTCTTTTTCCTTGGCCTTTGGAGGCGATGTGCCGACATAGTTGTGAAATGAAAAAAGGCAGAGCACAGGGAGGGAGATGTTGGGGCCATGAGGCTCTGCCTTCCTTCCCCAAGCCCCTGGCTGATGAGGGAGAGAGGGGAGAAGAGGAGAGAGTGGGGCCCAAGGGTGCTGGGCAGTCGGAGATGACTCCTTCCTACTGTCCTGCTTGGCATGGAGATTTGTGGACTTTGGGTTCGGAGACTGGAAACCAATAAATTGGTAATCTGGAATAAGCTTGGTTTTTCTATCCATTTACACCTCTATTCTGGGGACACAGAGTTTGGCCTAGGAGCGTGTACAGAGTCCTGACTAGGTCATAAATGCTGTGTGACTGCAGACAAGTCACTGAACATCTCTGGGCTCAGAAGCACATGTAACAGATAGATATGATGCAGCATAGGGTGTCATTATAGGCCAGGAGAATTGTCATTATTAGCTGTTCACCCAAAGTCTGAGGGGTTGCTTGCAAATCAGTTAGGGCTGATCTAGAAAGAAAACGTTTGGGAGGCCGAGGTGGGCGGATCACGAGGTCAGGAGATCGAGACCATCCTGGCTAACACGGTGAAACCCCGTCTCTACTAAAAATACAAAAAAATTAGCCGGGCGTGGTGGCAGGCTCCTGTAGTCCCAGCTACTTGGGAGGCTGAGGCAGGAGAATGGCATGAACCCGGGAGGCTGAGCTTGCAGTGAGCCGAGATCGCGCCACTGCACTCCAGCCTGGGTGACAGAGCGAGATTCCGTCTCAAAAAAAGAAAAAAGAAAAGAAAAAGAAAGAAAACGTGATGCCAGTGGGGACTGGACCCACCTAGGTGGTTTCTCGGCATCCCTACCCTGAGAGGCTGCCACAGGTCTCACTGGTACTTGTTCAGAGCAGCAGAGCTTTAGCGAGCCACCTAGTATGTGTGACCTGGGTGCCAGGGGCTGCCACAGCAGATATAGCCAGCCCCCGCCCTCGGGAGCTCAGAGGCCAAGGGGAAGAGTCTTGGCATAAGGTTAGCAGATGGTGTGACTGGAAAGGTAGGCAGGGCCTTGAGTGGTGAGCAAAGAGGGGAGAACAGCCCCTGGCAGACCACTGGGAATCAAAGGAAGGATTTTGAAAATAACAGGAATGATAACAGTGATCTCCATGTCTTGAGCACTTACACAGCACCAGGGGTTCTTCTAAGTCCTTTACATGCATCCTGCCTTAAATCATCATTCTCCCAGGTGGTGTTATCAGCTCCACTTTCTAGATGAGAAAACTGAGGCTCAGACTGGTTAAGTGACTTGCTGAGCATCACCCAGCTACTGAGTGGCAGAGTCCAGGATGTTTAACCCTCACTATACTTACCAGAGCTGTGATTTAGGAAAAGAACTCTTAACAACCCTCAAGCTAGACTGGTATGGTGCAGGGAGAAGAAAGTGGGAAGAGGGAGCAGGGAGGCCAGTCCGCTTCCTGGGGAATTTTGAAGGAGGCCGGCAGGTGCAGGATGGGGGAAGGCAGAGGGCAGGTGGAGAGGAGCTGGGAAGTTTGGAAGGGCTGACACAGGAGAGAGGATGCCGCCATCTGAGGGCCAGTGCTGGGCTCCTGCCACGATCTCTCCCTGGCCTGCGGTGAAATGAGGACTGTAAGGGCATTGCAGCGAGTTTCCCATAACATCCATTTCACTTCAGTAACCCATTTTGATGCCTCTTTTTTATTCTGAGATGATGGTCTTTGGATTCTTTGGGGTTAGAACATTCCTTTTATGCAATACATAAATGTCTAGTATGCACCATACTAAATGGTGTTCTTTTTTTTAAACATCTATATTTGGCAAGAAAAGAAGTCAGTGGTTCTGTGTGGCCCACCCTCATATTATGCTACTTCATAGTTTTCATTTATAGACATTGAACTAGTTCCTGGAATTCTCACAGGATGGTAGGCTGACACCCACGAAGGAGAAGTCCAGGGGTCGTCCTTACAGCGAGAGGAGTGGGAGCTGGTGGTGGGATAAGGTGGTGGGATAAGGCCCTTGGAAAGGCGTGAAGAAGCGGGAGGATGAGGGTCATTGAGGGCTGGGGTGGGGGATGCCCGGCAGGCTGTGGACATGGCTGATGGGCCTGCCTTGGATGCTGATGCTGCAGGGGTTTTGGCACAAGACTGGGCAAGGGGCTTTTCAGGGAGCAGCTTCAGGAGAAGGCGAGAAAGGTGCTGGAGCCTGCAGGGGATCGATTATTTGGGGGAGAGGAGGTGTGGGGTGCAGAATAGGACAGGATTGGAGAAGTTTGGTGAAAATGGGGGTGCAAGAGAAGCTTGGATTTCCCATTAACTGTCAATACAGTCATGGTTCCACCTGGTATCTAGAAACCTGTTCACAATTGTAGGTTTAGCAGCACACAGGGTGGGGTAAGTGTCTCTCCCCATCAGGAGCAGCCTCTGAACTCTCCTGGGACCCTGAGCTTCAGGGAACCCAGGCTGTGGCCCCCCTCCCCCACTTTGGCAATGCTGTCTGCAGAGGGAAGGGCCGGTTTTACTAGCACAGGGAGTGCTCCGGCTCCTGTGTGTCGGGGAAATTCTGGAAGAGGCTCTCTTCCAGAAGTTATGGAAGGTCCCCGGGAGACAGACCACCAGTTTGGGCCAAACCCCTCCATCTACATGAAACAACAACAACAACAATAATAATGTTTACGGCCAGGCACCATGGTTTATGCCTGTAATCCCAACACTTTGGGAGGCCAAGGCGGGAGGATCACTTGAGGCCAGAAGCTTGAGACCAGCCTGGGCAAATAGTGAGACCCCATCTCTACAGAAAATTTTAAAATTTTTTGTTGTGGTGGCACAGGCCTGTGGTGTTAACTGTTTAAAAGGTTGAGGGTGGAGGATTGCCTGGGCCAAGGACTTCCAGGTTGTGATGACCTATGATCGCACCACTGCACTCCGCCCTGGGCAACAGAGTAAGACCCTGTCTCGAAAAAAAAAAACAAAAAAACCCAACTCCTAAGATTACAAAAAGCAGTAAATATCTATTACAGAACAGAAGAAAATAAAAATCACCTTTAATCCAGCACCCACCAATAAGCTCTGGGATCACTGGGGGGTTATTTCCAGCCCTTCCCCTTCTTTTCTTTAAGTTTTTGAAAATTCTAAAATATTCTAAAGTAGAACAGAAAAGCATAGAAAATAATATTGCAGACACCCACCTCTCAGGTTGAACAAACCTTAACATTGCCATACCTGCCTCTCTTCTCTTTTCTTTCTATCTTTCTTAGAAATAGAAATGATTCAGGTCCAGAAGGAGTCAGGACAGTGTGGTCTACTGGCCAAACCCAGCCCCTCATCTGTTTCTGTATGACTTGTGAGCCAAGAATAGTTTTTACATTTTTAAAGGGTTGGAACAAAAAGTCAGAAGAAGGAGAACATAGGGAGTTATATGAAATTCAAATTTCAATGCCCATAAATAAAGTTTTATTGGAACACAGCCATGTTCATTCATTTGTGTATTGTCTATAGCTGCTTTCACGCTACAATGGCAGAGTTGAATAGCTGAGACAGAGACCATATGGACTTGTAAGCCTGAAATATTTGCTATCTGGCCTTTTATGGAAAGTTTGCTGACGCCCAAGATACAGCTAAAGCCACCTACTCTCTCTCCAGGCATAACTGGCCACCTAAAGGTGGTGGGTATCCTGCCTACATGTGCTTTCTGCTTTTACATAGAAGCCTATGCTTCCAAGTGTGTCGAATTGCATTGTGTGTTTAAAAATGGATATGGTGAAATTGCACATGGCAGAGAGGAGCAAACACATATGGACACCCTGAGACCTCCTTAGTTTCCTGAACTCCAGCAGCACAGAGTAAATGCCAGCTCTCTGCCAGCCCTGGAATGGGCCCTGCAGATGCAGAGAAAAGAATCGTGGGAAGAAAACTCCAGAAGAAAAAATGGGGAAAGTGACACTGCCGACTCAAATTACTAGAAATCCTCAGAAAGTAAAAAAGGAAAAAGAAACTCAGGGTTGAGAGAAGACTTTGGGCCGGTGAATTCATCCTTGGAGTGTTCAGGAAATCCAGAGATTTTTGGAAGGCTGGGAATTCTTTGGAAGTGAGGCGTGTCTGGAGATAAGGAATAGGAAGCATGGGCTGTCAAAAGCAATTGTTAGGGAGCTCAAGTAGAGAAGCAAAAGGAAAACCTGGGGACAAGGTCGACAGATGCTGAAAACCTTGTAGGATTTATACTAGGCTACACCAGACTATTAACGCGGCCAACCAGAGACCAACAAGGGAGCAAACCCTTGCACTGTCCTTGCGGAAGGGCCCTACCCAGCATCCTGGGATGTAACTGGGAAGGATGTGTCTCATTAGCACCTCTGCCCCACCTCTGGAATACCAGCTCCAAGCCAAACACGTCCCCTCTGAGCAGCTGCTGTGCCCTGCCCCCGAGTGCTCTATGTTGAGGATCCTCCGGGCAGGAATGGTGGGCTGGATGCTGAGCCCTCTACAGTTGTCCCCATGTCCCTCTCCCACCAGACTCCACTCCCCAGCAGCAGTGGGCAACCTCCTCTGATTCTGAACCACCTCCTGAGCTTACAGACCATTGGAACTCGATCCCAGTTCCCTTTAGGAGACAGCAGGCTATCATAGTTCCATGGCCTCAGGACACTGTACCTGTACCACCTCCAAACTCAACATCATAAAACCAAAACGTGAAATCAACATCCCTCATCTCTTTCTGCCAGGTAGCTGGGACTGAGCTGGGCCCTGGGGACATAGAGAGAGGCCAAGGGCCAGGCGCGAACTCAGCTTCCTGAGTCACTTGGGAGCACTGTCTTCTCACTCATCTCTGCACAGTGCCATTCCTTTCCCACATTGGGGCAACCCTTAGATTCAGAGATATCCGGGCTTGAATCCTGTTTTCAACGTTTCCTAGCTGTGTGGTCATGGTTTGAACTTCAGTTTCCTCCGATTAAAGGTGGAGCTGATGTTTCTTAATTCAGGAGTCGATTTTAGGATAAAAATACAAATACGTGGCACAGTCATTATCTCTCTTAGATCTGTTTCTCCACATTTCCTGGTGATCCATTTTTATTACATAGAGACAACTAGTTGTTTTTTAGAACTATTTGTTGAAAAACATATCTTTTCCAGCATCAATTTACCTCGGCACTGTTTTTGAAAATCAATTGCCCATGTATGTATGGGTCTATTTCTAGACTCTATTCTGTTCCATTGATCTGTATGTCTATCCTTATGCTAATACTACACTGTTTTGTAAATTAGCTATGTTTCAAGATCAAAGTACTTCTTGAGACCAGGTAATGTAAGTCCCCCAACCTGTTTCTTCTTTCTCAACTTTGTTTGGCTGTCTAGGTCCTTTGGTTTGCCATCTAAATTTAAAATTCATCTTGTCAGTGTCCTCAAAATTTTTATTTTGGATTTTGATTGGGATTACGTTGACTCTATGGATCAGTTTGGGGAGAAATGTCAACTAAGCAATACTGAGTTTTCCAAGCCTTGAATGTAGTATATCTCTTTATTTAGATCCTTAATGTCTCTCAGCAGAGTTTCTGAGTTATTAGTCTCTTATGTGTTAAATTTATTAAGTATATTTTGGTGCTCTTGGCTAATCACTGAAGTGGCTGAGATTTTACTTTACTTGCAGCTAACAAGTTAAACAAGTAGTTTCATGAGTGCTGGCGGAAGACACGAGACCCCTGGGTCAGAGACAAAGGACTCTATGATCCATGGCGTAGCAGATGGAATAAGCTTCAGGTTTATATCAGTTCCCCTTCCCGCTAACTTCCTAGTGCTATTGTAGAACATAAAATCATCTATGCTAGAACATAAAATCATGATCTATTCTAGAACATAAAATGATCTTCTTTGTAGCTTTCCCAAATTATAACCTCATGTCCCCTACAGGATCTTATATACAGTCTGAGTCAACTGTTCTAGAGGCTAAAAATTACACAAAGGACTGAAATTCAGTTTTGCTTTAGTATCAAATCATTAAATTAGAACTTTGGAGATAAGTTAAAATTTGACTTCCAAGTTGTCAAATACAGAAAGGTAAAGAAAGTTTCAAAATGATATGGAAAAGCCAGTATGTACACACTTAAAACCTTATGCCTGTTTATATTTGTTAGAAAAAATAAGCCTGTTATTTCATATAGCCATGTTGTTCTAATTTAATAATATAGATTTCAAATAAACATGGGTTGGACATGGTGGCTCATGCTTGTAATCCCAGCACTTTGGAAGGCCAAGGCTGGAAGGAGGATTGCTGGAGGCCAGGAGTCGGAGACCACCCTGGCCAACATAGTGAGACCCCGTCTCTAATGAAAATAAATAAAGAAAAGAACAAAAGTGCAGAACATTACTAAGGTGGAAATTTGGGGGGAAAATAGTTTACAGTTAATGAATGAAATGAAAAATAAGATGAATTAAATAATACATGTGGATATTTAGGTTTTGATAATCATGGTTCCCTCTGGAGTGCTATAATTAGAATTTATATACCCTAAAGAAGTATTACTGATGTACTTAGTACCTATACTAAAGGTAAAATACACAGAGTGTGGAGTGACTGTATGAAAGGATAACATGTGTACAGATGTGAAAACATCTCCAAGCTATATTATGAAAGAAGCAACCAAGGTATCCTATATTTTTGTGGTTTTCAAGCTCTATCGCATATGTCTTTTGATAAAAGGTGCATTATGGAGAAAGAGCAAAGCTTACCTTATATGGGAATAAGTGTGGTATTTCTAAAAGGAAGCTCTTCTCTTTTATTAAGCCATTTGTAGATTTGAAAGAGGAGAGATGGGAGCCCTTGAAATTCCATAGTCCTGAATCAGACGATGATCTGAACCTGTATCTCTCTATCTTTACTTTAATGTAACTAGAATATGTTGAGCCTGGATCCATGGATGTATTAGTGCCTGTGGCTGCTGTAACAAATTACCACAAACTTGTAACTCAAAGCAACAGAAAGTTATTGTCTTACAGTTCTGGGGGACAGAAGTCTGAAATCATTTTCGCTGGGCTAAAATCAAGGTGTCAGCAGGGCTGTATTCCTTCTTGAGGCTCTGGAGAAGAATCCATTTCCTTGCTTTTGCCAGCTTCTGGAAGTTGCCTGGTTCCTTGTCTCATAGCCCCATGTCACTCCCACCTCTGCTTCCATCATCGCATTGCTTTCTCTGACCTGCCTATCTCCTTCTTGTAAAGACCCTTGTGATTATTTTAGGCCCACCCAGGTAATCCAAGATAATCTCCTCATCTCGACATCCTTAAATTAATCACATCTGCAAAGTCCCTTTTGCCATAGAAGGTGACATATCACAGGTTCTAGGGATTAGGACGCATGGTTCCTTGGGGAACATTATTGTGCGTAGCACAGGTGGGTAAGGTTTAGTAACCTCCAAGCAACACCTCTCCTCCCTGTCCCAGAGAGGCGTGCCTAAAGGCTGAGCTAGAAAAAGTGTGCAGTGGTATGTTCTCAATCATAAGTGAGAGTTGAACAATGAGAACATGTGGACACAGGGAGGGGAAGATCACAGGGAGGGGAAGATCACACGCCGGGGCCTGTCGGCGGGTTGGGGGGCCAGGGGAGGGAGAGCATGAGGACAAATACCTAATGCATGTGGGGCTTAAAACCTAGACGACAGGTTGATGGGTGCAGCAAACCACCATGTCACATGTATACCTATGTAACAAACCTGCACGTTCTGCACATGTATCCCAGAACTAAAAGTAAAATTAAAAAGAAAAAGTGTGCAGTGGGAGCCAGGAGAGCTGCCAATTTATCAATGCATTATTTTAGCAAACTCTTTATTTGGCTTCATCCCCTATCCCCAGCCCCAACACACACACACACACACACACACACACACACACACACACACACACACAACACTCTTAAATAGACGTACACAGAGGCATAAGCTGGACAGCTCTTCGTCTGGAAAGTTCTAACAATCTGAAGATTCCATGACTTGTTGCATGGTGTGTTTTGTTTGTTTTCGAGACAGAGTCTTGCTCTGTCACCCAGGCTGGAGTGCAGTGGTGCCATCTTGGCTCACTGCAACCTCTGCCTCCCGGGTTCAAGCAATTTTCCTGCCTCAGCCTCCTGAGTAGCTGGGATTACAGGTGTGCACCACCACGCCTGACTAACTTTTTGTCTTTTTAGTAGAGACCAGGTTTTGCCATGTTGGCCAGGCTGGTCTCGAACCCCTGACCTCAAATGATCCACCCACCTTGGCCTCCCAAAGTGCTGGGGAAAAGCACTTTGGGGTAAATTACAGGCGTGAGCCACCACGCCTGGCCTGCATGGTGTTTTTTACCTTTGGCTTCCTGCTCAGTTCACCTGGCCCCTCCCTCGGGGAGCACTAGCCAGTTCACTTTCCACGTGGGAGCTATGTTTCCCCACCCACAGGTATGTTCCTGATTCCTGATCTTTGGACTTCTCTGATCCACTTTTTCTTTCTTTCTTTTTCTTTTTTTTAGACAGAGTTTCACTCTTGTTGCCCAGGCTGGAGAGCAGTGGCGGGATCTCAGCTCACTGCAACCTCTGCCTGCCAGGTTCAAATGATTCTCCTGCCTCAGCCTCCTGAGTAGTTGGGATTACAGTTGTGCGTCACCACACCCAGCTAATTTTTCATCTTTTTTTTTTTAATACAGATGGAGTTTTGCCATGTTGGCCAGGCTGGTCTTGAACTCCTGACCTCAAGTGATCTGCCCACCTCGGCCTCCCAAAGTGTTGGGATTACAGGCGTGAGCCACCACGCCCAGCCAGATCCACTTTTTCTAACTGGCCATTTGTATTAGTCTGTTTTCACGCTGCTGATAAAGACATACCCAAGACTGGGAAGAAAAAGAGGTGTAATTGGATTTACGGTTCCATGTGGCTGGGGAGGACTCAGAATCATGGCGGGAGGTGAAAGGCACTTCTTACATGGTGGTGGAAAGAGAAAATGAGAGAGATGCAAAACCAGAAACCCCTGATAAACCCATCAGACCTCATGAGACTTATTCACTACCACCAGAACGCTATGGGGAAACCGCCCCCATGATCTAAATTATCTCCCACCGGGTTCCTCCCACAACATGTGCGAATTATGGGAGTACAATTCAAGATGACATTTGAGTGGGAACACAGAGCCAAACCATATCACCATTTGAGCTGTTGTTGATTTTTTTTTTTTTTTGAGATGGAGTCTTGCTTTGTCGCTAGGCTGTAGTGCAGTGGCACGATCTCCACTCACTGCAACCTCTGCCTCCCGGGTTCAAGTGGCACGATCTCCACTCACTGCAACCTCTGCCTCCCGGGTTCAAGTGATTCTCCTGCCTCAGCCTCCCAAGTGGCTAGGATGACACGCATGCATTACCACACCTGGCTAAATTTTTAACTTTTCTTAGAGATGGTGGTCTCGCTGTGTTACCCAGGCTGGTCTTGAACTCCTGGCCTCAAGCAGCCTTCCTGCCTCGGCCTCCCAAAGTGCTGGGATTACAGGTGTGAGCCACTGCACCCAGGCTGTTGTGGATTTTAATTTGTTTTGTTTTGTTTTCTGATTTTGTATTTTCTCTTCCTTCTATTCTTTTCTCTTCAGATGTATTCATCGAGTACAATTTGTGCTGAGTCATATCACCTATTTATATTTTAATTTTACTATTAGTTTTGGGAAGTCTTAATTATTTTTCATTCAGGAAATTGTACAGTCATCTGTTTCCATTCATAGCCCGTCCCCTTCTCCAAAGAGAACGTCTGATAACAAGTTTTTGGCTACTGTGTAATATGATATTTTTCTATGTAAGTGCATGCACATGTAAACAAAGTAAAACATCATATTAATCACATAGACAGCAAGTGTATTTCAGCTTAAAGGGTCCATAGTAAGCCTTACTTTTTTTTTTTTTTTTTTTTTTTTTGGAGACAGAGCCTTGCTTTGTCACCCAGGCTGGAGTTCAGTGGTGGGATCTTGGCTCACTGCAACCTCCACCTCCCAGGTTCAAGCAATTCTCGTGCGTCAGCCTCCCAAGTAGCTAGGTTTACAGGCATCCACCACCATGCCCAGCTAATTTTTGTATTTTTAGTAGAGACAGGGTTTTGCCATGCTGGCCAGGCTGAGTGTTGGCCAGGCTGATCTCGAACTCCTGGCCTCAAGCAATCCGCCCACCTTGGCCTCCCAAAGTGCTGGGATTACAGGCGTGAGCTACCGCGCCCAGCCAGCCTTACTTTTTATTTTGAAATAATTATAGATTGACAAGCAATTGCAAAACCAGTACAGAGAAGTCCCAAGAACCCAGTTTTCTCTGATGGTTGCATCTTACATAACTATAGGACGGATCCTCCAGCTGCAGTTGCCCTCTAGCCAAAGACCCACCAAGAGTACACCTCTAGTTGAATAAGTTGCATTTATTACTCATTGCAGTGAGGGAGAGCACGCACCATGGGGCATCTCAGAAAGTGTGTGTTAGGAAGAACCTAGTATAGGATTTGGGTTTTGGTTGGGTGACTTGGGGGAGGTCGAAGGGAGTGGGATTCACACTAGATGAATTGCATCTGCTGTCAGAAGGCAGAGGCAAGTCTATAACTGTGTAGCTTGAGTCCTATCTCTAGGGAGAGGAGGCTGGCATTGGGGGCTAAAGCTGTGACTGGTAAAGTAGCAGCAGTCACTGCTTTCAGCCAAGAGAGGGTGATGATTGGTATTTTGTGGGTGGCACAGTGACCTTGTCTTTATGGGTTACTTCAACAAAAATTAGGTAGTGACCTTGTTTTGTCTCACTTCATCATGGCCTCAGAGTAACCTTGTCTGAGGTTGTGTCTTTTGCGATTATGTCTAAAAGGAGAATAACGTGGTATAGCCGTGAATGCCAAGCCAGCTTCCCGATGTCAGGGGCTTTTATTCCAGATCTTTCGTGTACATTGGTACCATGCCTGCGTATAGTTCTCTGCCATTTCATCATGTATGTAGATTTGAGTAACCACCACTGCAATCAGCATCCAGGACTATTCCATCACCACGAAGATGTCGCTTGTGCTCCCCCTTTAACATCACATCCACCTGCCTGCCCCACCACCATCCCTAACCCCTGGCAACCACTAATCCGTTTTCCATCTCTATTGCTTTATCCCTTTGAGAATGCCACGTACATGGAATCATACACTATGTGACCTTTTGATACTGGCTTTCCTCGCTCAGCATAATGCCCAGGAGATCCATCCAAGTTGTCGTGTGTATCAATAGTGTGTTTCTTTTTTAGGGCTAAGTAGTATTCCATACTGTGTGTATTTGTTTTCTATGACTGCTGTAACAAGTTAAAACTTAGCGGCTTAAACAACACAGGTTTTTAATCTTACAACCCTGCAAGCCCTCTGGCATGGGTCTTGCCAGACCAAAATCAAGGTGTCAGCAGGCTGCGTTCTTTTCTAAAGGCTCTAGGGAAAAACCCATTTCATTGCTAATTCCTTGCTAGGGGAATTCAATTCCAAGTGGTTGTAAGACTAAGGTTTCTGTTTTCTTGCTGGCTATCAGCTGAGGGCTGTTCCCAGTTTCTAGATCAAGGCCATCCACATTCCTTGGCTCGTGACCACCTCTGTCTGTGTCAAAGCTGGCAACAGCAGATGGAGTTCCTCTCAGGCTTAGAATTTCTCCTGCCTCTTTCCTCATCACATTTCTCTGACTCACCTTCTTGCTTCCCTCTTCCACATTTAAGAATGCATATCATTTGGCCGGGCACAGTGGGTCACGGCTGTGATCCAAGCACTTTGGGAGGCCGAGGCTGGCGGATCACTTGAAGTCAGGAGTTCAGGACCAGCCTAGCCAAAATGGTGAAGCCCCATCTCTACTAAAAATACAAAAATTAGGCCGGGCGTGGTGGCTGAGGCCTGTAATCCAAGCACTTTGGGAGGCCGAGGCAGGAGGATCGCGAGGTCAAGAGATCGAGACCATCCTGGCCAACATGGTGAAACCCCGTCTCTACTAAAAATACAAAAATTAGCTGAGCATGGTGGCACACACCTGTAGTCCCAGCTACTCGGGATGCTGAGGCAGGAGAACCGCTTGAACCTGGGAGGTGGTGATTGCAGTGAGCCGAGATCGTGCCACTGCACTGCAGCCTGGCAACAGAGTGAGACTCCGTCTAAAAAAAACAAAAAACAAAACAAAACAAAGAACAAAAATTAGCCGGGCATGGTGGTGCATGCCTGTAATCCCAGCTACTCAGAAGGCTGAGGCAAGAGAATTGCTTGAACCCAGGAGGCGAAGGTTGCAGTGAGCTGAGATTGCACCACTGCATTCCAGCCTGGGCGACTGACCTAGACTCCATCTCAAAACAACAACAACAACAAATTCTTATCATTAGATTATTCTCACCTCGATAATTCAGGATGATTTCCCATCTCAAAATCCTTAACCTCAACCACATCTGCCAAGTTCCTTTTGCCATGTAAGGCAACATATTCACAGGTTCTGGGAATTAAGAGTGTGGACTTCTTTGGGGGACCATCATTCTGCCTTACTCATTCTGGATGTAACACAGTTTGTTTAACCATTCATCTATAGAAGGATGTTTGGTTGTTTCCAGTTTTGGGGCTATTAAAAATAAAGGTGCTGTGAACATTCTTGTAAAAAAAAATGGTATATAAGTGGATTACACACCATTTCCTTTTGCAACTGATTTTTTTCACTCGACATCATATTTCTGAGTTGTATTCATGTTGATCTCTATAGCTCTAGGTCCTTTGTAGTGCCATTGTGTTCCATGTGAATAGTGTCCTCCCTTCCTTGCTGTGTAATGTTCTATTGAATGACTGTTCCCCTATTGGTGGACATTTAGGTTGCTTCTAACTTTTTGCTGCTACAAAGAGTGCTGCGGTCAGTATCTTTGTGCAGATCTCCACGTGTGCAGGATGAAGCAGTTTTCTTGACTGGATGAGTAGGAGGGAAGGTTCTGGCCCTAGCACATATGTGTTGTCGGTTCCTACTGGCTATTGTGTAATTGTTCTTCAAGCCCTTTTCACTCCATCAGCAGTGATGAAAGTGTTCTGTGCATCTCTGCCAACATTTGGAGTCGCAGTTCTTTTTAATTTCTAGACTGGTTTCTTTTTCATTTCTTTTACTTAGTTTCTTTTAAATTCTGGACTGGTCTAGGACCTTTCCAAAAGGTATGAAATGGCATCTGAGACTTTTAATTTGCATTTTCCCGATCACTGCCGAGGACACAGGGACACCCCAGTCCAGCACCTCCTTGTTCTACACTCTTGCTGACTTCTTTTCTCCTGACGTTAGCGTTAAGAGGTTGCTGCCTCTACCTGCCTTTAAGTATTAAGATCTGGGCGATGCAACCCGACAACTGAAATTTGGTGTCTTGTCTGAAATTACAGGATGTTCCTCAGGCCGCCGTGTTTCCATGGGAACAAGTAACAGTCATCCTTCATGATTAGGTGGTAACCATGGCAACCAAGCCAGCAGCATTTGAATGAAACTGATTTTATTTTATTTATTTTTTGCAAACACATGAAGGTTAAAATGCATTTCTCCAGCTGTGGCTTCCAAGAATAGGAAGACAGCCTGGTAAATGGAGACCCTTTCCACCTCCTAGAGGAAAGGGGATCCAGGATCAGCTGGTCCCATGGCCTAATTTTGCAGACTAGGTGACCGAGAGGTCACATAGAAGTCATGCAATGAGTTTGAGCCGAGGAGGAAAGACTGCTGGATCATGCTCGAAGGTCTGGGGCGCACTCTTAAGAGATCGGCTGGGTCTCCCTTCCCGTGATCTAACCCTAGGAATGCCACTTTCATACTGTGTGATCTTAGCAGATTCACTTCACCTCTCTGGGTTTCTACTGGCACCAGCTGTGGTGCTAGACCTATGGGACCATGAGGCCAGGCCTCCCAGTGTCTGTTTGCCCAAATTAGAAAAGATTTGCTGCAAAATGAAAGGCCAAAGGCAGCATGCTGGGGCCTAGGACCCCGAGGCTGAATCCCCAGGGTCCAGAGTTAGAACTCAGGGTCAGTTCCCTGCCTTCTTTTCCTGTGTAAAATAATAGAGGGTGTGTGTGTGTTTTTACTTGGTTCCAAGGACTGGAGATGACCACTGCTCTTACTCCCTGACTCATTGGATTGATGAAATCAGCTCAGAGAGAGAAAGGGGCAGCCATGGAGTCACACAGCAGAGTCAGGGTTGAATCCAGGCTCCTGGTGTCAGCTTGGCTCCTCACCCAACCCCATGCTCCATGTCCCCTCCATCTTCTCTGGGGCTGGAAGTGTGGGTTTGGGGGCAGTTTAAGGGACTTTCGGCATATACTCTTGCTTCTTCCCTGGAGGACTTTTAGAGGTAGTCACTTTTGCTTCTCAGAACTTCAGTTTCTCCATCTGGAAAATGGAACTCACTATAGAGCTGCCCAGGTTGTCCTGTGGGATTACATTTGAAAGGGTCCAGAACATGCATTCTCAGCAGGGGCGAGATTGCCCCTAAGTGGGCAAAAAGTTGGTTCTTGGGCTAGAAGATGAAAAAAAACCTTTCTGTACAAAGCCCAGTATACACACAGTACATAAAAGATACTGTATGTCTGTGATATTAAAATTTTATGGAGGGGAAATTAGGAAAAAAGTGTCTAAGAAGACTTTTAAGGGAGAGCGACAATGAAAAAACATTGAGAAACGTGGGTCCAGAACCCAGCGATCCATGTCTTCATTAACTTTGTGTTTAGAGCTTACGGCAGGTGGCTGGCTCCGTGGGGAAGGTGTGTGGGGTGTCAGGTCAGGAGAGAGCCTGGCCTGGCCCAGACTCTGCCCTCGATGTTCAGTGTGACCACGGGCACATCACAGCTCCTCTCAGGGCCTGGTTTCCCCATCTGTGGGTAAAGGAGGTCCCATCAGCTCCATGGGTGACTCCCAGGCAGTTGAGCTCCCACCTGGTGGATCAGTTCAGGGTCTGGAGAAAAGCAGGTGGTGCCTCAGACTATGGTGATTAGAGGAGCGTTTAATAGAGGGGCTGCTTATGAAGGCGTGGGCAGGCCTCGGGAACCACGGGGCAGTGCAGGACCCCAAAGCTAGGGACAGCGGGGGCTGCTTCCCTGAGGCCCCATGGAGGAGGGGAGAGCGTGGTTGCTGGGAGGCAAAGGTCCAGAAGATAGGGTCATCCCGATGGTGGCTGGGACCTTCCGTGGAGGAGGCAGGCAGCCCAGATGACTCTCCCTCCTCCCCTCATCTCTTGCCAGGGTTCCTCTTTGGCCAAACCACATGGAAGTTGAGGGTCTAGAAGCTCAGATCATAAAGTCTATACAGGCCAGTGCCCTGGAGCAGAAGGCAGTGCACAGAGACGTGGAGAATGGAACTAGGGGCCACACAGGAGATACCTGGGAAGGTGCCCCAGGTTTCCCTCCAGTTTCGTATGGAGTGCAGGCCTTGCCCTGGGTGTGGGCTGGGAGACTGGAGAGGTCAGGGAGGAGAGCCAGCCGCCCTGTGCAGGAGGGAGAGTGGGCCCCTATCCTCCGGCCACCTGGGATCCTTGCGGCCTTCCTAGCTTCTCAGGTGGAGGGGTGTAGCCAGGGCTTCTGAATGGAAGTTAAAGACTTCTGGGAGCACTCTTTGCTATAGACCTGTTGTTGAGGGATCACACACACATTTCTTTGCTTCTGGTCTCAGCTTCATCATCTGTCGAATGGGAGATTGGACCAAGCAACCTCTGAGAGCTTCCTGGCCCAGACCCAGGAGGCAAGAGGCAGGATTCTGGGCATCAGTGTTGGTCTCAGTGGAAAGACATCCTCACCGGGCACCCAGTGTTCTACCAGGGCACTCCATGCACCTCTTGCCTGGAGTGGTGAGGGCCCACCTACCCAGGAAAGTGTAAAGCTGTGGCCAGGGTGGTGTGTGTGTGTGTGTGTGGTGTGTGTGTGTGTATGTGTCAGGAGAGGGAGGGTAGTTCCTGGAAGCTCCAGCTGCTTTTGTCCTGGTGATCCCAAGACCCCTGTGGGGCAGCCTGACTCTGCCAACCAGGTTCCATAACTGCAGTGGGTACCCCGTGTTTGTTGGTTTGATGGAGGCATCTTGACTAAGCACTGCAGGGTGCCTGGCTCTGGGTGGGGGTGGGAAACAGACAACCCATCTTCCTGCTGAGTCGCCAAGTAGCAAGTCTGCAGGGCTGACTGATGTGCGGGGTTGTGAGTCATCCTTCCTAAAGTGATCTGGGCGCCCCCAGCATTGCCCCAGAGCTCAAAGGATGACAGTTCCCGCAGGAGGCCATTCCAGGGAAGAGAATTCTAGGGAGGGGGAGAGCATAGGTAAAGGTGTGGAGGTGGGACATTCCTGCATCGTGGCAGGTACAGCAAAGAGGGTTAGCAAGAACAGAAGCCAGAGAGTGTGTGAGGTAGAATGGCTTTCGGTGCCAAGGTGAGGAGTCCCTTCTTTCTGAGGGCATTGAGGGCATTAGAAGCAGTCGGGCTTAGGGTCCTGACTGTGCCTGGCACTGCCCATCTCCCACTTCTACCGCTTTCCCTAGAAAGGTGGCTGAACCCGGGGGTCTGCCTCTGGCTAAGGTTTGCATCCTGAGACTAAGCCCTGAGTACCTCCTATGCGTTGGCCCCTTGGCTGGGTGTTGGGACCCATGGGACTTAAGGCTGAAGGAGCCATGGACTCGGTCCAGACACACTGGACCCTCATTCCTGTTGTGGTGCTCAGTAGCCCTGTGACCTTGGGCTGGTGACTGCACCCTGAGCCTCAGCTTCTGCTCTGGTCATTGGTAGCTTGGCTGAGTATAGCAGATGGGACACAGGTTATGGGTGACAGCCTCCCAGAGGGAGGTGGCATGTGCTGTCACAGAGGACAGGAGGGTGCTCCAGGTGGGTGGTGCGAAGGGGTGAGAGATGAAGGCAGACAGGAAAGCATGGGAAGAATTTTCCTAGCAAAACCTCCAGAAAGAGTGGTTATCCCCTGACTGTGACTAGAGAGATTGTGGAGGAGGAGGTCCAAGGAAAGTTCTAAGCAGGAAGCACCGTGCGGGAACAGCAAGGGCCTTAAGAGACGGCGCCAGGCTGAGGATGAGCCATGTGGGAAGGGAGCTTTTCTGGAAGAGGCGCCTGGGGCTGGATGGTCTGGACCTGGTGTCAATGCCTGCCCCAGGCCTGCCTGGAGGTCAGCGGGCCTGAACCAGTCTCAGGACAGCTTTGCCTGCTTGGCCATGAGCCAAGGCTCAGGATGAAGCCTGTGCTTCTGTGGACTCCTGTCCATGTGACTGTGTGGAGGGAATGGCCTGGAAAGCACACAGTGCCCCAGCATCCTGTTCTGCCTTCTGGAAAGCCTGCTCCTTGTGTGAACCCCATGTCATCTGTCCTGTGTGTGTGTGCGCACGTCCCCTGCTCAGTAGGTACCTGGGGTGGGTCTGGGAGTGTACACATTGGAGTATCTGCATGAATATAAACATGCACATGTGTTTGTCTGGGCATTACCGTCTCACTCCACACCCCTGTGTGTTCACACCTACCAGGGAAACCTCTGCCCTGTCCTTCTTCTCCCTTGCGAGTCAACAGGTCTTTCCCAGGCACCCCCCACGCACCAGGCTCCATGCAGGGTGCTGGGGAGGTGGAGATGCAACCAGCTTAGGCGTAGGTGTTAGGAGTTCTGCAGACGCACACACACACACACACTCACACACACACGCACACACACTGCAAATGAGAGCGTTGATAGGAGACTCAGGTCTAGTTATTGCTGTAGGAGCCAAAAGCGAGGCAAGAGCTGGAAGTAGAGGGGGTCACCCAGGACCTCCTCCAGGGCCTGCAGGATGGACCAGGCTGGGGAAGGGGAGCAGGAAGGGAGTCCTCTGTTGGGGGCCACCTCTGGAGCAATGGCAAAGAGGCAGCTGGTGCCACGCTGTTGTGGGGGAACCAGTGAGGAAAGTGGCCAGGTTGGCAGGTTGGACAGACTCAGGAGGTTTTATGTAGGTGTGCTAAGGCCATGACTAAAAGTTTTCAATGAGCTGTCACCATTTAAGAGTCAGAATACTTCATATTTTGAAAAACCCAGATTATCAGCCTCTCTTGAACCATGGCAGCTATGGCTGCCCTGAGCCCCTCCTTGTGATGTAGCAGTAACCAATTAGCGCCGAGTGGCTGGCTGCTTTCCTAGATTCTGGATTTCCTGCTGGCCTCTGTAGGCCTCCCAAGTTTAAAGCCTCTGGAAAATAACTGGAAGCCAGAAGTCACAGATTCTCATGTTTGAAAAAACGTGGGGGCTGACATAGTGGCTGAGCCCTGTAATCCCAGCACTTTGGGAGGCCAAGGTGGGAGGATCGCTTGAGGCCAGGAGTTTGAGACCAGCTTGGGCAACAAAGGAAACCCCCATCTCTACAATTTTTTTTAAAAAAATTAGATAGGTGTGTTGGGGTGTGCCTGTGGTCCCAGCTACTTGGGAGGCTGAGGCAGGAGGATTGCTCGAGCCTAGGAGTTCTAGGCTGGTTGAGTATGATTGCATCACTGCACTCCAGCCTGAGCGAAAGAGTGAGACCCTGACTCTAAAACAAACAGAAAACTTGAGAAGTCATCCAAGCTCCCCAAGTGTGGCATCCCAGGAGATGGCTCAGTTATCTGTCTGCTTATATGCCTCCAGTGACAGGGAGCCCACTACATTACAAGGAGTGGGGGTTTTGGGGAACCTTTCCCCCCGCTTTTTTTTGAGACAGAGTCTCACTCTGCTGCCCAGGCTGGAGTGCAGTGGCACGATCTTGGGTCACTGCAACTTTCGCCTCCCGGGTTCAAGTGATTCTCCCACCTCAGCCTCCCGAGTAGCTAGGACTACAGGCACACAACACCACACCTGGCTAATTTTTGTATTGTCAGTAGAGACAGGGTTTCACCATGTTGACCAGGCTGGTTTCGAACTCCTGACCTCAGGTGATCCTCCCGCCTCGGCCTTCCAAAGTGCTGGGATCACAGGTGTGAGCCACTGTGCCAGGCCTTTTTCCCCCCTTTTTAAAAAATTGCGATAAAATATGTAAAACATAAAAGTTATCATTTTAACTAGTTTTAAGTGTACAATTCAGTGGCATGAAGTCCATTTGTAATGTTCTGCAACCATCACCACTATCCATTCCTAAAACTCTTCATCACCCTTTACAGAAACTCTGTACCATTAAGCAATAACTCCTTGTTCCCCTCTCTCATCAGCCTCTGCTAACTTCAAATCTGCTTTCTGTCTCTACGAATTGGCCTCTTCTAGATAGTTCATATAAATGGGATCATACAAAATATGTCCTTTTGGGTTACTCAGCGTAATGTTTTCAAGGTCCATCCACATTACAGCTTAAATCAGAACTTCATTCCTTTTTAGAGCAGAATGGTATTCCTTTGCATGTCAGTACCATGTGTGTGTGTCCATTCTTCTGCTGATGGACCCTTGGGTTTCCACCATTTGGCTGTTGTGAACATTTGCATACAGGTATTTGAGTACTTGTTTTCAATTATTTTGGGTTATACCCAGGAGTGGAATTGCTGGGTCATGTGGTACTTGTATTTTTAATTTTTGGAGGAACTGCCAGACTTTTCCATAGTGCCTGGACCATTTTCTAGGGACCGGTTTGTCTGTTGTCCTGACTGGGATGGGAGTGGCAGGAGGCCCTAGCTGTGTGGCCTTGGCTGTTCTTGTTCAACCTCTCTCTCCTCCTCTGTTGGCAGAGTCGCCTCAAGAAAGGCCGGGCTCTCGGCGCAGCCTGCCTGGCAGCCTTTCCGAGAAGAGCCCCAGCATGGAGCCCTCGGCCGCCACGCCGTTCCGGGTCACGGTAACTATCTCTGCGTCACCAACACCGCCACTGCCACCACCATCACCACCTCGCCCGGGGTGCTGCTCTGTGACCCCACGGCCCCCCTTCCTGGAGCCTCATGGACCCGGAGAGCATCCGGCCTCCCTTGCTCTAGGTATCCGATCCCTCAGCTGCTCCCATCTCCGTGGCTCAGCCCTGGTCCCGGGGGCCACATGGGGGGTCCCATCCTGAGAGGGAGGGGGCAGGTGGAGGACAGACAGCACCGAAGGCTATGGGGCCCAGCGCTGAGCTGGCCCGGAAAGAGAAGAGGCTCTTGTTAGTTTAGATAAATGTACCCTTGAGGGCGCACACACACTGTGCTTCTGCAACCCCGAAAAGATGCACTATTTTTGTTTCCATATATTTTAACACCTCTCATGGCATACCATAATTTAAATCTTTCTTGGTGGTACATAAAATAATGCTATATATTATAACTGATGATGGCTTAGAACCGACAAAACACAGAATATATATCATAGCTATTGAACTGAGTGGTCCCCACAAGCACACAGACTTTTTAAAAATTACAAACCTAAACAACTTTATGGAAACAGAACCCAATGACCCTTAACGTCTGACTGTTCATACCCTTCTGCATTTGTGCATGTACACACACACACACACACACACACACACACACACACACACCAGAGTTCTGGGTCCCTTCACTCCCTCGTTCAGGAGCATTACTGTGTGTACCTCTCTCCAGGGCTGTGCCAGGCACCAGAAACGCAGCGATGACATAGACACATTCCTTTCTCCACGGAGCTCAGGTCTGTAGGTCAGGTGGATGTTGGATGGTTTGTTCATCCATTCATTCACTCATCAGTTATTCTGGCATGCCTGCTGTGTGCAAGCAGAGGAAAGAAGGTTCTGGGTGGCAGGAACAGAGAGTGTGCAGGCCTGGCTGTCACTGGATAGCATCATATAGGGGCTCCAGGGGAGCTGGAAGTGATTGGCTATTCACAGTGGGTTGGGAGGGGGTCCCACGGGAGCTGGCTTTTGAGCTGCATCTTGAAGGGTCCGTAGAAAATGGCTAGGCAAGGACAGAGAGAGAGAGAGAGGGACTTCCGGGGAGGGAGAACAGCAGTTGCAAAGGTATGGAGGCACCCTAGAAATTTCCTCTGCTTGCCATAGGGCTGGCTCCTCATCCCTTGGGCATCAGCTCAGATATCAGCTCCTGACCACACCACCTCAAGGAAGCCCTCTTGCTTTTCCGCCATCACAGCAGCCTGCTCTTCTGTTTCCTAATACTTAGTGTCAGCATGAGAATGTGAGCTCATAAGGTCAGGGGCTGATGTGTTTGTGGCATGCAGAACTGCTTGGTGGAGCTGGAGTTGAGGGGATCTGGAGGACAGTGTAGGAGGTGAGGCTGGGAGGCCTGGCCGAGTCAAGGTCACGTGGAACCTCCAGTACCAGGCCAAAGGGATGGGGCTTTCCCCAGGGCCACTGATTCTCTCCACTGCCAGTATGTTATAAAAATGCCTTAAAAACTAGCTTATTGTCCTTCTTTAAGATTTCAGTCCACTGGGCCAGGGCAGGGCCTGGGAACCTGCATTTTAACAAGCTTTCCCCAGGAGGTGATTCTGAGTCCCCAGCTGGGGGTTGAGCCCATGGGCAATGAGGAGGAAGCCTGCGCTGAGACGATTCAGGGTCATGGCCCTGAGTTTGGCCAGGGGGTCTCAGGAAGCTGGTCTCCAGCCTGCAGGGAGCGCTTGGAGGCTGGGACAAGGGTGACCCCCATCAGCTGGAGCGAAGACCAAGTTCTGATCTCTCTGGATCCCTGGGGCCACAGCAGGCAGGGTGGGCCTTCAGGGGGACCCTAGGGAACGATGACTAATAATAATTAGTAATAGTAGCCACCTCCATTGATGAAGTGCCTACTGTGTGCCAGGCACTGGGCTCACTGTCCTACATCCCTGATCTCTTTTTTTTTTCTTTTTTTTTTTTTTTTTGAGACAGAATCTTGCTTTGTCGCCCAGGCTGGAGTGCAGTGGTGTGATCTTGGCTCACTGCAACCTCTGCCTCCCGGGTTCAAATAGTTCTCCCACCTCAGCCCCCCGAGTAGCTGGGATTACAGGAGCCTGCCACCACCCCCAGCTATTTTTTGTATTTTTAGTAGAGACGGGGTTTCACCATGTTGGCCAGGCTAGTCTTGAACTCCTGACCTCAGGTGATCCTACCACCTCGGCCTCTCAAAGTGCTGGGATTACAGGCATGAGCCACCACGCCCAGCCTACCTGATCTCTCTTCATCCAGGAGACACACCTACAGCTGAAACATTGGTTACCCCATTTCCCAGGTGAGGAAACAGGTTCCGAGAGGTAAAGTCACTTGCTGCCCAAGCTCCAACTGCTACTAAGTGGCGGAACCAAGATTCGACCCCAGGTCTCTGTGACTCCAGGGCATGAGGCACACCCATCCTCAGGCTAGGAGGCGGATCCATTGCCCCACACCCCCCCAGAACCCCATCAGCATCGCTTTTCCGGCTATTTCCCTTTCTGAGTTGCTCTAATAGGGGTATTATCACACCTTAAAGTTTTTATAATTTGCAGCTCTTTAAGTGACAGCTAGGATCAGTGTTTTCCCTGTAGTGGTGTCTTCATTCTGTCTCCCAGGGTAGAAACCACCTTCAGTCAGAGCCAGCCTTGGGAACCTCGAGCTGCCTGGGACTCAACTCGCAGTCCCACCTGCCCGGTTAGGGTCTGCAGGATGGAGAGCGTGTTCAAGGTGGTCGTTTTGCCCACTTCTCATGGCAACCCTCTAGGGGAGGCACCATTAGTGTGCCCATTTCACAGGTGAGGAAACTGAGGTTCAGAGGTGAAATTCTTTAGCTGGTGTCACTCAGCTCCTGAGTCAGGACTGCCGGACATCTACGTTTTGTGTCCTTTCCTGGGCACCTTGGTCCTTAAGAGATGTGATTTGAGATTCTCTTCTGGGCTGGGTGCTGGGAGCTGAGGGGACTGGAGAACTCAGAGGTGGGGATCTGGGTTCAAATCCCAGATCTTCCATGACCCATGTGATTTCAGTAGCCACTGAGCCTCTCCGAGCCTTGTGTTCTTGACAGTAAAATCTGGAATGACAGACTTTGCTTGGACTGTGGACTTGGTGAATGTGGTCGCCCAAGTCTGACCCATGGTAGGTGCTTCATGGATGAAATCCATCATTAACATCCAAATCGGGTTTCCATTTTTGGCTGTAAAACATCAGTAAAGATCTAGGAGGGTTGGAGTACAGGCAGAGGACAAGGTGTTTGGGGGAAGGTCAGTGGTGAGCCTGGCCTGGGCCTTGGGGACAGTCCCTCACACAGACCCTGTGCAGGGCCAGAAGCACCCTCCTCCCTCCCCTAGCCCGTAGCACACACTTGCTCACTTACAGGCTCCCAAAAGCTATGTCCTCACGTGCTCAGCTGACTTTTGCTCTGTGTAGACCCTCGAGGGAACCCAGGAAACATGGTTTTGCCTCGGGGAGGCAGGGGAGATGCCACAGGATGTACTGGAATAACTGCCACCTTCACTGCCATTTCAAACCCAGATGGCAGGCTGTCAGCATCTCTTACAGGGGTGCTCCGCAGGGAGAATCAATGAGTCACGGTGTAAGGTCTACAAGGCTCAGCCTGTCCACCTTCTCCATGGAAACTGAGGCCTGGGAAGGGCTTGTCAGAGGTCACCACCCAGCTGACAGCAGTTCAGGAGCCTGGGTTGTTTACACCATCACATGCCACCCCTCCTCATTTTGTGAGTCAGCCGAGGACCTGCAGCCACTCTGTAGGGCATTGAAGGCTCAGTGCTAGTCCTGCCCCTGCCTCTTGTAGACTGTATGACCCTGGGAGAGCCTCAGTTTCCCCTTTTGTGAAATGTGGGGGATGGACTTTGTAAGGCAGCGTACAGTTCAGGCATAAATAGGTGCTTAAATGTTCTGGTGCAGTAGCTAAGAGAATGGGCTCTAGAGAGTTCCCCGACCCAGGTTTCAGGCCCTGCACAGCCTCATACCAGCTTTGTGGCTTGCTCAGGAGTGGAACTTTTCTGCCTATCTGGGACAACTCCCTCCCTCCTATAGGGAGAGTTGGGGGGTAGGGGAGTGGCTCTCCAGGACCACACAGTGCTACGAGGCTGGCATGTGCCCTGCAAGTTATAGGGGGCCCTGAATGAGGATGGGGGAAGGGGCCTGGGAGTAGATGACCAGAGAGGCTTCCTGTGCATCTGTGGCCATCAGCTCTCAGGCTCCTGAGATTCAAACCCAGGTCTGTCTGCTCTGTGCCAGTAGTGTCTCCTGGAAGGGAAGGAGGGAAGGGTGGCAGGCAGCAAGCTGGGGCCCTGGATCTGCATAGACCAATGGTCAGACTGGGTCTGGGGGCTTTGCATGTGCCCACCCAGCTTCCCCAGGCCCTGGACCCCTTAGCAGCAACAGCATGCTGTTCTTTCTCTCCTGCCACTCCATGGCAGAGGAGCCGTGGTTTGATTTGGGAGGCAAAGAGCTGATGACTCTTCCTGGTCTCCCCACGAGCTCCTTAGCCTGCTCCCTTCCCCAGCCCCAAACTTCCCTGTTGCGGGCTGGGTCCTTCCTCCCTCCCTCCTTCCTCTGCCCCCACCCCCCTCCCATCAACCTTGAGGATGGCTGGCAGGCCTGGGGTGTGGGAGGTGGCAGAGGCTCAGGGAAACTTGACAGCCAATTGATTCCTCCTCGGGAAGTTGAAAGTGGAGAGTCGTGTTTGAAGGTTTAGCTGAAATTAGGTCTCAGGGCTATTTTTTGCGAGATGGAGAAGGAGAAGTGTCAGGGAGGGGAAGGCCCAGGGGTCTGGCAGAAACTGCAGATAAACTCAACATTGGGTTGATTATGGATGCTTCTAGGAGCAGGTCTTTGGTTTCTTTCAACAACTCACTTTTATTGGTGCTTGGTTGTGCACACCCTGCATAGGATGCTGTGACAGAACAAGGAACAGTTATCTCTGGCCAGGAAGGACAGGGAAGAATTCTTAAAGAAGGGACTCTTGGGGCTGGGCTTTGAGGAGTGTATAGGAGTTCGTCAGGAACCAAGGGAGAAGAGTATTTCAGTTAGTGAAGTGAATAGAAGGAAACAAGCTAATGGCCCTGTGTGATTGGAGTGCTGGATGGGTTCAGGGCCTGGAGAGAAGAGTGAGAGACCTTGGTGGGTGAGCTAAAGCCTTTGGACTTTCCCCTGCAGGATACAAGAACCACAGTGGATGATGGCTGTGAGTGGAGCTAGCAGTAGACCTCTGAGCTGTGGACCTCAGGTTTTCCAGCTGCTCACCCCTTTTCTCACTCCTGTAGCCTCCCTGCACCCTCCCCATGTTTCAGCTGTCTTTCTGTCACACAAACTCAAGAAACAGGCATGTGAACACAAACATGCAAGCTAGTGGGTGACCCTCCCGCCCATGTCACCATGGAAAGGCTGTTGGAAATTAACTGGTTCAACCCTTCCCTATACAGAGGAGGGACTGAGAATCATAGACGGGAGGGTCCTTTCCTGAGGTCACACAGCATGTCTAGGGTAGGGCCTGGAGTTGAGCCCAGGTCTCTGTCCCTCTCCCCCGCATCCAGTGGTCCTCACCCCTTACTCCTTCCTGTCCTCTCCTCCCAGCACCTGGATATCAGCCACCCCGTCTGAGCTGAGCCCTTCTCCCAGCCCCCATCACATTTCCTGGGAGGAATGGGTGTTCTTTGGTCCAACTGCCCTCGGAGCCCCACGACAGCTCCTTCCCGCTCATCTGCACACTGCCCCCTCCTGGCCACCAGGCCCCAGCCCCAGCTGTAGAGGGACCCGAAGTTTGGGCTGCGGGCTGCCTGAAGGAGGAATGCATGACTTCAGGTCCAGGAGGGGGCATTCTCTGCTCCCTGCAGAGCCGGCCCCGCTGCCCCCCATTTGTGCCCCTTCCAAGCTACGGAGGCTCCGGGTGGCTGTTGGGGTGGGGAACAGAAAAGCCAGCCAGGCTCACAGATCAGACAAGCCAGATCTGTCCCAGGGTATATGGGGAAACTGAGGCCTGGAGAGGAGCAGCTTGCCCAGGATACTTGCTGGGGCTCCCTCCACTGGCCCAGGCTGCTGTGGGTCCATCTCAGATGGTCGTTCACTTGGGACATATTTATGTTTGTGGCCCATCAACCAGTGGAGGGATGTCAGCCACGTGGTCCTGGCTGTAACAGGGCGGTAGTGCTGGACCCCTGGGTGGGGTCCCACCATGGGCGCCCCAGTTTTCTCCTTGAAGTATGAGGAATTTGCTTAGTTCTGCTCTGTGAGTCAGTCTCCTGACCCAGCATCCGGCGTGTATTCAGCGGATGGGCGGGGTGGTGGAAGAGCAAACCCTGCCCCCTCCGCCCCCTCCACCCTCACTCCCTCCATCCCTGCCCTTCACGGAGGCTGATTGGTATTAAACTATTCAAACCCAAAAGGAACATTACCGTCATTTTGGTCTGTGTCTGCCTTCCGCGGGGGGCATCCCCCTTTTCTGCAGAGGGAGTGTTGGAAGGTGGGACTCAGGAGTTGTCCGGGGTGGCCAGGGTGGGGCAAGGATGTTCTTCGGGGCAGGAGTCTGGGGACAGGGGGTCTTGGAGCCTCCTGAATCCAAGACCAGGCTAGTCTGAGGCCTGGGACAGAGGTGGGACTGCTGCAGTATTGGTAGGGTTGGGAGGCTGTCGCCCCACCCCATTAATACACAGGAAGGTGGTTTCATCAGCTCCATTTTACAGTTGAGGATCCCAGGCTTAGGGAGGAGAGAGGCCTGGCCTCAGCAGGTCTCCAGCTGGTGGGTGGTAGGGGCAGGAGCCCAGCTCTCGTCTGCGAGCCTTGCTGCGGTGTGAACGAACTTACTTTCTTCTCTCCTTTTGCCTTTCTTTATTCTTTCTTTCGATAAATTTGCCATCATCACCAACTATGTGTCAGGGCCTATGCCAGTCATTGAGGATACAAAGAGGATGAAAACGTAGTTGCTACCTGCAGAAATACAGAAGGGCCAGCCGGGGCTTGGTGAAGTAATTTCCAGGCAGGTGAAGGGGAAAGGACATTCCAGGCAAAGGCCAGGACATGGGAAACAGCATGAGCAAATGACAGCAGGAACTGAGCGCAGTTTGGGGGCTGAAATGTGAGGAAGTGGCTGGAATGGAAGCGACAAGAGATCCACGGCAGTGAACAGAGCAGATGGGATCTAAGGCCATATTAACAGGAGTATGAGGTCCTCAGCAAGGGAGGTGAGGTGGGCCAGAGTAGGCCAGAGCAGACATGGAGTGCAGCATACTTGACCAGGCTAGGAGAGTCTGGAGCTCCTTCAGTGGGCAGAGACCAAGACTGGGTGGGGATCCAGCATGGGGTTGGGGGGACAAGCAAATTGCTTTTCTCAAGCAGGTTCTCAGGAGCCTGTTCCAACCCCCCCAACATCTGTGCTCAGAATGCCCTTGGGCAGGGGTAGGGGGAAGAGCCCACTTCAAGGATCCCTGGAATCTTCTGCCTCATCCTGGCAAGTGGCAGCTGGCTTGGGCAGTGTGAGTGAGGAGGATGGAAGTGAAGGGAACAAGCCAGCCTCTGTACCCCCTCCTCTTCCTGCCCTGGGGACTTCCAAATACATCAGAAGGCCATCCCTGTAAATTCCATTTCCCCAGCCCTGCACTTAAGCCTGTTGGGCAGCATGGAATCAGATGAACTGGTTCCCGTTAAGGTGTAAAGGCCACCACCCCAGTCCCTGCCAGGTTCAGTAACTGGCGAGTGGAATGCTCTCTGTGGGGGCCTTTCTTCCTCTCTTCACACCCACTCAGGGTCTTGGGGTACAGTGCTGGCCTCTCCCAGGGATAGTCCCCCCAACCCAGGGATGAAGCAGGATTAGAATCTTGGCCACTGCTCCCTTCTGTAGGATGGCTCAGGCAAGTTGCCCCACTCTCTTTCCCTGTCTGTAAATGGGCAGGAACCCCTCCCCACAGAGTGGCTGTGAGGGCTCAGTGCCTGGCACAAGGCAGCATTCCCCACACCTGTTCCCTTTGCTTGTGTGAGGGGTGCACCTCCACCCCACATTTCCTCCAGAGCCCCAGGTAACTGGGCAGACCCCTCCCACTTCCATACCCTTCCGTCACGGCCCCAAAGCAACATCACCCCTGACTGAACTTCTAGGGCTCAGCCCTGGCAGTAGAAGGTGGAGAGGGGCTGGAGGGGTTCCTAGGGGACCAGAGACCAAGTTCTTAGGTGGTGAGTTCAGATGGAGATGGAGGTGTCTGCGCAGGGTGGTTTCCTGCCAGTTGGGGGCAGCAGAGGGTAGCAAGTGGACTTCTGGGTGGCTCCTCCCAGTGAGTGTTGAAGTCCCAGGGGTTTGTGTGTCAGGGGCCACAGGGAGCTGGCCCAACAAGGTGTTAGCTGGCTAAACAAGGTGTAGAACATACTGCTGGGGGCTGGGAGCAGCTCAGATCCGGGAGCACCTGTCAATGGCTGGGCCTGGCATGACTGGCTGTGCCAGCTGGGCCTAGGTTGACCAGAAAGCCAGGGGTTCTGAAAGGGGACCCTGGTCAGGGACACTGGATGGAACAAGGTCTGGGGCTGGGACAGCTGTCCACCAAGAGAAAGGGCACAGGGTGAGGTGGACCAGCATGTGATCTGTCAGGCAGGGCTGCTGCACTGTGGTCACCAGGCTGGGGCCAACAGACACTCAGTCACTGCCACCCTTTGATGGGTTATAGGCACCTGTTCCACCTACCACTGCTTTGAGAGGGGGTAAGGCGGGCATTGTGGGAGAGGCAGGGTGGTGGTCAGAGCTTGCACTCCAAGTCCCACTGGCCTGGGTTCGAATCCCAGCTCTACCACCTCTGCTGTCTGTACGATGGGGGATTTTGAATCCTGTTCTGCATAGTACTCTGAGTCAGGCCCTGTGCTGAGCACTTTCTAAGTATTGTCTCATTTAATCCTTACAACTCGAGGCTCAGATAACACAAATCTCACTCATAGAAGGTGACAAAATCAAGGCAGATGGGGAGTGAAGAGATAGCTGAGGGTGGCTCCTCTCATGGGCCTGGATCTTGAAGTTCTCACAGCGCCTGGACCATAGCATGCAGCCCAGTCTTTGCTAGTCAGTGCTGTTTTTCTCTTCATCTTACGGACGAGGATGTTGAGGCCCAGAGAGGGGAGGTGCATTGTCCTGGGCCACACGGCTTGCAGGGACAGAGCTGAGATTTGGACCCAGGCCTCCCCATCTCTCTGCCTTATCTTGTCCTGCCCCTACTTTGAGCAGGCCTGGCCCTAGGGGTCAGACACCCCTGGGATAGGAGAGAACTGCTCTCCTCTTGTCATCCTGCCCTGTGGCCCTGCAGGTCCTCCCCTTTCCTGGGAGGTGGGGGAGCCTGCATGTCAGGGGCAAGGCTCAGACGCCTTCATTTTCCCACCTCCTCATGCTACAAAAATGAAACGATCAAGTGGTATTTTGGTGGGATTACAGACATAATTATATCTGAGTTGTCAAGCGGCAATTGTTGTTTCCAAAGCCAGGAGGCCCTCTGTGGAGGTGGCAGCAGTGACATCTGTTTCTAACACAAGGCTCTGCATCGGGATGAGTAACTTCTCCTGTGGAATTGCTTAAAGAACGTCTAAAACGAGCTGAGCTTGTTACTCCCCTGCTCCAGCACCTTAGATGGCTCCCAGCAGGGTGGGGGATCCAGCTCCCCGGCCTGGCATTCAAGCCCCCCAGGCTGTCCCAGCTTCCACGCCTTTGTGTGGGCGGATCCTTCTACCCACAATTCCTCCCCATCTCTCTCTGTCTCCAGAGCTCACTAGTGCCATCCAGGGCTCTGTCCAGGTTGCAGAACACCCCATCTGTACACGCTCCCTCACGGACTCTGTGACTTCATGATCCATCACTTCTGTCTCTCCCACCAGACGGTGGTCACCTTCTCAAGGACAGGGACTGTTTCTGATTTGTCTGAACTCCCAGCACTGGGGCAAGGACTCACCTGTGGCAGGCTCATGAGGGGCTTGCGGAATGAAGGTGCACGAGACAGAGAGAGACAGGGAGTAAACGAATTAAATGGAGTAAGCGCAGGGTGAGCAGGGAAGAGGGTGAGCCGTGACCTCTCCACTTCTGCCAGCCCCCACACTTCTGCCAGCCCCCACACTGGGTGTCTGAGGCCAGAGTGGTCCCCTGCCTTGGGAGGACAGGTCAAGACAAGTGACCCAGCCCACCAGAGGCCAGCAAGGACACCAGCCCTTGCCTTGAAAAGTGCCGGACGTGGTGGCTCATGCCTGTAATCCCAGCATTTTGGGAGGTTGAGGTGGGTGGATCACCTGAGGTCAGGAGTTCTAGACCAGCATGGTCAACATGGTGAAACCCTGTCTCTATTAAAAACACAAAAAATTAGCCGGGCGTGGTAGCGCATGCCTGTAACCCCAGCTACTATGGAGGCTGAGGCAGGAGAATAGCTTGAACCTGGGAGGTGGAGGTTGCAGCGAGCTGAGATCGCGCCACTACACTCTAGCCTGGGTGGCAGAGTGAAATTCCATCTAAAAAAAAAAAAAAAAGAAACTGACCTTGACTCCACCCCATACCCATGGGCCTTCTGAGGCCAGGACTCCCAGGTGAACCTTGGCCCGCAGATGGTAAATCACCCAGGAGAAATAGCCTATAAAATCCTCTCCTAAAATGGTGCATTTTGTATTCTGTAGTGAAAAGGGCTTTTAAAAGCACTGCTTACTCAGGTGGATTTATGGAGTTTCCCCCACCCCTCCCTCCCACTAGTGTTTACTGGTCCTCAGTCCTGGAGCTCCCTGGGGTCCTGTTTTTTCCTTGGTGGCTCTTGGTCCAGGGAGAGAAACAAGATAGCATCTCTTTCCTGCCTTGCTGCCTTGGGGCCCCCCGGGCCAGCTGGGTGCCTGGAAGTGCAGGGGAATCCTACCCAACAGAAGCTCCCTGTGGCCCAGCGCAAACCTGAAAGTCCCACCATTAGTGCCCATTTGTCCCCGGGAGACTCCCCCCCCATGTGTTGTCACCTGCAAATGGGTCACCAGGGAGGCACAACAAAGCTGGAAAGAATTCAGAGATCAGCTAGACTAATCCCCGCATTGTACAGCAGGGAAACTGAGTCACAGAGCAGCTTAGGTGCTGGCTCAACGCCTCAGTCTGGTAATGGAATTACATGAGAGCTTTAGCTCTGGAGCAGCCTGTCTGCTGTGTTGAACCCAGCTCTGCCGCTTCCTGACCGTGCGGTGCTGTGCAAATTAGTTGCCCTTTCTGAACTTCTGTTCTCCCATCTGCACACTGGGTTGTGAGAATTAAAGAGAAGTCATGGGAAGCTCTAATACAGTGCCTGAAGCTTAGACAGGGCTTACTAAACACATCTGACTAATTCTCAGCAGCGTGTTGGAAGAGCCCTCATTAGTATTAATAGCAGAGCTGGGTTTTGACCCCAGACTTATAGACTCCAAACGTGGTTTTCTTGCCACTCATGCAGTGCACAGAGCACAGGATAGGGGAGTTTTGCTGGGGAATGAGCACTAAAGTCAGCAAGCCCCGGGAGGACTGGCTGGGACCTCAGTGATAGGACGTGCAGGCAGGCGGAGATAGTATAGACCCTGCTGCAGGGGTGTAACCTCCTGGTGGAATCGGCTTCCTTGCAGCCACGAGGCCCTGGGTATCCAACTCCCCACCCCTTAGCCAGGGCTGGCTGAGAGCTTAAAGAGCTGATGAGGTGTTTGTAGCCATCCAGACCTCTGGGACAGGCTTATTATGCTAAGGCAAGTGTCAGCTGGAGGATCTATGGGACAATGAGTCACTCCCTGGCTGCTCTGGGTTGTCACATCCCAAGCTGAGACCTTGGGAATGCGTAACTGGTTTCTGTTCGCTGATGCCCGCCTAATCCTGGGCACTGGCAGGTACCAGGAGGGCTCTGCTGACGTCCTCAGCTCCCCTCCCAGCTTCACCTTTACCCTCTTCAAATCTGGGCTCCCCTCTTTTTCCTCCGTTAGACTCTCAGTGTTCCTTAGGGTTCCCCTTTACTTGGGTGTCCTCTGCCCTGGGGAAGGGATTACAAGCCCAGGCTCAGGTGGTGGTGTATAACTTGGAGGCTGGAGGGACCTGTGATAACTCCAGGGGCCTCCCAGGGCAGCCAGACTCCCCGCTGTCCTACCTCTACACCTCTGCTTATGCTGTGAGTCTGCCTGGAATGCCTTTATGTGGCTATCCTGCCCCAGCCAATCTCAGCAAGCCCACCTGCTGTCCCACCTTCAATGTTTCTAAAATGCTGTCAAAAGCTGCCTCCTCCAGCAAGTCTGCCCAGATTGCTCCCAAGTGAAATCCTTTTAAAAAGCCCCACAGAGCACTTTATCTTTTTCCTTTTATATCATTAAATATTTGTGAATTCATTCAAGAAATATTGAGAGAATACCTGCCAGGCGTCCAGCACTGGAGACCCAGGTTGCCATGGCCCCTGCTCTGGAGGCTTTACAGTCCAGTATGGGGTGGGGGAGGCACTAAACAAACACACTTATAATTACAACTGTGGTAAGTCTACAGGGAGACCTGGCCTAGTGTGGGGACATCCGGGGAGGCCTCTAAGAGAAAGACTGAGGAGGTACCTGAAGGGTGTGGAGAGTCTTCCTTCCCAGGCAGGAGGAACAGCCCAGGCCCTTCTGGCTAACGGCTGGGCTGGTCTCTGGTGGTCAAAGGAAGTGATAGCAGTGAGCCGAGATCGCGCCACTGCACTCCAGCCTGAGGACAGTGAGAGACTCCATGTCAAAAAAAAAAAAAAAAACTATGACCATGAAAGTGATCATGACCGCAATGATAGCAGTTCGTATTTATTGTATGCAGGGAAATGGGCTAAGTTTCTTCCATGCGTGATCTCATTGAATCTTCACAACTACCTCGTCCCCATTTTACAGAAGAGGACACAGGCATAGAAGGTTAAGTCATGAGCCCAAGGCCCCAGAGCCATTAAGTGGTGGAATCCCCTGCTCCCACCTTCTTCCGGAGGAAGGATGAAAATTATTTACATTTTACCTGGGGATTCCTAGAGATTGAATTACCCTTAGGACCTAAAGAGGTGTGTCAAACAGTGGAATTTCAGCTGTACTGATGGGCAGGAGAAATGTTTAGGGCAGGAAGCTTCAGCTCTTGCCAGGGAACAGAACTCCAAAAGTCACAGGTTCTGGGAGCTGTAAGCTGTAAAAACGAGCTTTGAGTGTGAGAGAAGCAAACAAATTGTCCAAAGTGAAGCCCTGCGAGAAAAGCAGGGGGAGTTATCTTGGAAGCCGTTAAGAGCTGTTTTCTTGCCTTGGTCCTGAGATCTGGGCTCCTAACTCTGGAGCTTCCTGGGCCACTTGCCCTTCCTGTCCTGGTTGTGAATGTGAGCACGTGAGGGCCAGCGTGTTTAGCTTGTGTGTCTGCACAATTCTGCTGGTGCCTGATGATAGCTGAGTACATGTGTATATTTATTGGCTTATTTCAGTGTATTTGTATGTTAGCTTGTATGTTTCATGGCTGTGTATGTGTGTATTCGTGTGTGTGCTGATCAATGTGTATGTGTTTGTGTGTGTCTGTATGTGTGGTGGCACTGGGGTACTTGTATGCTTACACATACATTTCTTTGTGGGATGCCTTTCCTGTGTGCATTTGTATGCATGCCTGTCCTTGAACTTGTGTATGTTTCTGGCCCTGTATATTTCTCTATGAGAACATGTTTAAGTGTGTCTTTCCAGGCAGTATTTTAACTCAACAGTGACCCTAGAGTGTCAGGGTCCAGCCTCTTCCTGGGGCTTCCCTGAAGGCTCTCAAGGCCTATGAATTGGTTTTCTTTGTTTGACTTAAGTAGTCTGGCTACCTTCTCCAGGCGGAATATGTGGCGATCTCACTGGTATGAGATTGTAGAGGATTCTGTGGGCATAGGGTGGCCTGTGAGTAGGTGGCCACCAGGAAGTCACCAACTTAATCCCAGCTTAAGGTGCCTCCCCTCTTTCGCCTGTCACAGTGTCTGACATTCCATTAGTGAGTCATTCTCCAGCTGGGACTCTCTTTGATGGTGCATACCCTTGAGGGGAGGAGGCCAGAGAAGCCCGGCAGCCTGCTGAGGGTAGAGACCGGGGAACAGGGAAGGGGAGGGCAGGAGGAATGACGCATCTGAAGGATTTGGGCAAAGCCAGAGAATTCCCTGATGCCATTAGTGCCTAGCTTGGGGCGGCCCAGGCACCCTGGCCCTGGCAGCTGCTCTGACTTTATAGAATCATCAAATATCAGCGCTGGAAAGGAGCTTGGTGATCACCCAGTCTAGCCCCTAGTGTTGTAGATGGGAAGACTGTGGCCCAGAAAGAGGAAGTGTGGGCAGACTGGGAGGTTCTTGAAGCGTGGATGCTGAAGATGCAAAGAGCACTGGGCAAGGAGCAGGGGACCCAGGTTCTAATGGCTCCGCCTGGTGACGCTGGGCAGGTCCCACTGCCCTCTGGGCCTCAGATGTCTCCTCAGTGTCACTGGCCTGGCTGCCCTCTGTGGGCCCTCCTGACTCTCACTCTGTGACTCTGGAAGCAGGACCCCCACCACCCCCAGCCCTTTTCTAGTGCCCCCACCAGCCTGCCGCGGTGTCAGGTCGGCCTGCCAGCTCATGCACCCAGCATCTCTCCCCTCCTGGAGCCGAGAGAGGTGGCAGGATCTGGATGGGATCTTCTCCTCCCTTTCCTGTTTATTTAGATGTGCTTTTGGCATTCGGGCAAAGCCCCAGAAAGATATTGAGAGACATGCCTGTCAAAACAGTCTCCCTTCTCCAAGGCTCTCTCTTTGGGGATGGGCCTTAGAAACTGCCATGGGAGGAGCCGGGCCTTGGCGGAGGGAGGGCCCACAGGGTTCTGCCTCCATCCTGAGTACTGTCTTGGGGTTCCCCAGTGGGCAGCTGAGAGCTTAACGGGTGACAAAGTTCTGCCAGGCCCACATGCCCATCTGCAGCAGCCCAGGTCAGTCTGTTGAAAGGGGAGAGGGTGATGAAGACAGGCCTGGAGGAAGAATGCAAGGACAAATAGATGCTGGGCTTGGGGGAAGGAACCCGCCCTTGATTGAGCACCTACTATGTGCTAGGCATGTTGCTCAGTGCTTCGTATTCAGTTGAGAAGCAGTGCCTTTGAGACCATTGGTGACGTGGGGCTCCCGGGTGTCCAGGTGGCGGTGCTGAAATGCAGATCCCTGGTTCCCTAGGGGCTGCCTCCTCGGCTGGGAGTGTGGCACAGACAAGGACAGCACTGGGCAAGGTTCCCCTCCCTGGGGGTGGGAAGCCTCCAGGTCTTCACTGGGAGCCCCTGTGGGACAGCTCTGCACTCAGGGAGTGAGCGGGCCTCCCTTTCTTCCCTCCCGCCTTGGCTTTGGTCCTTGAGGCCTAGTACAGTGCCTGGGGCTGAGTGTGGGGAGGATGATCAGAGCTGTCCATCTGTTTCCCTATATGGGGGAGTCCCCACGCTGCCCATCCCAGGGGCCAGAACTCTCTTGGTTACAGTCCCAGCTCTGCCACTTTCAGCAGGTGACTTAACTTCTCTGAGCCTGCATTCCCCCACCCGGAAATCCAAAACATCCTGAATTCTGAAGCTCTTATCCTCCCAAGGATTCCTGATAACAGGCATTGGGCGCTCCTAGGCATCCTCTCCTAGGGTGGGAGTGATTCGTCAGAACAGAAGCTTGATTGCTGGTAATATATCATCATCATCATGTGGAATTCATTGAAATGAGTGAATGAAGAAATCACGTGTCTTGAATTCTGAAAGGCCTTTGAGACAGTCGTTCAGGACCTTCTGGAGAAGCAGCAGGGTTGTGGGCCAGATGTCAGGATGGTGGTGTAGCTCTACTCCTGGGGTAGTAGAGCTGCTTAAGAACTTGGGTCCTTCCAGCCAAAGACCCCCCAGGCCTCTGACCCCCACTCAAACTGCCCTGTGCTTTGCTCAGTGATATGATGGAAGCCTAGGGCCTAGGGGATCAGCTGGCATAGGAAGGGTGTCCAGATGGGCAATGGGCCATCCACAGAGAGGGGCGGGGGCTACACAGCTATCCACGCCCAGCCGTCAGGGAATGAGCTGGGGGGGTGGCACCAGGCAGCAGCCTTGTGCAGCAGCCTTGTGCAAAAGCCCTGGGGCCTTGGTTGACCTCAGCGTCGTGGCACAGCTGCCTGACAAGTAGATGGGGACATGGGCTGCTTTAATAGAGGCAGAGTGCCCCATCTGGGGAGGGAGCCGCGGGTCCCTGCAGACTGTGTAGGCTGCTTGCTGAGCTTTAGACATCAGTCCTTGCTCCAGTGAATGAAAGCTGAGGCCTCCACCTGAGCAGCCCTGCCTGCCCCGTGCACTTTGGGCATCGGGAGTCTCAGTGAGGTTGCTTTAGGAAAAAAAAAAAGTGCTTGTTTAAGAGAGTTCAAAACTACCAAACTGGATGACATTCTGCGGCTCCAGAATCATTTTGCAAGCATGTTCATTCATGTCCCTGTCCCCCTGCCGGGCGGCCCACAGCCTCCTTGGAGAGCCCAGACTGACTCCCACCCTTGGTTGTCATTTATCCATTTGGGCAAAAAGAGGTGGTGGTGCTCAGCCAACATCAGTATTGGTTGCAATAAACCTACTACTCTGTGTAGTTGCTTAATAGTTACTGTCTTTCTGGCGACATTGTACCTCATTTCATCCTTCCCAGGTCCCATAAAGTAGGTATCATCATCAGTTTATTTTACACATAGGGACACTGAGGTTCAGAGAGGTCCAGTAATCGGCCCACAGCTTGTCTGAATGAAGATTTGAGGCCAAGCGATGTGAGGGGGCTAGAGCTGCCCAGTGGGAATGGTCAGCAAGCGTGGGCTCCTGTGGTCCAGCGCCATCTGCAGGAGAAGTGGGATACAGCCAGGCCTTAGTGGGTGTGGCTAGGGGGTCATAGTCTGTCCCTAGGCAAGGGAGTGATTATGGGGACCACCTATAATCTTTGCAGATGAGCTAGGCCCGACACATGTCACTACAAACGGAGTGTTTTTAACAGTCCTGTACATGTATATGGGAATTGCACATGGCTTTTGTTGAGCACTTACTGTCGGCTACACTCTGAGCCTAGAGCTTTATCAGTTTTTCGTTTTTGTTTTTGTTTTTTGTTTTTTTGAGATGGAATCTTGTTTTGTTGCCCAGGCCGAAGTGCAGTGGCCAAACTTGGCTCACTGCAGCCTCCACCTCCTGGGTTCATGCAATTCTCCTGCCTCAGCCTCCCGAGTAGCTGGGATTACAGGCTCGTGCCACCACGCCCGGCTAATTTTTGTATTTTTAGTAGAGACGGGGTTTTGCCATCTTGGCCAGGCTGGTCTTGAACTCCTGACCTCAGGTGATCCACCCGCCTCAGCCTCCCAAAGTGCTGGGATTACAGGCGTGAGCCACCATGCCTGGCAACTTTATCCACTTTTATCTGCCAATTTAATCCTCACTGCAGCCCCCCACCCACTTCAGAGAGAGGCAAGGGGCCTTAGCTGTCTTCTCTTGCAGTGAGGGGTCTGTGGAGCTGGGTTTGACTTGGTTCTTAGCCACTGGGCTGTCAGTGGGCTCCACTGCGGTCCCGGAAAGTGGGTATCAAGAACCCTGTTTGACTGAATGATTTGCCCACTGCCCCTCAATTAAAGGTTGTCTTGGGTCTAGAATAAGAGTTTCTGACTTGAAGACCAGTCAGCCCCTCTTCCCAAGTTAGGGGCTGTAGCTGCCTCCAGAAATCAAGTCCCAGGAGCTGCCTCTGAAGGGACAGCAGAAAAGGTTTGCCTCCCTTCATCTGGCGAAGAGGGAGAGGACGCCCTTGGCCCTCCACCCCCATGAAGGAGAGCAACAAGCTGTGTGGCTGGGCAGAGCAGAGCAGAGGACTGGAGTCCACGGTCCTTGATTAACCTTGCTTTGTGATCTTGGGGAAGGGCCTTCCCTACTCTGGTCCCCAGTCACCCTGTAATACAGCCTTTGCATCTGAGTCCCCTTCTGGCAGTGGCTTTCCAAGATGATGAGTATTTGTTAAGTCTGTCATATGCAGGGTCCTGAGCTGAGTTCTCTGGGGGACACAGGTCTCTAGGTGGATGTGTGATGTGATCGGTGGGTGGGTCAACGGGAACACTCTCTGTTCCCTGGAAGAATCTCTTTTCCCATGATCTGAGCTCCCTGACCTCTTGAATATCCATATACTGCTCACTCCATAATGTTCATGGCTATCTTGGCCACTGTGTCTAGCACATAATGGCTCTCATTAAGGTGAAAGAGTGAATATGACAGGGTATTAGGAGTCCCCAAGGTCATTGTCAGTTTGGGTGGGGGAGTTACCATTCTGAGTAGGCTTTAAGGAGGAGGCTGCTTGTCAGAGGAACATTAAGTAGAGTCACAGGGGGTGGAGTGGGGAAGAGGAAGTGGCACATGTGCATCAAACCTCCTAGACGGGAGAAAACTTTTTTGTTTAAACTCAGAAATAGGATAAAGCCATCAATATTGCTCCAGAATGAGCTACATAAATTGTGAAACATGCTTCTTTGTTCTTCATACCTCAAGATTGCAAAAATTGTGAAATTTTCATCAGTGTAGAAAATAAAAACCAAGAAAAGGTACAAGCCCATTGGGATAACTTGCTTGACCACAACCCCTGGGAGAAGAGAACCCATCCAAATTAGCCAGGTGCAGCCCCCTCTCCTATAGCTGGCAAGAGGCAGAGTTTGGGAGAGCTCAGAGCTCACGCAGAGGTGCAGGCCTCTGCCTCCATGCCATGTGTCCTGGAGAGCCTAGTGCTCTCCTGACCTGCCACCGTTTGGGGTCCCTCTGCATTAAGCATTGCCTTGTCTATGGGTCATGCCTCTGGAGAAGGGTCCCTCCTGCAGCCCCTAATACCTAAGAGATATTTGTGGCGGCTGATTAGAATACCCTGATGGATAATTCCAGGCTGCAGAGGTGAGAGGCATTTGGACTCCACTGCCTGGGATGGCCTTCTGGTGAGGTATCATTTCAGCTGGGCCTTGAAGGACACGCAGAATCCCAACAGGTGGCCACAGGGGTATGTCTCCTGTGGATATGAATGGCTGAGGAAGGAGGAAAAGGCAGAAGGAGAAAGATAGGAAAAGGGAAATCTTGAAAGCTCTTGAATTAGCCAGGCCCGGAAGCTGGGTGTCCTTGGGTAAGTCACTTTACCTGTCTGAGCAAGCTTCTTCATTTGCAGCAAATGTTTTTCTGTCATTTTCTGTCTGTGCGGGTGACATGAGATGACTTGTACAGCCCATGTTTGACCTTGTCATGTTGAAGATGGACAGATACAGCCCAGGGCCTGTGCCAAACATCCACTGCTCCTCTTGAACACAGAGAGGGCTGCCAAACTGACCCTTTATTTTGTGATGGATGGAATGTGGTATTTGGATTATGTACATTAACCTCAAATTAAATTAATATCCCACTTGCCACCTGGAATTGAGACTGGGGTGGGTGAGCCCCCAGAACACCCCCCTCTTTAGAGGACTCCCCCTCCTCCAGTTTTCCTCTCCCTCAAGCTGCCTGTAGTTTCCAAGCCCGGCAGGACACAGGCTGTGTCCCCTGGGGCCCCCACATCTATCCCGTCACCTGTAAAGGGAAGATTGGTTTGACCTGTGTGTATTGAACGCCTGTCTCCTCTGTCTCTGCCATTAGACCAGGAGCTCTTGGGATGGGGGAGGTGGGGGATTAAGCTCTGTTTTCAGTCAGTGCAACCTGTTAGGTGGATAAATGGCGTGAATAAGGTTCCCCAAATCTTGAAGCTTTTAATGGGGATACTCAGCAAACCCTTCAGCCCCTCGGGCCCCTCCCTGAGCTGAGCACTAGGGATCCCGTCCCGCAAGGTGGTTGTCCTTGCTGGGGTACATACAACGGTTCCGGGGAGGGGCCCCACCCTGACATCAAGCTACTGCCGCTCTGGGAAGGAAAGTCGCCCGGAATCGGGGTCTAAGTGGCCAGGGCACTGCCAGGCGCAGGCCAGCCGGCGCCTCAGCCGACCACGCGCCCGCTCTCATCGGTACCACCGAGGGCTGGAGAGCAGCGACCTCGCAGCGGAGGAAGGCGCTTTGTCAATCCCCGACGGGGTGGGGGGGCGTGGATTCCTCCAGGTGGGTGTGGGGGGTGTGACCTCGCACGGGGAGGACAAGCTCGGAGGCGGCAGGGAGGTGAGCGGGGCGGCCGGCCCTGGCGGTCCCCGGGGGTCTCCGCCCCTCCGCAGCCCCGCCCCCTCGTCCCGGTACTCCCCCTCGCCCCGGCGCCCGGGGGGCTCGGGCAGCCTCGGCCGCGGTCGGCGCGGCTCGGCTCGGCGTCGCCAAGGCAACAGCGGCTTAGGGGGCGGGGGCGACGTGGCGGGCGGGGTGGGCTGGGCCGCGCTGCGCGGGCCGGGCCGTCGGCGCTCGGTCGGCGGGCGGGCGGCGCGGGCCGCGAGCTGCTGGGGCCGAGCCCGAGCCCGGCCCGCCCTCGGCCGCGCGGCCGCCCAGCAAGGGTGCGGGTCCCGCGCGGGTCCCGGCCCGCCGCCGCCGCGCTAACCCCGCCTCCCCTTCCCCCTCTTGTCCCCCCGTGCGCAGGGCTTCCTCAGCCGCCGCCTCAAGGGCTCCATCAAGCGCACCAAGAGCCAGCCCAAGCTGGACCGCAACCACAGCTTCCGCCACATCCTGCCGGGGTTCCGGAGCGCCGCCGCCGCCGCCGCGGACAATGAGAGGTGAGCCCGCCGCCGCCGCCCGGTCCCCCGCGCCGCCGCCCCGGGCTGCGCCCCTGAGGACGCGGGGACAAAGCGCGAGCCCGGCCCGGGGCGAGCCACACGGCGGTGGGGGGACCCCACGCCGCCCGCCGGGAACTTATGGGGCCACCTCGGCCGGACTAGGGGGCCCGAGGGGAGGACCCTGTGCCTCCCTCCGGGGTTAGGTGAGTAGAAGAGAGGAGAGCAGAGGGTGCCCGCGGCGGCCCGGGCGAGGCCGGGCGCGAAGTCCCCTCGCAGGGAAGTCCTGCCTCGCCTGTCCGAGGTGGGCATTGTTTCCCGGGCCGTGCGGTGCCCGAACCGGGGACGGAAGTGGGGCCTCTGCCGCCAGGACCCATCCCCCTGCCTTGGGAGCCCCTGGGTATCAGATACAAAAGGCATTTTCGGCCGGGTTTGGCCGAGACCGGGCGCTGCCCGTGGTGAGGGGAAGGGTGAACATCTGGAGGGGAGGAGCAGGGGGCTGGGCCACTTAGGGGGCACATCTGCTCTAAGTAGGGCGCGTGCTCCACTGGGGGCTGGCGCTAGCAGAGCGGGCAGTGCCCAGGCCCTGAGCTGGGGGCACAGCCTGAGGCTGGGGAGCCAGGGCCATCTCCTCTCCAGCCTAGGCAGCTGCTTCTCTCCTTCCCTCACCTCTCCACTCTCAGGGGTGTCTCCTGCTTTCTGTTTCCTTCTCCTGGGCCAGCCGGGAGCAGGTGTGGAAATTCCGCGGGGAGGTGGCTGGTGGGGCAGAAGGGGAGAGGGAGGAGGAGGTGGTTCAACCTGCCGGGAGACGCTGGCCAGGGAGCAGGCTTCAGCTCGCAAGGGCAAGCCATCCTGTCCTCCAGGGGGCACTGGGCGGACACAGCCTCTCAGGGCCCAGGTCCTCCTCGAGTGGTGCCAGCCACAGGCACCTTTCCACTTAGGCACAGGCATGGTGATGGATTCCAGTGCCAGTTAGAACATGTCCCTGCCCAGCCTGTGGAGGTGAAAGTACGGGCAGGCACCGAGGAGCCTTTTCAGCATTCAGCCCGAACGTCTCAGACCACTGGCATCTGCCTTCGTAGGGCTGTGTCCGTGTTGGCACTCCCTGTAGGGGAGGCGTAGGTAGCATGAAAATGTCTCTCCCCTCCCCCTTGGTTCTAGCGGGCAGAGGAGTACAAGTTACAGCCCAACTCCTGCCCAAGGTTGAGTGACTGTTTAACTGACCCCTAGCATCTTCCTGGAGAGTAACACTTCCACCTCCCAGTAGAATGGCTAGACGTTTAATTTCCATCGTCCCAGAGCCGCGCTCTCCAGTGCATCCTCACCACTGCCTGCAGCTGGTTTCCTGCCCCAGCTGCCAAGCCCAGCCTGAGGCGGGACCCTCAGCCTTTCTCTGATGGCCCTGGTGCCCCAGGGGACCAGGCGTGCCCTGGCAGGAAGATGCAGCCAGGCCAGAGCTCAGCGCTGGGTGCAGTCACTGCGTCTTTGAAAATCTCGCTTCCCATCTTTGTTATTGTCTGGGCGGCAGGCCACCCGGTTTGCTGCCTTCCTCCCTCCACCGGGCCCCTGCCTTCGGCTGTCTTCCCCAGGAACATGCCCTTCTCCGCGCTTTCCTTGGCGGGGGTCAGGACCCTCTGCACCCGCATGCGGGGGCTTGTGTACGTACCCCGTTTTGTGTGCATGTGGTGGTTGTCCGGGGAGCAGGAGAGACAACAGGCAGTCCGGCTTCTGAGTGTGTCTGCTCTCCCGGGAGCAGGCGGCATGCATGTCATGTTTACCTCCTTACAGCGGGAAGCCTGTACCTAGAAGCCGGCAAGTGCTGGCTGGCCACCCTAGCCAGAGGTCGGGGCATGGCCAAGACGACCTCGTGCGGGTCCTGCCCCACTTGGCCTCAGGTCAGCCTTGCCACATGCTGAAGGGGCGCAGAGTGGGGGTTGGGAGTGAAACTACAAGCCTGTTTCTGGAAACAGTAGGAAACGGTAGCGGTTGGAGCAGAATGTCACTGGCAGCGGTGTGGAATTGTCTTATTAATTTTCTATAAACAAAATATGGCTTGGTGGCCTCTCTGGCACAGGAAGGGAGCCTAGATTTCCCATGGACAGGCAGAAAGACTGGGTTTGAAATCTCTCTACCCAGCCTTGGAGCTGAAATAGGCTTTCCCAGGACTGGGGTCTCCTGATTTGCTGCTTTGCTTAGGAACAGATTCGTCGGCTGCTGCTGGGATGGATGGGCAGAAATTTCTCTGGGGCTGTCCCTGGAGTCATCCTATTTGGAGTTCAGTGAGTAAAAACAACTATGGTGACCCCGCCCGCCCCCCAGCTCATGGCCAAACCTGGATGAGTGGAGCAGTGCCTCTCCCTGCTCTGATGTGGTGTGGTTGTGATGTTGAAGGCTGGGAGGGCAGGATGGGCTGTCTTTGGCTTGGTTTAGCAGCAAGGAAGGGTTGTGTCCTGGCTCCATGGGACCCCCACTGGCTGCCATGCCTCTGGCTGGGGAGAGGGTAAGTGCCAAGACGCTAGCCTCAGTGAGTGGGTGGGACACGAGTGGGAAGGACGGTGGGGGCTTCTAGGGTGTCGAGCGGGAGTCCTGGTCCCCATGGCCTTCCCGTGTAGATGAGCGGCACAGGGCACTCTGGGGCGGCCACTTGAGTTCTGACTTTGGATGAATCTATCTGGTTTATATGGCTGCTGAAGAGGCTTTGTTGAATGCTGTCTGCGTGCTCCGCAAGCTGCTGTGTTGGGGAGGTGGTTTTTTTGCGCTGGAATTCTCTCATCTGGAGGTTGGAAACCAGTTGGTTCTGTGCTGGGATTTTTTTGGCTCCCTGGAAAAGGAGTCGGTTTCAGGGGTGGGGATGCCGAACCTGGCTGGTTGGGATTGAGGGTTGCTATCTGGTTGTGAGGCTGGGGTCAGGCCAGGCAGTGCTTGGTTGGCACAGCTGGGCTCTGGGGGCTGGGGGCTGTAGGACAGGCTTGAGCCTTCGGACTTATTCTTCTGAAACGGCCTCAGGGGAGGTTGCCAGCTGGTCTCCACAGTCTCTGGGTCCCTCAGACACTCATTTCTTCTTCAGAAGCTTTGGCAGTAAGCACCAAGGACAGGTGATCATTTCTCCTGGGTAACAAACACATGCTGCTTGGAGCGCTTTCCAGGTGAAAGGTGTGCCGGCAAAAGCATTTTCATTTTGCACACTGGAAATGCTGCTGCTTCATTTACAGGGCTGTTTTAATGTTGGTAAAAGTGATATAGAGGATGTGGTTCTGTCAGCCCAGAGGATAATTTCCAAGTCATTCATTTATTTATTAATGTTACTGAGGAGCTAGGAGGGTCAGTTGGCAATATTATGCTTTCCTCATTCCTTCTCTCTCCTGATGCTGTTTCTGGGTGACTCTAGCCCTCCACACCTGCTGGGAATATGCTTCCTTTGGCATGCTACCTGTCTAAACTTACCACAGTAGTTACTCTAAAGTGTCTGTACCCCCATCAAGCTCTTCCCAGTCATCCTGGTGCGGAGCTTAGCTCATAAATGCAGGCAGCTCTGGGGCAGGTAGGCAAGGCTGCTATGTGTGGAGTTAGGGATCGATTCCCCCTTCCAGAGTATGTGTGTGCTGGCTGGCGTTCCCACACCTGAAAGTTACTAATGGTGGAATTCCAAGTGATAAGGGACTAGGGAAGGAGATACAGTACTTGGATGTTGGGGATGGCAGCTTCCAGGGACCCTCACCTGGACCTGGGTAGGCAGGAATCAATTCTGCCCCTTGTGGTGAGACAGTCCCTGGAGGAGGGAGAGTGAGGAAGGTTGATGAGGAACAGGGGAAATGGAAGTTAGGGTCTATTTTCCTGCTTTAGTTGCTGACAGTAAGTGCAGGCAGGACTGGGCACCCAAGTCTGGTGTTTCTTGCCCTTGTTCCCTCCCCTACTATAGACAGGGAGGGCCTGGTCCTTTTTTTGGGGACTAGTCTGTCTAGTGTGGTGATGTCAAGATGATAGTGCAGTTTAGACAATTGCCAGGAGTCATGGGATGTATGTGATCTTTGGATTTGAAGCCAAGCATTCCTGGGGCAAGTCACGTAACCTTTTGCAGCCTCAGTTTGCTCATCTGCAGAATGGGCATCATGATAATCATGTTGTTGAAGACATTAACATTAATACATTTAGCACACTTTTCATAGAAATTTTCTGGTTCAGTGCTGTTTTCTTAGCATTTAACACTGGGTCTTGCACATTTCTTAAATGTTTCTAAAATTTAATTAAATAATGTGTGAAAGAGGTTAGATTAATATGTCATAGGTTTTCAGTTAATATTGGTAGGGTTAAGTCACCTCGTCTTGGTAAGCCTCAGTTTTCTCATCCACAGTGTGGGAATAATAAGCAATCATGTGGCCTCATCCTGAGGTTCAAGAGATAATAGATGTTGCTGTGCCTGGTAAGGTGATTCGAGCTTAAGATGGGTCATTATTGCCTTAAACTTAAGAAACAGCCATTATTACCTAGAGCACAGGATGTTTTCCTAGGGATTCCTGCTTACACCTGGGAAAGCAAAGCTCTCATGTGTGTTTTAATAATCAGTTTTAAAAGTTCATTGTTCCATCTTCCGTTTGGGTCATACTTGTTTTTAATCATTTAGGCATTTAGGTTATGTCTAGGTTTTCTTTATTAAAAATGACACTGGGATTTAAATCCTTGAATATTTATCTTTGCCTACATTTCTGATTTTTCCCAAAGGATAAAGTCTTAGAAACAGAATTACTAGGTCTAAAAATATGAAGAGTTTGAGATTTTTCTTAGAAAAATGTCACCCACCAAAATCCTGTAATAATTCATACCCCTCCCCAGTGATTTTTGAGAGTGCTTACCTGTTTCCTCACACCCTTCAAAACATTGGATGTCATCATTAAAGCAGTCTTTATCGTTTGGATAGGCAGAAAAAGGGCATTTTTTTGTTATTTGCATTCATTTGCTTGTTGGTGATCGAATAGTGCTTTCCTGAGTTTCATGGCCAGTGGCAGTGCTTCTTTTGAGACTTGTCTATTCCTGTCCTTTGCCTGAGTGTTCTGACAAGCCTCTTGCAGGATTCTTGGTTGCCCTGTTTGGTCTTCCTCAGCTCTGAGAGGTCCCATGTAGGTGGATCCTACACGTTAAATGAGCCTCTGCCTTCCAAGAGGTATGACAAGGAATTCATTAATTACCTGTAAGGAAGGCTCACCTGGCTGTCCTCTCCTCCTCCCCCTCCCTTCTTCTTTCCACCTTCCTCCCGTCCTCTCCTCTCCATAAGGAAATCAGGTTTAATTCCTAATCCTATCATTCATAAGGATGCCCTGTATTTACACAGCACTTTAAGAGGTCTTCTGCCCTGTAGGGTAGGTAGGCAGTGAAAGGGCTGCTCTATGGCCAGGAAAACTGAGGCACACAGTCAAAGGCATGGAGCTGGGGCCTATGCAGAAGCCAGGCATTGGAACCAGATCCCCTCTCAACTGCAGCATTGTACTTGAGCCCCATGGGCACCTTTGGGGGCAGGGCTGACCGGCCCAGGAGCACATGATTCTGAGTCTCATCTCTAGAGAGGAAGGGGAGAGCCACAGAATACGACCTGGACGTATAGAAGAATCAATTTATTTTTTGCTTTCTCATTTTTATTACTCTCCTTTAGATCTGGAGCTCCCTTGTGTACCTTCCCAAGATCTGAGCTGGGCAATGTTTTTAGGAACGGTGGAAATTAGCTAGTGAGAATGGGATCAGCAAGGCTGGGGTTTCAAAGGCTGGAGAAGCCTTTCTTTGCACAAGCATATGTTTGTCTGTGTACGTCTTTTGTATGTGTTGCAAGTGTGCACCTGTCCTCATGAAGATGTGTGTACATTATATGTTAATGTCCTTATACATGTCTGTGCATTTAATTGAGTTAATACAGGTGAAGTATTTGGAACAGTGCCTGGTACATCATATGGGGTGAGACTGTATAAAGTTGCTGTTTTGGGAGGCCAAATACAGGCAATTGCATATGATTCAATCTATGTGTTCAGGTTAAGTGTTGGCTACTATTGTTATTATCGTGTGTTTTCTTCTTGGGTATGCATCTGCCAGTTGTTTGTACATGTCTGTGTACGTATACCCTGTTGTGCCCATGTGTATAGTGTGTTCTGTGAGCACTCACGTGCATACTTGTGTGCATGTGTGCACTTTCTGTCTGGGTGCATGGACACTGAGCTGGCCGGTGTGTGAATAAGCTCCCCACCTTCTTGGGGAGAACTTCCCAGAGAGCAACTCTTTGCCTCCCCTCTCACCTTCGGTTACCAGGCAGAGCCCAGGCCCAGGTGCCAGGCCTGACAGGTGCCATGGGACTGCTTTCATTCTCCTCCAGGTAGCCCTGCCTATTTCCAGGCCCCATATTAGAATATGCAAATCGACTCTTTAATGGAATTCCTTTGCAAAATATTACTTGAACCAGTAAGTTAATTACCAGGCTCTAATTAATGGCTATTTTAGAAGGCCACAGAACAAAACTGGAGGAGATCATAAGAGACCAAAAAGGCAAGAGGGAAAAGCATCCAGCTCCCCCAGTCGGCTTGGTGACTCCTTCCAGGGTGGCAGGGTGTGCTTAGCTTCTCTCTGCTCTGAGCTGCCAGTCCGCTCCCTTGTGATGATTGGCTGTAGGTGAGTGAATGCTCCCCTTGCACGAAGAACCTCTGGTGGTTCTAGTCTCTTGGCCATCAGTGCATCCATCTGCGAGGTGTGTCCAGGGCAGCATCTGCCTGGGGATGGGGTGAGAATGTGTGGATAGCAAGCCTGGGCTGAGGTGGGGCTGCACCAACCTCAGAGCAGCCGGGTGACATGCCCAAGGCTTGGGCTGTGGGAGGGACAGTCACTGGCCACTCTGTTTTCCCACCCCTCCAGGGGCCTGTGGGCTATCGCTGCAGGGAAGCCACCCCCCAGTCAGAGCCTGGGAGCCTGAGGCAGCTTCTCACAGCCAACTCTCCACCAAGGGCCCAACTCCCTCCCCTCCACTTCTCTCTGAGTTCGCGGTGGAGTCACCTGTGGCCCATGTGTGATGTGAGAGCTTGCTTGCACACCCCTTCCTTGGGCTCTTGGTCAGGCCCTGCCTCTGTGTGACTATGGGCAAGCCGTGGTTCCTCTCTGCCCCTCCTTCCACTCATCCATCAAGAGGAGTGATTGTACCTGCCCACCTACCTCAAAGGGCTGGCTGGAAACTCGCAGGAGATTTTAGTGATGGAAATGATAGGGGAGTTTCCCCTCCCAGCTGGGGCATGCCTGTGTTACCATCCCCTCCTGAGATAGAGGTCGTCTCTGTCCTCTGTGAGCATGTGGCTGTCCTCCCTTGTGTATACAGGCCATGCCACCTACCACCTGGGCATGCACACATGCACGTCCTTGTGGAAGCCACCAGCGTGCAGCAGATATCCCCTCTGGGCCACAGGGGCGATGGGGTGAAAACCTACGGGAGGGAGAGGGAAACAGGGTCCATCCCCACCCACAAAGGTTCCTGGCACCCTGCCTGAGAATTGGGGGAGGGGTAAGAAGTGATCCCAAGGCTGGAGGTCAGGCCCCATCTTGAGGGTTGCCCAAGGAGTAAGACCTCCCTTCCTCCCCTCCCTGTGTTGGCTTAGGAGGCCTGCGTTCTGCAGACCCCTAGGGTTATCCCCTTGTAGACCTCAGCTGATGACAGTGCCTTGGCGGTGGGCTGCTTGGAGGCACTAACAGAGCACTTTGCGCCCTGTGCCAGAGGCATTTAGAGTTGGCCTGTGAATAACTGAGTGTGCTTAAATTTTTTAAGAGGGATGGACTGACTGGTGGGCAGCCTGAGACTGTACTTTTTAGAGGTTGCGCAAAAGGCAGCCTGAGAAGGTTTTTGCCACCTCCACCCTTCTGCCGCCCCCCTCAGTTTTCCCATCTCTCAGGTGGGGCTAGTGGTACATTACTGCATCAGATGCTCTGCCGAGTGAGTTACTCCTTAGCACAATGAGATCCCACCTCCACTTTTCAGTGGGCAGCCCCCACGGGGGACCAGAGCAGCCCTTCTCCCTACTGTCCCAGTTAACCATCACCTCCTGCCTGTCGCCCTAACTTTTCTGGAACAAGCAGGGCCCTTGTTTTCAGGCTGGGCCTGATTGTAAAAGAGTGCACTGGGGAGAGATAGAGATGGCACCAGGGTAGCATGGGCCCTAATTTGATGCGACGTTGTCATGGGAAGTTTTCATACCAAGGGCAGTGAATTAGTGTAGTGTCTCCCTGTGCCCAATGACTAAGGGGAAGTTAATTTCATGCTCTGCCTTTTTGACATTCATAATCAGAACGTTGTATTGCAGCTGCAGATTGTTAGCAGGTGAAGGATGTGTGAGCCTCAACAATTACTGTTTCTGGCTTGGGAGGAGATTGATTAATAGATTGTTCCCAGCCCCACCCCCTCTGCTTCTTACTCCCGTTTGTGCTTTCTTTCCCTCTTTCCAACTTCACCACATTTCGTCAGGAAACTAAGTGGCTATGACTAAATCCCTACTCTTGTACTAGAAACCCAGGGCAGAGGAGGACCTGTATGAGGAGGAATTGCCTAGGACACCTGATAAAATGCAGATTCTTGGACTCCACCCCAGACCTTCTGAATTATACCCTCTGGGTGGGGTGGTCTTGCTTCCCCAAAGTTTGCTCCTTTTGCAGAGGGGCAGGCATTGTGCCCCAGCTGTGTGCTAGTGACTTGCCTAAGCACTTCCTGTGCTGTATTCTTACTGATTTCTCATAGCAAGAGGGCTTTTTGTTTCCCATTTCACAGGTGTAGAAACTGAAACCCGATGTGTGAGTGGCCCAAAGTCACACACTGGAGGAAACCCAGTAACCAGGCAAGTCCATTCCCTGGTTGATGTCAAGATCCCACCAGTAGCATGTCATGTCCTTTCTCATTAAGGCTGTGATGCCTTTTGAAATAAACCCTCTCCCTCCTCAGAGAAGTAGCAGTAGCCCCCTTCTGTGCTTGCACTAGGCTCCCATTGTGAAAAGCTCCTGCACACCAGTGCCCTGGGTCTCCTGAGGGTGCTTGGAACAGTCAGGGCATTCATGACTGATCTGCATTTTGCAGCTGTGGTGGGTGACGCTCAGAGAGGTGAAGGGGCAGAGGCAAGGGGAGCTGGAACTTGTCTCCTAACTCCAGGTCCAGTGCTCAGCCCACCTGTGCCACCAAGGCCTGCTCTTCTCACTGACTTCCTGGTTGCAGGTGGGGAAACTGAGGTTCAGGGAAGTGTACCCATTTACTTAGGATTGAGCGAGCAGCAGTAATGCAATTCAAGGTCCGCCAAGTCAAATTCCACAGGACAGGACTAGTCAGCATTTTAGGAGTGGATCTTGTACCCTTGGCTCCCGCCTGAGAATGGAAGTCTTCCAGACCCCTTGGAAGGTCTCGGCTCAGGGAAGAGAATGACTGTCTTTGGAGAGACTAGGCCAGGTGGGGTGGGCTGCACTCCCAACTAAGGAGGCCAGGCACCTGCTAGGGTAGTGGGAGGTGATGGGGGATCTGCGCCTGTGAGGTGGGCAGCTGGAATCTGAACCTAGGGCTGCCTTACTCTAAAACCCCGTCCCCCACACCGCCAGTTGCCATGGAGGTTAATAGCAGGCGTTCCTGAGTCAGTCTCCCAGAGCTGGTCCAAGGCCCAGCTCCACCAACTGCTTCCCTCTGAGCTTGAGATTCTCTATTTCAGTAAAGCAAAAACAAAAACAGAAACTAGTGTCTCGGGGCCCAGGATTCCTGGCACAGGGCTGGCCCAGTCTTTCCTGGGCTTTGGTTTACTGCATTCAGGTCATGAAGCCCCTGGAGCTGCTGGAGAATGGAGCCATCGTAGCGGGGCGGGGGACGGAGATGCCTTTCATCCTGCTCTGTTCATGGCAAGCTGCTTCTGATGCTGTGATAGCCCCACCCACTGCCCCACCCACTGCCCGTGAGTGGCCACTCAGGATGGGCCAGGCTCTGTGCCTGGTGCTTTCTCGTGCATTTGCTCAGCTCATTCTTACTATAGCCCTTTGAAGGATACGTGCTATTACTGTCCCCATTTTACAGAGAAGAAAATTGAGTCACAGAGAGACTGAGCAGCTTGTTGAAGTCCTACAGCTCATAAGTGGCAGAGCTGGGTTTCAAACCCAGGCGGTTGGCTTTATTATGTAAGGCCCCCTGTCAAGCACCGTTCTACATAGCCTGTGCTCATGTGCTCTGTTTCACATTACATGTTCTGTCAGTGATCACACTGATAAACCACCTGGTCACTTAAGAAGCACCCGTGTGGCAGGCATTATGCATGGTATGTGCATCATCTCTGATTTTCTTGACTACCCTCATTTTATCCTTCCCCCATTTTACAGGTGAGGAAACTGGCCTTAGAGTATAAAATCACATAGCCAGGATTAGCCTCAGGTTACCTTTAGAATCTAGATCTCTTTGTATCCACAGCCAGGGCCCTCTCTAGTATATTAGCTGACATGGCTGGGCACATCCTATGCGCCAGGCCCTGCTCTCTACACTTCACTGAGCTGAACTCACTTCACCCTCACAGCAGCCCGTGAGATATATACTGTTGCAGTCCCTGGTTCACAGCCAAGGAAGCGTGAGTTGCATGGCCAGAAATGGCAGAGCTGGGATTAAACCCAAGCCGTCTGGCTCCCACATCAGTGTTTTTAACCACCCCACAGTACTGCCCTCTCCCTATCTTACAGGTGAGGAATTTGAGGTTCCAAGAGGTAAAAGTCACTTGCCCTGAGTCGGACAGCAGGTGAGTGGCATAGACAGGATTTGCATCCAGGTCTTTCTAGAATGTTTTTCTGTCTCCCAGGTGAGAGAATGTGGCTGCTGCCAGGCGGTTTGGAAGTATGTCCCAAGGGCACCCGGGGCTCTGCTGGGGGCTGCTGTGGGTGCCCAAGTCCTGAGGTGGTAGGGGTGGCAGTGGAGGCAGGCCTTAAGAAAGAGTCATCAGGATGTGAGGGCAGGCTCGGCTCAGTGACTGCCCCTCCTATTTGCAACTTATCACTTATTCTCAAGCGTCTTTTTCTGTGGCTCCCCCAGGGTTCTGGGCTCCCACACCTCTTTTCACCTGGGCAGAGCTGATGAGCTGTGGCTGCGTTTGGATCTGTTGACTTATAATGCTGGGTGAGGTGGGGCAGGTACAAGAAGGGGTCGTGGCTAGGCTAAGTGGCCTTCCATAGCACTTCCCTTCCTCCAAGGTCAGAAGAACATAGAGGTGACTTCCATCACTACCCAGGAGGGTGAAGGCAAACAGGGTGATGATGATGGTGGCCAGGGACTCCCCCACCAGCCTCTGCTCAGGATCTGTGGGAAGATGGGTGAAGCTGGCGCTGAAATCCCCAGCCACCCCAGGCAGTACTACAGCAGACTCACCAAGGGAGTTGCCTATTGTGCTGCAGGCCACACTGCCCTGGTGTCACCACCTTCTGTGGACTGGATGTGACGTAGGGAAGTGGTAGTGCCAGGGCCAGATGTTCTGCCCGGAGCCCATCCAGCCTGCCTGAGGTGGTCTTGCTCAGTTGCCCTAGGATCATAAAGTCCACGAATTTGATGGTTGTTTATGAGGATAGTGAAAACCTATTCCAGAGAGTTTCAGAATTAAGGAAAAATGGAGCTGGCAGAGAACTTAGTCTTAGAGTCTGTACAAGCCAGGGGTGCACTTGAAAGGCCTTGTTGTCTTTCGTACCTCTGCTGCTTATTGTTCAGAGCACCCATAGGAGTGTTTTCCCGAACTGGGTTCCATGGAACACATTCTTAAAGATGTTAATGGGCGTTTGCGATGAGAGAATTCCATAGTCCAAACAGGACTGGGGAGCAGTCTGTCCAGAGTTTCTCAAACTCAGTGTCAGAGGTTCTTGGAGGTGAGACTTGATGTTTTACTCCAGTGGGGTGATTGTGTGCTCAAATACATTTTACATCCTCAAATTTTGCTTCCTCATTCTTGGGAAATCATTTGTGACCCAGGAGATGAAAGGCCCTGAGAGGTCCTGCAATGAAGAAGTCAGTTTTGCTTTGTTTAATCCAGGGTTTCCTGTCCCCCAACCCCAGGAGCAGCTGTTAACATCTGTGGAGCAGTTGTATTTTGCAGAACATTATTTGGTAAACATTCTTTTGAGGTGTTATGTCTCCTCAGAAGCATGTTTTGGAGGAAACTCTGGAAGTGTTCCCTGCCCTTAGTACCTGCAGGAGTAAGCCTTGAATGATGGCATTGCTGGCTCAGCAACAGGTAGTGGGTCATATGTATTTGAAAAAAGTCATCCTAGGTCCTCAATATCATTCCTCAAAGCAGCTACCAGCTCTCCTGTGTGTGGGATGGGGCCTGGCTCTGGTCAGAGAGCCCTCTGTGGGGAGGTGGTTTGTCTGGGACCAGCCTAGGCCTAGGGTGTAGGGGTTTATTCCCCTTTTTGCAGGCTGGGTGGCGTCCATGTACCTGGCAGCTTGGGCTCTGGGCCTCCCCATCCCCCTCTAGACTCCCTCTGCAGAAGGCAGTGGTCAGGCAGAGGCTGCCCACAGATTTGCATAATTGCACCGTCTCCTGAATAATTAATAAAGCTCTGTCCTTGCTGGGAGCAAAGTCTGCACCGTTATGGATGGGTTTGCCATGGATAGGTTTGCCGGAGCTCTTCCAGGGGAGCCGATGGTTCCTGGACTCCTCTGCTTTTCCTGGCATGGAGCCCCCAGAGAGAGGAGAGGGCACTGGGTTGGGGGCTGGCTCTGGTGTGTCCACATGGCTCCCATAGCATGATAAAGGGCAGGTGAGGGGTAGTGTGTGCTTTCTTCCAGGATCCACACATGGGTTTTCTAGCACACAGATGGTTTAGGATTCTTATTCTTCTTGCTTTCTGTGGTCCCACTAACCCTTTTTCTCTGAAGTGTGATCAGCTGTTGTGGGGCTTAGCCCTCTTTTCTGGCAGCCCAAAGGGAGCAATGCTTATGCAGCAGGTAAGAGCAATGAGGGCCAGTTTTCAGACAAGTAGGGGAGGGGGAGGTGTTTCTGCTTGGGGCCCTTCTTCAATCCCTCCCAGTTTCTGGGCTTGTTAAAGTTGGAGGTAGCCTGGGAGTGATTCCTATTTGAGATTTCTAAATCCCTTTTGATGGTGTTTCATTGACGTGAATTTTCCCTCTGACGCATGGCCTTGTCTCCCTTTCATGCTAGAAAGGAGAGTAAGGGGTGGGCCTGCCCCCAACATGTGGTTGACATTGGGGAAAGTCCTAGAGTCTCGCCACGCCATGAGTACTCTTGAAAGGCCTTGCTCCAAACCTTCTGTAGGAGTATTTCTTAAATGGGTTCTACTGAACATATTCTTACAGATGTTAATGGGTACTTGGGATGAGGGAATTCCACAGTCCAAACAGGTCCAGTGAACCAAGTCAGTCAGTTTCTTTAATGCATGGCTCCTTAGAGGCTTTAATGTGCCAGCGTGTGTCTGAGCCCCTGGGAGGGCGTACAGGATGCTCTGCTTCCCATCCACACCGGCACTCCAGAGTGTTGGCACATCTCCAGCAATGGGGAGCTCTTTCCACCTGGAGCGGCCCCTGCCCTTGGAGGACAGTGCCAACTCTTGTAAACTTCCCCCTTTGTGGAGCTTCCCCAGGCAGCATTTATGTGGCACCTTGTCATTCCCCACATGGCCCTCACACCAGCTAGGAAGGTGGCAGGGCAGGGATTATTCCATTTTATAGATAAGGTAACTGAGGCCCAGAGCGGGTAATTGTCTCACCCAGGGGCACATAGAGTTGATATTTAAACCCACGTCTGCCAGCTGGGCCTTCAGCTCTTTCCTCTTGGCCACCAAGAAACCATTTGCTCCCTGGATAGATGTCAGTATGTTGGCTGGGGTGGGGCCTTAGGACCTGTTGCTCTGACAGTGCCCTTCCCAGCTTGCTTGGAGTGTCTAGAGGGTGGAGGCAGGAGTGAGTGAAAGCCTTCCTTCAGGGTTTCCAAGCTGTGGGGCCTGGCTTTGGAGCCATTTGTAGACAGGGGCCTAAAACCGCCAGATGCCTGCTTATCACACCATTCCCGACTCTCACCCTTTTCCTTCTCCTGCCCTCTTGTTGTAGGGTGGGAATGTTTGAGGTGCCCCAGAAACTGGGTATGCACTCAACTTTGGCCAGTAGTGGTGGTGCAGGGGTGAAGGAGCAGGGCAGGGGGTTCCAGCTGGCTTGTCTTTCTCCAGGCCTTCCTGAGAGTTACTGGACAAGCTTGGTGGATGGCCAGGGGAGCCTGGGGTGAATTTGTTCACAGCAGCTGGGCTTAGAGGCTGCACCGGGGCTGAGATGTGACTTCAGGACTCAGGCCAACTGTTTTATATCTCAAAAATCTTGGGTTATACCATACACCATGAAAGGTACTGCATTGCCACACCTGACACTTCCATTCTGGTCCCAAAGCAAGCCACACGGGGGCTCTCTGATGAACAGAATCCTGCTCTGCTGACACATGGACCCAGATCCAGATCCGACGCCCTGACTTCCTCCATGATCTGGGACAAGTCACCTAATCTCTGAACCTCTGTCTCCTCATTTTTAAATGGGCACCATGATTGTGGTGCCTACCTCCCAGGGTTTTGAGGTCTACATGGGATCATGTTACATGGTAATTTGATCATATTCTGTCATCACACACATGTACTCACATTCTCACACACCATGCTTTTGCTTTTTTGTTTGAGATCCCACAACCTGCCAGCACATCCAACCCAGTCTTCCCAGGGTCCACCTCATCATATATATAGCAAGAGATGGCCCAAGACACATGAAGTGATGTTTGTGCTGACATTTCTCCCACTTAGAAAATCAATATTCTGTGGTCTGCCTAATTGCTCTGTTGCTGCTAAATGAGTCATTATGGAGGGAAAATAGCAAATGCATTGTGAGATTAATGGGAGAAAATGGTTGGCAAATGACTTTGGTTTGCTTCGGAAACTCTGAGAAGGTGTTACTACGTGAAATCTGCAGAGCCATGCAAGGCCGAGTCCTGAGCAGCAGGGAGACAGGCAGGCAGCTATTGGCGCTGTGAGCCTCCCTTTTAGGGCGGGGCACCGATTCAAATATTATAGAGGCTGGACTCAGGAGTTACTGAGTGATGAAGTCAGGAGCCAACAATGGGACAGGTGCTCTGACAACCTGGTCTCAAAGAAGAGGATACTCTTCAGTTAGAGCCAGTTACATGCCAGGCATGGTGCTAAGCTGAGGGATGTAATGGTGAGCAAAACCAGCCCCAGCTCCTCCCCTAGTGGAGGACACAGGCTGAAGTGCAATTGTCCTACAGGTGACTGTGTAATTGCAATTAAGGCATGTGTCCTGAAGGCAGTGAGAGCCCAGATCTGAAGGGTTTCATCTGGTGGGGGTGGTGGGGAGGGCCTCCCCGATGACAAAAGGAGTAAGCTGAGCTCTCAGGGAAGAACCTTCTGGGCAGTGGGAGAACTCGTGCAGTCCTGTTGGGTCTTATAGGAGGGGCTGCCACGGGACTTGTATGGCCTTAACCCTCCAGCCATCCTAAGAAGTGGATATTTCTCGTTTCACAAGCGAGGAAACCAGGACTGAAGGTGGTTAAGAGACTTGCCAGAGGTCATAGAACCCTTAAATGGCAGAGTCCAGATTTGAACATGGGGAACCCATGCCAAGGGGCATGCCCCGTTGCTCCAGGGAGCTGGCCTTGGCACTTGCTGCCCTGAGGGTGTCTCTTTAGCTAGGGTTAAGGACCTTGCTCCTGCAGGGCAGGGGGCTTCATGGTGGTTGCCTGAGAGTCTTTAGAGAGAGGGTTATAGGACTCTAGAAAGGGGGAACCCTCAACAGCCACAGCCAGGCCTCTTTGCTTTCTTGGGTCTTTGCTTCCTTTTAATGACAGCGTGACTTGGGTAGTTTTCTTTTTCTTTTTCTTTCTTTCTTTTTTTTTTTTTTGAGACAGAGTCTTTCTCGGTAGCCCAGGCTGGAGTGGAGTGCAGTGGCAGGATCTCGGCTCACTGCAAGCTCCGCCTCCCAGGTTCACACCATTCTTCTGCCTCAGCCTCCCGAGTAGCTGGGACTACAGGCACCTACCACCACACCCGGCTAATTTTTTTGTATTTTTAGTACAGACAGGGTTTCACTGTGTTAGCCAGGATGGTGTCGATCTCCTGACCTCGTGATCTGCCTGCCTCGGCCTCCCAAAGTGCTGGGATTACAGGCCTGAGCCACTGCACCCGGCCATGACTTGGGTAGTTTTCTGATGATCAAAATGCCAGGTCAACTAGTGACTCCTCTTTCAAAAGGCTCTGTAAATAACACACTTCTCTCCCCATGAAATGGGTTGGTTTATTCCCTGCCTCTAATCCCAGCTGGACTGTCATCAGGTAGGGCCTATCAGTTGTCTGCAGAGGTGGGTGGAGGTATGGTCACCTGAAGGTGCTTCTAAGGAAGGTGCTTGTGAGTTCTTGTAAACTTCCCAAGGTTTCAGGAGTGGCAGCAGCAGATAAGGAGAGTCCAGGCATTTCCTGTGGGCATTATGAAGGAGCACCAGAGGCATCCCACTTTGTCTTGGTGCCTGGTTGTAGCTGAGCATCATAGTGCCATGAGAACCTGGTAAAAAGATTCTGGAGCCCCACCCTGGGAGGGTCAGGGTCACAGGTCTAAGGGGGGCTCTGGAATCTGTATTCCTGACAAGCCCCAGGTGATTCTGAGACCCACTCAAGTGTTGAGATCCCCAGTTAGCAGCTCTGGATTCTTCCGTCTCTGAGAGGGTCACAGGCCTCCAAGGGATGGTGGTAGTGGAGTATACTTTTATCTTCCTGGGCTGGATGTAACACTGCCTGCTGCCAGCTCAGGAAGCCAGGCCACACTGTGCCCATAGGGCCACATGTAAGGCAGAGCCTGGTGCTCAGCTGAACCCCAGGTGAGGCAGGAACTTGGCCTGGGATGCTTTGCTACTGCTATTGTCCGGAAACTGAGTTTCATCCCAAACTTAGGTCTGACTGGCTGTGCCCTGTCCCTTGCGAAATATAAACTGCAGCCCTTCCTGGCGAGAGGCTAAGTGTTTATGTGGGCTGGTTGCAGAGCCCAGCTCTTTGTCCTGCTCAGGTTCCATTTCCAAAATAATTCTGCTTAGTTCTTCACATAAACAGCAGGGCCCTTAGAGACTGGCCCTGAGAGTATAGAGGGGATCCATCCCCGTCCCAGCACCCCAGTGTGCTGCCAGGAGACACCAGTGGGCATCCTGGGGTTGGTACCCAGTGTTCTGCTTTCTGCTCTTGCTCCTGCCTCCTTGGAGGCCAGGAGCCACATGCCTGAGGCCCAGGAATGTGATGGGGAAACAAGTTTCCCAGATTGGCCAAAGACCAAGATGGGAGCCATTGCACCAAGGTAGGCGTGGTAATTCAGTGCCACACGTTTCCCATGGTCAACCCTGCAGTCACTCTTCCCGCTAAGTCAAAGTGTCCACTTTGCTGTTGTCAGGTTATTTGGTGAATTTCTGTAGCCTCTAATGATGAGTAGTGAGTGGGAACTCTGTCTCCTTTGCTCCTAGCATCTACCAGGAAGACTGTTTCAGCGAAGGCAAGTCTCATACGGAGCTGGGCCTTGTGCACGCATGTGTCATAGCAAGCACTCATGAAGATGGGCCGGGGTCTCTTGTGAGCCTGGGGCAGCCCCGGGGGAATCTTGCCCTCAGAGAAGCACTTTTCACCATAGATTCACCCCTAGGTGATGCTATGCAGTCCTCATGGTAGGAATTACCAACTTCCACATCGGCTCAGGGGCCAGGATCTTCTAAGTGGTGGGACTTCGGGTCAAGCAGAATTCTGGACTCTGAGTGGCTTCCTAAGAGTTGGCCTGCTGCTTAGCCTGAATCTCAGGGCAGGTACAGACAGGATGGCGGTGCCCACAAGCCCTTTTTATCCAGCTAGCTAAAAGCCACTCATTGTACTAGCAGAAGCACGTTTCTACACATGAGAGGAAACACTGCATCCTTTTCGGTGCAGTTTTACAGAAAACTATTTAACGCGCTTGCTGTAGCTACCCCTGGCATGTGGATCCTGAGAATCCGCCCCTGGGCAGATTCACTCGGGTCACACACTTGTTTATCACACGGTGTGTAATTGACCTTAGTATGTGTGCATATGGACAGCATACCACGTAGCAGTGCCCTGGGCATTCTGACCTGCCCCTCCTGGCGTGTTTACTCCTCTCTACCCATAGTTCTGGCTGCCGTGCCTCACCCTGCCATGTGGCAACCACATGCCGGGCACTGAGAGGAGGCCCGGGTGAGAGTCTGGTCAGGGTCCTGCCTTCCTGGGAGCATTCTCCTTTGAGCACCACCTCCCTCTTCTTTCTCTCTTCCCCTCCCCCTCCAGTCCTGGACTTCCTGCTGTTCCTGGTCCAGGGGGAGGGCAGGTACCACACAGTGATGGGTGTCCTGCAAGCTGAGCCTGGGTTGTTGAAACTCCTGGCCCAGAAGCCTCTAGCCCCCAGCCAAGGTCCCTGTTTGGGCCGCGTTATGACAGTCTTGTTTCCGGCATGTCAGGTGTGACCATGCCTTCTGTCTCGATGGCTTTCCTTGCTGGTGGTCTCCCTGTGGGGCTGCTGTCCTTATGTGTCGAGGTTTCAGAATGGCCAGGCTCTTGGTGGGGAGGCCCTGGATGGACATGCTGGTGGCCCAGGAGAGAGCGACCCATCCTCAGTCCCTCTGCCTGTGAAGGCAGACTCTCCTGCCTGCCCTGGCAACAGCTCTGCGCCAGCCTGTCTGTGTGGCTGCCGGCAGCCGCGGCTCCTGACTGGCTGCCTTCTCCCAGCTCCCTCACGCCCTCCAAGGCTCACTCACTCACTCACTGGCTGCTCGCAGCAGCTCAGGCAGCGTTCAGGCAGATGGTGCAAGGGAGGCGTGGGCGGGGGTCCTCGGACTCTGCTTGCACACCCCCATGTGTGGGTGAGGTCACGCCCAAGGGATGTCATCAACATACGCTGGGATGGGCTTGGTGCCATTCAAGATCTATCTGCAGGGACAACAAAACCCGACTTCGAGGTCTTAACAAGTCCCTCGGGAGTCTCCAGACTCGAGTCCTTACACTGCATCACCCACTCCCCTGAGCCACCAGGCCCTGGTCTCCTCTCTTGACCCACAGGACACTGCAGGCAAATGCTGGGTTGAAATTCCAGCTCTGCCGCTTGTCAGCTGTGACTTTAGAGAACTTAGCTAACTCTGCAAAATGGGGGATAGTATCAGTTCATGGCATTGTCAAGAGGAATGAATGGGATTTGCAGCTAAATGCTTAGCAGCACCTGGCGAAGAGCAAGCGCAGGAGATGAGTTAACCGGGATTGTGTCATGGAGTTCCCCGGCTCGTGTTGTGTCCTCTCTCTGGAATGCTGCCTTCTCTTTCCCCTGTGATTCCTACTTTGATCATACCTGTCTTTCAGATCCTAGCTCCTTCTGCTTAAAGCTGGCTCTGCTCCCCCTCCCCCAGTCCTAGGCGGACTTCAAGGCCTTCACTTTGCTCCTCATTTTTTGTGCCTGATTTCTGTGCTTCACTTTTGGGTCCACTCCACCTGGTAGCAAGGGGGTGCTTCATGAGGGCACTGGATGGGATCTCTTGACATATACATGTCCTGCCCTCACTGGTAGAACAAAGCAAGAATCTAGCTCCTTCATAGCTCCTCAGAACCTCCGGGCAAACCTGGCTATGGTCCCCTTACTCCCTGCAAAGTGGAGCACATGACCAAGCCCATTCGCAAGGCCTTAGGATGAGAAGTCATAGTGATCCCTTTACAGATGGGCAGCTGAGGCCAGGAATGAGGAGGGGATGTACCCAAGGACACGTAAGAAGTTGGAGACCCTGGCCTGCTGCTTCTGTGCCTCTCTGCTGGGGGTTGGGGAAGGAGTCGGGCCATCTCTCAAGGAATCCGGGAGGACTTCACAGAAGAAGTGACAGGAGTTAAGGCTTGAAAGAGGATGGGTTCATCACATAACCAAGGCAGGGAAGGGCATTTAGGCAGAGGGAACCCCATGAGCCTAGTGCTCAGAGGATGAAAACCTTACTCTCTTCCTGGGACAGTCATTGAGACTGCAGTGAGAGGTGGGAAAGGGCCTGGAGCATCGGGAGAGTGAGAAATCATTGGGAAGGGCAGGAGCCAGCATTAAGGAGAGGCAGAGATAGAGAAGGTGAGCTGGTTAGAGGCTTGGCCCAGACCCGTGTATGTGCCAGATTAGACTGGGGGAGGGAGGGCCCAAGGATAAGCATCCCTTTGTGCCAGGTGCTTCATCTCTTAGTGCTTACAGTGACCTGAGAGGTGTGCTTGTTTTAGAGATGGGGAAACCAGATGCAGAGAGGTTTGGTGGCTTGACCAAGGTCTCATGGGCTAGTAAGAGGCAGAGCCAAAATGTGAACCACCAGCAACATGACTCTCAAGTCCTCTGGTGGCCACCACCTGTTTGGGATGGGGTGGCAGCTCCTCTCAGGGCAGGGGCCCTGTAGTCTACTCCCCAAGCAGGTGTGGGGGCCACTAAGAGAGTGTATGGCCCACAAGGTTCATTGTTAGGTCCTAGGCATGTGTCCAGGTGCACATAGACACCTTCAGTGAACCAGATTGTTCACCAAGCCTGGCAACTCTCTTCAACTAGGCCCTATTGGAAAATGGGTAGGATGCCAGGCAGCCTACAGCTGGGCAGCTCCAACTCTGGCCTCTGTTGCCCAGCAGCCAAAAGGTGGGGCTCTTGTAAGACCTGAGCCCCTCACCCCGTGTCTGGGTCCTGTAGCATTTCGGTCCTTACTTCCTTGCAGTTCTCAGGGTGTGGCAGTTGTCTGTGTGCCTCATTGAGTGGCAGATCTCCTGTGGACCGGGCCCAGGCCTCCTCTCTGGGCCTCTGGCACCTAGCATACAGCCTGGCCCAGCACAGGTGCCCAGTAAATGTTTGTACCATGAACGATACATTGAGCACCTACTGCGTGCCGGGTGCTGTGCCAGGCCCTGGAATAATTAACTTCGGCATGGCACTTTATGATTCACAGAGCTCCTCCCAGTCCCCTTAGGAGTCTGATTGTCTCAGATCAGGTATTTATTTCCCTGTTTTCCAAACAAGGAAACTGAAGCTTAGGAAGAGGAGGGCTGTAGCCTCAGGTCACATCTGTCAGCCAGGGAGGGGCAGAACCAGCCCCAGCCACTGCCCACTCCCTGCTCCCTGGGCAGTGAGCACACCCTGGAGGCTGACAGCTGTTTCTTTCCAACCCCTGCAAGCAAGAGATAGAGCACCCTGGCTGGCAGGGAAGCCAGGCCAACAGAGAATCCGTATCCCAGGAAGCAGGGCTCCTGGGGGCTGCAGTAGGCACCTGGCTCATCCTCAGGGCTCCACCCAGCAGGAGCAGGGGCCTCCTCTTCCACTACCAAGGACCTGGTTGCTGGGGACAATTGTCTGTGTCTGGGGTAAGTCAGAGGCAGGAGAACAAAGAGAACCCTTCCTGCCAATGCCACTCTGACCTTGAAAACCCTGTGGGGTTTCATTTACTCGAAAGAAAAAGGGAAGAGTTGGTTACCAGCTTCAAAGAGGGGCAGACCTCCTGCAGGCGAGCATTGAGGAAACCTTGGCTTTGTGAGTTATTGCTGCCAAATTTCTCCTTTTCAGTTTAACAGAAGTCCTGGGGATCACTGTCCATGGGCTGGGGAGGAATCCGGCCACCTTTTTTAGAAGGCAGGAAGGTGCCAGGATCACTGCTCTTACTTTGGTTGGGCTCTAGGTGGCACAGCTTCTGATGTAAAGATCAAATAACAATAGGGAGATCTGGATGCAGCCTGAAGGCTCACCCCAGTGTCTTGCTGCAGGTGTGCCCAGCTGTGGGACCAGGACCCCAGGAAGGAAGGGCATTGTTCTGTCCCTGCTGTGGGAGTCTCTCAGGGAAGCAGCATAGCACTCAGGAAATCCTGGGCACCGTGAAGGGCTGTGTATTTATTCCTTATTCCACAAACAATAAGCAAGTCCCTGCTGTGTGCCAGGCACTGAGTGGGATCCTGGGAGAAGGATTGATGTGTTGTGGGTCCTGCCATGTCCTGCCTGTTGTGACAGTCCACCACTGTAGTGGCATCTGTGTCCATCTGGAGAGTACATGTTCTGCTAAGGGGGGCAGCAGCCCCTGCACCATGGCACTGGGCATTTGGTGGCAGGCCTTTGGATTTATAAGAGAAGCCAAAAATCTAGAGGTTTTTTTGTGACATTTTAAAATTTCACATCTTTAAATGTTGGCATTTGATTCAAAACTTAAAAATGTCAACACTGTGTGGGCTAAACAAAACATGAATGTTGACCAAATACAGCTCATACTCTTTAGTTAAAGACCTTTATCTTAAAGGTTGGATAAAACCCAGATGGGCAGAGGGCAATAGGCAAGGTCTTCCTGGGGAGGGGGCACCTGGACAGAGGGGTGGTGGTGGGAATCTGCCTGAGCATTTTCAGGGCAGCTGGGAACTGGGAAGTGAGGGGCGGAACTGATGGGGCCCCGCCCAGTCATGGAATCCTTGCATGCCCTGGACGTGCAGATGTGCTGCAGGCCTGACCCAGGCTGCCCTGAGAGCCTCCAGCTGTGTCCATCCCTCCAGTCAGCAGCGTTTACCCAACACCGTCACATAAATGAGGCTTTGGCCAGGCAGGAGCTCAAGGAAGAAGGGTCATGAGTATTTAAGAGAAACCTCCAGGACACACGATCCTCATCTCCAGGAAAGCTATGGAATGGGGGCTGTCGATCTCTCCGTTGTCCATGCATGCATGTGACCTCCCCTGCCATTTGCATTTGCTCTCCTGCAGCTCCTTCAGGTTCTGGGCTGGGCCAGGAGGGCTTTCGCAAGAACACCTAAAAACCCTTGGAAAGGGGCTCTTCCCTTCTCCTCTTCCTGTTCCTCCCCTGCAGGAGTCCTGCATTGTTCAGAGGGTTTGAACGGCTCTGGCCAAAGCCTGTTTGGGTGTCTTCCTGTTCGGGGCCTGCAGTTATGACTCCTCCCTTTTTCTCAGTTTCTCCCCGTCTGCCACTCCCCCCATGATCCATATTTGAGTTTCTTCTAAATGATCACCTGCAGAAATGGTCCTTCAGATTGTCCCAGAGATTTGCCCAGGAAACTTTCATTGAGCCCCTGCTGTATGCAGGGCCTTGGGCCAGAGAGGGGACTGAAACCCAGGGCTCCCACTGACTGGTAGAGTAGACAGCCACACAGACAGCCAGTGGGTTTGAAGAAGAAACTCAAGTGTGGATCATAGGGGGAGTGACAGACAGGGGGAAGAAACAGAAAAAGGGAAGTTATGACTGCAGGCCTACCTGGGAGGCTGAGGCAGGAGTATCCTTTGAGCCCAGGAGTTTGAGTCTAGCCTGGGCAATATAATGAGACTATGTTTCAAAACAAGATAAGTTAAAAAAATTGCAAGTATAGAGTACCAAATTCCAGGCACTATAAAGCAAAAAGTAACAAAACTTCTATGCCACTCCCACCATAGAATCTCTTACTCCACCAAAAGCCACGGTGGACTGTTGGTCGGGGACTTTTTCTGCAGACTTTTTTCTGTGGCCAATGAAATGATCTTATCCACGTCCCTGTGCCTGGAACAGGCCACCCAGCATGCTCCTGCTTCCTTGGCCTGCAGAAGGACTGAGGGAGCCTAGCTGCCATGGCCCAGAGCCCTCTCTCCCAGCACCCACAGCCTTTAGTCCCATAGCTATGGTGCTGGGTGGCCCTCCATGGACGGAGTCTGTGGCTCTGGAAGGAAGAGGGCATGGTCTTTTCCCAGCAGTGCCACACAGACTCAGGCCGTGGGCTGCCTCAGCCAGCAGAGAGGGAGGCAACAAGCAGGCTGGCTGGCTGAGGACTTCGAGAGCACACAGGGCTCCCCCAAGGGATCCTCGGGATTGAGTTATTTCTGTTTTTGCTCACCTGTGCCTGGCCCTGGGGACAGAGACAGGAATCAGCTGCAGTCCCTGCCTCCCTGGAGGAGCTCCCAGTCAGGTGGGAGAGGTGCCTGCCACCCCTGATGAAACTGTCTCTACCTCAGGTTCTCCCTGCTGCTCAGAACAAGGGACAGCCAGGAACCAGGTCCAGGGAGGAGTGTGGTCTGGGCTCAGGGGAGCCCTGGAGGAAGTGGATTGTAAGCTAAGATTGGGAGGAACTCTCCCCACCCTGGTTTCACCTGATGGGTCTTGCAGCACCTCCTGCTCAGTAAGCAAAGAACTGGATGGGAAAGAACTGACATCTGTGCAATGCAGACACTTGGAGCTGTTGTTTCATTTAGAGTACAGTGTTTTCCCCTAGAGGCCCTGTGTGGATGAAGACACAGAGCTGGTTGAGGATTGGGCCCAGGGGGTAGGGCGGAGAGGAGGGTGCATGGTGAAGATTTGTCTACTTAGGCTGGTGAGCCCACTCGGGGTGGAGCACTGGCTTAAGGCACCTTGGCCCTGCCCACTGCTGCTGGGGGACCTTGATCAAGGTACTTCATCATCAGTCAAATGGGGCAGAGAGCCCTGCCCACCTCCCAGGGCTTCTCTGAGAGTCTGCCTGACAGTCTTTCTGCCTTGGGAGCAGCAGAGCCTGGGCCCATGTTGGGGATGATGAGGATGTTGATGGTAACGAGGATAGTGACAGGGACAACATGGGGGATTGTTTACTGAGGATTCCCTCATGCTGGCGCTTGAGGTGACACACCCTCACTGTGTGCTGTGTGCCCTGCCGTCATGGCTCCCCACTGGACCCTGCACCGAGCCCTAGACTTGCTCCCCTTTCAGTCAGTTCTCTGCCCAGGACTCACTTGTTATGACTCAGGTTCCTTCCTGTGGACCCTGAATGGGGAGCACCTGACTACCTTTCCAGTTGCACTTCCCCCACCCCTCCCCGTTCCCTGCCCCACGAGTGCTCCAGCATACATCTTTGTCCTTGTTCCCTCTTCTTCTCTTCCTGGAACATTCTTTGTTCAGATACCTGTGTGGCTTGCTGCCCCACTTCATTCAAGTGTGAATCCAACCACCCGGTCAAACACAGCCCCCTCCCATCCTCTAGCCAGGACCTGGCTCTGCATTTGTCTCTAGCTGTTGAGTTCACCTGATGTTGTTACATACTTCGTGTACTTTTCCCACACTCTAGACTGTACGCCACATGCAAGTAGAACATTTATGTCTTGTACCCTGATGTGTCTCTGGCACCTAGAATCGGGCCTGACAGAAAGTTGGTGAATGAACAAACAAACATTTAATTGTACCCCATAATGTGGACACATTGCTGTCTACATTTTACAGATGGGGAAACTAGACTCAAAGAAGAGGTGGATTGACTAGCCCAATGTCATACAGCTGCAGCGGGACAGAACCAGGATTTTAGCCCAGTGTCTGTGGCCTCTGAGCCCTGTCTCAGCCAGTAGACACTCCCACCTCCCCAGAATCTAGGATGGACAGGAATGGGAGGGGGCCCAAAAAGGTGGGTAGGATTTTACCCTGGGGATTGAGGGGTGAGGCCAAGGAGGGGGTGAACCATGAGGGTCTGAGAGGGCCAGGGGCAGGTCGGGGACTTCAGTGAGGGTCAGGACAGGGAACCCTTGCAAGACAGTCTCTGAGGAGAGCACCCCCGGCACCAGCCACTCCCAAAGACCAGCCGCCTCCAGGCTTCTTGTGCTGGCTTTGGTTCCTGGCACGATTTCTGTTTCCCAGAGGAGCTCAGGCCTGGCCCGGCTTCCCAGGGTGGAGAAACACATGGTGAGTGAGTGTGTGTGCGCGCGTGTGTATGTGTGTGTGTGTCCAGCCTTGCTGTTTGCGTTGTCGTCACGTCTTCTTAATCAGCCTATTTCTGGGAGCGATGACTTCATCTCCTGTGATTCTCGACACAGCCATTGTCAGGCGTCCATGGAAAGATTGGGCCTGGCAGTGTCCATATTCCCCTAACGAGCCAGGTTGGGAGAGCCAATTGGCGGGCCCTGGTCTGACCTGGCTCGGGGGCTTATGGTCAGGTCTATCTCCAAGAGACTCCACTGCCCAGGGTCACCCTTAGATTTGGCCTCTTTGACCCTGGGGTACCCAGTGCAGCAAATTCCAGCCATTGTTTCCTGTGTGCTTCCTCTGTGTACGCTCTGCTGTGGGCAGGGGGTAGGGGACAGTCACGCCAATCTCTGCCCTCAAGGGCTCCTGCTGTCTGACAATGCAGATGAGTCAACAGACCTCACCTTAGAGGGTCTGTGCGTGAACAGAGAAGGGAGTGAGGACTCTACCAGCGCTCAAGGAAGGCTCCACTGAGTTGGTGGTTGGGCCACAGGGTGAAGGTGAAGGTTCCCTTGAGGGAGGGAAAGGGCTTTTGGGCATGCCAGGTAGTTGGGTATCACTGGGCACGGGGCGGCTATGTGTTGGGCCTGGAGAGTGCAAGGAATAGAGGGGAAGGTAGCAGGAAGGCAGCAGGGTATGGACTTGATCCTGAAAGTAGCTGGGAAGGATTTTAAGAAGAGATGGGACCTAGATAGATCAGCGATTTTAGAAGCAAGTCCTTGGCTGTGTGTAAGGGTAGGTGTGGAAAGGTGTGACACTGGGAAATATATACAGTATTTGGTTTCTTGGCACACGACTCCTGAAATCCTTAGATTCTTTAAAGTGATGTCTACTTATTTGCTAATGAGTTGACTGATGGCTGGCAGCCCCTAGGTGGCTTCAGAAAGGGGTCACAGAAAAGACCAAGGCAGGATTAGAGGGTTAGAACTTTCAGCCCACCCCACAGCCCCTGGGGCAGGGAGAGAGGCTGAAGGTTAAGTTAGTCGCCAATGGCTAGTGCTTTAATCAATCATGCCTATGAAATGAAGCTTTTATAAAAACCCAAAAGGACAAAGCTTGGGGAGCTTTCAGATAGCTGAATGCTTGGAGGTTCCTGGAGGGTTCCTAGGGAGGGCATGGAAGCTCCACGCCCCTGCCCACATACCTCTCCCTATGCATCTTTTCATTGGTATCCCTTTATAATAAACTGGCAAACAGAAGTAAATATTTCCCTGAGTTCTGTGAGCTGTTGCAGCAAATTAATCAAACCCAAAGAGGGGTTTATGGGAAACCCAGTTGATAGCCAGTCGGTGGGAAGCACTGGTAAACCAACACGGGGCTTGCAATTGGCATCTGAAGGATGGGGGGATAGTCTTGGGGACTGAGCCCTCAACCTGTGGATCTGATGCTATCTCCAGGTAGATAATGTCAAAATGGAACAAAATTAGAAGACATCTGGGCTGGTGTCTGCTGCCCAACTAATCGCCTGCTTGGTGTGTGGGGACAACCCCTCCCGCCCCCACCACATCTGGTGTTGGAAGTATTCTGCTTTGTGAGAGTATAAAAGGAAAGGGGAGAAACTGAGTTGGGTTTTTTCTACAGAAGGTGTCTGGGACAGGGAGGAAGAAGCTGGCGACTGAGGGCTCAGCCCTGTATTCCCCTTTATCTTCAAGGGGAAGGGTCTCTTTCCCCACCCTACTCCCTCATACTGTACTTCAGGAACTGGTGCCAAGGCCAGCTGAGCTCAGCCAACTGCCAGGAGCTCAGTTCCCCACCCTGGAATGCTGGTGGGCTGGGGATGGGAGGTGGAGAGGAGTAGGGATGTGGGGTGGTCTCTCAAAAATATTGTGCTGGACTTACTGCAGGCTTATGTATAGCTTTGCCTGGAGGCAGGGGGACAGTTGAATGAGTGCCAGCAGGATAAAGCACTCTGAGGGGTGATACCTTGTGTCCTGCTCTTGGCCTGGACACTCGTTACCCCCTCACCTCCATTCCCCATCTGGAGATCCCTCAAGCCCCACCTTGAAGCAGAGACACTGATGTAACAGTTCAGGCTCCTGAGCTGCACTGCCCGCGGTGAAGCTGCTTCCCAGCGTTGTGGCCTCTAGCAGGTGACTTGCTCTGTAGTGAGTTTTAGTTTCCCTCTCTGTCAAATGGGGACAAAAAGTGTAACCATTTCCTAAGATACTTGTGAGGATTAACATATGTTTTAAGAGGGAGGCTTAGCAGAGTGCCTACACATAGAGGCGCCAGCGTGCCTTAGCATGGCAGTGGGGGTGTGGCAAGGGTGAGGGCAACTGTCTTCACCATAATTGCCAAGGCTCCCTTAGGATTCAAAAAGCCAGGGATCAGAGGAGTGAGGAGGTGTGATGGGAAGGCCCAACAGGAGAGCCTGTTTGGCGGAGCAAGAAAGAGACTGGGCCCTCCTCTCCACCACTCTGTGACCTCATCTCTCTGAGCCTCAATTTCTTGGCCCAAAGAAATGGTGAGAAAAGGAATGTTGGGGGCCCCCACTGCAGGGGCAGGTGAGGAGCTAATGTATCTGTTAACACTTGTGTATTTCCTTTTCCCTCAAAGCCGAGAATCAGCTGCTTGCCTCTCTCTTGGGCAGGCATCCAGCAGGGAAATGCTTTGAAGGAAGCCTTCCCAAGCTGAGGGTAGCCAGGCTCTCCCACCTCCATCTCCTTCTCCCACACAGGGCTGTCTGCCTTCTCCCTTGTCCCTGAGCCACCACCCATCATCCTTTGCATGCCTTCATTGTTCCAGCTGCTCAGTGTTGTCTTTTTTTGTAAGAAAACAGTCCAGTTCAGCAAACATTTCATAAGCACCTGTTGTCTGCCTGGGTCTTTTTTGGGCTCAGGGCATACAGGGGATGGTTAAAGTACCAACCCAGCTATTATAGGGGAGAATATTATGGAATTGTTTTGAAAGATCTGAATGCAAAAGCAGCGATCCCAGGGCAGGAGGCCCTGGGTTCTAGGCCCTTGTTCTCCTTTCTTCCCTTGGGACCTTGGGCAACTCATGGTACTTCTCTGAATCTCAGTTTCTTCAACTCAAAACCCAGGTCAGTCTGTTGATGCCCCTGGTTCTAAGAGGCATCCTGTGATCAGTTTTGGAGTAACACCCTGTGGGCTCATCAGTTAGAGAGGTCTGTGGGAACTGCAGTTTCAGGCCATAGTGAGAACAGCAGACCCCAGAGGGAGGAGTCTGATCCAAGTTTGAGTCCCGTTCCACTGCAGCTTTTGCTAGTTGCGTGAATTTGGGCCCGTTCCTTAACTCAAAGACTGGGTTTTCTCAGATGTAAGGTAGGCATTGTGATATGCCTGCCAATAGGGAACTCACGGGTCTTATTAATGCTACTGAGATCCTGTTCTCAGATACAGGGCCTGCTCCATGCCAAGAATACATACCCAACCCTCCAGAGCTCCTTGTATCAGAGAGGGGCATTAGTGCCCAACTTAAGAGGAGCCAGTGAGGGTGGGGAGGCCTGCAGCTGGCCCAGGAGCTCTAGAATGACTGCAGGTGGGCTGGGCAGGGGCTTCTTGATTTCAACATGCACTAGTGTGGAATTCTATCTAGCTTTATGAAGAAAATGTTTGCTAATGTTATTAATAGTGTAAATGAGATTTGGGGAGGGGGGGACAGCCAGGGGAAGGGGTTATTTAAACACACTTCAAAGAACACCCTTCTCCAGTATTTAAGCAGCATCATTTGCATATGTAATAATTGTGCTAATTATAGGTGGCCTCATCTGTTAACGACAAGTTTGCCTGGTTGAGTTACATTATTGTAATCACCCAATCATAATTCTCTGGCATGCTTTTCACTAAAGATAACAACAACAATAGTAATAATGCCTGTCATTTTTTAGTCTTTTGCTCTGTGCCAGGCTTCCTCCCAGGTACTTGACAGTCATCAGCTCATTTAATCTTCACAACACCTCTGTGTCCCAAAGATTCTTATCTCCTGTGTACAGAGGATGAAACTGAAGTGCAGAGAGGTTAGGTAACCTCCCTGGGCTCACACAGCCAAGAGCCAAGGGGGAAATGCCAGCTCACAGGCTCTTTCCACTGGCTAGCACTACTTCTCTGGGGACACTTGACATGTGTTCTCACCCTTTATCTCTAAGCCTTCTCTTTCTCATTTGCTCCTCTCAGAAACCCCCATTTTACCGAAGAGGAAGCTGAGACCCTAGGAGAGAATTTGGGGCTGGGCAGGAGGTGAGCCCAGGTCCCCTTAACTTTATGACAAAACCAGCCCCAGCATACCCACCTGCCTTCCTGCAGTAAGGGATGGAGGGCAGCAGCTCCTCCATGTTCTCCTCTGAAGTCTTGAAGGAGTCCAGCCTTGAGGAGGAGGGTGCTCCTTACCTCTGCTATCAAGCGGGGTAGGCCTGGCCTCTCCATCAAAGAAATTATAAGTAAACAGGTGGGAGGACTCTAGCACACCATTAATTGCTTTACATAGGTTGTCATTAAATCAGAGATAGTATATGGATGGCTGGTGGCCAGATGTAGCCCACAAACAGGTCTCATTTGGCCCGATGGGGTGGAAAGTTTTTGTTTTGTTTGTTTGTTTAAAATCATTCACCAACACTAGAACATTTACCTTAAACATTCACCTGAAAATCTAGGTTTCTGGCTTCTATTTTAAGACAGATGTGGCTTCAGTGGGCCTATATTCCTATAGGGCAAATAATTGGTTTCTTCAGTTCACCTCAGACTCCTTTTCTCCCTGGAAGGCTCCTCCCAGCAACCTTGGGAGGTGTGTGGGTGTGTGTGGGGTTATAGTGTTCCCATTCTGCAGATAAGGAGCCTGGGGCCCAGAGGGGACCAGCTGGGCCACTCCACAAAGCTGTTGGTAAGGTCAGGACTTGAACCTCCATCCTCATCTCCACGCTTTGTGGTTCTCACTCCACCTCGCTGCCTCCCAGCCATGTCCAACCCCCACTGGCCGCCAAGGAAAGAAAGAAACTTTTCACAGGCCTAATGACTCAAAAATAAGCAACAGTAAGCCTGAAGAACTGTTCCTATCTCCCTCCTCTCCCTTTCCACCCTTCCCGAGGCCAGAAGGGACATGGGAAACCTATTCATTTAAACTCAATTATTTTCTCGAAGACAGAACAGAACTGAATTGGGTCAACGGCTATATTTGCTGTGCTCAGCTGTTTTCCTGCAACAGCATCACCCGCCGGGTCTGTTGCTGGGCCCTGCACTGCCAGGCTCACCAATTATAGCTCCATATTGGTAGCCATTCCTTGGGAAGCTTGGCTCAGGAAGAGAGGAGTCAGTGAATAGAACCTATCACCCTCTCCTTTTTCGCCCAGCAGGCTGCAGGGGCAGGGTCCCTGGGCCAGTGTGGGTCCAGGCTCCGTAACTGTGTGGTCAGCACCTCCAGGGACCTAGGCTTCAGGTATTAGACATTTAATGTCCAACACCTATCTGTAGGGGAGGTGCATCTGCAGCAGAGTTTCTGCAGATGAGGAAACTAAGGCTTAGAGAAATGAAGTGCTTGTGGGAGAAGCAGACCTTAGAGTCAGGCACAGCTGGCACTTTCTAGCTGTGTGACTGGGAGCAAAGAACCTGACTGCCTTGCTCCTCTGATCCCACCTGTAAAGGAGGCATAATTTGACATACCTCACAGGGCTGGGCTGTCCTGTTGTAGATGGGTTGCAGTGTACATGCCAGCAGCCTGCCCAGGGTTAACCCTCCTGGCAATGAGAAGTGTGCACCATGTGCCAGGCACAGAAGTTGGTGGGGGCACAGAAGTTGTTGGGGACACAGATCTCTGAAGAAGGATATGCTTGGACATCGTTCTCTCCAGATACCTTTCCTGATTCCCTGCTCCCAAACTGGAAATGCTCCTGCAGTCTCTCTAGGTCCCCTGTTGGTCCAGGCCCTGCCCTGGACACTTTTCACCACATCTTCTGGGCCTACAGCCTGTTATATATATTTTTTTGTTTGGTCCTAATATTTGTGTACCTTCCCCTCTCTACTAAACTGCCAGTTTCCTGAGGACAGACCGGGTGTCTTGTTCACCTGTTTGGCTCCTGGTGTCACTTCCTTCCCAGCTGGGTGGCCTTGGACTGGTTGTTTAACCCGGTGCACCTGTTTTCACATCTGTAAAATGGGAACAGTGATCTCTCTCCCTCTGGCACATGTCACGGCAAGGAGGTTAATATCACACATGGCAGCACTGTGCCAGATGGCTGACGGAATGGAGTCTAGAGAAACATTGGGAGGAAACCAAAGCAGAGGCTGCCCCTCTGCCCTCCTTGAAGTAGGGAGTATCTAAGGAGGCGAGGCATAGTGGTTATAAATGCTGTCTTGTTATAGAATTGCTGTCTGGTTACATGGGGAAGTGGGAACAGAGTGGTGGCCAGTGGGCCTTTCCTTGTCTCCTCCAGCTTCTTGCTGCAGAGTGCTGGGCTTGCCCCAAGAATGGACTGCTCTGGCCTCACGGTCATCTCAGATTGCCCAGTGGGGCTGGGGCTGGGGCTGGGGCTGGGGCTGGTTGGGACCTACCCACAACCACTGACCTCCAGGTGCCCGGGTTACAGTACCTGGCATTAGATCTCTTCTTTTGGGGTCTGGGTGTAGAGCAGGATCTCCCTGCACTACCCCACGATATTATTGCTGATCTCAGGGTTGGGGAGTGTTTAGGGAGGCTTGAGTTCCCTGACCTTTCAGGAAGCATGCATGTGAACTTAGGCCTCGGACCTCGTGTAGACATGGTGTGGTGATGGCTGGGCCCTACTCTGGTGGGGTGGACGCAGGACTTGGGGACTAAGCAGCAAGTGACCTAGCCACAGACACAGAAATGGCTCTGGTGGGAGCCCAGAGTGGCACTGGACTCTCTGGGGGGCCAGGGCTGAGGGGACTGCCCAGGTTGATCCCGGCGTCTTGTACAATAGAACCAGCAGTCACAGGCTCATAAACTGTAACCGTCCTCTTTCCGTTGCCTCTTGGTAGCATTCAGCCCCTGGCACACTATGCTGGGTGTTGCCTAGTACTTGGCACTGTGACAACCAAGAAAGAAAAATGCTGACCATGTCTCACTGCTTGTTCGAGTAAATTTACTCTATATTTTTTAGAGATGTCGCATGGGTGGGAATTTACTCCCACTAAATGTTTTGATGGAAACATTACATTTTTGGAGTGAACATGTGTCAACATCACTGTGGAGAAAAGGTTCCAGGATTCTCTGCCAGCCAAAGTCATCACCATAAGACACTGGTTGGGGGCCTGGCAGGCGGAGGTGATGCGACCAGGCTGGTAGTGGGGCAGAGGTAGCCAGATGGGTAGGAGTCTGCCTGGCTGGTCTGGAGGGAGAAGGGGATCTGAGCTGGGGGAACTGAATAGGTGGTGAGGAGGAAGGGAGTAGGGAGGCTGTGGGCTGATGACATACATTAACCACCCACACAGCTCAAAACTAGGTGAGTGGGGAGCTTGAGGGGCAGGAACAGCGAGCAGAGGCTCTGAAGTGTTGAACACTGGCAGCTCAGACCCGAGGGACAGGCTGGGGCCAGATTGTTGAGGGTCCTAGAATCCCAGCTCCCACCAGTAACTAGCGATGTGAGCTTGGGCAACTTTTCCAACCTTTCTGTGCTTCTGCTTCATTTTTAGTAAAATGTAGCATGGATAGCCACAGCTTATGGCTCTTTGGAGAATTAAAGGAGATAATGTCTGTAAAATACCTAGCGCTGGGCCTGGCACATAGCAGGTGCCAGGACACATTTGCTGTTTGTTGGTGATGATAAAGCCACACAAGTATAGATGTACTCACATAAATTAACAGCTGGTGCACTGAAACTACTTCCTGAGTTGGCCCTCAATCTAATACCAAGTTTGTTTTCTCACCTTCAGCTAAGTACAACTGGTCTCTTCAGAAGCCCTTGTGGTCTCTTGTACCTTGTGGTACAACTGTGGTCTCTTCAGAAGCCCTTATTCATGAACAGCCAGGCCCTGGGCTGACTTTGCTACAGGGCATCCGTCTCTGGCCCTGTACCTGTTTCTGTCCTACAGACGGATCCTGGGGCAGTTGGTGGGTTTTAGCAGCACCCTCCTTTAGAAAAAGCCTCTGTCGTCTGCTCAGTCTCTAGAAAGAAGAGATGTCTCCTCTCCCAGGATGCATGCATCTCTCCCCACGGGATGTACAGGCGTTGCCTGGAGGTATTCCTTGACAGTCGTGGCCCAGACTCTCTTGTCATTCAAAGAAATGGGAAGCTTTTTGAGGTGGGAGGGTTTCAGACTCCCCCAGAGAGCCTAGCCCAGTTGCTGAGGACATCTTCAGATCTGAAAGAAGATAAGACAGGAGCATCCTGAGCTCTGGGGAGAAGACGGCCTGCAGTGTGTGTTTCTCCATCACTCACGTATGGAATCCCTTAGGCCCTGAGAACCAGAGATGAACAGACCCCAAGGAAGGCCTGGCAGGGCAGGCAGCAGTAGCCAGGAGAAGGGAGTCAGACCAGGAATTCAGGCAGAGAAAGGGAGAGATTGTGCACTTTCCTGTGCCCGGGGCCACTGGGAAGGCTTCCCTCAGGTGGGGGCAGTTGAGCTGGGCCTTGAAAGGTGAATGAAAATTAGAAATGGGGGCAGGAGGGGAGCCTCGTGGAAGCAAGTGTGTGACTGTGAGAAAGGCGGGGCATGCACTGGGAAGAGTAAAAAAGGAGGCGGGCTTTGTGACTGTTCCCTGTGATAAGCTCCAGGTATAAAGGTGAGGAGTGTGCAGGGACAGGTAGGACCTACTGATGGGCGAGGCCCAAGGCTCTGGACTTGTTCTGTGGCCACAGGAGATGCTGAAACCAGGAGTGACTGGATCAGGGCAGCTTCTGAAATTCCCCCAGCTACACGTGGCCAAGAATGGTCACTGTGTACTCTGTACTTTTATGTGTTACTAAAGATGTTGCTGGGCCGGGCGCGGTGGCTCACGCCTGTAATCCCAGCACTTTGGGAGGCCGAGGCGGGTGGATCACGAGGTCAGGAGATCGAGACCATCCTGGCTAACAAGGTGAAACCCCGTCTCTACTAAAAATACAAAAAATTAGCCGGGCGCGGTGGCGGGCGCCTGTAGTCCCAGCTACTCGGGAGGCTGAGGCAGGAGAATGGCGTGAACCCAGGAAGCGGAGCTTGCAGTGAGCCGAGATTGCGCCATTGCAGTCCGCAGTCCGGCCTGGGCAACAGAGCGAGACTCCGTCTCAAAAAAAAAAAAAAAAAAGATGTTGCTGAAAGGAGCCTGCAAGCGGTTATGCAGACTTCTGAGCAGGGGCTAGGAAGGAGGGCACAGAGGAAGCAACAGCAGACAGCTGGTGAGGGTGGGAGACCCACTGGAGATGGACATATTCTGACCCTCAGATGCAGGCTCATTTCTTGTTAGCTCGTGACTCCTTACTATGAGAGCTGTCATGCAAAGGAAAAGGCCCTGTTATGGGGCCCTGTTTTCTTATAACAAGATATTATAACAGTGGGGATGACTCAACAAGGGGATGCTTCTTGCCTGAGGGAAATCTAGGAAGGCTTCCAGGAGGAAGGACTATTCAGATTGAGGAGGGAAATGAGGGGGCTAGTAAAAGGTGCAAAAACAGTTGTCTAGGGGTGAGGCACACTTTCAGATGTAGTTGGGTCAACTTGAGCAAATGACTTAGCTATTCCAGACTTGATTTCATCTATAAAGTGGTCACAGTATCTGCCTTGCCTGTTTGTTGCCATGATCATGAAATCAGTGGGAGCAGACCTGGCTTGGAGCCTGCACCCTGGAGGGAGGTGGTGCTCAGAGGATGCACTCTGCTTTCGCCTTCCTTGTTGGTTTGGCTGCTCTGGAGCCAAAGGGGGCTTCTCTGGCCCCAGGACCTCTCTGAGACTCTATCTTCACCTCTCCCCTGCTAGGAAATTTTATTAAGACATTGGATAAACAGATGACAGCTCTGAGGGAAAACTTCTCAGAAGGAAGGGGACAGGACACTAAGTGCTCTTCTGGCTGGGAGCCTTTTAGGCAGTAGGGGGAGCTGGGTAGCTCTTGGGGCTTTGGTGGTGTGGACTGATGCAAATGTGGGCAGACGGGGTGGTGTTGGATCGCCTGGCCTGTGTGCACGGCAGAGCTGAGCCTGGAGCCTAGGGCCCAGCAGGGGATGGAATGAGTCAGGGACTTTCCAGGTTGGGGGCTGCTGCTGGGGACACAGTAAAACCTCTTCACCAGTCCTGCAATAACCCCAGACAGTATCCTGCCTGCCTGTACACAGTAGGTGCCTGACACAGTCTGCAGCTTAGTAGGAGCTCAGTAGTTGTTTGCTAAAACAGTGGCGCAGGCTGCAACTGCCAAGGACTGACCTGGGGTCTGTGATGCCTTAGGGTGGAGGATGCGAGGAGCTGGGCAGGACCTAGGTGGGACTCCAGGGTGTGGCTCTTGTTCTCCCACTGGCTTCTGTTCATATTTACATCGGGAGGCTGTGCAGCCTCGGGTTCCTGGCCTCAGCTGGATTAGCACCTCTTGCTGGTGGCTGTAAGGGAAGGAGGTGTGACGGTATGATACCCTGCATGTGGTAGAGACTCAGTAAGTGGATACCATTGCGGTGGCTTCTCTGGTGGGATGGGAAAAAGGGTGACCCCAGGCAAAAATACCTGGTTGGCTGGGTGTGCCTTTCCCCTAGGGGTTTTTGTTTCCGTGTTTAAATGACCCAAGGATGAATCTCCAGGCCAGCAGGTGGGGCAGGGGTTTGTCTGCCCCCAGGCTTCTGGGCGCAATCGGGAACCTGGGCAGCTCACACAGCTCACCAGCCTGTCTCCTCCTTCCCTGCACCCGACCTTTCCCTTCTGTCCTGCCGGACTAGCCGGGTGCTTTCCAGAAGAGAAAACCCGGGACTGCTGCCTGGGAACCCAGTGCCCTTCTCAGCTTAGGCTGTCTAGACCCAAGTCGGGGTGGGGAGTCGGGTTAGGGGATCATGGTAGACAAACCCCTGGCCTTGTCTGGACCTCAGTTGTGTTCACTTGTTAAAATGTTGGAATGGAAATGTGGGGAAGGGAGAGCGTTTGCCTTGGTTGGGTCTCTGGGCTGCGCTGGTCTAAGCCCGACGAACCCGGGGTGGGGCCAGCGGGCCAAACTGGAATGCGCCGCGAGAGCCGGGCCGCGGGCAAGTGAGGGGCTGGCGGGGCCGGTGGGGACCCAGACTCGCACGAAGGTGGGGAAGGAGTTGCAAGGCAGAGACCCCCGAACCCCTGCTCCAGGGCCTGCGCGTCCCGCCCGCCCGGCGTGCCGAAGCGCAGCGGCGGGTCGCTAGCGGGAAGTGGCTGCAGCTGGAGGCAGCTGGCCGCGGAATGTCACCCGCTGCCGGGCCTGGGAAGGGCTGGGCCTACTGCTGTGGGGTGGGGGGCGGGTGGGAGGGCCCGGAGGGCTGGGGCTGGGGCGGGCCGCTTCCGGGCTGGAGAGGGTTTGGGGCGTGGCGCAGCCCGACGTTAGTCCGGAATGCTCTGGGAGCAGCGCTCGGGGGAGGTTACCTTGGCGCGCCCCCAAATCTTTTGGTTCCCCCGCTCCTGCCTTCCACTGCTCTGGCTGACCTGGCTCAGACCAGCTTGAAAAATGCATTCATTCATTCAGTACATCTGTCGAGTGTCTACTCTGTGCCAGGCTCTGGTTCGAGGTGTGCTGGGCTTACCGGGGCGTGCAGGTCCCTGTTCTCGTGGACCGGACATTTTCATGATAGGTAAAAGACAGAAACAAACAAGATGACTTCAGGGTAGTTCTGTGGAGAAAATGAAGCAGGGTGATAACTTGGGAGGTGGGAGTTGCCCCTTTAGCTAGAGAGATCAGGGAAGGCCTCTTCCTGGGACGGGACTTTGGGTCTGAGACCGGAATGAGGAGGAACCAGCCTTGCCCACGGAATGGCAAATACAAAGGCCCAGAGGCGGGGCTTGGGGCAGGATATGACCTTGGGCGGAGTCAGTATGTTAGGGGAGGAGCCTGTAGGGACGGCTCCTCCCTCTTTCTTGACCCAGACCTCTGTGCTCTGGCCTGCACCCTGCCCAGAGGCCCCAGAGGGCGACTTGCCATGGCTGGAAGCGATAGTTTGCTTTCAGGAGTGTTTCTCGTCTTCTTGGACCTGGAGGTTGTGCCATGTGGTTACCTGCATGGAAGACGGTAATTTTCCACTTGTTTCCTGAAGGACACGGAAACCTTTAGATGTTGTCATCACTGTGTTTATTTAAGTCATTTTTGAAATTTCAGCTTGGAAGACACAGATTCAGCACGTGCCTTTCGGGAAGGGGAAGCCCTCCTAGGCTCACCTCTTAGATGCCGGCCCGGCCGAGAGGCCCCCTAATCTGTCCAGAAGAGCTGCCTGGGTGAGCACCACCCTTGGGAATGGGCCTCTGTGGCCTTGGACTTCTTAGTGACAACTTCGGCAAGATCCTGGGCCGGGCCGGAGGGGCTGCTCACTGGAGACCTGGCCATCTTCGGAAGCCAGATCTGGCTCCAGAGCCTCGGGGGTTGCAAGTGCCCAGAACCAGGTCAGCAGAGAGGCCTGCGCTCCCACCACAAAGGTCTGTTTGAAGTCCTGTGGGAGGGAGGACAGACACCACAAGGAAACTTCCTCCCCGGTGGGTGGGTCTCCAGCCAGGTATGGGGTCAGACAGGCTTTGGTCGGGCTGGAGGGTGAGGAGCTGTTTCTCCAATGAGGCCTGGTCCCAGGACTGAGTCCTCAGTGGGCAGGGCTTGTTGGTGTGCTGTGAAAGTGCAAGGCTTGGGGGACTGAATGGGGGACTCCCTTGGACATGGGAGGAAGAGTGAAGGTGGGGGCTGGGGTTGCTAAACTGGTTCCTCCTCCAGGGAAGCAAGCCCTGCCCTCCTGGAGCTTCCAACCTGGAGGTGGGGAGGTGGGCTGGGGGGAAGCTTTAGGGCACAGCTCAGAGAAGGCCAAGCAGGCAAGGTTGTGGGGCACCTGGAAGGTGGGTGTCCAGCGGCCTGGCTGCTGACCTAGGCTCAGGGAACCAGCATTTGGTGGGTGAGCTGTGAGGAACGGGCCTTGACCCTAGGCTGCAGGGCTAATGAGGGCCTTTAGCCAGAGGCTCCCAGCACAGGTGAGGGGGAAACTGCCGGTGCCCCTGTGCCCTCGCGCTCTCCCAGCCCTGCCTCTCTGAGACAGATTTAATAATCCATGTCTGTCTCTCTCTCTCTCAGTTAGTATTGCAGGAGGGAAGCTTTACTTCTAAAACTTTTATTGATCCAGACACTAATAAAAGTAAAGGGTTTTTTTTTCTTCTTTCCTGCTAGAGCAAAGAACATCAGACATCAGAGCCCTAAAACACAAATGTGTTTTCCTCCTCCCTAGATCTGGGAGGGAGTTGTGGGTTGGCCTTGTTCAGATCTAGCCTCTTCAAGAAGCCTCCCTAACTTCTCAGGCCTGCAGTCATCCACCTGTTCCAGAGCAGTTAAACGAAACTGCCACATGTGCCTCTGTCTGACCCCAGAAGGCTGGGCTGTCACAGAAGCTTTCCTTCCCACCTGAGGTCCCCAGGGTTAGGGAGAGACGCCATGGGAGGCATTCAAGACCTGGCTCTTGATTTCTTGTGTCTCTCAGGGTTTGGGGTTTGGTTCTTTGGCTGCTCTGGTCTTTGTTTTTGCATCTTGATTTCATCAGGACTTACTGAGCTCTTATACTGTGTCAGACCCTCTCTTAAGACACAGAAATACAACACGTAGAGCTTGGCCACACACAGCTTACCTTGTGATGGGAGAGGCAGATAAGAAATAAGCAGAGAAACAAAGTGATTCTGCTTTGGGAAACATAGTGAAGTTCCCCTACTGAAATGTGAGTCAGGGAATTTCTGTCTGCTTTGTTCAGCACCTGTGTTCCCAGTGCCTAAATAGTGCTTGGCACATAGTTTGCACTTAAATATTTGCTAGCTGCATGAGCAAGATGCTATGAAGGAAACAAGCCAAGTGTTCCACTAGGGAGTAATGGGGGCAGGGCAGGACCTGTTGTAGATGGAGCAGTCAGGGAAGGATTGAGTTGCAGAAGATGCCAGAAGCCTGCCAGTTTGCTGTTAGAGTGTGCTGGAGCAAGAACTCCTAGCCTAGGGAGCAGCAAGTACAAAGTCCTTGAGCAGGAAACAGAGACTTTGGTGTGTGTGGTGGGGGGCGTTGGGTGTTGCTGGATGAGGTCAGAGAGTAGGTAGGTCATGACTGCCAATGTCTTTCACCTGGGTAGCAGTTCAGATTTATTCAGTGCAGTGGGGAGTAATTGAAGGCTTTTAAGGTGAGGAGTTCAGTAATCTGATTTGCATTTCTGAAGGGTCCCTCTGACTCCCCTGGTAGGGGTAAGGGGAAGCCCAGTGGTTGGGGAGGCTGCCCGGACAGCAGGCTGCCTGGGGAAGATGGAGAGGAGTAAACAGGTATGAGGGATTTCAGAGGGGGTAGCAGCAGGATTTGTGTTGGATTGGATTCCAAAGGCCAGGGAAAGGAAGGGCTCCTGGCTTTGCTACTGAGGCTCCACGCTGGACATTTCAGACGTGAAGCTCCGAGAGGTGTCCCAGAGGCGCTGTCAGGCAAGCATGGAGACACATGGGTCCGGAGCTCAGAGGAGGATAGGGCTGGGGATGCACTTAGGAGTCGTGAGCATGCTGGAGGTATTTAGAGCTATGGGAGTGGAAAGAATCACCAAAGGAAAGTGTTGTGCTAAGGAAGTGTCTCCGAAACAGCCCTGAGGAGCTCCAGCACTGGGAGGAAAGGAGGTGAGGTGCTAGCAGCCTGTGAGAACAGAGGAAAGCTGGAGCAGGGTGGCCTGGGTTCACGGGGTAGTAAGGCACAGAAACTGGTTGACTTTGGCAACATGAAGGCCTTTGGTGTCCTCAAGGAGACCCAGTGGGGTCGGAACAGACAGGTGTGTTGAGTAGGAAAAGGAGGTGAGAAGGTGGCGGGGACAGCAGTGAGCAAAGAAGTGCGTGAGGACCCAGCTGGCCCAGGATGTTGAGGAGGGGAGGGCCAGGGAGGGGCCTGAATGTTCTCTGTCCACAGCGTAGGTTTACCAGCAGCAGCTGACCCAGTGGATCTCAGCCTGGAGATTCTGATTCAGGAGCGCCGATAGGCCCCCCACAGTGATCTTTCCCAGCTCTCTGAGCCCTCTCCACCCACTCTCTGGAAGGCTTGCTCACTGTGCCCTGTCACGTTTTTGGACTGAATGCTGAGTCTGTTGACCCTGTGTTCCCCCCGTCAGCCCCTTTCCTTACACCAGTCTCTCTGGGTCCACGGCCCCTAAATAAGAGTATCCTGGAGCCTGGCTTACCTCAAGTGTCTTTCCCAGAGCAGAGCTAGACTTCCTTTACACCAAGGGTATTTCTCTGGAAGGCTCCTTTATGTGTTTGGCTTCTGGAGAAGTTTGAGATGTTTTACACAATATTTTGGTGGCCAGGAGCTCTAACCCTCACCCCCAACAACCCTGCCCCAAGACTTTTTGCTGGCTCTGGGGAGGGTTCAGAATGCATCGGCTTGAGGGTGCAGGGTTGGCATACACAGCTGGAGATAACATAATGTCTGCTAGACGCCTGGTGGGTTTCAGTGTCTGTTGAATGAATGGCACTCAGATATTTGAGTTTGGGGTTCCCAGTTGCTTTGTTAAATGCTTTTCCTGGTTAACCAGTGTTTTTACATCTGTTATCTGCAGGGGATAGTGTATTACCTCATTTTATACATGAGGAAACTGAGACTCAGGAAAGTAAAAGGATTTGTCCAGGGTTCCACAGTTGCTAAATGACACGACCAGAATTGGAGCCTGGGCCTGCAAAACCCCCAAATTGGGCCTCTTCTTACTGACTAATCCTGGGGGTGAGGTAGTAAGGGTGGAGGTTAAGGCACCCAGGTCTCCTACTACCTCTCAAGAATAGTGGCCAGATGTTCTGCCAGGGCTCCAAGGCATTCCTTCTGCCTCCCACCCACCTGTTTCCTCTGATGCTCGACACCCCCTCCTCTCCCCACATGCGCACCAGATGCATTCGGCTCCAGGAAGATAGGATGAGGCAAGCCTTGAACCTTGTCAAACCTTGGGGATGCTTGCGGCAAAGCCTGTAGCTTTTGGGGAGGCTGTTTCTGCAACAGGCGTGTAGGGTGGCCCTATGGCTGATGCAGAACTCCCCATAGGTAAGGTGAGCTCAGCCGGATCACATGCCATGACCACACGTGAGCATGGAAGACAAACCCAGAGAGGTCTGGAGGCAGGGCCCCTCCCGGAGAGGCAAAGCCACTTATGCTGCCTCCTGACAGCCTGTGTGGCTTTAGGCTCTCGCTTCCCTCCTGCTCTGCCCCTCCTACTCACCCAGCAGACTTGCTTAGTCTGGGCTTGGGTAGCCGAGACAGGTTGTTTTCAGGCCTCAAAGGATTTGGGCCACAGCCCAGCCTTTCTCAGTGTTTCTCACCTTCTGTCCTTGTCTCCTTATGGGACGGAGCAGGCATCTGGAAGGTGGCAGAGGGGTGATCCTGCCTGGAAATCACTGAGGGTCCTTTTATAGAAAGAAACAGGCTGAGAGAAAGAAATGACTTGGCCACAGTCACTACCCAAGAGGCTAGTTTCCTGTTTGTGCCTCCAGCTATCCTGGGGCAGCTTCCTTCACCCCAGCTGAAAGCAGGCTTTTGTTACGCGCTCACTCTCAGCAAGGCTTTGTTCTGTATCCTCTCGGCAATCCTATGAGGTAAATAATATTATGTCCATTTTTGAGGAGGAAACAGAGAGGCCTAGGGAGGTGACTTAACCTGTCCAAGACCACACAGGTTACAAGTGGCAGAGTCCGGGTTTGAACATAGCCTGGCTTCAGAGCTCATTTTCTTTACCATCAGGCTACACATTCTGAAACTTATTTGGCTTCCAGGCATCACAGAAACAGAGTGAGGGTGCTAAATCCTTGAATGACTCAGCCCCTGTGGAGTTGGACCTGAAGACGCCTCCTGGCCTTGGCTTTTCTGACCAAAGATAGCCACACTGGGCAGGGCACGGTGGCTCATGCCTATAATCCCAGCACTTTGGGAGGCCAAGGTGGGTGGATCACCTGAGGTCAGGAATTTGAAACCAGCCTGACCAACATGGTGAAACCCCGTCTCTACTAAAAAAATACAAAATTAGCCAGGTGTGGTGGCCCATGCCTGTAATCCTAGCTACTCGGGAGGCTGAGGCAAGACAATCACTTGAACCCGGGAGGCAGAGGTTGTAGTGAGCTGAGATTGCGCCGTTGCACTCCAGCCTGGGCAACAAGTGTGAAACTCCATCTCAAAAAAAGAAGATAGCCACACAGCACCTACTGTGGGCCCAGCCACTCCAGGTGCCAGAATGGCCCACGCTTCTCTGAGGGTGCCGTAGACCAGGTGCTGAGACGCAGACAGTCCAGTCTCTCTTCCCTTCCTCTCCCCATCCCACTCCTATTCCAGTAACTAGGCAGGCCCTGCCCACCCTTGCCCCAGGAGAAGCTCCACTCTTGTGGACAGTGGAAGGGCCTCGGCCAGCTTGCCTGAGTCCTGGGCTTGGAAGGACGGTTGCCCCCATCTGCCTTGGTTCCCTGCACCTGCCTTTTCTTCCCCGCATCCTCCCTCTGACTGCCCGCTTTTCTCTGCTTTCACCTTCCCCTAGTGTTCCTCTTCTTTCGTGTTGTGTCAGAAGCCATGATTTCCAGTCTTCTCATCTGGAAGATGAAGGAAAAGATAGACCCGACCCCACAGGGTTCTGAGGCTCAAACTGAAAGCCTGGTGGTGGGGCACCTGTGACAGGTGAGACTCCTCATCTTGCCCCCTTCTTTCTTCATCATGAAGAAGAGACACTGGAGGATGTGGAGCAGTTGGGGCCTGTGGTCCAGGTGGGATGGAGCAGTCAGGGCCTCGTGGAGGGAGCAGGTGGGAGGAATACTCTGGCTGGGATGGACCTCACGGGGTGTGGCCCAGCTTTGCAGCTGACTTGCATGAAGTCCTGGCGAGCTGGGGAGCCCTTGCACCCTCAGCTTCCTCATCTGAAAGATGGGGCAATGGTAATGCCTGTCTGTGGAGTGGTGAGGAACAAATGAGACTGGGCCACAAAGTACCCAGTGCTGTGCCCAGCACATAGTGCCCAAAGAGGGCTGCTATCTCATCTCTTATTCCTGAGATTTAGCTTCCTTGTTTTGTTTTTGAGCTCTTTGGGACCTTCGTGGACTTTGAATTTTTACTATTGTTCATTGTGTCTAAAATCTTCCTCAGAAGCCGAGGGCCTCTAACCTGATCATGAATTTTGGAGTTTCGTTTTTTGTTTTTTTTTTCTTTCCTGTTTCCTGTATAGGAAAAAGGGACCTGTACCTTTAAGACCCCAGCAGGCCCAAGTAGGACACTGGCCCTTTAAAAGCACATTACAGAGAGTTGGAACATAGCCTTTGTTGAACTAGCCATGATTAGTCCCAGCGGACAGGGCTGGAGTGGCATGTCTGGGATCAGGGCGGGGCTAGGCTGGCCGGGGCCAGCCAGGAGCAGCGGACAGCAGGAAGGCTCGCCCGGCCACTCGGCTTCCCGAGCCTGGTGGCTATGCTGAGGGATGGTGAGTGGCCTGAGCGGAGCTTAGAATAAGAGAGGCTGGGAAAGCCAGGAGGGAGGCAGCCCCAGAGCCCAGGGAGACCTGAATGAGCTGGGCGGCAGCAGACACCCTCAGTGAGTGACTGTCACAGGAGCTGGTCCCAGGAGGGACTCCGGAGCACCCTGCCCCTCTACGCAGACATCCACTGCCGGCCCAGAATGTAGAAACGGTTAGGAGGGACCTGTGAAAAAGCGGGACACCAAGAAGAGCACTGTTGCTGTTTTTAGTTTTTAAAATAAGAGGAAGCCCAGTGTGAGTTGCTCTGTCCCCCAGGCGCGGTGTCCCCTGTGGTGTGCTCCGTTGAGAACTGGGAAATGCCAGGGACTGCTGACAAGTTTTCTGAGCTGAGGAGCTTGGCCTTTGCTCTGAGTGGCCGAACCTTTGGCTGGCTGGGTGGGGCTGCACTGGGGTTTGGGGGCCATGGTATCTCTGCCCCAGCTCCTCAGCAGAACTTTGTTTTTTCTTCTCCCTTCCTGCTTCCACTCCCTAGTCCATGGGGCCCAGGCCCACTGGGTGGGGTGGAGGCGGGTGGGAGACTGGGAAGACTGTGTCTGGGCCAGGAGCGTGTTTTGGCTCTGCTTGAATATTTGAAACAGTTGTCAGAAGCCAGATCACTTTGGTGTGGTAGCGTCTTTACTGGGCAAGTACCCATTTCTGAAAAAAAGTCAGAGGAAGGATTGGGCTTGTTACAGCCAAGTCTCAGTGCAGGTTGGTCCTAACCGCCTTCATTGCCACGGCTGGGGGCGGATGAGACTGCCTGCCAGTAGGTGTCCTCACTGTTTTACAGACAGCCACCCAGGAGGTGACAAAGGCAGGGCTCAGTACATTTCTGGTGACCCAGGCTTCCTGTAGTTACTTAAAAGTTGGTGCATTTGGTCATAGGATTTTTGTAGGTTTGGTGAAAACCTGAGGCATTGACGGGCAGTGAAGAGAGTTTGAAGTTAGAGCCGAAGTGCCAGGTGTCCTGTTCCACCCTTGTGCCTGTGAATCGTGACCTCAGGCAAGCTGTTTGACCTCTCTGAGCCTCTGCTTCAGAGCAGAGGGCGTGTGCATAGGCGCAAACCCTGGAGGGAGTTGTCAGTTCTGGGGGAGGCTTTGTGGAGGTGGTGGCCTTTGAGCCAGGCGTAGACGGATAGGCTGCTGGAGTGCAACCCCTTGAGCAGAGGCGTGCAGTTTAGCATGATGAGCCAGATAGGGCCAAGCAGGGCTGGCATGGCTGGGTTGGGACCTGGAAACGTAGCTTGGGAAGCTGGATTTTAAGTATGTTGCTTTCTCAGTTGGAATCCTGTGGGCCAGGTGGCAGATGACAGGGCTAGCTTAGCCTGGAGTCAGCCAGTGTGGAATGTGGGGGAAAAGGGCAGACGGTGAAGTCTGACACACTGGCCTTGGGAAGCCCCTGGAGGTGTCAGAGCCTCATTCTTTGCTGCAGTTAGCTGTGTGAGGGTCAGAGGTGCAGAGACAGCCCTACGTGCCCTTCCCAGGTATGTGGGCTCACTGTGGTGTGGTGGGTGAGCAGGTACTTGAGAGCCACAGGTGGCTTTGGTGCATGGTCACTGGCAGCAGGAGGAACTCAGCAGCCACACTCCTGGTTTTCTTTGACATGGTGTCTGAGTTTCTGCCCGTGCCAGTGGCCTGGAACCCTGTGGCTTACTGAGAGCCACTTTCCTGCTGTCTTGCTGCTGCTGAACACTCCTGGTTGTCTCCTGCTAGTTACAGCCTGAGAAGCAGCTGCTCTGGTGCCCCACGCAGACTTCCAGACCTCAGGCTTTGGGAGGAATGGGCAGCTGACATCCCTAGGCCCATAGCCCCACATGCTCCTGCAGACATAGTGGAGGCGCTCAGTGGCTGTGCTGGTGGCTGGATCAACTCTGCCCAGGATTGGGGCGGGGCGGGGGTGGGGGGTGGGGTGCCTTAGCATGATACATCTTCAGCAAATTGTGCCAGGAGGCAAGGGCAACCCACTTGACGGGGTAGGATGCTGAGGTGCAGGAGAGGCCCATCCGAGGTCCACACTCCTTTGGCCCAGTGCTCCTTCCCTTCACATCTTCACCTCTTCTGTCTCTCTGAGCTCAAGCTGCCAACAAGGAGGGAGCCTCTGTCCCAAATGGTGGCTGGAATTGAAGAGATAGCTGAGCTGGAGTGACCACTGGGGCTGGAGTCTAGGGTGCCAGCATTTGTTCGTAGATTTGTCCATCTCTTCTTAAATGGGGGTCTTTCAGATTCCTGCTTAAAACGGCCTGTACTCTGGAGCCTGCTCTTGAGGTAAGGGGGTAGAGCAGGTGAGGTGGTCTGGGGTCAGTTGGCAGAGGGGCTTTTTGAGAGCTCAGCTGTGGGGGGAGAGTCAGGAAGGATCTGCTGGGCAGAGTGAGAGACAGATCTTGGAAATGTCCTGGGCCCAGGAAGAAGCCAGGAGCATCCAGAGAAGTGCTGGCAGGAAGGGCGTGCGGGAAGGGACAGAATGCCCCGGGAAGGCAGTCTCAGCCCAGCCTGGATGGTAATGGGGGCAGCCAGGGCTGGTTACTGAGGCTGTGTATGGAGAGCTCGCTGCAGGTCAGTTGAGCCCTACAGCCAAAGGTGGTGGTGTCCCTGTTTTCCAGATGAGAAAACTGAGGCACACAGGTTAATTAATTTGACCAAAGTCACAGAGTTTTGTGTGTGTGTTTTTAAGGAACCATGCCTGCTTACCACCTTCAACCAGCATAGTGCCAGGAGCTGGGGCTCTGCGGACAAATGGCTGGTCCTTGGTTGAGGCAGGAAACCTGGCCCTCAAGGATGAGGGAAGGAGGCCATCCCTAGATCACCCCAACATGAATGGCCCACCTGGTCCCAGGAAGTAACGTGGCATGGCGCCCAGGTCTTGGGTGGAGGAGATGAGATGGAAGAAGATGCTGCCTCTGCCCCCGCATTCTAGGGGGGGCCCAGCATGAGCTAAGGAGGGCTTCCTGGATGTGGAGAGCTGGGAGGAATTAGATAAGCCAGAGGGGAAGCACTTCCTGGAGAATGGAAATACTCGCTTTTCAGCTAATTTATTCTTTTGTTTCATTATCATTTCCCACTTGGGTCTCGCATCCCCAGGGCCCTGAGGTGGCTGTTGGAGGTATTTATGGTCCCGGGTGGGGTGCAGGGACCAGTTAGAAACCAGTCCCACTCAGGCCATGATGCATGGGTGTGTTCACATGTGAGGAGGAGCCAGGCACAGACTGAGCTCAAGGAGAGGGAACGCATGGGTCAGGGCCTTGAAACATTCTCAGGAGTGGTGCTGAGTGGAGAGATGGGGGAGGGCAGTGGGCTAGCATGTTTGTGGTGGGCTCTAGAGCTTGGGAGCTTCAGAGTTGCTGCAGTTGTGGCTGGGGTTGGAGCCCCAGGTGCTGTGCAGGGAGGTTGGGCTCTTTTCCTGGGGCTGGGGGTAGGGGGACTGTCACTCTCCCTAAACTTTCTGAGCAGCCAGGCTAAGCCTGATAGTTTTTCCTACAGGCCAGGGAGGGCTGCAGGGTTGTCCCTGCTCAGAAGCAAGAGGGGCAGGGGCAGCTAGCCCACAGCTCACTTCTGATTTGCCCACCACTCACCCTCGTCAATGAGTGTTCCTTAGATGCTTTTTTTTTTTTTTTTTCCCCTGAGACAGAGTCTCGCTCTGTCGCCCAGGCTGGAGTGCAGTGGCACTATCTTGGCTCACTGCAAGCTCCACCTCTCAGGTTCACACCATTCTCCTGCCTCAGCCTCCCGAGTAGCTGGGACTACAGGCGCCCGCCATCACGCCCAGCTAATTTTTTGTATTTTTGGTAGAGATGGGGTTTCACCGTGTTAGCCAGGATGGTCTCGATCTCCTGACCTCATGATCCACCTGCCTCGGCCTCCCAAAGTGCTGGGATTACAGGCGTGAGCCACCGCGCCCGGCCTAGATGCTCTTCTTTTAAAATTCAGGGCACTTCGCTGTTCTGCTGAGGTTTATGAATGTTTAAAAACTGCTTTGCGGTCCCCAAAGTAATTTGACAAGTCTGACAGCTATTGATTAAAAACCCGAAATTATTCAGGCTGCAGGATGACTTGGGGGATTAGATGGAAAGTTTTTTGTTTCTTCTCTCTCTCTCTGCACCCCTCCTCCCCCGCAAAAAAAAAAAAAAGAAAGAAAGAAATAAGATGTGGAAAGGTAAATGTGTTCCTGAATGTTTTTTGAAAACTCCATTAGGCTTGCACAGTTTATACGGGGAGAGGATGTTGAAGGCTGCCTCTCATTCAGGAGCCAGTACCAGCGCCCTCTCGAATCCCTGGTCTCTCCGGAGCTTTGGCCCAAGTCACCCCAGGCAGCAGTGAGATGTTGCTATTACATTATTACAGGTGATGGTAGTGGTGTTGGTAGCAGTTATGATAGTTTATGGTCCCTTATGTTCTAGGGAGTTGACGTAGGGTTTTTGTGGCTTTCTCTGAAGTAGCTCAGCGTGTGAGGAAATGGCACCTAGAAGGGGGAGGAAACTCGTTCAGGGTCTGTGATAGACCTTAGATACAGCTGGGATAGAGACCAAAGACTCCTTCAGGGAGAGGAACGGGCCGTTGCTGGGGTGCTGGGCTGATTGGATGCCTGGCCTCCAGGCCTGACTCACTGTGAGGTAGGTGCCAAGAGTGTCCCACAGAGGGTGACCAGGCCGTTAGAACCCCAGCTTTCACTTCTGGACCATGTGACCTAGCCAAGCCACTCCCTGTCTCTAAGCCTCAGTTTCCTCTTTAGAGAACGTCCTAAAGCTTCCATTGAGCCTTTTGGATTAACTGGCTCATGTATTGCCCCATGAGCCAGGGCTTGTGGGACCTGAGCTTGAATACCCACTCTCCCTTTCTTCTGGGGCAGTGCTGCCTTTTGTGCAGAGTTGTTGGGAGAAGGCCATGAGATGATGTTTGTACTTTGGTGAGAACACCTGCAACTGGCACATGGTAGGTGCTTAGTAAGTGGCTGTTAGGTCCAGGCTGCCACAGTGTCATTCATTTAGTCAGCCTATATTGGGCACCACGGGACACCAGGCCTCACAGCAAGCATGAGCTGTCCCATCCTCCTGTTTTGGTTGCAGGGTGTGGACCCTCCTCTGCCAGCTCAGCCCTGTGATGTGGGGGGAAGCACAGGCTCCCAGGGGTGAGGGCAGAAGGCCACGTGTCTCCCTGTCTCACAGCCCAGGGCGTTCTGTGTGTATGGGGGCGTCACAACTGGGTCTTGGTGACTGCTAGGACCTACCCCTTACCTTGGCCTGAGGGAACCCTGGGTTGAGAGGGACCACGCCTCTGGGCCCTGTCATCCCTGGAAGACTTCCCAGGCAGGGCAGCCAACCTTTCTGCCTTTTTAGGACAGGCTCTGTCTCCCCAGGGCCCTGGGAGCCACCAGGCGGCTGCATTCCTCTCCTCTCCCCTGGGATCCCAGCTGGGCCAGGAGTGAGCACTGGCCTTCTGAGCAGCCGGTTCCCAGGCCAGCGGGGCAAGGCTGGGCTTGGGGAGAGAGCTCTGCTGGACATACTAGGCAGGGCGCTGCCCTGTTTATGTCCTGCCGTTTGATTCCCAGCAGGTCAGTGCATTCATTGTGACCATGTCCAGACTCTCTTTTTTTCCAGTGTGGGCAGACGCTTCTAGCACAGCCTCTGGACCTGCCTGGCTATGACAGGCAGAAGCATGATTGGCATGTTCTGACCTGATGAGGCCTAGAGAGTCTGCTGAAGTCCTGACTGCAGAACCATCAGGTCCTGCCAGCCTTTGGGTGGGCACCAACTCTGTGGAGACAAACCTTGTCCAGGATTTCTCTTCCTTCCAGACCTGGTTGGGGTAGTGGACAGTGGCTTGGGACCACACAGGCTGGTGGGCTGGAGACTGGGGCTGGAGATGGCTGTGCTTGGGAGTCCCAGGCAGAGGGGCTAAAGGGGCCTCCTCACGGGGGTCTACTGCCCACTGCTAGGCACACCTTCTTCTCCTTTCATTTCGCCTCAGGAAATGAAGGGCTTTTTAAAGAAATTTGAGGCATCCCAGAGCATTTGGGCAGATATGATTGATCCCCATTTTGCAGATGGGGAAAACTGAGGCATGGAGAACGTAAAGCGTTTGAGTCGTCACGGGACAGGAACAGGAAACAGCCTGGGAAGTCCATATCTTGTCACTCCAAATTGTCAAAAGTGTGACCTATCCCAGAAATGTCAGCCTTGATAGCAGCGTGTGCATCGTTCACCAGTGTTGTTCATAGCTGTGTCTCCAGCTCCTGACATCGTGGCTGGCAATGAGGTGGGCGAATGGAACAGACCAAAGAGGCATGAACAGTTATGAGCAATGGATGGGAGTCACTGACACCCCTGCCCTCCTGAGCCTCCCGCCTGCATGGTCTCATTTGATCCTTAGAGCAACCCATGAGGAAGGTGTGTCGTTATCCTCACTACGGATGGGGAAACTGAGTCCTAGAGAGTCGAATGACTTAAAGTATCCAAGGTTGTATATTTCATAAGGAATAGAGACTCGGTTTGCTCTGCAGCCAGGCACCCTTGACACTAGGCCCTCTGTCCTCCTGCCCGCTCGCAGCTGCAGGTGCATTTCTGTAGCATTCACTTGTGTGCGCGCGCGCGTGTGTGTGTGTGTTTAATCCCAGGGCCCACTGCACTGCCTGCCTTTGTGTACTGCCCAGCCCATTACCCTGGCAGCCCTAGCCATGCAGCATGTCTTAAAGGGGCCCCCCGGCTCCTGCTTGCACACTTTCAGAGACAGGGAGCCCACTCTCTCTAAAACCAGACGAGCCTGGCCCATTCAAGGACAGCTGTGACTGAGCTGGAAGTGGCCTCTCCTGGTCCCAGCCTTGCCCTTTGGGGCCACACAGGGCAGCTCCCTCTGAGCTTTCGAGATTTGGAGGGTGACCCTGAGCCCCTTATTTTCCGACCAAACAATCCCACTCTCAATTCCCCCCACCCAATAGTTGGGAACACCCTTGCTGTGTCAAGTAGGGATTTTTAATTACTGTAAGTTTCGGTTTGGGGTCCTTTCCCTCCTTGGAATAATGAGTTTGCTGAGCTTTTGTGTCACCGACCTTTTAAGAGAAAAAAGGATCAGAGTTGAAAAACAGCTTGTGGGTTGGCTGGAACGCTATCAGATAAGGCTAGGCCCCAGGAGCCAGGACAGTGTCCCCATTGTTCTGCCACCAGCCCTCACAATGAGCTGCTGTTGGGCCCTGGCGCTGTCTCTCATAGCAGCTCCCCGTGCCTTGTGCCCACGTTTCCTGGGCCCTGGGCAGGGGCTGCCCCATCCCTGTATCCCCCGGTCCTTCCTTCCCCACCTGGAGTGAGTGGGTCACAGCTAGTGGGTTAGCTGGCTGTGGACCTTTCCCTGCTGCCCGGCTGCTGTGGACCTTTCCCCCTGCCCGGCTGCTGTGGACCTTTCCCTGCTGCCCGGCTGCTGTGGACCTTTCCCCCTGCCCGGCTGCTATGGACCTTTCCCTGCTGCCCAGCTGCTGTGGGCCACCCCTGGACGATGGAAAGGCCAAGCCAAGGCTGGTGCAGTTAGTCTTGAACTCCGCTGAACTGGGTTCACATCTGACTCGGCCACTTGCTATGCATGTGATCTTGGGCAGGTCACCTCAACTTTCTGGGTGCACCTTTTTAGTCCTGACAGGATTGTCACGAGAATTAAGTGGAACAGGTGGGAGATTGTGGCCCTGAGCCGGGCTTAGGTAGCGTAGTGTGAGCTGTCTGTCTGGAGAGACCAGGGACCACTTTGTGGTGGTGACATTGGGCTGGCCCTTGAAAACTGAGGAAGGACTTTGTTTGGCAAAGAAGTGGAGGGAGAGGCAGAATGGACAGGCTCAGGAGACTGCTTGGACATGGACCCCTGGAGGATAAGAGTTTGCAGCTTTGTCAGGAAGTAGCTGGGGAGGAGAGTCCAGGTCACTTGTGCGAGGGGCCTTTCAGGAGGGCTCGGACACCAGCTTGAGGCATCTGGGACTTGATTATCTTACAGGCCATGAGGCGAGAGAGGAGGGACAGGAGTGAGGCCATGCCAGGCGGAGTGGCTTGTTCAGTGGAGGGTGCTGCTTTGGTCTAGACAGGAGAAGGCCAGTGGAACTCCCATTCCCCTCTGCCCTCCCATGCCCTGGCCAAGCTCCTCTGTAGCAGCGGAGTCCAGGGCAGGTCACCCTAGCCATGGCCTTGGCTGTCCCGTGTGTGACCTGGATGTCATGGTGCCACCTCCTTCCTGGGAGCAGTAAGGATTCCATGCCATGGAGGACAGGTAAAGGGTCTCTAGTCCCTGGAGCGCTGTCATGGGGCTAGTGATCTGCCATGTTTAGAAGGGTCTCGGCTGGGGCCGTGGGGAGCAGTGTGCAGCCACAGAGGGTAGGATGAGCCTCCTAACCTTGAGAGGGATGGGGGAAGCGGCCCATACTTGGACAGAGCAAGGGCAGGGGCATTTCCCGGAGACTCTGGAATGAACATTGGAATGCTGCTCTTGGGACTTGGCCTTGAACAGGCAGCTGCCCTGACGACCCACCCTCAGGCCTTCTTCGTCCCTCCTCCAAGGGAACAACCACGTCACCAGGGTTTGCAGGCTGAGGGAGGGCTATCCCTATCCCCACTGACCTCCCGTTCCCTCTGAGCTTAGCTGACCTTGGCTGCTGGTGTGTTGGGGTTTTGGTCCAGGAACTCTAAGGCTCTGGACCTTGGAGCCAGCCAGACCCAACTTTACCCACAAGGAGCCCCCTGCCTGACAAGGAGCCAGTTCTGTGACAGACCTTCCCAGCACAGCCTGGATATGGCTGTCTGCCCAGGGAGCCCAGGAAGGCTTCAGGGAAGAAGGGGCACTGAAGCTGGGTGCTGAAGGTTGGGTAGGAAGGGGAAGGACAGCATGTGCCTGGGGCCCTGCCTGAGACTCCTGCTTCCTGGGATGGAGGGGCCCAGCAGGCAGGCCGCTGCGAGAGTGGGCCTGGTCAGGTGGAGCAGGGAGGTAGATGCCAGCCAGTGGCTCAGAGTGCCAAGTTCTGGGGCTGGCATTGAATCCCGTGTGGTCTCAAGAGGGGATCCCTTCACCCCCACAACTCAAAGGGCTGGGAAATACCTCCCCGTGAAGGCGCTGTCTTCACAGCACTTTCAGCATGTGCCGGCTGCCAGTGTTTTCTGGGTGAAGCAAGCCACCTTCCTCCTTTTTCAGATGAGGAAATGGACCCAAGAGGTTTGGGTGTCGCAGCAACACTAGATCAAAGATGGGATGCTGGGGCACATCTCTTGCCCTCCCTGGCAGGCCTCAGTTTCTCCCCTGTAAAGCGGGGTGAGGTCAGCATCTGCCTCTTGGGCTCGTGGAGATTCTGTGAGGTGACTTGTGTGGTGGTTCATGTGACGCATGGCCCAAGGTAAGCCCGGCCTGGGGACGCCAGCTCCACCCTGGTGGGAGGCAGGCAGTGTGGAGTCCACGCCCTGGTTTGAGACCTGCTTCTGTAGGTAGTAGAGGTGCCACATCCTGGCAGGGTTGTTGTAAGAAGTAGCTCAGACCTGGGCCGTGGAAGTGATTTGCAGGGGTGGAATCCCCATGTGAAGGCCTTTTGCCCTCCTTGGTGCCACCTCGCCTAGGGGACCAAAGCTCTAGTCTCCAAGGACCACAAGAGGTCAGAGGGGAAAGCTGTCATGAGACTGAGCTAGGCACAGGGTCGGGAGGATGCCGTGGGCCATGCAATTGGGCCACCTTCTCTTCCACCCCAGCCTTGGGCAGCAGAGAGGGACTTGACCCAGGGCTGGGGGACGGCAGAAGCCCTGAATACAGGGGCATCAGCCCCCAGATACCACACCACATAGGGTAGCTGTGGGCATGGCTCCTGGACTGACCTGGTTCCCATCCCAGCAGGGGGCCTTGGGCGGCTCAAGTAACTGCTCCTCCCTGAGCCTGTCATACCTTTCTGTAAAATGGGTAGATGAATACTCCTGGCAGGGCTGTGTGCTGTTGAAATATGAAAAAAGGGATGTGCAAGTGACCAGCTGGGCGCTCACCTTGTGCTGACTAGAGGTGGGTGCCTACAGGCATCCCTTCCTGGGAGTGGAATGGGAGTGAGGTAGAGACCAGTGCCTGCTTCCCTCCTTTCACCTGAGCGTCCCGGGTAGGGAAGCTGAGCCTATCCCTGCCCCTTTGGAGCCTGGGCAGTCTTTGGTACCCATCTTCTGCCCTGCCTCTAATGCGCTGCTTCCCTAGGCTGGCAAGGCAGAGGCTGGAGGTGAAAAAGGAAGTGGCCCAACAATGCCAGCATGGGATGAAGCCAGGGTAGGGGAGAAGCCTGCCTTGGGTGACTGATGGAGCAAGCAGTCCCTGCTGTGAAGTGGCCAGGGACTGCTGCAAGCACAGGACAGGGCTGGCTTCCCAGAGAGGTGGTTCTTGGGCCTTGAATTGGTCCTGCTGGGTTCAGGAAGTGACCAAATGACCATTTTTCCTTCCTTAGCCCCCTCATCTTATCAGCTACCACCATGGGCACACCCTGGCAGGGTCACAGCAGACCAGCTCCCTCTGGGCCCAGATGAGGGAGGGACCGAGGACACTGTGTTTCAGGGCCTGTAGACTCCAGGCTGGTCAGGAAGGAAACGCATAGGAACGTGAGTGAGAGAGTACGGGTCCACTGGCCCTGCCTCCACCACCCACCCGCTTGCTGTACTATCCAGGAAGGAGTAGCCTGGGAGAGCTTGCGGGAACCACTTGGGGCCTCCCTGGGCCTGCCCTGCCCCTATTCCTCTTCCTCCCAGAGAGCTTGGGCTGCAGGGATGGATGCAGCCTCTGCTTTACATCCCACCCCGTGGAGAAGCTCCCAGGGAAGCGGGGAGGGTCATGGCTGCCCAGGTAGGCCGGGCCAGTCCAAGGTGTCTTAAGGGCCTTGAGCTTCCCTACAGCCCTCTCTTCTGCCAGGATCCTTTCCAGGTCAGCCAGAGCATGCTTGTGGGACATGGTGGGGAAGGAAGGGGAGGGCTCTGCAACCACAGACTCCAGGATCTGGCTGTTTTGGGGTCTGGCCTGGGCCTGCTGGGCTCCTGGGGTTGCAGGACCAGGGTCTCCTTGGGTTTCCCTGGGCAGGCCCAGCCTGCTGAAGCATGCCTCGCCTCTCCTCTCCACAGCCAGCTCATTCATGCGCCCCAGGCAGGAGGCGGCCTCAGCTCACCAGCTCCCCGCTCTGTACTTCCTGGGTCCCTACCCCACCCTCCCTGGCTCCCAGCATCCTTACCTGGCAGAGATTTTCCAAGCTAGGCCAGAAAGCAGCCCAATCCCAGCCAGTGTGACTTCCCTACTATCAGGCAGGGCGTCTCTTCCACTGAGGTATGAAGCCCCATGTGGGAGGGAGGCCTGGAGTCCACCCTGGGAGGTGGGCGGCTCAGGTGGAATCTCAGCCCAGGGAGGGCAGGCCCACCCACGGCACTGGTCATTGCCGTGATGGGGAGGAGGCCAGGCCGCTCGAGCAAGGCCTTGAGGGATTATCAGGAGAAGAGGCCTGTTCCAACACAGCGGTGTGGCGGTGTGATGTGGTGGTGTGGCGGTGTGGCGTGGCAGGTAGGCCAGTGCCCCTTTGTGAACTGGACCTCCCAGGGAGAGTGCCTCAGAGGAGCAGAGGCACATGCTGGGCTTGTCCATGGGCTTAGGCCACAACGGGAAGCCCCAGGTGGGAGTCCTTGTGGGAGTTGGGGAGGGTTCCCCCCTGTCTTGAACTTGTCTCACAGTTTTCCTCTGGCTCTGCCCATTCCCTCTGCTTTCAGAGGCCAGCTTCGTGCTGGGTGTGGAGAGGCAGAGGGAGCCGGTTGACTGGGGCTCCTGGGCTGGCCTCTGTGGGGTATCTAAGGGTTGGGATTCCCTCAGCTCTGACTCCTTACGGCATCTAGCATGGGACTCCATGTTGGGGAGGGCTCTTATGCTCAGAGGGCTGTTGCCATGGAGATGTGGAGCTTGGGGTGGGAGGGTGGCTACTGTCAGCCTGAGTCCCTCTGAGCAGGGCTCTTCCTGCTCACCTCTGGATTCTTGAGCACCCATGGAGTGGGCCTCAGCCCGCTGACCCGGGGCAGTCGCAGAAATGAGTGTACAGGGTATGCATCCTACAGGGAAGTGTCTGGTGGCTCTGCCAAGCTGCGAGCCCCTCAAGGTCAGGGACCAAGCCTCAGCATAGCCCAAGGTAGGGGTCTTGGTTTGGCGAGGCAGGGAGAGAATGATGGACTGAGCACTTGGACCATTGGAACCAGGAGCCAAAGGGCATAGGGCGTTGGGGGTAGGAGGTCCATGTGGGCTAAGCCTGGAGTAGGTTTTTCACCAACCCCAGGGTTTGAGCCCTGGACACAAGCAGGGCTCAGCTTCTGCACCAGAGATGGTCTTAGCAGGCCCAGCCTGTCCTCACGCTTTTCCTCTGTCCCACCGTGGGGGCTGGGGGCTCTAAGAGGACACTGCTCTGTGCTGCTGACTTTGGAGAGACTTTACCTAACCCTAGAGCAGGTGTCATCTGCGGTGCTTTCCCTGTGATGCACTGAGGAAACAGGCTCAGAGGAGAACGATTTCCCCAGGGCCACACAGCAGGGGAGCAGCGGGCCCAGGTCTGGTCTGCGTTTGGGTGCCGGGTGGCATCAGCCCTGTGCTCTTTGTGCCTGTGTCGGAGCCACTGACCTGGGCCCTGAGTCCCAGCATGGGGACCCCGATGGAGTGTGTGTCTTGGGTACTGTGCAGAGACTGCTGCATCCCTTCTGCTTCGAGACTCGCCTCGCCTCGCTGTCCTCATCTGTAAGATGGGAGCAGCAGGGTCCCTGTGGCTTTCCCTCGTGTGGGTCTGCTGGTGTGGGACAGTGTATGAGGAAGGGCTGTTGGCAGTGGTATGCTGGATAAATGTTGGGGCAGAGTGACTGCTCAGTCTTGGACAAGGACCAGTGCAAAAGAGAGGGGAAATGGGAAAGCGCCCAGAACTGCAGACAGCTGCCTGGGTCAGGCGGGCTTTCCTTGGGTCTCTGAGACTTCTCAGGAGCCAAGCTGGCCCAGGCCCCGCAGGCTCACTTGCAAATATTAACCCCGGAGTGGCGCCTAATCCTCACCTTCTTGCTCTCTGAGAGGCTGAGCCCCCAGCCAGACTCTTGCAGTCGGGAGGAGGTTCCCACCAGTCTCTGTGACAGCCCTGCCCCCAGATCTGTCTTAAGACAGAAAGGAGAGAGAGTGGAGAGGAGTGGCTGCCTGCTGGAAGGGGCACGGCCAGGGCAGATGGGTGGGACATGGCAACCAGCTTGACCCGGGCTGTGGGGGCCCACCTGACACACCTACTGCCACCCCAGGTCCCATCTGATGCCGAGGCTGAAGGAGTCTCGCTCCCACGAGTCCCTGCTCAGCCCCAGCAGTGCGGTGGAGGCGCTGGACCTCAGCATGGAGGAAGAGGTGGTCATCAAGCCCGTGCACAGCAGCATCCTTGGCCAGGACTACTGCTTCGAGGTGGGTCCCATCACAGGGGTTGGGGTGGACACCCCATCCTCTCCTGGCCTGGCTGGTCTCCTCCAGACATCCTCCTGGAGTCCAGTCTGCTGTGGCCTCAGCAGGGGCCAGGGTCTTGGGGACAGTGGCTAGTAGTTACCGATAGCTTTCAGCTCCTAAGAGACCTGGTGGAGCTGGGGTGGAGGCTGTCCTTCCTACTCTCTAGGTTCTCTGGAAATGGGCCAGCACCTGTTCTCCATGCTAGCCTGAAGCTGCTGGGGCCCCCAGTGGATGACAGTGAGTAGGGGAAAAGCCTGAATTTCTTAAGCACCAGAGCCCATGTCTTAGAGCCTGCTCACCTCCCAAATGCAGTGTGGATAGCAGAGAGTCTCCCCTTGTCTGGGCCTGTTTCCCACTGTGAACAATGAGAGCCCAAATCTGTCCTGCCCTGGCATTCTGCGACCTGAGGTTTGAATGCAGAGAGCCAGTGACCCACCTGGGGATGACCTGTCCAGTCCCTCATAGGAAATGGGGGATCTGAGGCCCAGAGAAGGCACAAAGACATCAGAGGTCACACAGCAAGGCTGAGACCAAGCCGGGAGCAGGGTTACTATTGTTGCAGGTGTTCCTGGGAGTTACTAATTGCTTCTGCAGTTATTCATATTGCTTCCTACCAGTTTCTGGGAAGATTCCTACCCCCAATAATCATGCATAACTAGGAGAGCTCTCTTGTAGAGGAATGAGCCTGGTAATGAAAAGCAGCCACTTGGGGACTAGTGTGACAATCTCCTGGCACCCCCAGCCCTGGGGAAAAAACAGAATGGTGCCTGGCACCTGCCCCATACCCTGTGCCCACTGGGGACCATTTCTGGTTCAGGACTCCTGGCCAAGCCAGGCTTGATCTGGGTTCTGACTTCCTTGCCAGGGATAGGGTGAAGATGGCCCTGTCTGCTGGTTCACAGCAGGGGGTTCTGTGGAGGGTGCAGGCCCTCGAATGCCGTGTGAGGAGTGTGCTTCCCCTGCAGAGACCCGGGTCTGCTGCTGGGGACAGTGGAAACACACAGCAGGAATTGCCCGGACTGGCTCCCTTACCTGGCAGGAGATGTCTAAGCTGGACCAGAGGTTGAGTGAGAGTCAGACAGAGAGGGAAGGAGAAGGGTCAGGGACTGGGGACCCTAGGGCCTGGCACATCCAGACAGTCCGAGTCTCATTTCTCCAGTCTGGCATAAAAAATATCAGGCTTATATTACCATTGTTGTCACTGCTGCTTGACGGAAGAGAACCCTCAGAGTTGTCAGCTGAGGACTGAGGGGATTCTGGTACCTACCTTTAGTTGTCTCCTTGGTTCTTGTGGTTCCGCCTTTAGGGAAAGTACGCTCGGGTTAAGCATTGCCCTCTGACCTGGGCAAGGTCTTCGTTCATTCCCTCTTCCCATCTCAGGGAGAGGGAGGTTAGAGTTAGGAAGATGCTTTCCTATTGGACAGAGGGCACTGAGGGACGAGTGAGGAGCCTGCTCGTGCAGGATGGGGCCACTCTCCGGCTGCTGACTTGCCCTGGGACAGTGGCTCTCAAGTGTACCACCTGCAAAACATGAAGTAGAGGCGTCATATGAGCCTTGTCCTGGCTCCTTCCTGAAGCTGTGATGCAGACCTGATGGCCAGAGTCCCCTGAGCCTCCAAGGTCTTCTTCCATCACTGCCTGCCCTTGCTGTGGTCCCTTCCCTCATAACACTGTCTTGCCTGCTCCCCACAGGTGACGACGTCATCAGGAAGCAAGTGCTTTTCCTGCCGGTCTGCAGCTGAGCGGGATAAGTGGATGGAGAACCTCCGGCGAGCGGTGCATCCCAACAAGGTAAGCCTGCGCCCCTCTCACCAAAGCATGGGGGATTGAAGGTAGGCTCAGATAGGAGGAAACAAGAGAGACTATCTCTGTGGTGTGGGCTGGGATTGGGGGTGGTCAGCCTGCATGGAGGCAGGGCCCGAGTGGACAATATTGGTGGACTCTGAAAGAGACGTTTGAGTTGACCAGGTTGAGACAGGTGCTGTGTGCCTCTGTTTTCTAAGCTACACATTGAGGCTGGGCTTGGGGAAATGAGTGCTGGACCCTGGGGTCCTTCTGCTGGGACCCCTTGTCCCTACTCCCCAGCCCCTGGCTGAGTTCTGCTCATCTTCCCCTTCCACCTTAGATGTCTGCCCCTCCTCCAGGTGAGGACCCCTGTCCCAGGCTGGTGCCCTCTGTGTTCCCACTGCCCCTGGGCTCCCCCATTAGGTCCTGGGAGCCCCCACTGTAATCCCTGCTTCTGTATCTGTCTCCCTAGCCGACTTGAGGGCTTGACCAAGTCCTGGTCACCATAGCCATCTCTTAAGTTACAGTACAGACCAGCATATTAAGGAAGAGTTAATAATGGCATAGCCTGTGACGTGTCAGGCGTTGTGCTGGCCTCTCTCAGTCTCGCCCTCTATGAGATGGGGGTTTTACCTTAGTGCCGTTTCATAGACAAGCAACCCAAGGCTCCAGTTAAGTTGCTTGCCCAAGGTGAGTGAGCTTCTGTGAGGTCGACCAGAGATCCAGCCCTTGTCCATCATGCCCTGCCTCATCCTGACTTAGGGCCTAGGCGCCCGCTGCCGCCTCCACCTTCAGAGCTCCTCCTGGGTCTGAGGACTCTCTCAGGCTCTGGGCTGGTTGGGGGTTGCACGTGGCACCCCCAGCTGACCACCCTGGACCCCCGTGCACATACAGGACAACAGCCGGCGTGTGGAGCACATCCTGAAGCTGTGGGTGATCGAGGCCAAGGACCTGCCAGCCAAGAAGAAGTACCTGTGCGAGCTGTGCCTGGACGATGTGCTCTATGCCCGCACCACGGGCAAGCTCAAGACGGACAATGTTTTCTGGGGCGAGCACTTCGAGTTCCACAACTTGCCGCCTCTGCGCACGGTCACTGTCCACCTGTACCGGGAGACCGACAAGAAGAAGAAGAAGGAGCGCAACAGTTACCTGGGCCTGGTGAGCCTACCTGCTGCCTCGGTGGCCGGGCGGCAGTTCGTGGAGAAGTGGTACCCGGTGGTGACGCCCAACCCCAAGGGCGGCAAGGGCCCTGGACCCATGATCCGCATCAAGGCGCGCTACCAAACCATCACCATCCTGCCCATGGAGATGTACAAAGAGTTCGCTGAGCACATCACCAACCACTACCTGGGGCTGTGTGCAGCCCTCGAGCCCATCCTCAGTGCCAAGACCAAGGAGGAGATGGCATCTGCCCTGGTGCACATCCTGCAGAGCACGGGCAAGGTGAAGGTGCGTGCAGGCCCCTCGGCTCCTGACACAGGCTGGGCGGCAGCACTGGGTTACCTGCCCTTCCTCACATCCGTACATTTCAGGCCTAACAGAGGCCTTGGAGGCACCGGTCACTACCAGAAGGGCTCCCTAAACCCAAAAGTTCTATCGTGGGCTGGGGGTTTTGTACTCCTGCTCTGTGGCTGGAGCTGATCACTGAGGCCTGTGTGGAGCCAGTGGATGGGATTGCAGCTGGTAGTGAGGGAGTGGGCTTGGGTTGAGGTGCCTTCCACCACTGCTGCAGAGGACCGACCCCCTGAGGCGCCAGGGGAACAGGCTGGGTGGCCACGGCTCTCCCAGCACACAGGTCCCACAACGCCACCAGCCGCAGTGAGCCAAACACACGTCCCCTGTGGGGTATGGAGTTCGGCAGACCTCCCCAGCACGATGCACAGATGAGCCTCCCTCACAGCTCTACCTCACCCCACACTCTCACCCAGACACACAGATTGTCACACAGGTAGACACAGTCAAAATTGTACTATTCGAGGGTTAGCCAGCCCCACCCCAGAGCCTCACAGAAGCGGGAATCGTCTGAGACCCACCCAGGCAAGTCCTAGTTCAGGGCCAGAGGTGCTCAATGTCCATCTCCATGACCCCTTTCACCTTCCGCTCCCGAAGATGGGCCCAGCAGCCCACCATGCAAGCCGTGCCTCAGCCCCACCTACCCGGTTTGGGGACAAATGGGCTCCTGGACCAGGGTGCCCCTAGGAAGGCAGTAGAGCATGGTCTGTGGGCCTCGAAGGCGACCTTCTCTCTTTACATTTGCCACCTGCCATTCAGGAAGCTGGCCAAAGAGGGTGGGAAAAAGGGGCTGGACTTGAGGCCTCTGCAGCGTGGATGGACCCTGGTGCTGGGCTAAGGACTGGGCCTCTGCCCTCTGGACAGTGGCGTGTTGTGAGCCAAGTGGCAGGTGGCTGAGGGGCACCCTGTGTCAAGGTCCTAGGCCCTTAGCTCTGGGTCGGGGAGGCACAGTTGGGAGCCATACCCCAGGGCAGAGTCCAGGGCACAAGACTCGTGGAGGTCCCTCACCCTCTCACCTGTTCCTAGAGGCCCTGGAAGGGGAGGCCATGGCTGGAAGCCTCAGCAGCCTCTGCAGCCCCCCTCCCTCTTGCACTTGCTGTATGCTGCAAGTGCAGGGCTGGGGCGGGGACCTCCTCCCCATGGACCCGCGATGGGGAGCAGTTTTCCTCTGTAGTGCTCAGCTACCTCCTCCCTCACCTTCTCCCCCAGCCTTCAGACTTGGCTGGCTAGGCTGCACGTTGGGCCAGCTCTGGCTGCCCCGTCCTTAACATGCTGGTCAACACTGGGGACGTATGCTGGGAAACGGAATGAATCAAGGACCCATGGGCACCAGAGAGGGAGTGATGGGGGCTGCAGAGGCTGCATTATTTTCTGCAGTTGTGTCTGATGTTTCAGTACCTGGTTCCCAGGGCTGGGCTGGGGCTGGCCTGGGAAGCGGATTCCTCCCTGAAGCAGCCTGAAATGATAGGTATGTCCAGGTGCTCGTGGAGGGAGGTGAAGTCAGGGCTGCAGCCAACCCCAAAGGCCCTCAGTGGGATTGGGGAGCAGTAGATAGAAGCATAGAAAGTAACTTGTGCTGCTGGGGTGACAGGTACCTAAGCCCCCACCCCTGGAATACTTGGGAACTAGCCCCTCTTCCGTCTCCACGGCTAGAGGAGTAACGGAGTCTGGGAAGCAAGGGACTTGGACCAGATCTGGCCCCAGGTGGCTGTGTGGCCTTGGACAAGTCATTTTCCTGCTGTGTGTGCATTGGTTTCCCCCTTATTGGGTCCTGGCTCTCAGGAAGTTCTCATCCCAGCACTGGGGCCTGGCTCTCATTGCGGGAGTTCAGGAAGGCTGCAGTCCTGAGCGGGAGCCCTGGAGGAGCCCCGGGGGAGATGCACCTCTGACCCCCGCTTTAGTGTATTCAGAGAATGAGACCCTGGAGGTCGCCTGCTGGTCAGGAAGGGGTCCTCAGGCCACATGATCCCCAGGAAGCCAATGACAGCTTCCCCTTTGCCCCTGCTGTCCCTCTGTGCCTCTGCTGTGCACCCTGGGTTCCTGTGTCTAGATCTCAGTTCTGTTTTAAAGGACCCCAAGGTCGTGCATGTCGGAGTGAGGAATTTCTTGAGCACAGATGCCTGGGTCCACCCCTCCTGGGCACCTTGCAGGCTCTGTGCTAGGTGGCCCCCTGCCCTGACTGTCACCCTCCCTTGAAACTATGACAGTTTTTCCTATTTTCTTCCCCTCCCCCAAGCCACAGGTTAGTTGTGAGCACAAGGAGGTGGGGGCTTCTGAGGGAGGGTGTTAGTATCTGCATGGTTGCTAGAGTAGGGGGAAGGTGTGGGTTCGGGCTCCTGTGCTGGGGTTTTCCCACAACACTGTGTGTGGGACCTGATGGGCCTGGGGCTGCTACCCTGGATTGCCAGGTGGGCAGTGGCGCCTCCACCTTCCCTCTCCAGCCAGTTGCACATCACTTCCTGCTCTCACCTGCCTGAGCATGGTGGCTCACGACCTCCCCGGGCAGTGGGGCTGCACAGAAGGCATCTGTGTCTGGTGTGGGAGCCCCCACCAGAGTCATAGGTGGATACTGATGGCCATTCTTACCATGAGACAGGGCAGCCTCATTTGTCCTCTTTGGCACTGATGGTGCGGGGAGAGGCGAGTCCTGCTGTGGTCACCAGGCCAGGCCTGATCAGGGCTGTACATGGAAATGAGTCCATTCTCTGTGGTGGTGGGGGCTTGTGGCTCCACGTGGCATGCTCTCATTCAGGCTGCCTCCATCCATAGACCCGGCTCTACTGTCACCAGTTCTAGGCTCCTACCCTGGCTGGGGGCCCCTGCCCTGCCCACACTCCCCAGCAGCCCCCAAAGGTGGGCACACTGTTCCTCTCCGGGACCCCCGCAGCTTGGTGATGGAACAGCCTCAAAATGCCAGGACTTCTCTGGCTAGGTCTGGAATCCTAGGGCCCTCCATGCCAGGCCAGCTCAGGTCCTGCTCTCTCCACCTCCTGCCTCCCCAGGACTTCCTGACAGACCTGATGATGTCAGAGGTGGACCGCTGCGGGGACAACGAGCACCTCATCTTCCGGGAGAACACACTGGCCACCAAGGCCATTGAGGAGTACCTCAAGCTAGTGGGCCAGAAGTACCTGCAGGACGCCCTAGGTAGGGAGTGGGCCAGCAGCAGGGCAGAGGGTGGGGCAGGGCCCGCCAGGTCCTCACTCCCCACTCCCTGCCCACTTGTCCATAGGTGAGTTCATCAAAGCGCTGTATGAGTCAGATGAGAACTGCGAAGTGGATCCCAGCAAGTGCTCGGCCGCTGACCTCCCAGAGCACCAGGGCAACCTCAAGATGTGCTGCGAGCTGGCCTTCTGCAAGATCATCAACTCCTACTGGTCAGTGCGGTGCCCAGGTCTCCCCACCCTGTCGCCTTCCCCATCCTGTCCTTCAGTGTCTGGCACCCGCAGTGTGCCTGATGCTGCCTGGCCCCTGAGTTGTACTGACTTGCCAGTCCCCTGGCCTAGTCCCTTTTGAGCTCTCAGGTGGGGCAGCGTTCAGCATGTTGCTGTGGTTTTGTGATGGAAAGAACCTGGACACGCCAGTCTGCCGTCTCTGGTGATGAGGGAGCGCCCTTCATGTGCCGGGGGCTATTGTGGGTGCTTGGGCTGCAGCGGGAGTGAGACTGGCAGGCCCTGTGTGGGCCCCCACTTGGGGTGGGCGGATGGCTTCACCTGAGGCTCCTCACCTGTCCGTGGGAGCTAAGGTGCTCATGTCACAGCCTTGTGATGGGGCCAAGCAGGGGCACGTTGGGGGCCTGAGCACCAGGCAGGCCTCTTGCTGGGACTAGAGAATAAACAGAAAGGACTAGACTTTGAAGTAGAACGGGGTCTGCAGACTCTGCCAGCCCCAGAAAGCAGCAGGGCATGCAGCAGTGGGCTGCTTAGACAGGCCCCTCAGCAGGACCGGAATCAGTCCCGGAGAAACTTGCGGTAAGGCCGACTTCACGGCCACCAGCTTGCTCCTGGGATATATGTGTGTGATGGCCAGCCAGCCTGGTGCCGAGTATAGCCTCGTTCTGTGGTGGCACACAGGACTGTGCGGGAGGGCCTTGCTGTCAGCCCAAGCAGTGGGTTCATATTCACCCCAGAGGAGCTGCCCAGGTTTAACCTGTGTCCCCCTCCAGCTCAGGGCTTACAGCCCCCACCCACCCAAGCCTCCGTCCACAGCCTGTTCTGACACCACTCTCTCCCCGGCCTTACCTCACTCCTTGTTAGGTTCATCTCTTTCACTCACCTGCACCTTCCCCTGCATACACTCCTGCCCTTCCTGCTCCGAGGCCACACCTGGTACCCTCTGTCGCAGCCCTGATCCCATCAGGATAGGGTTGTGCCTGTGCCTAAAACATTTCCTGTGAATGCTGGGGCACCCTGGGGGCAGGTGAGCCCACCACCTCAGGACTGGGCACACAGGAAGGCCAGAGAAGTGTTTGCTGCTCCCCAAGGACAAGAAAAGGCAGGGGGAATGGGCAGGCCAGGAGGGTTGGCACCCAGGGCCTTAGCCCCTGGGCTATACAAGGTGCTTGCCTGGGCCAAATGGGCACCTCAAGATGGGCCACAAATGTGCAGCTTTCCACACCCCTGGGCCGGTGGAGGAGAGCGACTGTAGGGCCTTGAACTCTGGGAACACACTTCCCATTCCCAGCTGGGCTGTGCTTTCCCCCTCCCCCTCTTCCAGGGGGGCTGGGCATGTGACTCAGGGAAAACATATTTGTGGACAGTGATTTTCCATTTCCTCTTTCTGGCATTTATCAGAGGCACCTCTCCATTCTGGACAAGGCCATTGATAGATGTCACCACTCAACACCTGCCCCCTGTCCAGTTCTGTGCCAGGCACTGTGAGAGCCACGGCTAAAGGTGGCTCACCTTCATTCCCCGCTAGGTGTGCCCTTGATGGGTCAGCCAGCATGCATTGCAGGAGAGCCTGCTGAGCAGGCTGCTGGGCCTGTGGGGGAAGAAATTTCAAGTTGGTCAAGCCTGTTGTAGCCTTGGGGTTTTAGCCTTACGATGGCTCTGTGAGCTTGGCAGGGCAGGCCTTGCTCTCAGTTTAGGGGAGAGAAAACCCAAGCCTTCCAGGAGGGCTAGGGCCTTGGTCAGATCACCCTGAGCTCATGGCAGAGCCAAGTGTAGACTGAGTTCACGGACCACTGGGGCCTGGCCTGCCCCAGGCTGGGAGATGCATCTTTTAGGGAAAAAAGATAGGAAACCCACTTAAGGGTTGGCCAGGTGGGCCTGACCATGGCAGGCCAGGATGCCCAGTGGAACCAGGAGCCCCATTGTCTAGGGCCAGCTCTGCCGGCTTGCTCCATCACCCTGGGGCAGTCACTACCTCCCTTTCCCTCCCCATGTAGAGAATGGAGAGCTGTGTTGTCCCACCGTGTTCAGGGGTAGTCCCATCTTCTTGATCTTTCTGAGCTTTTAGGAAATCCTGGATTCCTGTGACATTATTCAAGCAAAGGAAATTAGTCTCAAAGCCAGTGATGGGAACCCAAGGAATAGTGGTCTATTCCTGTTTTCCTCACTTCCCCCTAGACCCAGATGCCTGCTGTTTGGGTTGAAAAATGAAGTAGACACTGGCAGAGAGGTGGGGAGGGCCCAGACCAGAAGCTGGAGAGGTGGTTCAGCACTGGCCCTTGGCAGTTAATTCCGGTTAGGACGGAGAGCCAGCTCCTCATGCCTCCTCCCATCCCACCTGCCCGGCCCTTCACTGAGAACCCACTGCCCGATGGGAGCCTGGGTCTCCCTGCTCCTCCTCCTGCCTGGGCACTTGCTCCAGCCACCCTGTATTGACTGCTCTCCCCAGATGGCTGTGTCCTCAGAGCTCAGACAGCGGGGCTGACCTCACGCAGCTGGCGGGGTAGAGCCAAGGTTGGAATGCAGGTTCCTGCTCTGTGCACTCCTGTCCTGGGCCCCTGCCTGACAGCCAAGCCCACCTTTGTCTGTCCCTACACAGTGTCTTCCCACGGGAGTTGAAAGAGGTGTTTGCCTCGTGGAGGCAGGAGTGCAGCAGTCGCGGCCGCCCGGACATCAGTGAGCGGCTCATCAGCGCCTCCCTCTTCCTGCGCTTCCTCTGCCCAGCCATCATGTCGCCCTCACTCTTCAACCTGCTGCAGGAGTACCCTGATGACCGCACTGCCCGCACCCTCACCCTCATCGCCAAGGTCACCCAGAACCTGGCCAACTTTGCCAAGTGAGTGCCTCCTCCCTCACCAGGCAGAGTTGGGCAGGGCTGGTGTCCACAGGGCAGGCCCTGGGGGTGTTTCTGCCCCCAAGCTGAGCAGAGACCATAAACAGGCCCTGGTTTTGTCCCTGTCATCCTCAGTCCTTCTCCTTCCCGCTTTTTAAAAAATAAAATCTCCACACCCTGTCCTTCTACTCAAGGTATATGTCATTTTGGTATGTTTCTTAATTTTTAAAGGTGACGACATGAGACATTTTTTTCCTTCTGCTTTTTTGAATTAATGTATTATTATAAGGATTCTCACATATCCCTTAACATTCATTAAGCCCTGTTTTGAAATAAATGACTAATATTCCTCCAAGGGGGACTGGCCCATATTTCCTTAATCCATTCCCTGTGCTTGGGCACTTGGGTTGGGCACCACCATCCTGGTGTCAGGCTATCAGGATGTCTTTGCTGATAAAGCACTATTGGTGTTTTTGGCTGCATCCTTAGAGCAAGTGGGCAGAAGTAGAAGGGCTGGGTCGTCTCACTGTTGTTCATTCTCAAAACATAGATTGAGCCCCATCCTGGGGCCATCTGTGTGCTGGGCTCTGACGGCACCAAGATGAATCAGTCCTGGTGGCGCTCAGCACTTCAGCCAGGGAGACGTGTGGAATGAGCAGGAGAGCAGTGATAGACACACACGAGCCTCTTAGGAGGGCTCTCAGCTTGTTGGGAGAGGAGACAGGAAAGCCTCCAGGGTGACATGATCCCCCAACTGCATGTCAGGGTGAGGCGTTCATTGTCTCAAGAGGAGCAGAGGCTGGGCATCCCAGGGAGGGCCATGCACTGTGCCAGGTCAGGAGAAGCGGGCGATGAGACCTAAGAGGACAGCAGGGACCTGAAGGCCAGACAGGGCTGTGGGAGCCACCAGAGGGTTTTAAACAAGGGAGAGGATGGCCTTCCTCTGTTCTGGATCCTGAAAAGCTCACCCTGACAGCAGTGGGCAGATGGGTTGGAGGGAGCAGGATGGTAGCCAGGAGACGTGAAAGGAGAGCATAGCTGTGGTTCCAGCAACAATAGCAGAAAATTCGCAGGGAGGGGAGCGGGTACAGGAGGCAGTGGCTGCAAGGGACAAGGTTAGGGGTGATTAGAAGGCAAAATCAGTGGGCCGTGCCATTTGGGAATGAGGAAGAGGGAGGAGTTGACAGCTGCCAGAGATTCTGTCTCAGGTGTATCTGTATGGGTAGTGGGGTCTCCACTTAGGGTAGGGAGCTCAGGAGGAGGGCATGGGTTTGGGTGTTGATGATGACTTCAGGTGTGGCAGGCTGAGTAGGAGGGACTCCCAGGGGTGGTGCCTGCAGATATATTAATACATGCCTGAAAGCTCATTGGGAGACCTGGGTTGAGCAGGGATTGAGCATCATCTGCATACCAGGGCAGTGAAACTTGGAGGAAAAGCCGAAGGACACTGTTAACAGGCAGTGTATGGGGGACACAGAACATTCCAGGTCCTGAGATAAAAGGTTCAGAAAAGGATCGCTGGACTTACCATGAGCAAGGAGGGCCCTGGTGACCTGGGTCAGAGCATATTCAGCTGACTTGGGGAGTGAATGGAGTGGGAGCCTGCCATAGTGGGGAAAGCGGGTGGTGGTGTCCCAGTGGAGGGAGTTCCTGGGCAGGGCCTGCCTGGGCCCAGTAGTGCTCACCCAACTGCCCTCTCTCCAGATTTGGCAGCAAGGAGGAATACATGTCCTTCATGAACCAGTTCCTAGAGCATGAGTGGACCAACATGCAGCGCTTCCTGCTGGAGATCTCCAACCCCGAGACCCTCTCCAATACAGCCGGCTTCGAGGGCTACATCGACCTGGGCCGCGAGCTCTCCAGCCTGCACTCACTGCTCTGGGAGGCCGTCAGCCAGCTGGAGCAGGTGCCTGTTGCCGTGGGGCGGAGGTGGGGCCAAAAGCTGCCATCAGGCTTTTAGTGTTCCCCCTTCCAGAGTAACCATGGAGGGCAGAGAGTTTGCCCAAGTGGCATGATCAGGCCAGGTCCTGTCAGAACACACTGGGGATCTGTGGGCCCCATTTTCTCTGTGGGCAAATGCTATGTTCACTCAGCAGTATCTGCCAAGGCTGCCCCACTCTGGGTACTAGAGCTGGGGTGTTCCGCATGCACTCAGCCTTTAGTGGACAAGCGCCACTGTGCTGCCTGCCAGAGCATGTGAGAAATAGAATTGGATCGTGAATCCGCCTGTATGAAGAAGATGACTCAAGACCCTGTACCTCCACTTGTCCAGCAGGAAGTCGAAAACCTTTCTAGGATTGCCCTTGACCATCAGTTGACAAGGTTACTCCCTAGACACCTCTGACACTGCTGCAGTCACCTGAAGTGAGCCCTCCCTAGCCCGAGACTTCACTGACCCCCAGCCTCAGCCCACACAGTGAGCAACTAGTTCTTGGACTTAAGGGCTGGGTCTACCAGGAACTACTTCCCGAATATCTGTTGCTTTCTAGGGCTCCAAGGGACCACCTTACTTTTGTAAGGTGCTGAAACTGGCCTGGAAGGCCCTTCATGCCTCCTGGTCCCATTCCCTAGAGGTGACCGCTCAGAGCACTGGTATGCAGCCTTCTGGACACGATCTGTGCATGTGTAAGCGCACACACACATGCAGGCGCACACACATAGAGCTCTTTTCCTTCTTCAGTTTGTTTTAAAGCAAGAACATACTGTGTATGCTGCTGTGTGCATTTCTTACCACTGTGTTGTGGGCCTCTTTGCTTGTCAGTGCAATCTCCACCACCCCCAGGGACTTTTTAATGACTGCATTGTATGAATGCTATTTATTTCACCAGTCCCCTATTGATGGACACTTAGGTTAGTCCTGACTTTTCACTAGAAATAGGTCCTGTTGCAATCAAAGGCCATCATTTTTGCTCATTTGTATCCACTTGCCTTTGGCTGTGAGAGACACAGGAGGGAGAAATGGAAATGAGGGCTGAGACCCTACATTCCACCTGTTCCAGTCCCTGCACTGCAGCCAACACTAGTCACTGTCACTGCCACCACTTACCTTTCCCCTGTGCTGTCCACGTATCTGCACAACCAGGCAGGAAGAATGGAAGGTGATCAGTATTGTCACATCGGTGATAGGGTGCAACAGGGATTTGAAACTCAACTGTTTGCCTCTCAATTGCGTGCTCTATTGCCTGCATGAGTTTTCACACTTTGTTTTCTCACAGAGACCTCTGTGGAAGCTTGTGCATAAACAGGTGAAGGCAGTGTCCCCAAAGCCTAGAATCCTCTGCCCCTTAAGTTCTCTAAAGCGTGCCAGCAAGGTTCAGATGGGTTCAGGCACTGCCTTCTGCCTGACCAGCACCTGAGGGTGCCTGCAGTGTGCTTGGACCATCTCCACTGGGGCTCAGGTGCCAAGGTGGGTCAGGCCCCAGCCCATCCCGTGGAGTAAGTGATGTGAGAGGGGCTGTCACAGAAGCCTCTGGATGGAGAGGTGGAGGTGTGGAAATGCTGGGATTCCATGTGTGCTTTCCTCTCTGCGGAGGCACCAGGGCAGGGCAAACTGAAGGAGAGGCTTGCACTAGGTCAGCGTCTCCCACTGTGGGCCTCCTACTCCTGCCCTAGAAATGTCCGGGAGCTGGTTAAAAATGTAGATTTACCGATTCCTGGGCTCACCCCCCTCCCAGACCCAGTGGCTCTGACTGGCAGCAGGTGGGGATCTGCACTTCTGACAGGCTCCGCAGTGGTTTTGAGCCATAGTGGCTGCAGCACATACAGCCTACCCATGTGGTCCCAGGAGGTCACACCTGCCTCTTGCTGTGCCTTTACAGAGCATAGTATCCAAACTGGGACCCCTGCCTCGGATCCTGAGGGACGTCCACACAGCACTGAGCACCCCAGGTAGCGGGCAGCTCCCAGGGACCAATGACCTGGCCTCCACACCGGGCTCTGGCAGCAGCAGCATCTCAGCTGGGCTGCAGAAGATGGTGATTGAGAACGATCTTTCCGGGTAAGAGCTGCCAGCCATGTTGGGTGTGGTGGGTGCGTGTGCAGACTAGGCACAGCCCATCTGTAATCTCAGATGGGGAAAGAGGATGCCTACATAGTGTTTATAAAACAAGCCTGGCAAGACTTGAGTTGTACAGGTCCTAAGTGGTGAACCTCCATTTGGGAAAAATCAGGGAAGCCTTCCTAGAGGAGGTGATGCTATAGGTTTGTTTTGTTTTGGGAAAAGTAGCATTTCCATTGGTGGAAAAGGCATTCTAGACAGAGGGACAAGCACAAGCAAAGACATGATGTGTCAGAGAATAATTGCTGGTCCCAAATACCCCCAGCATTTCCAGATCCCCTGATATTTGTTAAAAATACACATGTTCCTGGTATTTCCTGAGCCTGAGTCAGAATCTCCAGAAGTGTTTAGTTGGGGGTGTTTTCAATAGGAATTCGGTGGCTCTGCCAGGCTTTGAGGCTGGGAACAGCAGAAAACATAAAGTGATGCTGAGACCCAGTCCTGGGGTCTGCTCTGCCTAAATAAGACACACACGGCAGAGTGGAAGGCAAAATGTTCTTGTTTAAGTCAAAATAGAGACATTTCTATCAGTTCATGTTGAAGCATTTCTGCTCTACCCCTACTCTCCCCTCTCCCGCCAGTGATCCTTCTTACCCCAGCATGTGAGGCCGCAGCTGTAGCAGCAGAGTTGGGAGTGTGGTCTCCCCCAAGGTGGTGGCAGGGCAGGCTTTTAAGCAGGGGAGGGTGCTGAGATCAAGAACCTGGGGTTAGGGGAGCCCAGGAGGGGCCAGAGATGCAGGTCCACTGAGTCTTGCATTGGGTCTGTTCAGTGAGTGTGCCAAGTGAAGACAAGCAGAGTCACATGCCAAGAGTTTGGAGTGGGGGGTGCAGTAGACAGCCCTTGAGAGGCTGAGAGGCAGCCGGGCCCGTGAGTTCTGAAAAGACTGACCTGGTGTGTGGCCTGGGCAGCCAGGCCCCCACTGCTCTCCGTCTTTCCTGGCTCATCTGCTGCTCTAGCCAGTTCTCCCAGGCCCGTGAGCACTGCAGCCCATCTCAGGGAGTGGCACTTCCTCTCCGTCTGAGGCTAAGCCAACCCATTCCCCATTCCAAGCCATATCAAGCCCCCCAAGTCCTTGCAGCCTTCAGTTCCCCCCACCCACATTCTTCTCTCCAAAGCCCCCCTGGACCCCGCCACAGTTGTGCTTTCTTCCAAGGAGCTAGCTTCTGGGGAGGGGCCAGGGAGAGGCCAGAGAAAAGCGTAGAATGAGGAGGAGGCCAGGGCAAGTGCAGCCCTCCCACCAAGTCATGCTCTCCACAGAGCCTGCTCTCATTCCTTGTTTTTGCCAGGAACTCCAGCCCCCGCCTGCCAGTCAAACAAGGGAGCGGCAGCAGGAGGCTGGGCAAGAGGAGGTTTCACCGGGCCCCCACTTCAGTTACCAGTCTGATTAGGAACAAGAGGGAAGAGGCAGAGGGAACCCAGTGACTCTGAAGTTGGGGTTCTCAATGCAGGATCCGTGGATAGCAGAGAGCCACTGAGTTGTGGCTTAGGGCTTAGCTAAGGAGGAGTTTTCCAGAGCAAGCCAGGCCCCAGTACCCATTGTCCCAAGATGCAGCTGAACAGGGAAGGGGTCTTCCAGGCAGCGCGGCCTGAAATGTGCAGTGCTGGCCCCTAAAGAAGAGGTTCTGTGCAGGAGCAGCCGCCTCAGCCTCTGGTCCCCGGATTCTCCCACTCCTGCCACCCCAGCGCATCCATCTCCCCAGCGCTGGCTCAGGCTGCCAGGCCCCGGCAGGTTGGCGGGTGCTGTCGGTTTGGACCCGCCTTGGCTGCACTCACAGTTCTTCTTTTCCCCTTCTTTCCCTGTGTGTGCTTGTCTCCCTGCAGTCTGATAGATTTCACCCGGTTACCGTCTCCAACCCCCGAAAACAAGGACTTGTTTTTTGTCACAAGGTCCTCCGGGGTCCAGCCCTCACCTGCCCGCAGCTCGAGTTACTCGGAAGCCAACGAGCCTGATCTTCAGATGGCCAACGGTGGCAAGAGCCTCTCCATGGTGGACCTCCAGGACGCCCGCACGCTGGATGGGGAGGCAGGCTCCCCGGCGGGCCCCGACGTCCTCCCCACAGATGGGCAGGCCGCTGCAGCTCAGCTGGTGGCCGGGTGGCCGGCCCGGGCAACCCCAGTGAACCTGGCAGGGCTGGCCACGGTGCGGCGGGCAGGCCAGACACCAACCACACCAGGCACCTCCGAGGGCGCGCCAGGCCGGCCCCAGCTGTTGGCACCGCTCTCCTTCCAGAACCCTGTGTACCAGATGGCGGCTGGCCTGCCGCTGTCACCCCGTGGCCTTGGCGACTCAGGCTCTGAGGGCCACAGCTCCCTGAGCTCACACAGCAACAGCGAGGAGTTGGCGGCTGCTGCCAAGCTGGGAAGTTTCAGCACTGCCGCGGAGGAGCTGGCTCGGCGGCCCGGTGAGCTGGCACGGCGACAGATGTCACTGACTGAAAAAGGCGGGCAGCCCACGGTGCCACGGCAGAACAGTGCTGGCCCCCAGAGGAGGATCGACCAGCCTCCGCCCCCACCCCCGCCGCCACCTCCTGCCCCCCGCGGCCGGACGCCCCCCAACCTGCTGAGCACCCTGCAGTACCCAAGACCCTCAAGCGGAACCCTGGCGTCGGCCTCACCTGATTGGGTGGGCCCCAGTACCCGCCTGAGGCAGCAGTCCTCTTCCTCCAAGGGGGACAGCCCAGAACTGAAGCCACGGGCAGTGCACAAGCAGGTCAGTGCTGCTAGTCAGAGGGCAGGGCTGGGCACTTGGGCCCAGCTGGGGCTGTCATACCCCATACCATGCTCCTCCTCTCGGTCATTTCACCTCCACCCTCACCCAGCTGCCATCCCATCCCACCAGCCTGCCACATGCGCCACCACCCCCTCCCCCTGGCTTCTTCCTGAATCCTGTGAACCAGGGACACTGTAGCCTTGGGGAACTCCAGGCTCCTCTGTCAGTGCCCCTAGGGGCAGGCTGGGGTCAGAGAGAAAGAGGAGGAGAGTGCATTCATCTTCGGTTCCAAGCCTGTCGAAGCGCCTACCCAGCTCTGCCCCCACACGCCCCTCCCAAAATGTTTTCACAGGCTGGACAGGCCTTCAGGCACAACCACCTGGAGCATGGATGACCCTGTCACCCAAAGGCTGCAGGCAGTGTCTGGAGTGGAGGTGCCTTGGGCTGACAGCCCAGCCTGGCCCTGTCCCCCACTCAGTGCAGCCTGCCCCGGTGCCCCCAGTGGCAGGGTCACTCACTGTCCTCTTGGCAGCAGAGTGTGGTGCTCAGGAGGCCACCTGGCACCTGTCAGCTCTGCCTTTGGCTGCCGTCTGAGAGACAGTTCCCGGGTGGGGACTGCCTCGGTAGGCGCTCAGTCAGCTGGAGGTCCCCTCTTCCCACCGTGTCCCAGAGTTGCTTGTCCTTGTGGCTCACCTGGGCCACTCCCGCCCCTCCTGCTTGCCCTCCACCTCCCTGCAGCCCCTCACAGCTGTGTTTCATTGTAGGGCCCTTCACCTGTGAGCCCCAATGCCCTGGACCGCACAGCCGCTTGGCTCTTGACCATGAACGCGCAGTTGTTAGAAGACGAGGGCCTGGGCCCAGACCCCCCCCACAGGGATAGGCTAAGGAGTAAGGACGAGCTCAGCCAAGCAGAAAAGGTAAAACTGGACCCTGGCGGCTCGGGACAGGGCGGGGCTGCCTCCCGGCAGCAGCTGGTAGGAGTCTCTCCCCCAGGTCCCCCAGCAACGGGTGCTGCTGTCCTTGTGAAGGGCCCGTCACCTCTGAGCCCCTGTTCCCTGTGAGAATAGCAGTCAGTGGGGTCTGGAAGAAAAGCAACAAGAGGGATGGATTAGCAGCTTAGACCTGAGGCTTCCCATCTGCAGATTGGAATCACCAGGGAATTGTCTTGGATACAGACTCCTGGGACCTCTGGGAAGGCTCCTTAGCCCAGGCAACTGAGGCAGTTGAGCTTCCTGAGGACCTGGGGGTTGAGGGCTGAGGGTGCCCAAGTGACATATAGAAGCCCCCCTGAGGGAACTTGGTACCTGAGGAGGCAGAGGCATGGGTCCCCAGGATGGCTGGGAGAGCCACCCCAGCCTGGCCCCCAAGGCTTGTGCCTGCCCACGGCCTGGCTCTTCACCCCTCTGGTCTCCACCAGGGCCTGGGAAAGAAACAGCAGTTACCAGCTTGGGGGGTGGGGTCAGGCTGCCATTGAGATGTTTTCTTCCCCACCCCCGGGAAAAGAATCTACTCTAAAAATGAAACTCTCACTCTGCCACACACTCTGCCATCTGCTGGGGCAAGGGGATGCTTCGTTGGTCTCCCAAGCCTTCCAGCTGTGGCAGCTGCTCTGGATCTGGGGGTAGTTTTTGTCTCCTACTGCCAGCTGCAGTCCATGTAGACGGAGGAACCAGCGCAGGCCCCAGAACGGCAGGCGCTTCTCCACTCCCCTCTGGATGCTCTCGCCCCGCTGGGCCCCAGGAAAGCCTGTGGCAACCTCTCGAGCAAGGGTATTGGGGTCAGAATGGCAGAACTCCTTCTCCCCGGCCTCAGGCGAGGCCCGTCTCCATGCTGCATCCTGCCACCGCCACCATCCCCGGTCCGCTACATCCACCTGCTTTCACCATAGTTACATGAAGGGGACCGGGGGACAGGGAACACAGTGCTCCCAGAGCCAGAGTTTGGCTGGGGAGTGAGGAGGACTGGCCTCACTCCAGGCTTTTTGCATCCCTGTGTCCTCATGGCGTCTGGCCCCTCTCGATCCCGGCGTTGGCCTTTCCTCGCTCAGCGCAGAGCACCTGACTCCTCTCTGCAGCCACGCCGCTTCCCAGCCTCGTCCACATCCCTGCTCCTCCCTGATGGTTGGGGTCTGTGCTGGACTGAGGCAGATCCAGAGCCTGGACCACCTGCCTTTCAGTTCTCTCTCTCTCCATTTCCTCATGCCACTGCCACCCCCTGGCTTTAGATTCAAACAGAGGCTGGGAAGCTGGGATCTTACCCTGCTAGTCAGTCGCTCTTCATGTGACATGGTCACCTTGTCTGGGCCTCAGTTTCCCCTCCTGCAGAGCTCCCACCTCTCAGGGTGCTGTCACATGTCCTTCATGTATCCAAGGGTTTTTTAACCTTTGTCATATAAAAGTTCAAAGCCCTAGTTACACCCTCAGTCCTGGGACTTGGGTCTAAGTCTTCATCCCCGCTGTAGCCATACAGGTCAGGCTGGGAGTTTGGAGTGGAGGCCCCACGGTGGGGCACAGGCACGCGTCTGGCTGCAGCCCCCACCAGCTGGGCTCCTTGGGCATCTCCTTGCTATGTGAAGTGGGCGGGTCACAGCCACTGGGGCCTTTCAAGTGGGGCTCCCTCCTACCCTTCCTCCCACTCGGGCTGACGAAGCTGTGCTCTCTGTGTCCTGGGTGCTGTGCCCGTGGACGCTGCCCTCCTGGTAGGACCTGGCGGTGCTGCAGGACAAGCTGCGAATCTCCACCAAGAAGCTGGAGGAGTATGAGACCCTGTTCAAGTGCCAGGAGGAGACGACGCAGAAGCTGGTGCTGGAGTACCAGGCACGGCTGGAGGAGGGCGAGGAGCGGCTGCGGCGGCAGCAGGAGGACAAGGACATCCAGATGAAGGGCATCATCAGCAGGTGGGGCCCACACCTGCCTGGCCTGGCCACAGGCACAGGCAGGGCAGCCATCGCTGCCTTCGAGGAGGCCCCTGGTCGGGGAGCCTCCTCAAAGGATAAGCTGAATGTGGAGAGAGGAGGGAAGAGAGTGTCTGGGCAGTGGGAGCAGCGTGAGCACAGGCCTGGAGGCAGGAGGTGGCCTGGAGGGTGGGCAGCCCATGCAGAATACAAAGCTGGGGATGAGGCTGGACCAATGACAGCTGGCTCCCGACGGGCCTGAGCCTCTACAAGGAGCCATACCATCTTAGTAAGCACTCTCAGGGGCGCTGAGAAGCTGGATTGGGGGGTGCCAGGAAAGACAGGGAGGACCCCAATACAGGGTAAGAAAAGTGGGAATGAGTCTCAGTTACGTATAGTAGATGAAGGTGGAAGACACAGCGTAGCCCCCAGATTCCTACCAAGAGTGTCTGGGTGTGGGCGTATCAGGGTACCAGTTACTGAGCTGGGAACTGTTAAGAGGAGTGGTTTGAGTGGGGAGGGAGAGGGGGATGGTGCCAGTCTGATATCCTGAGTTTTAAGGGGCCTGGGTTATCTGGGAAAGGGCTTCAGAGGAACAGCGGGTTTTAATGCTGACTCTCATCTTTTTGAAGGCTTATGTCAGGCCCCATGTTGGTGCCTCCATCTCTGTCTCTGGCTCTGCCTATGGGTAGGGCATCCCTACCTTGGTGTCAGGCAGGGAGTACAATCAACCCCAGGGTCCCAGTCGTGGAGTTTACTTCCTTCTCAGTAATACCAGGCACGGGAGGAGAGACAGTGTGTCTTGTTTGAATTGGCCTGGTCTAAGACCCCATCAGCTGGACAGACCAAGCAGGTGTGCAAGAGCCAGGAAGGCCTCTGCTCCATGTTTTGTCTATGACATAAGCCCTTCCCAGATTCCTCCTATTTAGACCACCTGTTTCTCTGTTCCTGACTGTTGTTTGCTCCATTTACTTGTAGTTTGGTTCATTATGAAATAGTTAACATGAGTGAAACCAGGGTGGCTAGAAACCTGCTGTTCACTTGTTCTCCAGCTCTGCTCTTGGCTCACCTTGTGTGTGTTTCCAAGAATGGAAATGCTTTTCAATTTAACTGCCTTCTCTACATTGTGTGTATTCTCTGATATTTGCATGTTCTGAATTCAGAGACTTGCTTAACACGTTCGTTTCTACTAACCAATCCTGGAATATTTCCTCCTTAATGTAAATGTCAGTTAGGTAGATAGTGTTCAAGTATTCCATATCCTTACTGGCTTTTCTATTTCTCCCTTCATTCCAACTGGTTTTTGCTTTATGTACACTGAAACTATTCTTAGGTGCATATACATTTAGGCTGTTTATGTACTATTGTTGAATTAATTCCAACTGGTTTTTGCTTTATGTACACTGAAACTATTCTTAGGTGCATATACATTTAGGCTGTTTATGTACTATTGTTGAATTAACCTCTTTGTCATTATAAAATCACTTTCTTTATCCCTTGAAATATTCTTTGCTCTGAAATCTGCCTTGTCTGCTATTAATGTAGCCACCCCAACTTCCTTTTGATTCGTGTTGGTATGGTATAGCTTTTTTTATCCTCCTGCTTTTAACTCATTGTCTTGGTCCATTCAGGCTGCTATAACAAGGTACCTTAGACTGGGTAATTTATAAACAACAGAATATGTATTGCCCTCAGTTCTGAAGTCTAACATCAAAATGCCAGCAGATTCAGGGTATAGTGACTCTCTGCTTCATATTATAGTGCACCGTTGCTGTGTTCTCACATTGTAGGGGGTGTGAGCAAGCTCCCTTGGGCTTCTTGTATAATATAAAAGCACTAATTCCATTTTTGAAGGCAAAGCCCATAGGATGTAATCACCTCTCAAAACCCCTACCTATTAAGATAATCAATCACCTTGGGGGTTAGGTGTCAACATATGAATTTAGAAGGTGACACAAACATTCAGAGCATAGCACCCATCTATATATATGAAGTGGGTTTATTTTACGGGCACCATACTATTGGGTCTTGCTTTCGTCTAAATGGTTCTGCCTTTTTATTGGAGTGTTTTGACCATTTACATTTAATGTAATTATTGATATATTTAAATCTGTTGCCTTGTTTCCTATTTGTACCATCTGTTCTTTTTTTCCTGCCTTCTTTTGGACTGAGTATTTTTTTATGATTCCATTTTCTCTCCTATTGACTTATTAGCTTTATCTCTTTGTTGCTCTAGGGCAGGGATTGGCAAACTTTCTACAAAGGAGCAGATCAAAAGTATTTTAGGCTTTGTAGGCCATATGGTCTCTATTGCAACTGTTCAGCTCTGCTGTTACAGCAGAACTATTTGTGTGAGATGGCTATTTACAAAAACAGGCAATGGTCCAGATTTGGCCCTCACCCTGAGGCTGTAATGACAGGGAGTCTGTCATTGTCTTTGTTCCTCTGTACTTTATGTATCTGTTTTCCCTGGCTATTTATAAGATACTTTTTTTTTAAATCACTGGTTGTCAGTAGTTGGATTGTGATGTTCATTGGTGTGGTTTTCTTCTAATTTCTTGGGTCTTGGATTTGTATGTCTGCAGTCCCACCTCCCCCCATTTCTTTCTCTGGGATTCCTAGCACACGTGCATTAGGCTGACTCATTTTGTCCCGTATCTCACTGATGCTCTGTTATCTTCTTTCTTCATTTTTTTTCTGTTTCTTCTCTTTGATAGTTTCTATGACTATGTCTTCAAGTTTGCTAATTATTTCTTCTTCTGTGTGTAACCTGCTATTAATCTGATCCAGTATTTTTTCACAGCAGATAATTATATTTTTCACCTCTTAGAATTTCATTTTGCTTTAAATTCCATCAGTTTTAATTCTCATTGTGCTTTTACTTCTGTTTTCTGAAACATGTAGAATATATTTATAATACCTTGTTGTTTTCATGTCCTTGTCTAATTCTATCATCTGTGACATCTGAGTCTGTTTTTACTGATTTATTTTCCGCCTGCTTATGAGTTTTCCTACTTCTCTCTGTATACTTGGTAATTTTTGGTTGGATGCCAGGCATTGTGAATCTCACAGTGAGGTGCTGAATGTTTTTGTGTTCCTTTAAATCCTTTCTGGGGGCTTTATTCTGGGAGACAGTGAGGTTACTTGGAATCTGTTCAATCCTCTCAGGGTTTCCTTTTAAGTTTTGTTAGGCTGCGTCCTGCAGAGCCTTTAGTCTTGGCCTAACGTGGCCCTGCTCTGAGGGGGTTTCCTTCCCCGGGTCCTCTGTGATTCCCAGTGTTGGTGCGTCACTGCACTCTCACTGGTACAACATGAACTGCTTCTGCGATTGTTTCGTGTTCTCCTTTCTGACGGTTCTTGCCTAGCCTGGTAATTTTCTCATCTGCATGCGGATATTATTCAGTCAGAGACACAAGGGGAACCCCCACTCGGGAGCTATGTGGAGTTTCTCTCTGCCTCTTGCTCCTCTCTGGCTTCTGCCCTGCAAATCCCACACCTCTTGACCTTCCTGACCTGCCTGTCTCCTCAACTCAGTGAGGCTGCTGACTCCGCCTTCCCTCTGCTTCCAGGCCGTTCACTGGGCTCTCCTTGTTGGTTTCTGTTCTCCTAGAAATTATTGTACTGCATTGCCTGTATTGTGTCCATTTTTCTGGTTTGTTTGTTTGGTTGGTTTTTAATAAAGAGATGGGGTCTCGCCATGTTACCCAGGCTGGTCTTGAACTCCTAGTCTCAAGTGATCCTCCCTCCCTGGCCTCCCAAAGTGCTGAGATTATAGGCGTGAGCCAATGTGCCCGGCCCTATTTGTTTTTAAGACAAGAGAGTAAATACAATCTCCTTCCAATCTAATTTTCCTTAATAAAACAAATACCCTCCTGCCACCCCACCCCCAGCACAAGCTTTCCTCAGAGTGATACCTTCCTGTACTGGGGAACCTGCCCCGGAGGGTCCCCCCCGCCACCACCGCTCCTCCCAGTTAGTGCTCCCTGAACTGCTGCCCTGCTGCCCCCATTACAGTCCCGTGCAGAACCGGCCCCGGCACAGTGGCTCCCTGTGTGTCTTCTGTGAGTGGGCTAAGTGCTTGCCCAGTGTGCGGTGGCTGCTCTAGGCTGGAGGAATCAAGAGGGCAGGGATGGAGAGAAGCCTTGGGAGTGGAGGGCTCATCTAAGAGTGTGTGGAGCAAGGAGAAGGGAGGCTGAGGCCAAAGCCCTGTGGACCCCCATGTCCAGAGGCAGACAGGACAAGGCATCTAGGAGACAGGCAGACCCAGAGAGTGTGGGGTCTCAAAGCCAAAGGAGAGTGGGAAGGTGGGAGTGCCCAGCAGTGAGAGTGTCTCAGGAACCAGCCAGGTGGGGCCAGGAGGGCTCCCAGGCAGGGAGCAGCAGGACGGAGCCGGCCTCCTGCCCACTGAGCTTCCGCGGGTGGTATGTCCCCCAGCTACTGCTCATTGTTCTGCCTGCACACCTGTCCTTCAGATGTCTCCTACTGATGTGCGACCTCCCAGCCCACCCTCCAGGGAACGTCACTGCTTCCTGCTCTTTGTTCCAGGGACCTGAGCTTTCCACTAGCGCAGCTGCTCCGTGCAGGGTGTAGTTAGTTACTCGTGCCTCCTGCCTTGTGAACTCCTTGAGGGAAAGGACTAGAGTTCATTCATCTTGGCACCTCGCGTACAACTTTGTGAAGATGGCGGGGGCAGGGTGGAAAAAGTTCTAGAGCCTTTCAGGGCCTTCGTCTTTCCACCACCTGCCTAGCTCTAGGGGTTTGAAGATCTAATGCCCATTTCCACCCATCTTGGCTCCTGGAAGAACATCGGGAAAGGGGCAGCCCGGGGGCCTCTGGGGCTTTAGGAGCAGCGAGTGTGGGATGTGGAGGTGAGGAAGGAGGCCCAGCAGTGTCAGTTGCTGGGAGTCGGCTGGAGGGCCTCTGCCCCAGGCAAGTATGGGAGGCAAGTCTCTGACCCAAGGAGGGGCTCTCCTAGTGTGTCCCTGCTGTGTGCGGGGGTGATGGGCTTGTTCTCACACCCTCCCCACCTCTGCTGCCTCCAGGGCCAGTCTGACTGTCTCTGTCTCTGGCTATAGGTTGATGTCCGTGGAGGAAGAACTGAAGAAGGACCACGCAGAGATGCAAGCGGCTGTGGACTCCAAACAGAAGATCATTGATGCCCAGGTGGGGGCTCCGGCCCTTTGGTCAGCCACAAGAGTTAAAGGGCCTGGGATTAGGAGGGGTGACTAGCCTCTCCATCCTCAGTCATACCTCACTGCAGACACTGAGGGGAATAAGAAACCAGAATCTGCCCTGAGAAGTCAGACCTGTGGTCTTAGTGGGCCACAAGCTCACTAGGACAGGCTGTGAAAGGAGAGAGGCAGCTCCTCCCCTGCCAGGGCTCTTGGCGGGCATTGTCTTTCACCAGGACTGCTGACCAAAGAGTGGAAGCCACCAGGAGGGCAGTGGGGGTAGGAGTGAAGGCAGGCTGGTCAGAGGGAGCAGTGGGGCTCTCGTTCACAACTATGGCATCCGGGCTGCATTGAGGGGAGACGTGAAAGGCTCTGTGGCCCCAGCCTCCTTTACTCAGGGCTGCACCGCTTTCCTTTCACTCACCCAGGAGTAGGCTGGGCCTTGCTCAGGCTGTAAACTGCACAGACCAGGAGCTGTGACCTCTGGTGTGTCATGCACACACATGTGAGCAAGGGTGCCTGCCCTAGGGGCCGCAGGCAGCCCATAGACAGCACTAGAGCTGCTGCATTTGGGCTGATAAGCAGGCAGCGAGGCTGTGTCCATGATGCTGCAGAGGCCTCTGCCTACCTTCTCTTGCCAGCTGCTCACAGCCCGGAGCCTGCCTGCCACCCTCATCTCCAGGCCACCCCCTTCCCCGATGCTTGTCGTAGGTATACACAGCCCTAAGGAGCCTGTCCCATGACCCCCGCTCACATCCCCATTGTCCACAGGAGAAGCGCATTGCCTCGTTGGATGCCGCCAATGCCCGCCTCATGAGTGCCCTGACCCAGCTGAAAGAGAGGTACAGCATGCAAGCCCGTAACGGCATCTCCCCCACCAACCCCACCAAATTGCAGATTACTGAGAACGGCGAGTTCAGAAACAGCAGCAATTGTTAACCTGCCTGAGGAGGGAGGAAGCTACCCAAGGAGAGGGGGACTATGGTGGCCAAGGGCAGGGTCTCGGCCTGGGGAGGCACCCACGGTTGCAGCCCCAGCGCGGGTGTCAGGAGGCCGAGCCTCCCCTCCCTGCCGCTGTCCAGGAGGCGGCCGCAGAGGGAGCCACCAGAGACTGAAGCAGCGTGAGGCGAGGTCACCAGCCGCTCCCTGTGGGGTGCGGGCAGAAGAGACTGCACGCTGGGGAGTGGGGACAGCCTGATGGGGCAGGGGGCCTGCCAAAAATATGTCTGTTGGTTCCTGAATGTGGTGTGTCCTTGTCCTCCTGGATCTGGCCGAGTGCATGTGTCCCCCCACACCTGTGCCAGGGAGGGGGCTTCCTGGAGGGGGGATTCAAGGGCTAGGGGCCTACACCTGTGGCTTCCCCTCGCCTCCTTGGGGGGCCCGGGACTCCCTGGCAGCCAGGCCCTGTCATGTGGGACCTGGCACTTGGCAGATCAGTTGGCAGGCAGGAAGATAGGAGGACACAGAGCAGGAGGTCAGTGTCCCCTGCCTGTCTCCATCCGAAGCACCTGCCACTGCATGCAGCCTGTTGGGACCTTCCTGGCTGTGAGGAACTGAGGATTCCTACCCACCCACCCCCTCTGAACCTGTCCCCAGAGCACCACCTGCTACCTTCTTCCCTGCCTTAGTTGTATTGCCAGATAGACCCAGTGAGGGCCATGGCTTTTTCTTGTGAGCTCTTGTCCCTGTGGGGAGGACCCACAGCTTCCCACACCTCCCACACAGGCCCAGGCTGATGCTCTAGGGCTCCCAGAAGCCAGAGATCTGGGCGGATCTGGCCAGATGGCTCTGAGCACTGTATCTGCCTTCTCCTGGGGCCCAGCACACCCAGGGCACAGTGGTCCTGTAGGGAGTGCCACCTGGTGCTCACCCTGAAAGAAAAGGTGATCCTTCCTCTGAGTGATGGTTTAAAAAAAGATTCTAACGCCTGCAGGCCCTGAGAAGGTGGATAACTGTGATTTTTTTTCCTTTCACAGTATGCATTAGAAACAAAAGCCCGCTTGCTCGCTTGCTGGAACACAGGGGCCTTTTAAGTTGAGCGTGCGCACTGCATGGGAAATAGCGGCCCTGGAGGATGTTAGACTTGCTCCCTCTCCAAGACAGCAGCAGCCTGCACCTGCCCCGTGTGTGTGGCCGGCCTCCTCCTCACCCTTCCCGGCCCCCGGCCAAGGACCCAGGCGCTGCATACAGGGGAGGGGCGCACCCCACAGCTGGGGCCGGTTTTCCTCAGCTCTAGGCTGTTCTGTAGCTTATCTGCCCCTCCCCCACTTTCAAGACAGATGAGCAGGAGCTTGGGTCTCTCTCGGCCCCTGTCTGTTCCCAGCCCCTGCAGATTCTGAGCAAAGGCCCTGGGTAAGAAGGGTGGGAGTGGGGCCTTTGCCAGCAGAGCCAGGGCAGGGCGAGCTGCAGGAATCACCCCTCTGCCCCTGCAGCTGGAATGTGCCACAGAGGCCCCACCTGAAGGGTGGATGTGCTGGAGGGGTGGCCCAGAGCCATACTGCGTCCACCCTGAGCTCGGGGACAGGTGACAGTGGCTGCTCTGGGAAGGGGCTTTTAGATGTAACCTACAATTCAGTTAGGCTAGAGACAGATGCTGGTGGAGGAAGGGCTGGGCCACCAGGGATCACAGACCACAGGAAGATGGGAGGTGGAAGCAGAGGCCCTGCCCCCACCCCTTCCTGTCTCACTCTTCTGTCTTGTCCCCACCCATGCGCCTTCGTGCCTGAGACCAGGGTGGCCACACAGGCAGGGCCTGGCTCCAGTCTCATCCTCCCATTGCCCAGTGAGCCCTGCTCTTCTCTCCCCAGCCCCCTCCCACCGCTGCCTCGTAGAGTGACCTCGGACAGAGCCCCCCTAGCAATACAGGGAGGCTCCCGGGGCCTGGACAGGCGGGCTCGGAGGCTACCCGCTGTGGCCGGTGCCAGCTGCCCTTGCAGGGTGGGTGAGCTCTCAGGCCGAGAGCCTTATTTACCTAGTGCAAAAACTGTAAAAGTGTACAGACTCTTCACAGATTTTTATCTTAATTGCAAGTCTGCCGATTTTGTAAATGTTCTTGGTGTTTGACTGTAATGTAACTATCTCACCTAATGGTTGTACATATCCTTTGGTCCTGGTGCTGCCGAGGGCTGGCCGGGACTGCTGCTCTCCCAAGGGTTTTATTTTATTTCTGAATCTAGAGAACAGTATTGGGCAGGAGGAAAAGGCTTGGTGTCTGCGGGGGGTGTCTTCCCTGCCTGTGGCATTTGTGTGTTGGCTTTGCAGCTGCTGTCTGAGTAGTGGCCACTGGGGTGCCTTCACTGGGCCAGTCAACGGGGGGCTCCTGCCCAGGCCACAGAGAACCTGAGTTCCCGGGAGCTGGGCCCTGCCTGCAGCCAGGGCTGGGGTTGCCAGAGGCCCTGGAGGGAAGGACAGTCCCTGCTGGGGAAGAACAGCCCCGGGGCCCCCTGGTCACCGAGACTCAGCCTCTGCTGGAGAAAGCCACGCCCTCCCTGCTAGCACAGAGGCCTGACTGACTTTTTTGCTTAACTTCCATGTTCTGGGTGATGGAAACTGCCAAACCTCCTGTCAGTGAGGACTCTTTCCGACTGCCCAGAAAGTGGGGGTGGAGGACCGAGGCTACAGCTCCACACGCCCCGGTCCCCCAGAGCATCTGCCCCAGGTACACCTCCCCCTGCGCCCCGCACGACTGCGGGAGCCAGACTGTCCAGGGAAACAGCCTCTCTCTTTTCTACACACTCAGCCACAAAGCCCCCCAGCTCCCACACCGCGTCCCAGCTCCCCTCTTTTGTAAGTATGTGAAAAGGAAAAAATGCAAACGTTGGAGTTTGGGCTGGAGCTCCTCCCTCCAGCTGCGACTTTTAACTATGTAATAATGTACAGAGGAAGCTGTTGGTGTTCTAAGACTCTGTGTGGCTGTGCAATTTCTGTACATTTGCAATTAGAAATATTAAAGATTTATTTAGCTATTTTAAGCCCGACTCGTGTCTCCATTCAGCTGTGTGTTAAGGGATGACCCTGAGTCCGGAGCGGACACTGTCCTTTACCAAGGGGACCCCAGCATCTGGTTCACTCTGGTGGCATTCGTGGGCAGGGGATACCCCTAAAGCCAGTGGTGGTGGTCTGGCCAGCTTGGCTCACTGGGAGATCTGGGATTGCCCCCTCCTCCTCTGGGTTGAGGGGTCTCTGCACCAGGGAGTAGAGCAGTTGTCCTCTTAAAGGCTCTTCTCTGGCTCTGATACGTTTGGAAGAAAAGTCTGCTGGTCCCACCACCTCCTGGGAGACAGGGTGGTCCCAGCACCTTCACTGCAGCACACACTGGCTCTTGCCAGGCCCTGCATTAAGCGCTTTCTCATCCACTGAAATCTGGCTCTGGGAGGGAAGAGACCAGGGAGAAGAGGTGGGCCCAGGTCCCAGCAAGTCATGGCAGGGCTGGACTAAACATTTCCAAGCTTTCAACACCTTGAAAGTCAGACTCGGGCTCTCCCAACACAGACCCACCTGCAAGGCTGAACTCAGGCCCTTGTTGGGAAATAACCAGCCCCCAAGCCCCTTCAGCTGCACCTGTACAGAGAACCTTGCAGCCCTGGGTCCTGCCCTGCATCTTCAGCATCTCAGGATCTGGTCTTTCAGTGCACAGTAACTCCAGACGCTCCAAGGGACAGGTCCTGGTCCCAGCCCTAGCCCAAACCCCTCAGAAACCAGATACTGCCTGGGCCGAGCTTCTGCTGGGGGCAAGGATACCTCTGGTCAAAAAGCCAGATGGAGCTCCGGGTCTGTCACCTAGACAGGTGCCTCTGGCTCCAGCTAGGGATTGGGCCCCAGAGAGAAGCCTCGGGCCTGTCCCTGTTCTTGCCCCTGCAGCCAGCTGGAAGCAAGTACGGCAGAGCCACACACCGGAGCAGGGCTGCACCGTCACCCTCACCGGTGGCCCTTGTGTCCCACCTCCCACCCTCCAGCACCCTGGCTTCTCAGGCTGTCCATCTCTAGCCTCCTGCCAGGACCCCCTTTGAGCCAGCCACTCCTGGGGCCCACCCTGGGCTGCTATCACCTCTGACCTAGGAAAGTGTCATCCGTGCTGCTCACAGCGGGCACAGCTGCCAAGCCTTCCCTGCTCATCCTCCACATCAGCACTGGTCTGCAGACCGGCCCCTTTCCTCCCCAGCCTGTGTGTTCTCTCTGCCTTCCCCCACCAAGCCTAAACCCTGTGGGCTCCCTCCTCAGCCCATCTTGACAATATTCCTTGACCACTTCGGCCTAGGGGCCACCCAACAGCCGTGATCTCCAGGCCACCAAGCACTGCAGGAGAAAACTAAAAAACACCCCAGTTCTGACTGCCCTGTGGGTCTGTTCCCATCTCCATTCTCAGCTAGGCCTTCCTCTCTCATTCTCCACCCCAGTTAATCCAAACTCGTACCTCTTTTCAGATCTCCCAGCCAGCCAACTGGCCCTTCTCTGAGCCCTGCCTCCTCCCACACTGGGTGACCCCCCCAACCACCACCCCCTCTCCTCAGGCCGACCACCAGCACAGCTACCCCAGCTCTCAGCAGCGGCAGGAGAGGAGGCAACCTGTTTCTTCCCAAGGCAGCCCCTAGCCAGTTCCTGCATCCCTGCCTCTTGCTGCCTCCGTGGCCTCTAAACCTCCAGCCTCCCCCGCCCCCACCCCGCTCTTTCCTACAGCATTTTAAAGTGCTAGGTCTCCACTTGCTTCAGGCTGTCTGCTTTTCTCCCCTTCAGCCAAACTTCTTGAATGTATACTGCCTGCAGCGGCCTGCCATCTCCACAGCCTCAACCCCCATTCTCCCCCCACCCATCAAAACCTGACTTTGACCTCCCGCTCCTCCACCGCCCCATTGCCTCTGCACTGCTGTCCCGTCCCTGGGTTTCAGGGACCACCATCCCTCTGCTGGGGAGATGCTCATAAGGAACACAGAACTCAAGGAGACAGCAAGGAATGGGACAAAGAAATCATTTGATGTTGATAGGCATCTATTTTATACTTGTATAAATGTAAGGGGTACAGGTGCAATTTTGTTGCATGGATACATTGCATAGAGGCAGAAGCTGGACTTTTAGTGTATCCATCACCCAAATAGTGTACATTTGCCCATTAAGTAATTTCTCATTACCCACCCCCCTTCCACCTCTCCACCCTTCTGAGGCTCCAGTGCCTACCATTTCACACTCCATGTGTACGCATTATTTAGCTTCCACTTAGAGAAAATGCCAAATTTGACTCTCTGAGTTCTTTCTGATAGGAGGCATTTATAATGAAGACATAAAAGGCATGAACTTCTATTTGTGGATAAAATAGCATCAACTAGAAAGCAAACTGCTAGAAATGCAAAGGAAGAAATTGACAGAAACAATTGCATTTGAGAGTAACACACCACTAGTATTAGCTTATTACAGATCAAGGAGGCAAAAAAATAAGAACCAAGAGGATTTTAATAATTAATAAGGTTTAATAACCTGGGATGCATCAAGCTCTTACCCTAGAGAGAGCACACCCTTTTTTCAATTATAATTTGGAAGACTACCCGAAGCTGACTGTATACTGAGGTATGAAGAAAACCTTAGAAAGTTACCCAAAGAACCAATTCGGGCCACATTCTGTGTCTTGAAGCAAAAACAAACAAAAATCCCAAAACCCAGAGATTGGTAACAAATGTTGAATTTTTTAAAACTACCATCAATAAGTTTTAAAAAATAAATACAGAATCAATAGATTCAAAAAGAAAATTGTCTTCTAATTGAACCAGGTGTATCGTTATATTGACCACATGCATTTCTCTCTCTTTCCTCCGCAAACCACTGTACTGACAGAAAAGAAATAAAAGCGTTAACCTCTATAAGGACAAAATTAATTTGGGAGATAAGAGAATTTGGAAAATCTTGGCAGATGGAAGGGGATGAAGGAAGGAAGGAATGAAGGCGAATTTAGCAGAGCAGAGGGAGAAACCAACCGGAAATGAGCTTATCAGGTCCCAAGGAACCCCCAGAGGCTCAGCAGTGGGAGGTCCCCCTGTGTGTTTTGTGGTGGGGGGCAGAGGAGGAGTCGGGGGGTGGGGAGGTACACCAGGCCAGAAACATGGGGATCAGAGCCCAGCCTCCTCCCGCTCCTCTGCACAGCCAGGAAACTACTCTTTCCCCCTCATCTCCTTGCAAGGGACTGGATATTTAGTCTCTGGAGAAATGGAGCCAGGTATACTCTGGACTTGGGGACTCAAGGCAAAGCAGAGGGCTCTGTGAGGGTGAGGCTGCCAACAATGTTCCTCTCCAACCCCCGCAGTCCCATCACTGCTCCCAAAGTGCCCAGGGCCCACGGGTCCAGCCCCCAGGGAGCTGATTGGAACATCCTTTGGAAAAACCAGCTCCCAGGTATTTCCCCCACCTGAGTCACTGTCTGAGCATCCCAAGGTGGCACCCCCCAATCAACATGCCCTGCACGCGCGTGCGCACACACACACACAAATACACACACACACAAATACGCACACACAAATACAGAAACACACACACATACACAAATACACACACACACAAATACGCACACACACAAATACAGAAACACACACATACACAAATACACAAATACAAAAATACGCACAAATACACAATACACACACAAATACACATAAATACACAAATACGCACACACAAATACATATAAATACACACAAATACACACAAATACACACAGAAATACACACGCACACGCACACACACAAAACACATACACATACACACGAATACACACAAATACACACACAAATACACATACACGCACACACATGCACACACGCATACACACATACACACACATACACGTGTGCGCGCGCACACACACACACACACACGAAGAACACAGATAGTTGAGGACTCCCCAGACCGCTGAGGAAAGCTTGCAGTGTGAAAAGGAGAGGCCAACCTAACCAGCCTGTAAAAGGAAACAGAGGCAATGCAGGGAAGAGATGAGCCTTAAAAAAATAACCCACAACTGGCTGGATGCAGTGGCTCACGCCTGTAATCCCAGCACTTTGGGAGGCCGAGGCGGGTAGATCACTTGAGGTCAGGAGACCAGCCTGGCCAACATGGTGAAACCCCATCTCTACTAAAAGTGGAAAAATTAGCCGGGCGTGGTGGCACGCACCTGTAGTCCCAGCTCCTCAGGAGGCTGAGGAACAAGAATCACTTGGACCAGGGAGGCAAAAGTTGCAGTGAGATTATGCCACTGCACCACACTCCAGCCTGGGTGACAGAGAGAGACTCCATCACCAAAACTATATATATATATATGTATATTTATATATACATATATATATACACACACACATATATCACATCACATCATATATATACACAATATATACACACACATATATATACATGATATATATACACACATATATATACACATATGTGTGTGTGTGTGTATATGATATATGTCAGGCCTCTGAGCCCAAGCCAAGCCATCGCATCCCCTGTGACCTGCACGTATACGCCCAGATGGCCTGAAGAAACTGAAGAATCACAAAAGAAGTGAATACGCCCTGCCCCACCTTAACTGATGACATTCCACCACAAAAGAAGTGTAAATGGCCGGTCCTTGCCTTAACTGATGACATTACCTTGTGAAAGTCCTTTTCCTGGTTCATCCTGGCTCAAAAAGCACCCCCACTGAGCACCTTGCGACCCCACTCCTGCCCGCCAGAGAACAAACCCCCTTGACTGTAATTTTCCTTTACCTACCCAAATCCTATAAAACGGCCCCACCCTTATCTCCCTTCGCTGACTCTCTTTTCGGACTCAGCCCGCCTGCACCCAGGTGAAATAAACAGCCATGTTGCTCACACAAAGCCTGTTTGGTGGTCTCTTCATATGGACGCGCATGAAATTTGGTGCCGTGACTCGGATCAGGGGACCTCCCTTGGGAGATCAATCCCCTGTCCTCCTGTTCTTTGCTCTGTGAGAAAGATCCACCTACGACCTCAGGTCCTCAGACCGACCAGCCCAAGAAACATCTCACCAATTTCAAATCCGGTAAGCGGCCTCTTTACTCTCTTCTCCAACCTCCCTCACTATCCCTCAACCTCTTTCTCCTTTCAATCTTGGTGCCACACTTCAATCTCTCCCTTCTCTTAATTTCAATTCCTTTCATTTTCTGGTAGAGACAAAGGAGACACATTTTATCTGTGGACCCAAAACTCCGGCGCCGGTCAGTGACTGGGAAGGCAGCCTTCCCTTGGTGTTTAATCATTGCAGGGACGCCTCTCTGATTATACACTCACGTTTCAAGGGTGTCAGACCACTCAGGGACGCCTGCCTTGGTCCTTCACCCTTAGCGGCAAGTCCCGCTTTTCTGGGGCAAGAACCCCCAATCCCTTTTCTCCGCGCCCCAACCTCTTATCTCTGTGCCCTAATCCCTTATTTCCACGCCCCAACCTCTTATCTCTGCGACCCAATCCCTTATTTCCGTGCCCCAACCTCTTATCTCTGTGTCCCAATCCCTTATTTCTGCACACCAACCTCTTATCTCTGTGCCCCAATCCCTTATTTCCATGCCCCGACCCCTCTTCCCACTTTTCTGGAGGGTAAGATCCCCCGAACCCCTTCCCTCCGTGTCTCTACGCTCTCTTTTCTCTAGGTTTGCCTCCTTCACTACGGGCAACCTTCCACCCTCCATTCCTCCTTCTTCTCCTTTAGCCTGTGTCCTCAAGAACTTAAAACCTCTTCAACTCACACCTGACCTAAAACCTAAACGCCTTATTTTCTTCTGCAACACCGCTTGGCCCCAATACAAACTCGACAATGGCTCTAAATGGCCAGAAAACGGCACTTTCGATTTCTCCATCCTACAAGACCTAAATAATTTTTGTCGAAAAATGGGCAAATGGTCTGAGGTGCCTTATGTCCAGGCATTTTTCACATTTCATTCCCTCCCTAGCCTCTGTTCCCAATGCGATTCCTCCCAGAACCTCCTTCTTTCCCTCCCACCTGTCCCCTCAGTCCCAACCCCAAGCGTCACTGAGTCTTTCTAGTCTTCCTTTTCTACAGACCCATCTGACCTTTCCCCTCCTCCCCAGGCCTAAGTCCCAATTCTTCCTCAGCCTCTGCTCCTCCACCCTACAGTCCTTCTACCACCTCCCCTCCTCACACCCGGTCCGGCTTACAGTTTAGTTCCGCGACTAGCTCTTCCCCACATGCCCAGCAATTTCCTCTTAGAGAGGTGGCTGGAGCTGAAGGCATAGTCAGGGTACATGTACCTTTTTCTCTATCAGACCTCTCTCAGATCAGTCAACATTTAGGCTCTTTCTCATCAGACCCCACTAAATACATACAGGAATTCCGGTATCTAACTCTGTCCTACAACTTAACCTGGAGTGACTTAATGTCATCCTGACTTCTACCCTCTCCCCAGATGCACAGGAAAGAGTTTTTTTCTCTAGCCCAATCTCATGCTGATAACCGCCGGCTTCATGAGCCAGACCTCCAGGAAGGCATTAGAGCAGTTCCCCGAGAGGATCCCCAATGGAACTACCAGGCAAATTCCCCAGGTATAGCTAAGCAAGATTACATGGTTTCCTGCGTAGTTGAAGGGCTTAAAAAAGCAGCTTACAAAGCTATTAATTATGACAAACTTAAAGAACTACCCAAGGTAAAGATGAAAACCCAGCCCAGTTCATGGCCCGCTTAGCAGCAACCATTAGATGCTATACCGCCCTAGACCCAGAGGGACCAGAAGGCCGCCTTATTCTTAATATGCATTTTATCACCCAATCCACTCCTGACATTAGGAAAAAACTTCAAAAATTAGAATCTGGCCCTCAAACCCCACAACAGGAATTAATCAACCTCGCCTTCAAGGTGTACAATAATAGAGAGGAAGCAGCCAGACGGCAACGCATTTCTGAGTTACAATTACTTGACTCTGCTGTGAGACAAAACCCAGCCACACCTCCTGCATACAGGAACTTCAAAATGCCTAAGCCGCAGCAGTCAAGCATTCCTACAAGACTTCCTCCATCAGGATCTTGCTTCAAGTGCCAGAAATCTGGCCACTGGGCCAAGGAATGCCCACAGCCCGGGATTCCTCCCAAGCCATGTCCCATCTGTGCAGGGACCCACTGGAAATCAGACTTCCCAGCTCGCCTGGCAGCCACTCCTAGAGCCCCTAAAGCTCTAGCCCAAGGCTCTCTGACTGACTCCTTCCCAGATCTGCTTGGCTTAGTGACTGAAGATTGACGCTGCCAGATCGCCTCGGAAGCCCCCTGGACCATCACGGACGCCGAGCTTCGGGTAACTCTGACAGTGGAGGGTAAGTCCATCCCCTGTTTAATCGATACGGGGGCTACCCACTCCATGTTGCCTTCTTTTCAAGGGCCTGTTTCCCTTGCCCCCATAACTGTTGTGGGTATTGACGGCCAAGCTTCAAAACCCCTGAAAACCCCCCGACTCTGGTGCCAACTTGGACAACACTCTTTTATGCACTCTTTTTTAGTTATCCCCACCTGCCCAGTTCCCTTATTAGGCCGAGATATTTTAACCAAATTATCTGCTTCCCTGACTATTCCTGGACTACAGCCACATCTCATTGCCGCCCTTCTCCCCAACCCAAAGCCTCCTTCCCTTCTTCCTCTCATATCCCCCCACCTTAACCCACAAGTATGGGACATCTCTACTCCTTCCCTGGCAACTGATCACATGCCCATTACCATCCCATTAAAACCTAATCACCCTTACCCTGCTCAATGCCAATATCCCATCCCACAGCATGCTTTAAAAGGATTAAAGCCTGTTATCACTTGCCTGCTACAGCACGGGCTTCTAAAACCTATAAACTCTCCTTACAATTCCCCCATTTTACCTGTCCAAAAACCAGATAAGTCTTACAATTTAGTTCAGGATCTGCGCCTTATCAACCAAATTGTTTTGCCTATCCACCCCATGGTGCCAAACCCATATACTCTCCTATCCTCAATACCTGCCTCTACAACCCATTATTCTGTTCTAGATCTCAAACATGCTTTCTTTACTATTCCTTTGCACTGTTAATCCCAGCCTCTCTTCGCTTTCACTTGGACTGACCCTGACACCCATCAAGCTCAGCAAATTACCTAGGCTGTACTGCCGCAAAGCTTCACAGACAGCCCCCATTACTTCAATCAAGCCCAAATGTCTTCCTCATCTGTTACCTATCTCGGCATAATTCTCATAAAAACACACGTGCTCTCCCTGCCAATTGTGTCCAACTGATCTCTCAAACCCAAGCACCTTCTACAAAACAACAACTCCTTTCCTTCCTAGGCATGGTTAGCACGGTCAGAATTCTTACACAAGAGCCAGGACCACACCCTGTAGCCTTTCTGTCCAAACAACTTGACCTTACTGTTTTAGCCTAGCCCTCATGTCTGCGTGCAGCAGCTGCCGCTGCTTTAATACTTTTAGAGGCCCTCAAAATCACAAACTATGCTCAACTCACTCTCTACAGTTCTCATAACTTCCAAAATCTATTTTCTTCCTCATACCTGACGCATATACTTTCTGCTTGCCGGCTCCTTCAGCCATACTCACTCTTTGTTAAGTCTCCCACAATTACCGTTGTTCCTGGCCCAGACTTCAATCTGGCCTCCCACATTATTCCTGATACCACACCTGACCCCCATGACTGTATCTCTCTGATCCACCTGACATTCACCCCATTTCCCCAAATTTCCTTCTTTTCTGTTCCTCACCCTGATCACGCTTGATTTATTGATGGCGGTTCCACCAGGCCTAATCGCCACACACCAGAAAAGGCAGGTTATGCTATAGTACAAGCCACTAGCCTGCCTCATAGAACCTCTCATTTCCTTTCCGTCGTGGAAATCTATCCTCAAGGAAATAACTTCTCAGTGTTCCATCTGCTATTCTACTACTCCTCAGGGATTATTCAGGCCCCCTCCCTTCCCCATCAAGCTCGAGGATTTGCCCCACCCAGGACTGGCAAATTAGCTTTACTCAACATGCCCTGAGTCAGATAACTAAAATATCTCTTAGTCTGGATAGACACTTTCACTGGATGGGTAGAGGCCTTCCCCACAGGGTCTGAGAAGGCCACCGAGGTCATTTCTTCCCTTCTGTCAGACATAATTCCTCAGTTTGGCCTTCCCACCTCTACACAGCAGTCTGATAACGGACCAGCCTTTACTAGCCAAATCACCCAAGCAGTTCCTCAGGCTCTTGGTATTCAGTGGAACCTTCATATTCCTTACCATCCTCAATCTTCAGGAAAGGTAGAACGGACTAATGGTCTTTTAAAGACACACCTCACCAAGCTCAGCCTCCAACTTAAAAAGGATTGGACAGTACTTTTACCTCTTGCTCTTCTCAGAATCAGAGCCTGTCCTCGAGATGCTGCAGGGTACAGTCCATTTGAACTTTTACGTGGATGCACTTTCTTGCTTGGCCCCAACTTCATCCCAGACACCAGCCCTCTAGGCGACTATCTTCCAGTCCTCCAGCAGGCTAGACAGGAAATTCGCCAGGCTGCTAATCTTCTCTTGCCTACTCCAGATCCCCAGCCCTATGAAGACAACCTAGCTGGACGATCAGTTCTTGTTCCTCCCAGGCCCTCTTGTTTACTTATACCCAGCCCCGAAAATAACAGTGAAAGGTTGCTCGTAGATACTCAACGTTTCCTCATACACCATGAAAATCGAACCTCCTCCTCTACGCAGTTACCCCATCAGTCCCCATTACAACCTCTGACAGCTGCCACCCTAGCTGGATCCCTAGGAGTCTGGGTACAAAACACCCCTTTCAGCACTCATTCTCATCTTTTTACTTTACATCTCCAGTTTTGCCTCGCACAAGGTCTCTTCTTCCTCTGTGGATCCTCTACCTACATGTGTCTACCTGCTAATTGGACAGGCACATGTACACTAGTCTTCCTTACCCCCAAAATTCAATTTGCAAATGGGACCGAAGAACTCCCTGTTCCCCTCATGACACCGACACGACAAAAAAGAGTTATTCCACTAATTCCCTTGATGGTCGGTTTAGGACTTTCTGCCTCCACTATTGCTCTCGGTACTGGAATAGCAGGCATTTCAACCTGTCACGACATTTTGTAGCCTGTCTAATGACTTCTGTGCTAGCATCACAGACATATCACAAACTTTATCAGTCCTCCAGGCCCAAGTTAACTCTTTAGCTGCAGTTGTCCTCCAAAACCGCCGAGGCCTTGACTTACTCACTGCTGAAAAAGGAGGACTTTGCATATTCTTAAATGAGGAGTGTTGTTTTTACCTAAATCAATCTGGCCTGGTGTATGACAACATAAAAAAACTCAAGGATAGAGCCCAAAAACTTGCCAACCAAGCAAGTAATTACTCTGAACCCCCTTGGGCACGCTCTGATTGGATGTCCTGGGTCCTCCCAATTCTTAGTCCTTTAATACCCATTTTTCTCCTTCTTTTATTCGGACCTTGTATCTTCCATTTAGTTTCTCAGTTCATCCAAAACCGTATCCAGGCCATCACCAATCATTATATACGACAAATGTTTCTTCTAACATCCCCACAATATCACCCCTTACCACAAGACCTCCCTGCAGCTTAATCTCTCCCACTCTAGGTTCCCACGCCGCCCCTAATCCTGCTTGAAGCAGCCCTGAGAAACATCGCCCATTCTCTCTCCATACCACCCCCCAAAAATTTTCGCCGCCCCAACACTTCAACACTATTTTGTTTTATTTTTCTTATTAACATAAGAAGGCAGGAATGTCAGGCCTCTGAGCCCAAGCCAAGCCATCGCATCCCCTGTGACCTGCACGTATATGCCCAGATGGCCTGAAGTAACTGAAGAATCACAAAAGAAGTGAATACACCCTGCCCCACCTTAACTGATGACATTCCACCGCAAAAGAAGTGTAAATGGCCGGTCCTTGCCTTAACTGATGACATTACCTTGTGAAAGTCCTTTTCCTGGCTCATCTTGGCTCAAAAAGCACCCCCACTGAGCACCTTGCGACCCCACTCCTGCCCGCCAGAGAACAAACCCCCTTTGACTGTAATTTTCCTTTACCTACCCAAATCCTATAAAACGGCCCCACCCTTATCTCCCTTCGCTGACTCTCTTTTCGGACTCAGCCCGCCTGCACCCAGGTGAAATAAACAGCCATGTTGCTCACACAAAGCCTGTTTGGTGGTCTCTTCACACGGACGCGCATGAAAAAATATATATATACATATATATATATATATACACATATATATGTGTGTGTGTATATATATATATGTATATATATATGCTGGAATGACAGCCTGCCTTCCTCTTGCCTTAGTTCCAACTTTGGGGTTGCTTTTTTCCTTAATACGCCTTGACAATACGCCATAGTCACAAACCCCAAAGCCTTGGTGACCTGGCAGCAAATGAGTAACTGAAGCAGCCCTGCTTGAGATGACACCCAGACCCAGTGTCGGGGACATCAAGGAGGGGTGGAGACTGGAGGGAATTGAAAAGCATATGCCCTTACTAAAGGCAGCAGGGAATCTTTGCTGTGGATTTACAAACCATCCATTCTCTGTTGACTCCTCCATTTCTATACCCAGCCCCACCACGCCCCAAGCTGCAGATTCACAGGGCTGAATGCCCACTTGGATAGTTCACAGGCATCAAACTTGTTATGTCTGAAATGGAACCCTTGACTTTTCTGACCCCTGAACCTGTTCCTCCTCTCATCTTCCAATCCCAACCAATCCCAAAACACTGCTCCACTCTCCTCCCCGTTGCTCCAGCCAAGAGCCAAGTGTGACTTCTTGATTCTTGCACATTAAAAAGGATTTATAGGTCTGGAGCAATGTTCATGATACATTGTGGGTGAAAAGCAAGCAGTAGATCAGTATGTCCCATTCCTTTAAGGAAAAATAAATAAATTACATATAATAAATTACATCAAAGAACAATGTGGACGCAGATGCATCACCCTGTTCACGGCAATTTCCTCTGGGTCGTGGGGCTCAGCAGGATAGGGAAGGAGGACTCGTATTTTCTACTTTATATTCTTTAGTATTGCTTGAATATTTTACAACCAGTTTTTGTTTCTTGTTTTGCTATGGAGCCATTTAAAAATAAATAAAACATACCCATATAATGAAACACTATGTAGCCATTAAGTTTGTAGAATAATAATAAATGACATTGAAAGATGTTAATAATATATTAAGTGTAAAAGCTGATAACAGAATTGTATGTGCAGGAGGATTCTAGTTTAGTTTTTGAACTATATTTGCAAAATCAGGTCTGGATTAGGAGAGAGTAGAGTGTAGGTAAGAGCTTGAGCTTGGGGAGAAAGGGGATGTGGATGTTGAGTCTTAATGGCTGTTGATTAGCCATAGAGCCCTAGGCAAATTGGGAAAGCCTCTAAGTCTCAGTTTTCTCTACTGTAAAATGGGGATAACAGTATCTACTATAGAGAGGTCTTCTGTAAGGATTTGGAAATAATGCTTTTCAACCCTCTACTTAGCACAGTTATTGACATATAAATAATACGTGTGACCTATAAGAGTAATAATAATTTTCTAATAAAATCACAAAACACTTTGATATATACTTATGATATAAATCACAAATAAATAAGATATATATTTGATATGTATCTTATTAAGGTAATAAGACACTGACCTAAGGATAATGAGATAATAAACGCCTTTATTTCTCTCTTCACTTAATTTTTTTCATTAACATACTGTTGCTTTTGTAATAAAAACACGTTAAAAAAGAATATCTCAAGCCAGTATTTATATTCAACATCATATTCAACATCATCCTTAAGAGCAAAACCTTCTCAATGAGGTAAGAAACAAGACTTGGATGCAGGTCTCTGCCACATTTCAATGCAAAAAGGCAGGAAATAAACTAATTATGGTTATTGGGAAAGAGAGGTGAAAGATGGAATTGTCTTCCTAGACTTTTCCAACAGAAAAATGGCCCCTTTTAGGTAAAGTGGCCTGAATACACAATAAATATACAAAATCGAGATTGCTTCCCCAGATACCAGTTGGTGCCTGTTAGTGAGATTGCAGAGGGTGGGGGTGGGCTGGTGATGGCTACCAGGAGAGGTGGGTGGATAGGGGACCGAAAATCTGGACAACCCAGTGAGGGTGCACACACAGTCTGGATGGTCACTAGACCCCTGGCCAAGGTGGAAAGCCTGTCTCCAGTGCACACCCCACAATGCTTCAAGACCCTGATCTTATTATCTGGTGAATATTGGAATTATGCTATACAACAGTTTACTTAATTTGTATTAAAACATTCATGTTATGTATTCAACGTAAGTGTTCAGAATTTATGGGGTTTTTTTATAACTCTCTTAGCATTTCTTTATTTTTATATATCCTTAAAACATCCAGAAAACAAATTAGTCGAAGATTCCTGTCCTCTGAGAGGCCCAGCCAGTCAGAAACAGAAACAGTCACTTCCCCAGGGGATGGTAGTCTGACTTTGGCCATGCCCTTCCCGCCTGCCACTGGTACAGTGGATACGAGGGGACCAGAGAAGCCACTCACCTGAGGTGCAGGGTCCCTGAGGAAGCCTGCAGTGGAGTCCCTGGGGGCCCACACTTGGTAGTGTCCAGTCTTTGCTGATGCGTGAAGTTTGGCTTCATGCCCATCATGGACTGACAGGAGGGAGTTCAAACTATGGAGTCAGTAGGTAGGGGGACCCCCCTGGAATTCGAAATTAGGGACCCTGGAGAATCTCAGGAATATTTTATTTATTTATATTAATTTTTTTTTAGATGGAGTCTCGCTCTGTCACCCAGGCTGGAGTGCAGTGGCACAATCTCAGCTCACTGCAACCTCCGCCTCCCGGCTTCAAGCGATTCTTCTGCCTCAGCCTCCCAAGTAGCTGGGACTACAGGCATGTGCCACCATGCCTGGCTAATTTTTGTATTTTTAACAGAGATGGGGTTTCGCCATGTTGGCCAGGCTGATCTCAAACTCCTGACCTCAGGTGATCCGCCTGCCTCGGCCTCCCAAAGTGCTGGGATTACAGGCATGAGCCACCGTGCCTAGCCTACTTTTATTTTTTAAAATATTCCTAGATATGACCCTCAGTGATAAAAATAACAAATGCGTGTGCTAAAGAATACATTTTTAAAACAGTAAACCTTGGCTCTCATGCAAATATAAAATGAACATATATTTAGTATTTTCAACACATTAATTGATGAGGGAACCAGTCAGTTGTCGAAACCAATTCAAAGGAGAATTCAAAAAACCACTCTTACATAGGCAATCACAATTGTTGAAACAAATTTACAAATAGATGCAAAATTGGTCTCTCTTCAGGGCAATAATCAAGTGCATTCCACCAAATACCACGTATTTGCATTTCTTTAATTTTTTTTATTTTAGATAAAGAAAACGTGGCACATATACACTGCAGGCTTCCTCAGGGATCCTGCACCTCAGGTGAGTGGCTCCTCTGGTCCCCTCGTATCCACTGTACCAGTGGCAGGCAAGAAGGGCATGGCCAAAGTCAGACTACCATCCCCTGGGGAAGAGACTGTTTCTGTTTCTGACTGGCTGGGCCTCTCAGAGGACAGGAATCTTCGACTAATTTGTTTTCTGGATGTTTTAAGGATATATAAAAATAAAGAAATGCTAACAGAGTTATAAAAATAACCATAAATTCTGAACACTTACGTTGAATACATACATGAATGTTTTAATACAAATTAACTGTTGTATAGCAAGGTACACAATGGAATATTATTCAGCCAGAAAAAAAAGAATAGAATCCTGTTGTTTGCATTCCTATGGATGAGAATCACACGCACCATGATCAGCTTTTCATGACTTAACGGAGTTAAAAAGCAGCTCAAAGACAATGAAAGGCAAGTAGTGGATGTAGGACATCCAGTAATCCTTTTTGCCTATTTTATTTTATTTACTTACTTATTTTAAGACAGGGTGTCGCTCTGTTGCCTGGGCTGGGGTGCAGTGGCACGATCTCGGCTCACTACAACCTCCGCCTCCCGGGCTCAAGGGGTCCTCTTACCTCAGCCTCGCAAGTAGCTGGGATTACAGGCATGCACCACCATGTCCAGCTAATTTTTCTGGGTTTTGGTAGAGACGGGGTTTCACCATGTTGCCAAAGTTGAGTCCTGGGCTCAAGTGATCCACCTGCCTTGGCTTCCCAACGTGCTGGGATTACAGGCTTGAGCCACTGCACCTGGCCCCTCCTAGTTTAAAGACTTTCACACATTTTTCTGCTTACAAAAAACCCTCAGAAATATATACAGTTAAAAGGGATTTCCTCACCTACAAATTCCCCCCTGTAGATATATACTGTTAACTGTTTATCAAGGTTTCTGACAGGCTTGATTCCTGCACACACAAAGTGATACTTTAAAGACAAAAATAGAATCACACTACACACAGATCAATAGTTGCTTTTTTTCACTTGGCAGTATATCATGAACATAACACTACAGATATAATTCTTTTTTGTGTGTTACTTTATTATTTTATTTTTAACCATTATACTTGCACATGGTCTAAAAATTTAAAATCCCTGGAAACAGATTTATTTTATTTTTTTGAGACAGAGTCTCACTCTGTCGCCCAGGCTTGAGTGCAGTGGCATGATCTCAGCTCACTGCAACCTCCGCCTCCCAGGTTCAAGCAATTCTCCTGCCTCAGCCTCTCGAGTAGCTGGAATTACAGGCACCTGCCACCACACCTGGCTAATTTTTGTATTTTTAGTAGAGACGGGGTTTCACCGTGTTGGCCAGGCTGGTCTCGAACTCCTGACCTCATGATCCACCCGCCTTAGCCTCCCAAAATGCTGGGATTACAGGCGTGAGCCACCACGCCCAGCCTAGAAGTTTTTAAAAAGCCTTTTGCTTTGGAAATCATTTCTGACTTACAGCTAAGTTGCTAAAATCAATGGTACCAGGAATACCGTGTGCCTTTTACCTGTAATCTATTAATATTTTTACCCCCTTAGCTTTATCATTCTCAGTCTCCCTCTTTCCGCACACACATGCACACACATACACACACAATTTATTTTCTGAACTGCCTGAAGTTAAGTTACATACATCATAGCCCTTTATCTAACCTAAACACTTCAGTAGTATATTTTCACTAAGATTAGGAATATTCTCTTACATAATCAACTTCAGTCAATTTAACATTGGTATACATTTTTATCTACTCTCAACATTCACATTCCAATTTTCTGAGTCGAACCAATAATGTCCTTTTTCAGTAATTTTCCCCTGTAGTACAGGAGGCAGCCTAGGGGCAGGGGCTGCAGTTAGCTGTCATATCTCTTTAGCCTCTTTTAATCTGGAACATTTTCATAGCCTTTTGTGATCTTTTATGGCATTGACATTTGAGAAGAATACGACCAAGCACACCCACCTTTTTCAAAAATAGAAAAGCATTTGTCTGATGTTTCCTTGGGACTAGTTTTTGGTTCTTCATTCTTAGCCAAAATCCTGCATAGAGCGTATTGAGTCCTTCTCAGAGGAGCACATCTGGAGGCACAAGACAGCCATCTGTCCTTCCTTGGTGATGTTAATTTTGATCACTCGATCAAGGCGTTGTCCAATTTCTTCACTGTATAATTACTGGAGTTTTTTGATCTTCTTTGCAACTAATAAGCAGTCTGTGGGGAGACACTTTGAGACCATGAAAACATTCTGTTCCTCATCAGAATGTTCCCCTAGATTTAGCAACCATGAATGATTCTTAATTGATCCCATCTTTACTAGGATAGTTGCAAAAGATGATTTTCCAACTCTAACAATCTCTCCACTTCGCCGGTTGACTCTCAGAATTCTCTCGTCAGCATAGGTCCTCCTTCTCCCCCACATATTGATAAATCTATTTACTATTGGTATAGATTCAGAAATTTCCATTTTTAAGGGTTTATATTTCATTACTTTATTATTTTGGTGCTCAAATAGTCCTAGATTTTGCCACCGGCAGCCCCTTTAAGCTGCTGACATTTCCCCCAAAAGTGCTTTTGATCATTCCTTATTTTCTGGTGTAACAAAACGTCCCAGGCTCACAATGTACCTACCCTGCCCAAGCTCTCAAATTAGTCATTTCTCCGAGAAACCCTGGGTAATGGTATTAAGAACCAAGATCTGCGAGCTAGTAGAATGGCTTTTCTTCTTGACCTTGTCAGCAGACAGAACTAGGAAATAAATACATATATGTGCATATACACATCCACGTGCACACAAAAGTGCATATACACATTCTACAAATCATGGGTTTGCATCTGTACCTCCAATTCCATGGAATCTGAAGTTTAACAGGCACCCCCGGGAAGCAAGCTCCTGCATCAGGCAAATCAGGAAGAACCTGCAAATGCTCATCAGAGGAGAAAGCAACCCACAGGAGGGAGAGGTGGGGCTGCTCCCTGCTCCCTGCACCGAGCAGGGCACCCTACAGGAATAGATGAGCCCGCTAACCTGCAACACAGGGCAATGGTGAGTCTTGCTTTGCTCCCCATCAGAGCATGTCGGAGATGCAGAACCCTCTTAATGGGTCTTAAATAAATGCTGGAGTGGTTCAAGTGATGTTTCCTCAATAAACAGGAGTGTGCTGCTAGGAGAAAGGAACGGGCTGAAAACAAGAACTTGGAAGGAAAGAATGTCATTGCTGATGGTGGACAACAGAATGTGTGTGCTGAAAAGTCAAATCAGTGATCCATTCTAGAACATCGGCTTGAAGCATCCAAGAATAAGGCAAAAGAGAAATAATTGGAAATTAAAGGGACAATAAATAAATGGGAATATCTCATTCATGGTAATAATTCAAGAAAAGCAAATAAAAATAACAAATATCTATATTTTTTGGTCCAGGAATGTTTAGGTAATAGAAACACAAAAGGAATCAACCTAAATAGAGAAAAATATATGAGATTTGTTAAAGAACATATAGGGGCTGGGGTTCCCTCTGCCACTGCATGTCACATTGCATCGCAAACTTTTTTTGGGGGTGGTGGGTATCCATCACTTCAAGCATTTCTCACTTATTTGTGTTACAAACATTCCAATTATACTCTTTTAGTTTAGGGTCTTTTGTTTTGTTTTGTTTTGTTTTGTTTTGTTTTGTTTTAAGACGGAATCCTGCTCTGTCACCCAGGAGTGCAGTGGCGCAATCTCGGTTCACTGCAGCTTTTGCCTCCCAGCTTCCAGAGATTCTTCTGCCTCAGCCTCCTGAGTAGCTAGGAGTACAGGCACATGCCACCACGCCCGGCTAATTTTAGTATTTTTAGTAGAGACAGGGTTTCACCATGTTGGCCAGGCTGATCTCGAACTCCTGACCTCAGGTGATCCATCTACCTCGGCCTCCCCAAGTGCTAGGATTACAGGTGTGAGCCACTGCACCAGGCCTAGTTATTTTTAAATGTACAAAAAGTTACTGTCAACTGTGGTCACCCTGTTACGCTATCAAATATTAGGTCTTATTCATTCTTTCTAACTATATTTTTGTACCCATTAATTATCCCCACTTGCCCCGTCCACCCTCACCCTCAACACCCTTCCCAGCCTCTGCTAATCGTCATTCTACTTTTTATCTTCATGAGTTCAACTGTTTTAACTCTTAGCTCCCACAAATGAGTGAGAACATGCAAAGTTTGTCTTTCCGTGCCTGGCTTATTTCATTTAACATAATGACCTCCAGTTCCATCAATGTTGTTGCAAATGACAGGATCTCATTCTTTTTTATGGCTGAATAGTATTCCATTGTGTGTATGTACCACATTTTCTTTATCCATTCATCTGCTGATGGGCACTTAGATTGATTCCAAATCCTGGCTATTGTGAATAGCCATGTTGCAATAAACATGGGAGGGCAGATATTGCTTTGATATACCTGTTTCCTTTCTTTTGGGTACGTACCCAGCAGTGGGATTGCTGCATCGTATGATAGTTCTACTTTTAGCTTTCTGAGGACCCTCCTTACTGTTCTCCATACTGGTTGTACTAATTTACATTCCTACCAACAGTGTATGAGGGTTCCCTTTTCTCTCCACATCCTTGCCAGCATTTGTTATTTCCTGTCTTTTGGATGAAGGCCATTTAAACTGGGGTGAGATTATATATCATTGCAGTTTTGATTTGTATTTCTCTGATGGTATTTTATTTGATTTGTAGCCATTGTAAATCGGATTACTGGTGGTATTTTCTTTGATTTGTAGCTGTTGTAAATGGGATTGCTTTCTTGATTTCTTTATGAGGCTGTTCTGTTGACATACAGAAATGCTACTTATTTTTGTATGTTGATTTTGTATCCTGCAATGTTACTGAATTTGTTTATCAGTTCTAATAGTTTTTTGAACTGCTTAGTTTTTTTCAAATATACAATCATATAATCTGTAAACAAGGATAATGTGACTTTTTCCTTTCCAGTTTGGATGCTCTTTATTTCTTTCTCTTGTCTTATTGCTCTGGCTAGGATTTCCAGTGCTATGTTGAATAACAATGGTGACAGTGGACATCCTTGTCTTGTTCCAGATCTTACAGGAAAGGCTTTCAGTTTTTCCTCATTCAGTATGATACTAGCTGTGGGTCTGTCATATATGACTTCTATTGTGTTGGAGTATGTTCCCAGTTTTTTGAGAGTTTTTATCATGAAAGGATGTTGAATTTATTAAATGATTTCTCAGCATCAATTGAAATGATTATATGGTTTTTGTCCTTCATTCTGAAGATACAATATATTACATTGATTTACATATGTTGAACCATCCTTATATTCCTGGGATTGTAAATGTAGATTTATTTATGCTCTCTGTTATTAGGCTGTGGGGCTCAAATTTTATTCAACCTAGTATAATTATCACCTAACATGATGCTTGGCCTGTGGTAAGCTCAATAAAGGAAAGGCCATATTTCTTAACCACAGAGCAATGAAAGTGGGAATTAATAACAAGAGCTTACCTGCTGCTTAGAAATCTCATCAACAGATGAATGGATAAGGAAAATATGGTGTGTGTATATATATATACACACACACACACACATATATACATATACATATATACAATGGAACACCATTCGGCCATAAAAAAATGAAATCCTATAATTTTTGGCAACACAGATGAACCTGGAGGAAGTTACATTAAGTGAAATAAACCAGGCACAGAAAGACAAATAGTAGTAATGTGTGTTCTCACTCATATGTGGAAGCTAAATAAATTGATATCATAGAGATAGAAAGTTGAATAGTGGTAACCAGAGCCTGGGCAGGGGAGGAGGAAGGGAGGATAGGGAGAGGATGGTTGACAAATACAAAATTACAGCTAGATAGGAGGAATGAGTTCTAGTGCTCACTGTAGGGTGACTGGATGTCATGGATGGAACTGGAGGTCATTATGCTAGATGAAATAAGCCAGGCACGGAAAGACAAACTTTGCATGTTCTCACTCATTTGTGGGAGCTAAGAGTTAAAACAGTTGAACTCATGAAGATAAAAAGTAGAATGACGGTTACCAGAGGCTGGGAAGGGTGTTGAGGGTGAGGGTGGACGGGGCAAGTGGGGATAATTAATGGGTACAAAAATATAGTTAGAAAGAATGAATAAGGCCTAATATTTGATAGCATAACAGGGTGACCACAGTCGACAGTAATTTATATAGTTAACAAGTATTTATTCTATATTTTCAAATAGCTAGAAGAGAGGATTTTGTGTGCTCCCAACACAAAGAAATGATAAACGTTGGAGATGATGGCTGTGTAAATTTCCCTGATTTGATTATTACATTATACACCTGTGGAAATATCAGACTGTATAAATATTATTAATTATTGTGTCAATTAGAAATAAAGAGAAAAGATGAGAGGCCAAAAGTAGATTGAATTATATATAAAATTGTAATAGAATAAAATAAGCATAAAAAGCTTTGCATTGAAAAAAGCTTACCTGCTGCTTGGAAATTCAAAATGCATGTAGAAATGTGTGTGGATGTATGTGCATGTGTATGAGTATATGTGTGTGTGTGGGTGTTTATGTGTGTGGATGTGTGTGTGTGGATTTGTGTGTATATACATATGAGTGTATGTGTGTACATGTGTGAGGGGGGATGTGTGTGTGGATGTGTATATGTGGATGTGTGAGGGTTTCTGTGTGTGGGGATGTGTGTGCATATGTGGATGCGCATGTGCTGTATGTGTGTGTGCTTGTGTGTGGGTGTTTGTGTGGATGTGTGTATATGTGTATGTGTGTGCTCTTTGTGTGTGTGGGTGTGTGGATATCAGTGTCCATGTGGATTGTGTGTGTGTGTGGATGTGTATGTGGATGTGTGTGTTTGTGTGTGTAGGTGTACTTGTGTGTGGGTGTTTAGGTGTGTGTGTGCTCTGTGTGTGTGGGGGTATATGTGTATGAATGAATTGTGGATGTGTGTGAGAGTGTGTGTATATGTGGATGTGTGTGCTTGTGTGTGTGCTTGTGTGTGGGTGTTTGTGTGGATGTGTGTATATGTGGATGTGTGTGTGTGTGCTTTGTGTGTGTATGTTTGTATGGGTATGTGGATGTGGATATGTGTATAAATGTATAGGTGGATGTGTGTGAGGGTGTGTGTGTGGATGTGTGTGAGGGTGTGTGTGTGGATGTGTGTATATGTGTATGTGTGTACTCTTTGTGTGTATGCTTGTGTGTGGGTGTGTGGATGTGAGTGTACGTGTGGATGTGTGTGAGGGTGTGTGTGTGGATATGTGTGTGGATGTGTGCTTGTGTGGGGGTGTTTGTGTGTGTGTATATGTGCCTGAGTGTATGTGCGGATATGTGTGAGGGGGTATGTGTATGGATGTGTGTGTGAATGTGTATCAGGTATGCTAGCTGTGATTAAGGTGTTGTGAGTTGGTGTGGGAAGGCATAGCCTCTACCTTGGGATGCGAGTGGGTATGTACGGATGTGTTTCTGCATGTGGTTCTGTCAAGGTGTGGTTTGTATACCAGCGTGGGCATCTGTCCCATTTAAGTTTGTGAAGAGGCGTGGTAGGTGTGGTGTGTCACCCGCAGTAGGCAGAAGCCAAGGCCTGTGTCTTCCAGGAGGTGCGGCAGAGTCAGCTGGCTGCAATGTGGCCAGGCTGTGGGCTTCCGGGGTTGAGTCCCTCCTGGCTGGCCCATCTATAGCCCTGCCATAGCAGGGGGCAGCGTGGTGGGGCAAGGGACAGGGGACGGGAGGACAGGGGCAGGGTGGCAGGGAGACACAGGGCAGACGACAGGGGTAGAGGCTGGAAGACAGTACAATGACTTGAGACCATCTCTGCAAATTGCACCAAAGTACAGCCCACAGCACCGGGCACCTCTCAAGCTGCAGCAGGGAGTAAGCTCAAGATCCTCCCACTCCTGTCTCCCTGGAGGTTTGAGAAAATAGTCCTGGCAAGGGGAGGGGGCAACATGTTCATTATAGGAAATAAGCAGCACAATTGCATTCTGAGAAATCCGCACAGATTTCAGAGCAGCACGGGGGCTCGCGGGCTCTGCGGGCCGTGGAATTCAATATGATATGCTTCAGCCTGTCAGCTAATGGCCTGCGGCTGGACGCCACGTGACCCAGCCTTCCTGGGGACGTTAAACGATGCTGAAAAGTGGCCCAGATTTATTTATTGGGACAGCGCTCCTGCCTGTGGGTTTGTGGGGTAATGACAAGTTATGAAAACAGGTGTGCGTGAGCAAGGGCGGAGGAGCCGGGGATTCCACACTACCCCAGAGCCTCCCTCCTGGCCCTACTGCTGAGTCTGCTGTGCACTGGGAACATGATGTCCCACCTGGGCGACTCACCTCCCCCTACCCCACCCACAGCATCAGTTTCCCCATCTGTTAAATCCATCCATCCATCCATCCATCCATCCATCCATCCATCCATCCATCCATTATTCCCTCTCACCTGTCATTCATTCATTCCCAGAACACTCCACCTTTTGTGTGCTGAGCCATGTTCTAGATGCACTGATGCAGCTTCCAACACAAATGACTAGGCTCTGCCCTCAGGGAGTTTCAATCCAGCAGGGAGGTGAGATGGCAATTGAACAGCCACTGTGAGAAGTGCTGTCAACCTGGCCTGCTTAAAACCCCTTGAGTGTGTGCCCTTCATCTCCAGGGCCATGCCAAGTTGGAGCTGCCAGCCCTCCCGCCTGGAGCCCTGCACCCACTCCCAGCCCACCCCTCCATGTCCTCGCTTGCCCCATCCAAATTGTAAGCTTGGTTACCTTTAAAAACACAAACCCAATAGTGTCATCTTCTGTGCACTCTCCAATGGCAAAGAGAAAATTTGCAACGGGGCCTGTGGGGCCTGGCTCTTCTCCTGCCAGCCTCCCCCTGCCCCAGGTCCTGGCCCTTCCCTCTGCTGGTAGTTGAGCCCTGCCTGTCCATCAGCAAGTTTCCCTGGCCCTTTGGCTCTGGGCAGGCAGGGGCCACATCTGGTTGTGCCCACACCAGGGTCCTGGGGCCCTGAGCCCCTGGGAGATCCTGATGGCAGAGGTGTTGGTGCCCACCAAGGTCCTCCTAGGATGCCCCTCTGTGAGGGGTCAGGGGCGGGCAGGGAACCTGCTCTCTGGAAAGGCCTCAATTGATAATCTGAAAAGCGCGCTAGACCTTCCAAATAAAAAGGTCTCCACTGCAGACTCGAGAGGCGTGCCATAATTACCTGGGAAGGGCAGGTCAGCTGCATTTTTTCAAATTTGCATTTTACAAAGTGTTTAATGGATATTTATATGAAAGAGCAGCCTATTGGGTAAATGCGTGACTTTAAATTAGGCTGAGGCCTTCCCCGCTCTGCTGTGCTGGCTGAGCTCGGCCATCAGTGGGGCCTTCGGTCCCTCCCTCCCTTATTCCTCCTACATGCAGGTCCTGAGGGCCCCTTCTGCGCCAGGCCCTGGCTGGGGTGGGATCCAGATATGAGGGGGCACAGCCCTTTCTGGGGTGTGCCTGGTAGAGAGTCACCATGAAGTGGCTTAAAGAGACACACCAAGGGGTGGGGGAACCACTTGCAAGAGCGGAGGTGGTGTACACCAACAAGCCCACATGGGGAGGGGCATTACGGGCAGAAGAAGGACCCGGATGCAGTGCTGGCCAGATGACAGAGCAAGGGGCATCTGGGGAGTGGCGAAAAGAGAGAGGAGCCATGAAGGAGTTCACAAGAGCTGGGCAGGGCTGCCTGGTGGGTCCCTGTAGGGGCGCAACTCAGGTTATCCGTGTGTCCCTGTCCTCTGTGCAGAGTGCAGCCTTCACGGCTGCATGTGGTGGTCCTGTTGGTTGGGGAGGGAGGTTGGTCTTGTTGGTGGGGGAGGGAGGAGGCTGGGCCCCAAATGGAAAAGACCCCCCAAACCAGGTGAGGAGTCGAGCTGAACCCCGGTGACGGGAAGCTGTTTTCTATCTGTGTGGGGGTGACACGATCAGTTTGGCATCCCAGAAAGGCTACTCTGGCAGCCTGTGGAGAACGGGCTGCAGGTGGAGAGACAGTTGGCCACCAGAAAATGGCCCATGTAGAATACATGTTTTTAAAAACGATGGCAAAAGGCTAATTCTTTTCATCTGCAAAGATGCTACAAATCAACAAGAAAAGGACCAGTAGAAGAATGGGTGAAGAAAGAGGCTCAACTGCATTCATAATATAAGAAATGAAAATTCAGGCCAGGCGCGGTGGCTCATGCCTGTAATCCCAGCACATTGGGAGGCCGAGGCAGGCGGATCACAAGGTCAGGAGATCGAGACCATCCTGGCCAACACGGTGAAACTCTGTCTCTACTAAAAATACAAAAAAAAATTAGCCGGGCGTGCTGGCACGTGCCTGTAGTCCCGGCTACTCGGGAGGCTGAGGCAGGAGAATCGCTTGAACTCAGGAGGCAGAGGTTGCAGTGAGCCGAGATCGCGCCATTGCACTCCAGCCTGGGTGACAGAGAGAGACTCCATCTCGAAAAAAAAAAAAAAAAAAAGAAAAGAAAATTCAATCTGTGATGAGATGCTGCCATGTTTTTTTATTTATCAACAGGTAAAAGTTGGCATTTTCACAATACGCTGTGCTGGGGAGGGCGAGAATCACAGAGCACTGGCCCTCTCACACATCTGGTGGGGCCAAAAGGTGGTGCAACTTATTTGGAGTGCAATATAACAGCAATATTGATTGCAACTTTAAATACATGCACCCTTTGACCCATTGATTCCAGTTCTAGTACACATTGTACATGCACATAAATGCATGTACCAGGAAGAGTCCTTGCAACACTTTTTTTGTAATAACAGAAAACTAGAAACAATCTAAATGTTACTTAACTGGGGACCAATTAACTACAATATTATACATAACTAGAGTACATCGTATAATGGCATGCCATGACATCATTATAAAATGGAGACCCTGGCCAGGCGCGGTGGCTTACGCCTGTAATCTCAGTACCTTGGGAGGCCAGGGCAGGAGGATTGCTTGAGCCCAGGAGTTCGAGAACAGCCTGGGCAATATGGTGAGACCCCGTCTCAATTTTTAAAAGATAAAAAGAATACGGAATGGGAGTGAACATTTTCTGGCTGGCCCTGAAGCAGAGAGCTCTTTGCCCCTGCACTGAAGGCCCCTCTCTTAATAAGTCTTTTGTCCCCTCCCCACCTGTCAGGCACCAGGTCGCATGCAGCCTGTGAGTGCAGAGAAAGAGCTAACAAGAGTGGCCTTTCTGGACCAAGCTGAAGCCTGGCGCTGCCCGGGCAGCCTCTCTTCCAACCATGGGGTCGGGAGTCCAGGCTTTGGGGCGGCCCCTCTGGATGTCATTTGCTTGCAAGTCGGTGGCCCCAGGTGGTTGCAGCCAAGGGACTTTCTGACCTGCAGTCATGTGGCCAGCTGCTTCCTTCTCCATTCTGTGGGGCTCTGCACCTGCCCTGGCCTCAGAGCTTCTACGGTGGCCATGTGGCCTGGGCAGGGTGGCCTTCTGTGGCCTCGGGCAAGGCGCCTAACTTCTCCAAACCTGTTTCCTCAGCTGTATAAGGGGGGCAATGCCACCTGCCTCTCCATGATGGCTGCGGTGACGCTGGCGCCTGGGACGAAGCTGGTCCTCAGCACACGGTCACCTTTTTCCCCACAAGCCTCCCCTCGCTCATTGCCTGGCCCATTTACCCCAGAGATGGAGGCCATCTCAGTGATCTCAGTGTTGCTCTCTATGTCCCTTCTGCTGTCACCTTGCTGCCAAGCGCAACAGCTCACAAAGGCTGGATCCTCTTGGGCGACCCTGAGGCCTGCCTGCTGTGTGAACCTCACTGAGTTGGGGCGTTTCCTCCAGGACTTTGAGTTCAAAGCTTTGCAGACAGGTTGCTATTCAAGATCTCCCCCAGAGCCTCCACTTCCACATGTGGCCGGCGCCCATTCCCTCTGCAGAGCAGCCTGCTGCTGCAAGGGGGCCTTCAACACCGTGGCACAGCACAGCTGTTTGGAGAGCGGGCTCTGTGAGGCCAAAATCCAAAACCCGCCTGGGCACGGACAACCTGCGCCACCTTGGGCATGCCACTGCACCTCAGCTTTGAACCTCAGCTTCCTCTACTGTAAAGCAAGGTGATAATAGGAGTAACCACTCGAGCCTGTTTCTCAGATTAAATGAACTAACGCCATAATGTGCCCTGCATGAGTCTTGGCCTTGTGTGTGAGAGACCCTAGCCATGAATTGAGAAGGTGCTTTACATTTCCCTACCCCCATTGTCTATGTTAATTGTGACACAACTTCCAGCAGCTACAGGAGCAGCCCGATGTCACAGGGTTCACTGCCTGTGAATCCTTGGCTTTGCACAAGGCCTGCCCTCCTCAGCAAGCAGCAGGGGAGCCCGGCTCATGAACGCAGGGTAGCTGGAGAGGACTTGGCCAGAGCCCCCTCTCTAGGCCACATGGCCCCCGGAGCGTGGTCTCAGTGCTCTGCTCCGGCCTGGGAAGGGTCGGCACTCTTTCTGGGACCTTCAGCCCCTACCCCCTCAAGGGAAAATGTCAGTTGGCTTTGGACTCAGTTTTCCAGGTGATGGGGAAACTGCCCGTGGAGTTTGGAGCTGAGCGGCACCCAGGCCACACAGCCTAGGATTGGCTTTCTTGGTGGGATGGCACAAGATACCCCCTAGCTCCCCTGTGGCTCTGGAGTCAGGAGATCCACGTGACCTCCATCTGCTCCAACTCAACGGAGAGAAGGTGATGGGGGCGGGGGCACTGTGGCGGCTGGGAGAGAACCACAGTCATTTCCTTGGCGCAGCCATTTTATGTGAAGATTGAAGGAGAGAAAAACGTTCTTTTATTGAAACAAATAGGAATTGTGGCAAAAACAATACTATGTGTCCGCCAAATCCCATTTTATTTTTGTCTGTTTGGGTGCCCAGGAAGGGGGCACGTCCCATTGTCCCAGCACTTCTGTCGGGGTCATGGGACTGCGTTCTGGCCAAGGGCTTGTGGGAGGCGGTGGAGTCAGCCCCTCCCTGAACAACATCCCCTGAGGACCCCTCCTGTCCCCTCATCTTGCCAGAAGCAACTGGGAGGCGTGGTTGAGGAGAAAGACCAGAGCCTGTCTGCGAAGAGGCATCCTAAGAGCCAGCAGACCCACGTGAACCTTTGAATTCTCAAGAAATAAACTTCCGCTGTGTTAAGCCACGGAGCCCTGTGGGTTTATCTTTTCAGGGTAGCCTAACCTAGCCTGGCTAATATGCGGATGTCATATAGAGCAGAATGCAGTATTTACAGGACTTTTAAAGCTAAAACAAATGGCTTCAAATAAATGGCTGCTTGTAGCTGGCCTCTCTGGGACATGCTCTCAGACTTCTGACCTGTCAATCTCTGCGGGTCAGTCTCCTCCCAGGATAGCTGGTGATGGATCCAGTGACCCACTGATGCCACCCACCCCCCAACCCCCCGCCGCTGGCTCTGGAAATAGCTCAAAGCAGGTTTATTTAAGTGGTGGGTGAGGAGCTGTGACGGTGGAAATTCTTCAGTGGATCCCGTCATCCACCCTGGGTATCTGATGATTAGCGCCCAGTGACAGGTGAGCCCAGGGCAGGCCTCGGAGGCTTCCAACAACCGTTCTACCAGGGGCGAGAGAAGCCAGGCGATGGACTAGATGTCTGTGTCCCTCCCAAATTCATCTGATGAAATCCTAGCCCCATTTAGGGAGGTGGGGCTTTTGGGAAGTGATTAGGTCGTGAGGGCGGAGCCCTTGTGAATAGGAATAGTGCCCTGGGAAAAGAGACCCTAGAGAGCTGTCACTCTCTTCCTACTGTGTAAGGATACAACCGGTCTGCAAGCCTGGAAGAGAACCCTCACCAGGACCCAACCGTGCAGGGATTGTGATCTTGGACTCACAGGCTCCAGAACTGGGAGAAATAAAATTTCTGTTGTTTATCCACTGCCCAGTCTACAGTACTTCGTTATAGCAGCACAAATGGATTAAGACACCAAGCCAATCTCCGGAGGGGGTTCACAGCTCCTCCCTGGGCCCCAGTGTGAGCCAGCCCAGCACCTGAGCACCGGTGCCAGTATGACATACACTCCAGGGCAGGGCTGGGGGTCCCAGCTGGACTCAGGTGACCTTGGATGAGTTACTTCTCCTGGGCCCCCAGCTTTGTGAAAGCCTGGATTTACCCCACAAGTAAAAAATTGGAAGTGATGATGGCATTTGAAGCTTTTTCCTTACATGCAGCCCCAATATATAAAACAGCTAGCTGAGCTGCTCTAAGGTTTCATGGGATCTAGCTTGAAAACCCCTGGGCCAGAGGCTCTCTTGGGTTCCCTTCTGTAGGTATTTGGCGAGGTGATGGGCTGAGGGTGGTGTTGGCTTCTGCCCCATCCCTCTGATCACACAGGGCAAAACAGGTTCCTTCACTGAAGAGGCCTTAATTCATGTCCTAACTTGCTGGGTATTTGGGGCAAGACCCCTCCCCTCTCTGGGCTTCCCTTGCCTCATGCGTAATATTGAAAGGCAGGCGTCAGCAGCTGCGGATACAACCTTATTGTAAAGCCCGTCACGTCAGAATGGGAAAGCCGCAGTTGCCTGGGTTAAAGACAGAGGTGGGGTCTGAGCCCTGAGGGGATCCTGGGGGGCGGGCAGCAGCGTGAAAGGGCCCTTGTGGCCTCCACAGTCCCCACTCGATCCCCCAAAGACATACCTGGCCCAAGCCAGCCCTAAGCTCTCATGCTGCCCTAGCTGCCTCCCCTCCAGGCTGCAGGGCCTCGGGCAGGCAAACCCGGGGTTCTCCAGCAGAGTGGCACAACAGCTCTGCCACACTGCAGAGCCGTGACCTGTGACACAGGAGCCTGGGACGGAGGTGCTGGTACATCTGAGGAATGTGCAGAATCTGAATGGGTCATCAAAAGGTGAACTGGGATCCAGAGGGCCACAGGGGTTACCCGCGGGAACAGGGCCTGCCAAAGTGGCCTCCCTGGGCGTGGGGGGCTGCGTGAAATGAACATTTCTCTGACGCCAATGGGTGAGGGGATTTCCAGGGAGCTGGGGTCTCACTTTATTTTTAACTCAAGGCCATCTGCTTTCCACTTGCCAAATATTCTTAAATATTCAGAGCAGATATATGCTGCTCCCCAAGGGTAGAAGGGGAGGAGGGGGTGATAGGAGGGGGCAGGGCCTCCGTTCCGAGGGACAGAGCCACCAGCTGGACCAGCAGCCCCAGGAATCACCTCTTTGGTGCAGGATGAATGGTTTAGTTCTCTAGGGAGGCACCTGCCTCTGGCTTCCCCCGTGAGGGTGAAACATGCAATGCTCACCGGTCTAGCCCAAGCCGAGCACTGTGGCCCCTCTTGCACACAGGGAGCTGCAAGGGGGCCATCCTGTCTCCCAGGGCAGCCACAGAGTCTCTCACCAAACTCTAGGGACAGATCCCTCCCTCCATACGGGAAACTGTCCCCAGCAGATCAATGGTTGAAAGATTTTCCAAACCCCTCCCTCTACCTCCCCCAGGATCTCACAGTTTCCTTGAGGCAATATTTAGCTTCCCAGGCAAATACTAAGCTTTAAGGGAGAAAAAAAATTAAAAGGTGTTTTTTTCTCAACAATTGACCCCAAGTGAACAAGTATTGTCCACCGCGGTGGATTTGCTGTCAAAAATTATCATGCAGAACAAACTGTCAATACTTCGCAGTCGTTTATACAATGAGCCTGTGTTTAGCAACACTCAGCTTCGTTTTATTATTGCGTTTTATGAAGTTGCCAAGACAACTGAGGCCAAGTAACAGAACCTTGACTTTATGCGCCATGAAAATTTAATAAAGAATTTTGAAAGGCTTTTTAGAGGCAGGAGCTGCAGTCTCTTAAAGGCAGAGCTCAGCACAGAGCGGAGGGGGCTGGAGCACGTGGGGCCTCTCACCAGACCTCCAGGAGCCTCCGCTGTCAGGGGCGTGGAGGTGGGCAGACGTATTTCCTGGCATCCGTCTTGTTTCCGCACGTCGAGACCCTTCCTTTTCTCGACAGACATGTATTAAGACACTTCCCAGGTGCCAAGTCCCGCACCCGGTTCTTTACATACATTACGACGTGATCCCCACTATCTAGGCAAGGAGCAGGGATCAGAGAGGTAAAGTCACTGGCCCGTGGTCATTTAGGCAGAGCGCAACAGATAGAACAAAGTGCATATGAAGGTCTGACTGCAAAGCCCTCGCTTTTCCAGAACAGTTCACGGCCTCCTCTGGGATTCTCAGCCCTCGCTTTCCCCATTCTGATGCAACAGGTTCTGAAGGGAAAATATCCCTGCGGTCTGCGAGGGGCTTGGGGGAGCAGTCAGTGTTCTGTGGCCCAAGACTGGGTCCTGGTTGGAATCTTAGCAAACACCTTCATGTTGGAGGACATGTTTCCCGTGAGCCTCTTGGTGAGCACAAGACACTACCGCAGGGCTGCAAAGAGCCCTCTCCACTCCGCTCTCTAAATAACACTCGGAAGCCAATCACCAGAAATGAGAAAAACATCGTAATTTTGCCATTTTCTACCAAAGCTCAACGGTGCTCAGTGTGTGTGTGTGCGTGCGCACGTGTGTGCATGCGTGTGCGTGTGTGCATGTGTGTGCGTGTGTGCATGTGTGCATTGTGTACGTGTGTGCATGTGTGGTGTGTGCGCGCACATGCGTGTGTGTGCATGTGTGCGTGTGTGCATGCGTGTGCATCGTGTGTGCGTGCGTGTGTGTGCATGCATGCGCGCGTGTGTGTATAAGCATTATGCTGCGTGGTTTTTCCAGTTATATAAAAATCAAGACTTTTGGCTACTAGAGATAAAGGTAAATGAAGACGTGGCCTATTCTGCAGAGCTCCTTCATCTCCAGGAACAGAAAAAAATTTAGACTTATTTTGTGAGGGAGAAATTCATATGCCATAGGGGAAAATTTCTCTCACATTCATCAAACCAAATGGGAGATTGGCAAAAATATCCATCAAGGTGAGGTGGATTTCAGGTTAATACACACGGTGGTGAATGATCCCTCCGTGCGAGGAGGACAGCGCTCTCAGCCATGGGGAATGCCAGCTCCCTGCCGGGAGAGCCATCATTTCTGAGCTTTCAGGGAAGATGCTCGTGTGCTGGCCATTGCAAGCCCAATTCTCAATTACAGGGCCAAGGAGTAGAGGACATTAGTCAAGAAATGGGGAAAAAATTAAGCTATTCTGGAGGGACACTCTGCCAATCACAAGGCACATTCCGGGTGTCAGAGGAGCAGCAGGAATCATTTCTCAGCCTACGAATGTCTTTAAACATGTGGGAATGAAGGGGAGGTGGGGCGTTGGGGGGAGGGCAGGAGGAGCTGACCAGTGTGGTTTCATCTGTCTTGATGGATAACATTATTCAAGAAAGAGCTTTTACCTTCATCCCTTCACACTTTGTAGGAAGCCAGTAGCCAGGCTGAAGATAACACTACGTTTGAGCAGCGCCTTCGTTTACAAAACACTTTCACATTGATGACATTTTCTGTGATCTCGTCTTATGCTCCCAAAGATCAAGTGAGACAGGACTTGCCACTCTCACTAAGTGGCTGGGAGACCTGGAGCCCTTCCTGGGGTGCTCAGCAGGAGAACAGATCAGAGAGCCTCAAGCTAAGTCCCCAGAACTGAGTGGAGCAAACACCCAGCCTCTGCGGGACGTGGGTTTCCACACCTGCAAAATGGGATGTTTTGGGGAGTGCTGAGGCACCGTGCAGAACCGAGGAAGTGCCGAGGAAGGAGTGTGGGATCTGGAGCCAGCCGGGGGGCTCAGGTGGATCCTGGCTCTGCACTTCACCAGCACGAGACCTCGAGACCTTGGTCAGTCACTAAGCCTCCTGGAAGCCACTTCCCTGCCTGGGAAAACAGAGTGCCAGTGATCCTCATCCTTGGTGGGTTGGATGGATCTAGAAGTGCTTTGTAAACTGTGAAGGATTGAGCATGTGCTGATAAAATCATGCAGGAAAGGGCCTGGGGTCTAGAAAGGCATGGAACACCATTTCAAGTGTCTGGGCTCCTATCCTCCCACTCCATTCCCCTGACTACCTACATGCACATCCGGAGGACCTGCTGGGAACTCAACAACCCCACACAAACTCAGGGCAATGCAGAGTTGAAAGGAGGCTGGCTAGCCGGCTGGAGGGGTGTTGGTGAGGACTGCCCAGCCTGGTGTCCTGTCTGTGAGATTGAATGGGAGGGGGTGCCCATGGGTACGCAGCCCAGGCCTGGCCACAAAGGGCCATGGAGAGACACCTAGAGTCGGAGGAGCTATTATCTGTTTACGGACACAGGACAGCTGCCGTGTCCCAGGGAGCCAACAAGGCAGCCGGGAATGTAGAGGTGTTCAGCGGATCGGCTTGGCAAGGTTTAGAAATCTGTGCTTCTTAAAGGCACCCGCAGGCAAAGTGGAGAGCAAGTGTGGTAACACTGTCTCCTCTCCCGGGTTCTGCTAAACGTTCCTATTCACAGCAAGCACCTGCTGGCCCCTGCTCTGTGCCAACGTGGACCCAGCACATGCCTGACCCTGCAGGAACGCACAGCTGGGTGGGAACCAATGCTGTGGTCCCACAGTGCGCGCGACAAGACAGGAACTTTCCAGTTCTTGGAAGTAGATGGAAGGAACCGCTCACTCTGTTTGGGGGATTGCAGCGGGGACACTGGAACTGAACCTTGAAAGTCTGTTTGCCACTGGGCAGAGGAAGGCCATTCCAGGCAGAGGGGCCAGCAAGACAAGGGTGGTGGGAAATAGCACATCCTCCTCCTGTCTCATGACAACAGATACAAACAGTCCTGGGAGCAGGGGTCGGACAGGGGCTCAGGGAGGCTGCAGAGCCTGGTCCTGAGGTGCAGGGGTCAGGTGCGGGCCTTAGGATGGAAAGAAGGGAAGGGTGCCGATAAGGGCTGCTTTCAATAGGTGACTGGACGTCAGCTCTGTGGCTCTCCAAGTTCCTTCCAGACCTATGGAGATGGAGGGTAGGGTGGAGGGGTGAGAGGCAGGGAGGCAGCGGAAGCCCAGGCGAGAGACCGTGTCCGAGTTTGGGGGACTGGACAGAGGCTGGGAGGAGAAGTAAGAGGAAGCCAGGTGGTTTGTTTTAGGGATGGATGCTGCTCTCTCCTGGAGGCCCTGCCTCTGCCCACTGGGAGGGGTCTGTTGGGACCAGCACTTGCTAACAGCTGCACTGAATCTAGCGGGTCTTTATAAGTATAAGCACCTATTGCAGGCTCCATTTTGGCCAGGCCGTGAGGACAAAGCTCCCGCCCCTAACAACAGAAATGCTGAGCCCGTCCCCCTAGGAGGTTGGAAGGAAGGGAGCAGGCAGTGTCAGCAAGGCAGGAGCAAGGAGGCTGCCCCGGGGCACACCCAAAGAAAGGGTAGGTGGGCCCAGTTCTGTGGGTCTGTCCTGTTCTCCTGATGCTTCCCTCCCCAGATTGGTCCCACTAACTTGTCATACTTGGATGTGAACCCCCCAAACTGAGCACAGGCTGAGCTTGATCTTCTTACCCGTTCATTCCAAGCCCCCGGAGTGCCCAGCTCTCCAGGAACTCAGCCAGCAGACTAGGGAGAGGACTGTGTGTGCATTGAGGGTGGGGAGAGACAGGCGTCAGGAGGAGCGGGAAGGGGCAAGAGAGCGGGAGGGAGAAGACGCTGGAGATGGATCCTGAGGGCGCTTGCAGGGATGGGGCTTATCCTGCAGCAAAGCACAGGGGCTGCCCAGCTATGTGTGCCGTGCCTCTGGGCCAGCCAGACTCCCGGCTCTACTTCCTATCTTCTCGGAGGAAGGAACCATCTGCTTTTGCTATCGTTTCAATTACATCCAATAAAACGAGTGGCCGATTACCAAAGGGGTAAACACAGTGGTGCTTCTTATTAGGAATGGAGGAGGCGGGGTGATTCAGTTATCACTCATTCTGACAATGGAGCAGCCTCGAAATGCTTTCAGTTAAACTGAAAAGGGCCAATCTGTCAGGACTGGCCTCTCATAAAACCACAGCCTCATTTCCCTAACAATCAGCAGGGAGGCTCTGTGCCCTGCGGGTGGGTGGGGCTATCGGGGCCTTGTCTGCAGAGGAGGGGGCTGCTCCCGGGACAGAGGGGCCATGGTGGGCGGAGCAGCCCGCCTCCAGATGATGGCATGGGGTGGGAGAGGCCCTCACCAGGAGAGCTGATGTTTTCATATCACCCCAAACAAGGTGGCTGGAATTCAACCTCTTGATTTTATTTTTCAAAATATTCAATGTGCTTGGTTGGTTTTAGACCTGAACATTGCGCTCCACTTTGGCAAGCGAGTACTTTCTGAAGACCAACTTCAAGAAATGGTGTCACGTGAGAGCTTTGTTAAGACTTCTGGTGGCTCCCAGCTGATGACAAGTGTGCCCAGACATGCTTACTCTGGTCTTTCTCTGGGAAATCCATTTGTTCTGCCAAAGGGGACTGGGAGAGCTGCATGGGGGCTTCAAACATTGTTTCTCACAATGGACCATTTAGGAGCCCTGACTGCCTTGTCCCATGCCACCAGACCATGACGGACCCCAGGCAGCCCCGAGCGGGGTAGCTGCAGGGTCTTTACTTGGAGCTGAATTCATTCTCACCCAGGGACAAGGAGCCAAAGACAGACACACCTGGACCAAGTCCTGACTACATGGCCTCCTGGGCCTTCCTTTCCTCATCTGAAAGGGGAGCAGCATTACAGACCTGCCCTACTACCTGGGGAACTGAGCCGATGACACCTCCACAGTGCCCCATGTAGAGAACACTCGACACACCTCAGGAGGCACATCCTGCCAGTGCCACCTTCCCACCTGTCCTGCCTTCTGCTTGGGAAAATAAAGTGATTGCAGAAGTCTGCTGTCACTCACTGAACACCCCAGAGTGGGCTCTGCAGGGCTCAGTTCCACGGCCCCTCTAGGCTGGGGAAGGGCAGCGGCCTTTGGGCTCTGCTAGCAGCAGGGAAGGGGTGCTGCGCGGCAGCCACACCGTGGGGGAAACAGGTTTTCCTCTTTGAGAGGGTGAACTCCTGGCAGGAAGGAGCTCCAGGCAAGGATGAACAGAGCAGCCCCTGCTCTGAAATCGCTTGCCAACAATTGGAGACATCTTGGATTAACAATCTTGCCTTTGGGTTTAAAAATATCTGGGGAGGGCGGATTCAAGTAACTTGTTTCCACAGATGCTTTTGAGTACCTGTTATGAACCAGGTCAACTGCTCTTATCAGTTTGGGTCAGGAGTCAGGGACAGGATGTTGGAAGGAAGGAGGAGAAAGCTGCAGGAGCTTATTTGGGATGCACCTCTGCCTCCCAGAACCCTCCCTTGCCACGCACTACGAGCATTTTCTGAGTCCTACAGTGCACCACACCAGGCACAGTACTAGCGCCTCAAATACTTTCCTGCACCTCGCTTGGAGCACGATGACTGACTCTTCCCAGGTTCCTCAGCATCCTTTAAAGGGATCCTCCAGGAAAGGGCCACATTAACCCCAAATCCAACCACACTCTGGAGAGCTTGGCTTTGCCAGGTCCTGCCTGCCTGTCTTCAATAGGCCCTGGACCTTGGCATGCCCAAGGCTGTTTCCAAAATGCCACCTTCTGCTGCCTGTGAGGCGTTTCCTCCGAGAGGGGGGCTACCTGGGGATACAGATGGAGACAAGGAAAGGGTCTCATGGAAGACAGTGTGAGCTCCCCTGACCCTGGCACCAGGTCTGACATACACTACTCCTCTTGCTCTGGTTCTTATCCATGTCTGATTTCCTTCCCTCACCCAGGGCTCCCAGCACAGTGCTGGGCATGCAGGGACCCCTGGCAGTGCTTGTTGTGGACACGCTGGCCACATGACCAGCACCCCACCTATGCAGGGGTCCACTCAGACCATCTGGTCAGGGAGGCTAAAGATGGGATTCCTGCTTTGGGGTCACAGTCAAACAAAATCAAACAAAATGATCTCTGAGGCTCCTGCCAGCTCTGAGGCTCCAGGAGTCTTAGTTACTTCTTAATTAATTTTTTCTTAATTAATAACAAACCAAATATTGCAGCAACAGGCAAGCTAATGAACTAAATGAGGTTAATCTGTTCACTACACCCATGTAGCACATGACTGGGATGGGAGATTCGCAGATGCCTACTTGATATTTCCACTTCCTTCTCTCGGAACGGGCGGCAGGAAATAAACACGATGTTCTCAGGCTTTTCCCGGTGGGCGCGTGGAGGCCCCGGCAGCAGATCCTAACACTCGGCTTCCTCTCCACAGCTCCGGGCCTTGGGATCGATTGTGTCCTGTGCCCCAAATACAACAGATTTGCCCCAGTTGGTGCTTCCTGTGAGCCCAGAATAGAAGGTGCCATCTGTCACGTTTTAGATGTCATATGTCCGATGACTGATGACTCAGAAACAGGGTGTATCACCAGGAGGTGTGAGGAGGAAGGCAGGTGAGAACCAGCCAGCCTGGTGAAGCACAGCTCAGCCGCACACAGAGACAGTTCGTGGGGACCTCAGCTGGGCCCCTCGGCAGCCTGCCTGCCATTCCTCTGCAGGCAGAATGCCTGGGGCGCTCCAGCCCTGAAAGCTGCTCTCGTCTTCCGTTTTCCAGGAGGACAGAGTGGCCCTCAGGACAGGGTATGTCTGGGATGGGAGAGCTTATTGGCACAGCTGGTGCGGGGTGGGGGGTTGTCCCCTGCTGGCTGGGCCGAGGGGGAGGGCTCCTGGGGAGGGCCACGGTGTGGGGGCCGGCCCCCCGACGGGACGCCCCGGCCACACACCAGGCGTTTTTCATCCAGCAGGGACAGGTGGTACTCGCAAAGGTCAATCAGTGAGGCCACCTGCTCATGAAGTGGCAGCATCTTGAACTTCCTCTGAGCCAGGAAAAAGAAAGCTTCTACGAAGGCCTGCAGACACATCCCTGTGAACAAAGAGACTGGATGAGGGGGTGCACACAGCTGCCCTACGCTGCCCTGGGAAGGCCCACCTCCAGCCACAAGGATGTCAGCAAGAGCTAGCCCCGCTCCCCACCACCGTCTCCATTCCAGAAACTCCTAACAGGGCTAACTCACTCACAGAGTGCCCACTGTGCCCACCAGGCACTAGCTGGGCATTTTATGGCCATGTGCAGACCAAATCTCTCACACAGACCTATGAAGGAAGTTCGGTTAACCCTATTTTGCAGATGAGGAAGTTGAGTCTCAGAGACACGGAGAGAGCTGGGGAAAGTTATATAAGATTTAAACCTAGCTCAAAGCCTTGTAAAATGTCCACAATGAAATGCCCCCATTAAAACCCAGCTCCTGGCTGGGCGCAGTGGCTCATGCCTATAATCCCAGCACTTTGGGAGGCCGAGGTGCGTGGATCACTTGAGGTCAGTAGTTCGAGACCAGCCTGGCCAACATGGAGAAACCTCATCTCTACTAAAAGTACAAAAATTAACTGGGCGTGGTGGCATATGCCTGTAATCCCAGCTACTCAGGAGGCTAAGGCAGGAGAATTATTTGAACCTGGGAGGCAGAGGTTGCAGTGAGCTGAGATCGTGTCACTGTACTCCAGCCTGGGTGACAGAGTAAGACTCCATCTCAGAAAACAAAAACAAAAAAACCCAGCTTCTTAACTTTTATAATCAGGGAACAAGGTTATGAAGATATGAAGATAAACCCGGTTTGACGGCAAAGTTCTATCTGATAACAGAGATGCTGGTTACATGGGTGTGTGCGTTTGTCAAAACTCAAGTTGTGCCTTAAGGCTCATGCATTTTGCTGTCTGTAAATTTTACCCCCCAAAGTAAAATAAACCCAACTGTCATTTCTCTGGCCCAAACCATATTCTGGAAAGAATAAATAGTCATCCCTACGACACCCCTGGAATGCTCTTCCCTGGTTTTGTCTTATAAGCGTCTACTTATCTTTGGGACCTGAGCTCAAAATCACTGACTCAGTAAAACCTTCCCTGATCCCCAGATTAGACCCGGCCCCGGTACAGGATTCCTGCACTTCTCTTTGCAGCACCGGCTGCGACTTGCTCTGTGTCTATCTGTCTGTGTGGTCTCCATCCTCCTCTCTGGACTGTGCGCTTCCCGTGCTGCCCAGAGGTGCTCAGTATAGATGAATGAGTGAATGAATGAATGGGTGCATTGACGCTAGGTACTTTACCAACAGTGCCACTAATTCTCACAATACCTTTATGAGGTAAATATTATTATGCCCCATCTTACAGATTAAGAAACTGATGGCAGGGTGCGGTGGCTCACACCTGTAATCCTAGCACTTTGGGAGGCCGAGGTGGGCGGATCACGAGGTCAGGAGATGGAGACCATCCTGGCCAATGTGGTGAAACCTTGTCTCTACTAAAAATACCAAAACTAGCTGGGTGTGGTGGTGCATGCCTGTAATCCTAGCTACTCAGGAGGCTGAGGCAGGGGGAAACGCTTGAACCAGGAAGTCAGAGGTTGCAGTGAGCCAAGATCACGCCACTGCACTCCAGCCTGGCGACAGACAGAGCGAGACTCCATCTCAAAAAAAAAAAAAAAAGAAAAGAAAAAAAGAAACTGATAGAGAGGTTAAGTAACCTCCCTAAGGCCACACAGCCAGGGAAGAGTGGCCTGGAAATTCAAACTGACTCCCATGTTTTTTAACTAAGTTGTTAAAAACTTAGTTAAAAGTTTCAACTGCCTGAAAGGGTCTGAGTCTTCCCAATGTCCAAGTAAAACTGGAACCCGGGGATCTAAACCTATAGGAGTCCCTGGGCTCTTCGGGAAAGGTGACAGTAAGGTTGGACTGAACACCACGTGGCATTTTAGATTAGGCTGGTGTCAACTCTGAAATCCACACCTTCCTGGTGACTGTGCATTATTTACCTGCTTCTGGCACTGGGGGCAGCAGCCTGGCCTAGGGTTTGTAGATTACAGGTTACATACAGACCCTGGGATCCCAGAGCTATTTTTGCCTTGGGAACTTGAGCTGGGCAAAGAAGTTGTGTTTTGCCTCCCTTATAGTCCATCAGAGCTCTTGGCCTTGGGTTCTTTTGACTGCAGACATCCTACAAGGGCGCTGCTCTGTTTGATCCTGATATGAGGAGTTGATAAAATGGGTTTTACACCAGGGTTACTTTTAATGTAAACAGCGGCCTGGGATGGTCAAAGACACAGGGGAGTAGGAGCCTTGGTCTGACTCAAGAGACAGATGTTTCCTAATCACCAGCTCTGGGCCAGGCCTCTCATAGGGTGGGCGTGTGCCCGTGCAAGTATGTGCATCTGTGTGTGTGTGTGAGATGGTCGGGTGGGAGGGTCAGATACACACAGAGTGAGAAGATTAGGATCTAAGGCCCGAGGAACCCAGTCCCAGTCCCCTACTTCCCAACGGTGTGATCTAAACAGCGCCACTCAAAGTGTGGCTGGCTGACAGTGCCAAGCCCATGAACTGTGTGTCCCTGGTCCCTGACAAGATAAGGCGCTTGGGCCAGAATGTTAATCATGGTCCTCATCAATCACATTGTTTAGTGCTGTTGACAGTATTTAGTATAATAGCACGTCTTCCTCTATAAAGGAAGCAGCGTGCTGTCTACATTCTGGCTCAGGCGTCTTGTCCAGGACTGTGACAATCTGTGGGTTGCAACTTTGAGTAACTCTGCTCTGCAAAGCCCTTCCCAGCTGTAATGCACACTCCAATCACCAGCTTGTTCAAATGCGAATCCTGGGGTGGGGCCCAAGGCACTGAATTTCTAGCAAGCTTCCTGGTGGTGCTGATGCCACACTTTGAATGGCAAGGATCTAGCCACTCACTGCACCTCTTTACTCAACAAATGTCAGTTTCGTTCCCTTAGTTGATGGTAGAATGTGATTAGAGCTATATGCATAGAAAACATACAATGAGGGCCAATTTGGAAAAAAAAAAAAAGCACAGCAACATCATCTAGAAGACATTCTAAAACGAGAAGTGGGATCTCACTGTGCTGCCTTGGCTTTCTTTCTGCTTGTCTGCATTTTGTGATTTTCTACAGTAAACATGGATGCAATTTAAACATCTGCAGTGGGAAATTCTGGTGTGTGGAAAGAGATGATGGAGGGGGAGATGCTTTTAATTATGAACCCCTTACTACTATTTGAATTGGAAGTCAGGCACATGTATTACTTTGAAAAAAAATACAATGCAAACTTTTTGCACATATATTCTACTTTTTATCAAAGTAGAATATATATATATATATATATAACCAGTAACCTATATATATATATATATATATATATATATATATGCACACATATATATATACACGCACATATATATGGGTTATATATATGGGTAAAACCCATATATATATGAGTGTGTGGGTGTATATATATATATGGGTTTATATATATATATGGGTTTATATATATGGGTTATATATATGGTAAAACCCATATATATATGAGTGTGTGGGTGTATATATATATGGGTTTATATATATGGGTTATATATATGGGTTTTACATATATATGGGTAAAACCATATATATATGTGTGTATATATATATATGTATATATATATATGTGTGTGTATATATATATATGTATATATATATATGTGTGTGTGTATATATATATATGTGTGTGTATATATATATATATATATATATATGTATATGGTTTTATACCAGGGTTACTTTTGGCAGGGCTGGGATTTGAACCCAATCCTCATGCACTGCTGCTTCTGCACCTTATTCCCAGAAACCCTCTGGAGCATCCGTGCCAAGGGTGCCTGAGGATGGAAACGGTAGAACCTGCAGGAAACACTGAACCCAGCACCTTGAAGGATCTAGGGGTTGGGGGCATCGGTGGAGGCTTTTGGCAAAGTGGGCATGACAGTGGGGCCTTGCAGAATGAGGAGGGCTTGGATGGGCAGAGATGTGCTGGGGGTGGTCGACTGGGCTGAGAGCAGGGACCTGTGGGGCAGGGAGGCAGGGTGGATGGCCCAGGGGCCTGCCACAGGACAGGCTGGGGAAGAGGCCAAAGGGACTAAACCCAGAGAGCACCGGTGGTCACTGTGGGGCTGGGGTCAATGTCAGATGAAGCCATTGGGAGCCCCTGCAGGTGCTGGGCAAGGCCCGCGTGATCCGAGTCCCATGGGTTTGGACCCATAACAGTCTGATCACATTTTCTAGTCTGATGATTTCTAACCATTTTTTTTTATAGTGATAGAAACTGTGAGGGTTTTCTTTTTCTTCTCTTGTTTTATTTCTTAAGTGAAATCTTCCGAGGGAGTCCAGTATGCCAGACAGGTAAAGGGACCCTTCTCCCCTCTCTGTTTAGGTCAGGTGAATGGTGGCTTACAGGCCTGCCACACAGCCCCTCACCCCTCGGGGCCCTTGGATCTTCACAAGCAGCACAATCACCGTCACCCTGAGGCCCTTGAACCCTTGTTTAGCATTTGCATTTTGCCGAAGGGTGGGGACGGGAAGTACCTGAGGCCCCCAAGTCACACTCAGCAACTGACAGGAACAGGGCTCGACCCCAGCTCTGGGACTGGAGCCCAGGGTACCCTCAAACCACATCTCCCCCTCCAAAAAGAAACTGAACGCAAAATCAAACCAATCACTTCTCTGGCCATGGGCTGTCTCCACTGACAGACGGTCCTATTGAATGCGTGCCAGTGAGTGTGGGGGGACGCGGGGATGCCCCAAACTGCACGCCATGAGCATATGGGCCTCTGGTCCCACAATGGCCCATTCTAATAGCCCTTTGAGTTTGACTAGATATTGGCTTTAATCCTCAATTCATCAAGGTGGCGCAGGAAACGGTGGTCAGACCCAGGCCAATATTCACTGAGCTTCAGAGAACGTAACCTTTTGAAGGTTTCAAGGGGGTGGGGATTGGGCGGGGAGGAGGAGTCAGCGCACTCAGATGATTCAAGTTACGCTGCAGGAGCAGGGCTGCTGGGGTTCCCCCTGAGAGTCAAGCTCAGGCTCTGGACTGTCCCCTCTGGCTGCAGTTTCCAGCCTTTTCCAGAGCCTCCACAATGGTTGACGTTCTGCCAGGCAGAACTGGGGCTTTCGCCTTCCTTATTTTTTATTTATTATAACAACATATAATGAGAGTCTTAGCAGAAAGTGCCATAGAGCCCATGCATGGCCTTCCCTCCAGCACTTACATGTTCTTGCGGAATGACCTTCCACCCTTACTCTTTGTCCACAGGAAGATGTATTGTCACTTAGTGATAACACACATTGAACTTTTTTTTTTTTTTTTTGAGATGGAGTTTCGCTCTGTTTCCCAGGCTAGAGGACAGTGGTGAGATCTCGGCTCATTGCAACCTCCACCTCCCAGGTTCAAGCGATTCTCCTGCCTCAGCCTCCTGAGTAGCTGGGATTACAGGCATGCACCACTATACCTGGCTAATTTTTTGTATTTTTAGTAGAGATGGGGGTTTCGCCTTCTTGGCCAGGCTGGTCTTAAACTCCTGACCTCAACTGATCCGCCCACCTTGGCCTCCCAAAGTGCTGGTATTACAGGCATGAGCCACCATGGCTGGCCACACGGAACTTCATTTTGCTTAAAATTATATCATTAACATTTTTGTATGTTGCTATGCAGCCTTTATAACCATTATTTTAATGGTTGCATAACTGTCCATCAAATTTTTGCCTTCTATGCCATTTCACCACCCCGTCCCTGTTGAACACAAAGACTATTTACATTTGCTCACTATTGTTGAGAATATTATAATCAACACTTGGTATTTCATTGTTTTTATTTATGATTCATTTATTCCCTTACAATAAAACCCTTGGGACCTGGGTGGTTGTTTTTGTTTTTAATAAATGTAAGGTTAGTTTAGTAATTGACTTCATGTTAAAAATACCTAAAACCTTACAGAGGCTGGGTGAGATGGCTTAACCCTGTAATCCCAGCACATTGGGAGGCTGAGGCAGGAGGATCGCTTGAGCCCAGGAATTTGAGGCTGAAGTGAGCTATGATCACACCACAGCACTCCCGCCTGGGCAACAGACAAGACCCTGTATTTTTTTTTTTTTTGAAACGGAGTCTCGCTCTGTCACCCAGGCTGGAGTGCAGTGGCATGATCTTGGCTCAACCTCTGCCTCTTGGGTTCAAGCAATTCTCCTGACTCAGCCTCCCTAGTAGCTGGGATTACAGGTGCCCATCACCATGCCCAGCTAATTTTTTTGTATTTTAGTAGAGATGGGGTTTCACCACCTTGGCCAGGCTGGTCTCAAACTCCTGACCTAAAGCAATCCACCCACCTCAGCCTCCCAAAGTGCTGGGATTACAAGCGTGAGCCACCGTGCCCAGCCAAGACCCTGTCTTCAAAAAAATTTTTAAAAAGAAAATCTCATAGAGTACCCAAATGGACAAAGCACATGAATGGGCAATTCACATATATCGGCAAATAAAAGAGAAGACATCCGGCCCCATCCAAGCCACAGGGGCTATTGCTCACCAAGTAAACTAACAAAAGTATTAAATACTGATAATGAGAGGTAGTGGTGAAATGGCTATAGACTTTTGAAAAGCAATTTGGCGAAAGTTTTAAGAGCCATTCAAAGGTTTATTAGGGAGGTAAGGAGGAAAAAACAAAAAATAAATGTGTTTATATCATTGAACACAGTGATCACAATCCTAGGAATTTTCCCTAAGAAAATATTCCTTCCAAAGGAAAACAATGTATACAATGGTATTCATTGCAAACTTATTTATAGTACCACGGGGCATGGGGGAAGGCAGTGCTAGACTTATAGGGTATTTTAATATCTTCATTCTTTTCTGAATTTTCCAAATAAGATAATGCATGCTCGTTGTTGATAATAATTCAAGTACACACACACACACACACACACACACACACACACACACACCACACACACACACAATTTTAAAAATACCCCCAACCTAGCCTCTGAGGTCACTGGTTCTGGGAATCTGTCCTTGACCATCCCCAGGTGGAGTTAATCACCCTTCATGGTGCTTCTTCTTGTTTCTTATCATATACTAGGATAAATCCATGGGTACATGGCTGTCTCTCTAATGAGACTCTGCTCCTACAGGTGGGGACCATGTCCCTGTCTTCTCTACATTCCCAGAGCCCAGCATAGCCTGGCACACAGTGAGCACCAATAAAGATGCATTTAATCCACTGAATAGAATGTGAACCTTGTAACAGTCGTGTGATGCAGGTGTTATTATGCCCACTTTGTAGCTGAGGACACTGAGGTAAGCCAAGGGGCAAAGAGAAAAGAGACCCATGGAAACCCTTCTCTTAGAAGATTTGCAGACTTATGAAACCGCAATGATCCAGACCAGAGGCTCTCGAACTTTCGAAACTCCCAGAGGGCTTGTTAAAATACAGATGGAGGGTCCAGCCCCACAGTTTCTGATTCAGAGGGCTGAGGTGGGGCTGGGAGTTTGCATCTCTCACAAGATCCCAGGTGATGCTGAATCCCGCTCCTTCCCCTCCCTGCTCCCCACTGCACAGTCCAGTCTGTATAAACTTCACTTGGAATGCCCATCTGCAAAGCGGGGCTTATTTGCAAAAGGACCTGCCCCCAAACTGAGAGAAGCTTGACTTTGGGCTAAAAATGTCTACATTTTAAAGACACTCTGATTGAGAGCAAACCCAACCAGTTATTTTTAAAAGACTAATGATGGAGCTGAAAAGCCATGGAATGGTTCCAACTGCACATTAAGTCCTTTCTGAGAAACCGCACAGCCCCAGATTCTTCCAGCATCACTGCTTGCCCACTAAGTAGGAGAGAACATTCTCCATGCCATCTCCTAGGCCCTGCCCTTCCCTGTCTGGGCTATGATAGAGGAGACCTGGAAGGTTCCAGAAGGCCAGGCCACAGGGGGCTCTGTAGACCATGGCAGGACTTTGGATTTCAAAATAAAGAAGATGGGAGGTCACTGGGGAGTCCTGAAGTGACATGTCACTGTGGAAGCTATGTTGAAACCCAGTGGTAGGGGCACATGTGAGAACAAAGAGATCCATTCAGGGGTTACTGCACCAGTCCAAGTGAGAGCTGACATGGTGGCTTGGACCAGTATGATACTGGTGGAGGTGGTGAGGGATGATTAGATACTGGATATGGTCCGAGGGTAGTGCCAGTGGCATCTGAGGTTTGCCCATGGTTGGATGTGGGTGTGAAGGCAAGCCAGCAATCTTATGCAGGAGGGCCTCTGACACCTCAGGCCGAGGAAACTGGCCTTCCCCTCAAGGTCAATGGTTTTCAAACATTTTACACATAAAATAATCTGGGGACCTTGCCAGAAATGCAGGTTCCTGTTCCCTCACCCTGGGGATTCTGTCTGTTGGCGATGAGGCCCCAGAAACTGCATTTGTAACAGCAGCGTTGGGGCTTCTGCCCCAGTGAGTGATCAGGAAATGGAATGAACATGCCAACTTGGCCATCTCTTGAAGGGCTCTATCGGAGTCAGTGGAGTGAAGAAGTTAAGAGAATGGTCTGGCTGGGCCCAGTGGCTCACACCTGTAATCCCAGCACTTTGGGAGGCCGAGGTGGGTGGATCATGAGGTCAGGCATTCGAGACCAGCCTGGCCAACATAGTGAAACCCCGTCTCTACTAAATATACAAAAAATTAGCCAGACATGGTGGCAGGTGCCTGTAATGCCAGCTACCTGGGAGGCTGAGCCAGGAGAATCACTTGAACCTGGGAGGTGGAGGTTGCAGTGAGCCGAGATTGTGCCACTTTACTCCAGCCTGGGCAAGAGAGAGAGACTCTGTCTCAAAAAAAAAAAAAAAAGAATGGTTTTTGAGAAACCTGGTACTGGGCTGGCTCTGCTGTGGGTGATCAAGAGCCTTTGGGGACACAGAACAAGCTTTATCCTCTGAAATCCCACTGTTCACTCTCTGCTCCTGGTCTTAGTCTTCTCGGGCTGCAAAATACCATAGCCTGGGTGGCTTAAACAACAGAAATTTACTTTCACAGTCCTGGAGGCTGAAAGTCTGAGATTGGGGTGCCAGCACGGTCATGTTCTGGTAAGGGCTCTCTTCCTGGTTTGCAGACGGCCGCCTTCTTGCCATGTCCTCACATGGCAGAGAGGCAGATTGGGCTCTCTGGTGTCTCTTCTTATCAGGATGCTAATCCTATTCAATAAGGGACCCACCCTTATGACCTCATTTAACCTTAATTATTCCTTAGAGGCTCCATCTCCAAATACAGCCACATGGAGGATAGTTAGGATTTCAACATATAAATTTGGTGGGAGACACAATTTGGTTCATAGCACCCTCAAACCCTCAGTTCTGCTGAGGTGCACCTAGCTCTTGGGGACACTCTCCTACTACTACTCAAGTCTCTGAATTTACCTGAGCCATTTAGAAAAAAATATAAGCAATCCTACACTTCTTCCCTGCCCCTTCGCCAGCACTCAGAAAACCCCTCACAGCTTGGATTGGGAGTTGAAAGGATCTCTTTGGTAACATTGCCTTAAAAGTAAAAGTAATGAAAGTAAACAGTAATCATTCATATTTATTTAGCCCTCATTATGTAGAAGGCCCTGGATTGTGGGGTGCCTTCACATTATTTAATTTAATCAGACAAAAACCTTAGGAAGCGGGTATTGACAATCCATTTTACATTCAAGAAACTTGCCACAATCGCATGGCTGGTAGGTGGCAGACCCCAACCACCATGCTCTTAAGTCCCTTACTCCACTGCTGCTTCGAGAGTTTTCGAAGATTTGGCCAGGTGCAGTGGCTCATGCCTGTAATCCCAGCACTTTGAGAGGCCAAAGTGGGTGGATCACCTGAAGTCAGGAGTTCGAGACCAGCCTGACCAACACGGTGAAACCCTGTCTCTACTAAAAATACAAAAATTAACTAGGCATGGTGGCACGCACCTGAAGTCCCAGCTACTCAGGAAGCTTAGTCAGGAGAATCACTTTAACCCAGGAGGCGGATGTTTCAGTGAGCTGAGATTGCATCAGTGCACTCCAGCCTGGGCAACAGAGTGAGATTCCATCTCAAACAAAACAAAAAACAGACAAACAAACAAAAACTGGGGGGGAGTTTTCAAAGATTTGACCAAGTGTTAATTACAGTCATTTAGAACAAAACAATACCGGCCTTGCAGCGAATGAGGGATGGAGCCTCATCTATCTCTGCTGGATGTCAACAAGAAGGTGCAGTTAGATTCGCTGGTCTTTGCAAACAGGCTTTCCCTACCTGCCCTGTATGCCACAAGATAAGCTGTTGAGTATTTTTCTAAACTTCATTTGGGTTGACAGATGTTGCTAGAGAAGGCAGCCTTCGAAACATTCCAGTTGCAGCCAGCCGCACGTCTCTCACCTGAGACCGCCTCTTGGATATTAAGAGGCGGCCCCTGACAAACGATGGCCTCATTCTGTCAATAGGCTGGGTGAGGATGGCCCACCAGCTCCTTCTAGGCCAAAGCCCCCTGCTCTCCACTCCCGGGAAGGCATCGTTGCACTCAGGGCTTTATGAAAACACTGGGAGCTGCTCACCAATAATCTCATCATCTCTTCACCAGCTTAAGGATGGGAACAAGAATCCTATCTTACGTCTGCATAGCACTTTCCAGTTTACAAAGAACATCCATTTTTCTCATCTACTTCTCAGGGTAATGGTGGGAAGAGGACATGTTTACGCGTATTCTTCATTTACAGTTGAGGAACACAGGCCCAGAGAGGCTAAGTGGCTTGTCAAGGTCATCGTCTAGGTGGGCGAGGCAGCATTTACATGCGTAGCTGACTTTCAAGCCCACACTCTTTTTTCTACATTACGCTTTCTTAACATCTGACATTTATGTATTATTTTACAGTTTACAGAGCACATTTGAATATATGATATAATTAAATCCAAATCATTGTCGACAGCCAGGGATATTATTCCAGACTGAATATGAGATATTTTCTTCCTCTTAAAAATACCTGAGCTTCCTTGCTAGTAATTCTGTTTCCTGGGATTGGGGTGCTTAAACAGAAACTTGCCAAGCCCTTCTCTCTCCCCAGTCTTTAAATCTCCTTCTTATTACTCACCTAGAAGAGATGTTTCTGTCTTATCGTACAATTCTAAATGTATAAGTATACAAGTTTGCTGTTTGGAATCATTGGTAGGAAATAAAGCTGAATGATCTTGACTAGAATTAGCTTAGTGCTTCCTATCTGTGTAGTGAAATGGCCCCCAGAAGAGCTATCTGTGAAGGCTGCACAAACTCCAAGGCGGTTCATCACAGGAATCTCAGCCTTCTCTCCATTCTTAGGGCATCTTGCAGCCCAGCTCCCTGTCTGCTGCTGCACGGTTCCCCTAGACTTGACCACAATCTCTCTAGGCCTGGGGCTGGGGTCTCGAAGGACTCTACACATGGTAGATCAAACCTGGGCATCTCCCAGGGAGAAGGCATTCAGCTCCATGAATAGGGACAGGGACTCAGATGAGCTGGTCCGGGTCCCAGCTCTCCCACTTACTGCCTGTCAAGGCATTTTACTTTTCTGGGTCTCAGTATCTGCATCTGTAAAGTGGGGATAGTAATAGCTGCCCTGAGTGGCTTTTTTTTTTTTCACAAGGTACCACACAGAAAAAGCAACACAGTGCTTAAAAAATGGCAGCACAGGCCAGGCGCGGTGGCTCACGCCTGTAATCCCAGCACTTTGGGAGGCCAAAGCAGGTAGATCACAAGGTCAGAAGTTCGAGACCAGTCTGGCCAACATGGTGAAACTCCGTCTCTACTAAAAATACAAAAATTAGCCGGGCATGGTGGCACACACCTGTAATCCTAGCTACTCAGGAGGCTGAGGCAGGAGAATTGCTTGAACCCAGGATAGGGAGGTTGCAGTGAGTTGAGATTGTGCCACTGCACTCCAGCCTGGGCGACAGAGTGAGACTCTGTCTCAGGAAAAAAAAAAAAAAATAGTGGCACAAGTGCTTCCCATCATCTTCCCACTTGGAAGTCTGCTCTCTCACCTCACTGGCCTGGAGCGCTATCACAATAGTGGTTTCATTTTCTCCTACTGAAGTTGGCCAATTTCTTTTCACCCTGCTGGACTGAGTTTCATGAGGCCAGGAATCTGAGTTAAGGGGCCTGGGATCTCCATGGTCTCTACCCCTGTGCACTGTGTGGCTTTGAACTGGTCACTTTCCCTCAGAGGGCCTCACTTGCTTCCCCTCTGTAAAGTGAGGGGCTGGACGGAGTGATCTCCGAGGATTCCACAAGTATTGGAAGTGATGTAGACTTCTGAATATTTTAAGAAGTGGAATGTCCATGTTTACTGAGGACATTCTGCCCACCAGGATTCCCACTCGGCATTACCATGTCCTACTGCCACCCTAAGAGACTGGGCTGCCAATACTCACATTGTTAGAGAAAGTGCTGAGCTCAGGGAGACCCAAGCACCTGCCCAAGGTCACACTCCACCTGCCCAAGGTCACACTACTGGAGAGTGGTAAGTGGTGGTGCTGCTCCCTACCAGTTCTCCCCCAACCCAGATGGAAATCTCAAGGAAAAAAGCCTTGCTTCTGCCACCACCCACCCCACCAGCTCAGGAACAGAAGTTGCACATGTGCAGTCATTGTATTAAGCATTACGGCAACAAGAAGTCACTATCACCTTTGTCCTTGGCCGGATGGAGAAATTAATTAAGTGTCACGACTGGACCATAAATAGAACTTGCAGAAAAATCATTACCCCCAGAAGCCAGCAGCACCAAAATAACAAACATAATCAAAGGTGAAAGCAACTCTTCTATCATTTCATTAATCACAGGTCATACTGCTGGCCACAGCAGAGTGGCCCAGAGGTCTCAGTCCAGTCCCATCCAACGTCACCCCTGATTCCATCATGACACGAACACAAGTTCCTGAGTCACCATCTGGGAAGACAGGGCCACAGTTCTAGTCACTGCTTCCTGCAACTGCTTCATGCTGTTGTGGACATTTCTCGAGAGATTAATGGCTCCTATAGAACCTTTGGAGGCTCAGGACTCATTCCTCAGCAAGTGGTCAAAATCTCTGGCTTAAAAAGGACTTCAGAGATAACACAATCTAGGCCCTTGCAGGGTAACAACAACACCCAGAATGACAAGAGGGATTACTAAGAGTGGTCTGTATACAACACGTGCTTAATATGTGTCAGGCACTGTGGTGAGTACTTTATGGGCACCTTTTGTTTAATCCTCAGAACAAAATCTGGATGGTAGATGCTTTTATGGCCCCTGATTGTCTGTGGTTGTTTGCCTTTGTTTAGTGATATGGCAAAGCTTTGCATTTGTCTTGGGCTCTGTGTGTTAGTTGGGTGTGGGCAGACCTAGCCATTCACTCAGAGTCCTCCAGGCTGGGGCTGGTAGTGGGGATAAAAAACCAGGGCAGATAAAGCATGATTTCTGGTCCTGTCGCTGTGGCTTTCTGTAGTTGCCCTGTGAGATTCTGAAGGGCATGGGTTGCCCTTCCTGACATTGCTAACAACAGCCATCCAGCCCCCCAACTTGGTTGCTTCCAGTGATGGGGAGCTCACCACTGCCCCAGGAGGTCCCTTCTCACTGCCATGTGCTCTCTGCTCTCTGCCTGGGAGCTGAAATGTGCAAAACCTCCCCCGACACCCCAGTTTAACACAGAGTAAATCAACCTCTTCTTCCATCACCACAGCCTTTCTCTACGAGGATCTGAGGATTCAGAAGGCAGTAACCATGACCACTCAGTTCTGCCAGCCCTGGCTGACTCCTCAATGTGCAGATTCACAGATGGGCAAGCCTCCTCTGATGCAGGGCAGGGAGAAGCAGGGAGAGGGTAGGATGACCCAACGTGAGATGGGGGTGTTAGAACACAAAGGAAGAAGCAAGTCATTGCCTGGAAGAGGCAGGATAGGTTACAGGGTGCCTGTGGTGCACATGGTGAGAAAATTCAGACAGAGGCAATGCACAGGTAGTGGAAAGTGAAGGTCCTGTTTCCCTCCTCTGCCTTGCGACCTCCAATTCCTGTGAGCTGGAAGTGAATGCTGTTTGCAATTTCTGGCATATACGCATAAAAATGAAATATGTGCACTGCTGTGTGCATCAATATCTGTATCCATATAATTTTGCACACAAATAGGATCACCTTATAGCTACCGTACTGCACTTACACAATTTTAACCATGCCTTGACGCTTCTCCGTGTCAGCATATATAGATCTACCCTGTTGTTTATAGACTGTATAGAATTCCATAGTATAGATGTACCATGAGTTTCTAAAATCCTTCCCCTACTAATGGACACTTAGGATGCTTTTCTCCTGTTTTCTTCTTTTTTTGATATTGTGAATAATGGTGCAATGAACATCTTTGTGTATATATCAGTACATACTTGAATGAGCAATCATCTCTTTCCAGTGGAACTTATGGGTCAAGTATTATTTTTACTAGTATGTTTTGATAGCTCTTGCCAAATTAACTTGGGGTTGGGATCTTCAAGGATCAGCACTGAGGAGGAAGATCTTTCTGAGGAGAGGAACTAGTAGTACAAAATCTTGGTGCTTTGAAAGGGCTTTTTCAGGGTGTTAGGGAACAGAGCTGGTGCTGTGGGCGGTCTGGCAGGTGGGCCTGGAGCGGGTGGGGGTGAGGGATGAGGGGAGGAAAGGGAGTTTGTCTACAGTCGGTCCTGATTAATGCTCCCAGCTTGTCAGTTTCTCCCCTGCTCCTGAATGCCACCATCTGCCATCAACCAGCCCTGGGATCTTGTGTGGTTGAAAAGCCTGCCTTCCTGTCACTATCCTCTCTCTCTCTGTTCCCTTCTCAGCCAGACTGCCCTTCCCTCCTGGGGTGGCACTGCCTCCACAGCCTCCCTTCCAGCTCAAGAGAGGATGTCCACTCCCTGTCTCTCCTCCCAAAGGGCTCACGCCAAACGCCTGGGTACCTTCCACTCCCATGTCAGCTCTGAGCTCCTCTTGGCTCTCTCCCCACAGCATGTGACCACGTGGAAGCCTCCCTCCTGGAGACACGGTCTTCCCACGTCTGTTTCATCTCGCTCTCCTGCTTCTTGCTCTCTCTCTCTTGCTGGCTTCTGTCTGCTTTTCCTTGCTGTGGGCCCCACAGGGCTCTCTCTCTCGCTCTCTCTTCCTGTCATTCATTCCCCAGGTTGAAATACCTTCAATGAATCCATGCCCTCCAAATCATTGTCTCCAGGCCAGCCTGCTTTTTTGCCACTGGGATATCGCATTAGCCTGTTAAAAATGAATCTCTTGGTCTTCCCTTCCCAATTCTGTTTTTCCTTGAGTCTCGCCCATTTTAATAAATGGTCTCTCCACCCACCTAGTTGTTCAAGCCAGAAGCCTGAGGTCATTTTTGAGACTTCTCTTACCTCCTCTCAACACCTCCACATCCCTAGGACCATAAACCTCTGCTCTCCTGCCCTCCCCCACCTGAGCAGCTGTCGTCCCTTGAAGCCCCCACAGCCTCCTCGCTGGTCTCCCTGTTTCCACTATTGCCCCTTTCAATACAGCATCCAGAATGACCTTTTAGAAACACAAATCAGGGCTGGGCATAGTGGCTCATGCCTGTAATCCCAGCACTTTGGGAGGCCGAGGTGGGCGGATCACCTGAGGTCAGAAGCTCAAGACCAGCCTGGCCAACATGGTGAAACCCTGTCTCTACCAAAAATACAAAAATTAGCAGGGCGTTGTGGCATGTGCCTGTAGTCCCAGCTACTCAGGAGGCTGAAGCACAAGAATCGCTTGAACCCAGGAGGCGGAGGTTGCAGTGAGCTGAGATTGTGCCACTGCACTCCAGACTGGGTGACAGAGTAAGATTCTGTCAAGAAAGAAAGAAAAGAAAGAAAGAAAGAGAGAAAGAAAGAGAGAAAGCAAGCAAGCAAGCAAGAAAGCAAGCAAGCAAGCAAGCAAGCAAGCAAGCAAGCAAGCAAGCAAAGATAGATCAAACCACGCACTCCCCCACTTTAAACTCTTCAACAACAACATTTCTTGCCCTGCCCACCTTTCTTGCCCTGCTCTGAGGGATCGAGCCCCGCCTCTCCAGCTGCCGCTGTAACCCACGCCCCTGCTCCCGTCACCCTGCGGGCCTTCATTTCGCAGAACCTGCTCCCCGCATTCCCACCTTGGGGCCGGTCCCTGGCCTCTGCTCAGAACACCCTGAGTCCCACCTGGCGAAGCTTCCATCTCAGCATTACCTTCACTGACACATCTCTTTGATCCACCTCTTAATATAAATGAGGTCCTCTCTGTCCTCCTCATTAAAACTTATTTCACAGAACGCATCACAACGTCTAATTACATGCAATTTCTGCGTTTCCATGTTTAATGTCTGCCTCGGCCACCGGATGTCAGCAGTGCTAGGGCTTGGGTGTTCTGTTCATCCCTGCACGTCCCCATCACCCCCAGTGCCTGGCGTGTAGGGGCGGCTCATTGAACATTAGGTGATCCACTTAGGGTAGAAAAAATCCAGGCTTGATATCAGACATGCCTAAGTTCAAATCCAGGGTTGGCCTCTTACACATTGCGGGGTGATCTTCGCTTACTCACTGCCCAGCTGGGAGCCTCAGTTTCTTTCTACCCTGCCCGGCTCTGGGGGGCTCAGTGATAGAAAACAGACATAAGGGGCTGGGCCTGTGTCTGGCACATGGAAGACACACTGGAAACATGGCCTTCTTTCTTGATTGTCTTTAAGTCATGAGAGGGGCCAAGCCTGGCAGAATAAAGAGTATTCTCATGGAGGGCTGCGGCTCAGAATTCCCATTCTATCCAAAGATGGGCAAATTGGAAGACGGGCAAATTGGCCCTAACTCAGCCACCAACAGCAACCCTCTTCCCCATCCCCCCGACTGTCCAGCAGTTAACTGGCGGGGCCTTCTAGAATCTCCAGAAGACCTCAGCCTCAGCCTTCTCAGCCTTGGGCAGGGCAGAGCAGTGCCCACTCACCAAGTGGACTGAGCCCTATCCTCAAGGTGAGACCCCTCTGAGGAGCTCTTCAAAGCTGGCCTGCCATTTGGAGCGGTGACAGGAGGCAGATCAGTGTCAAAAATAAGACAGAGCAGTGGGTTTCAACTTGACTCACATTAAGAATGTCACGTTAGAGCACAAATGAGAGAGAAGAGAAATGCTCTTTTATGCGGGAGTTTATTTTTGTCACTTTGTCAGAGAGAAACTGCAGCCTGGAGGGCACTGGAGCTGCATCGAATCACCCAAAACATTAACATGCAAATTGCCTTCTTTACAGAAGGTAATTTTATTAGTGCACGAAAATGTTTCTTTCACTGTATTCATGCCTAGGAGCAGTGCTATCTGGGGGCCAGTTAGGGCAACCGCAAGAGAAGAATTAGGGACAGTCCTGAACTCGGTTAAGATCTATTACCTCCCCAACTTGGGACCACCACGTATCCTCGGATGCATGGAACACAGTGCGCTGCGATGTGACAGCTGGCTACCGATGGATGCACAGGCTGGAGGGGGCAAGTGACTTGTTCAAGATCATACAGCTTCTTTTTTCTTTTCTGAGACAGGGTCTCGCTTTGTCACTCAGGCTGGAGGGAGTATAGTGGCTTGATGTTGGCTCACTGCAACCTCTACCTACCAGGTTCAAGCGATTCTCCTGCCTCAGCCTTCCAGGTAGCTGGGATTATATGCAATTGCCACCATGCTTGGCTACTTTTTGTATTTTTAGTAGAGATGGGGTTTCACCATGTTGCCCAGGTTGGTCTTGAACTCCTGACCTTAAGTGATCTGCCTGCCTCAGCCTCCCAAAGTGCTGGGATTACAGGCATGAGCCACCATGCCCAGCTGATCATACAGTTTCAATGAGGAGGCAGAGTTGAGGCCACGTGGCCTGTGTCCAGACACCAGGTGACCAATAGGGAACCATGAGGTCCTGGAAGTTGTCACTCTGAGAGTAAGGAGCCTAGTGAGACCCCATCTACCTATTTGTTCACTCACTTGCTTGATTATTCAATAAGCTTTCCCTGTGCTAGGCCCTGGGCCCCAAACATGAATCAGGCACTGGCACGAGGCACTTGGCCTCCACTGGGAGCAGGTGGAAAGGGGATAAGACACCTACAAATACTTCTGATCCAGCGAGCTATGACGGCTGGGGAGGTGTGCCTGGAATCAACAGAGCAAGGAGAGAGCATGGCTGTTTGGCAGGGAGGGCAGGGAGAAGGGTCTGGAAGCTTCACAGACAACCGTCTCACCCATGGGCCTTGTGCAGGCAATCAAGGCAGGGAGGGATGTTACAGGAAGGAGACACCATGAGCAGAGGCCCCACGATGGAAGCACGTTGGCTGGCCCCAAGCAGCACAGGACGTGTGGGCGAAGAGTGTGGCGGGAATGGGGGCTGTGGTTGTGGAGGATGGAGATGAGGCTGGCAAGTCTAATCTCAAAGGCTAAAGAGCTCAGATGTACCTGTATCCTGCAGGTAGCAGGCAAACCCTCCAGCGCCCATTCAGAACAGAACCGTGCTCCCCATGAGATTTTGGAAGGGAGGGGCTTCTCCAGGCCCTGTGTTGCCAAAATGACAGAAGGTTCTCTGAGGCTGCGCTTATGTAAGGCTTCCTCCTCCCTTCGCAGATGTGATCAGTGGGGAAGTGTGGGCAGAGACTCCCACCTGCTACCAAGAAGAACGCACTCAGTCATGTAAGGTCTCGTGGAACAGACGAGGTGAGCTCCCTTTCTCTAGAGGCTGCTTGGGGCCTCCCGGGCTGAGGACACATCTTTGCCCTGAGTCACGTGGCAGCTGCATGGTGTGGCTGTGGTGGGGCACGAAGAACTGTTACAGCAGCCCAGGAAGCTGAAGGGGAAAAGCCCAATGATTATTATCGTTGGGCCAGACCATTGTTTGTTGTGGGGGTCTGTCTTGTGCATTTCAGGTTGTCTAGCAGCAGCCGTCGGCTTGACCCACTAGATGCCAGTATAGCAACTCCCTTCCCCCAGTATGACAACTAAAAATGTCTCAAATCGTGGCCAGATGTCCCCCTGGGAGTTAAAATTGTCCCCAGTTGAGAACCACTCGTCTCTCTAGACTTCAGGGAAGACATGGATGCCTGACCACTGGAAGTGTCCCAATTCTTCCAGCGAGATGCAGAGCTCCCCGAGAGCATGTGCCTGCCTTCTTCCACCTCTCAGGGGGCAAAGGACAGGGTATATTTCATCACATATTTGTGGACTATCTCAAAAAGGAATGTGTCTAACTTACTGCTTAAAACATCTGGAAAAAGAGCAGGCTGGGGATGTAGAAAGTCAATGGACAGTCGGTGCTTCTTCCAATACTTTGCTAGGGTCTCAGAGTCCCTCACATGTAAAACAAGGGGGTTGAAAGAGATGATCTTTAGGGCTCCCTCTCCTTTTTTTTAAAAAAAAAAGACACGTGGTCTCTCTCTGTCACCCAGGCTGGAGGACTGGAGTGCAGTGATGTAATCATAGCTCACCGCAGCTTCAAGTTCCTGGGCTCAAGCAATCCTCCTGCCCCAGCATTCTAAGTAACCAGGATTATAGGTGCATGCCACCCTGCCTGGCTAATGTTTTTGTAACTTTGTGTATGTGTGTGTAGAGTCAGGGTCTCGCTATGTTTCCCAGGCTGGTCACAAACTCCTGGGCTCAAGTGATCCTCCTGCCTTGGCCTCCCAAAGTACAGGCATGAGCTACTGTGTGCCTGGCCCCCTTCTACTTTTGAACACTATGATTCCATGTCAGTAAGATGAATAAGGTGAATATGTAGGAAATGTTACCCATGAATTCTGAAGGTGGCTCCTATGGGCCAGATGAGTCTCTGTCTTGGGTAACCTGGGCATTTTTTGATGACAAATAACTGATCAGATGGTTTGTGAGATTCTCTCTGCTCTCTTGGGTTAAATGAGTAAGCCCAGATTTCCCCGGAGAATCTCTGAAAGGTAAACACTTCTGGAATGTTGGTCATTGCTGCAGTTTCTCAAAGACCATTAGAATCTAAAGACAAAGAATTATGGCTCTACCACTCACGAGCTGGGTGACCTTGGACACATTATTTAACCTCTCTGAGCCTTAGCTTTCTTCTCTGTAACCTGGAGTACAGAGCTTAAATCTCAGGATTGTTGGGAGATGTGCGAAATGCTAACAGAGGACTTTTAGTTTCAGCTCTGACGCATAAAGAGCTTAGAAGTCATTGCTCCTGGCTGGGCACAGTGACATATACCTGTAATCCCAGCACTATGGGGGCCGAGGCTGGAGGATCCCTTGAGCGCAGTAGTTCAAGACCAGCCTCAGCAACATAGTGAGACCCCCATCTTTATTTAAAAAAAAAAATGAGAGAAGTAGTCACTCCCATCTTTACAACAATAAAAAAAAGCTGAACAAATTGAAAAATCAATGACTTTTCTAAGATCCATGAGTACTGAGGTCACAGGACAAGCCACCACCCTAAAAACCATTGAGACCTGTGAATATAGAGAATCACAGCTGAGTTCAGCTTACCAGGAGCAGAAGCTTCTGGAGCCAGGAGCTGATAAGAACATTTCACTCGTAATTGATGAGTTGCTAGAGACAGTGTGAGGCTCAACCTTTAACTAGGTTGAGTTAAAAACGCCTGGGGGCCAGTCTTAGGGGGTCTCCCACCTTTTTGTGAGTGGGGCTCCAGGAGCCCCACCAGGTTCTCAAGAAAAAGATTAGAGAAAATCTTCTCATGCTTCAGAAAGGGGTGGGGGAGGTAACCATTTTGGAATATGCCTAGAGCACTCTCCATAACAAAGGCCTGCTAATGCGGGAAACTATTATTTATTTACTTATTTTTTGTTATTATTATTATTATTAGAGACAGGGTCTTGCCCTGTCACCCAGGTTGGAGTGCAGTGGTGCAACCACAGCTCACTGCAGCCTTGACCTCCTGGGCTCAAGCCATCCTCCTACCTCAGCCTCCCAAGTAGCTGGGACTACAGGCGTGTGACATCACACCTGGCTATTTTTAAAATTTTTTGTAGAGACAGGTGTCTCACTGTGCGGCGTAAGCTGATCTCGAACTCCTAAACTCACATGATCTTCCTGCCTCAGCCTTCCAAAGTGCTGGGATTACTTGGTGTAAGCCATCACACCCAGCCAGAAACTACTTTAGTAGAGGCTGATCTGACCTAGGGGAAGGGCAATTAGGTAACTCTAGCTTTTCTAGCCTTTCTAGTTTTCACACATAAAGGGAGAAAAAAGGGGCTAAGAAGCACTTCTGAAAGTCACAGCCCATGGACTCAAGCCCACTAGGAACAGATTTAATCTCAAGATTGTAAAATGTTTCTCTACCCAGCACCTTATCACCACATCAGCAGGGTTCACTCCAGTGCAATAACAGTGGATTCCAATTGAGAGAGATCCAAGAAAAAGATTCCATTTAAGGAGTTTTTAAGGAAATACGAAGGCAATAGGGAGAGAAAAAAAAACAAAACAAAAAAAACAATTGGAGGAAACCGAAGCTTCTGGCACCTATGACTACAGCAAACATTAAACACAGCCCAGCTCCTAGAAAGATAAATATAAAACCTCACACTGAAAGCCTGATTACCTTGGTTCCTATTATCAGGTACTTCATGGCTGGCTTTCAACAAAACATTACAAGACCTGCTAAAAGGCAGGAAAATATACAGTGCAAAGAGACAAAGCAAGCATGAGAAACAAACTCAAGTATGACACAGATGTTGGAATTATCCAATGGAGAATACAAAATAATGATTAATATGTTAAAGTCTCTAATGGAAAAAGTAGGCAACATTCAAGAACAGATGGAAAATGTAAGGAGAAATGGAAACTCTAAGAATCCAAAAGAAATGCTAGAAATAAAAAACATTATAACAGAAATGAAGAAGGCTCTCAATGGGCCCATCAGCAGATTGGATACAGTCAAAGAAAGAATCAGTGAGCTTGAAGATATGTCAATAGGAATGTCCTAAACTGAAACAATGAATTAAAGAAAAAAAATACTGAAAAAAAGGAGACTATCCAGGAACAGTGGGACAATGACAAAAAGTACAAAATATATGTTATGAGAATATCGGAAGGAGAAGAATGAAGGGAGCAGAAGATAGATTTGAAGCCGTAATATTTGAGAATTTTCCAAAATTACAGACAGACACCAAAACCACAGATCTAGAAAGCTCACAGAAAACCGTGCAGGACAAATAACAAAAATCTACACCTAGAGAAAATCATATTTAAACTGTAGAAAACCAGAGACAAAGAGAAAATCTTGAAAGAAGCCAGAGAGGAAAAATAATACCTTACCTATACAGGTAAGGTATATATGCCTTAGGTAAGGTATATATAATGCCTTAAGGACAAGAATTACACCAGCCATCTCACCTAAAACCATGCAAGCAAGAAGAGAGTGGAGTGAAATACTTAAAGTATTAGAAAAAGAAACCCCACCAACCTAGAATTCTGTATGGAGTGAAATTATCCTCCAGAAATGAAGGAGAAATACACTCTCAGACAAACAAAAACTGAAGGGATCTGTTGCCAATAGACTTGCTTTGTAACAAATATTTAAAAACAAATTTCAGAGAACAGAAAAATGATATGGGCCAGAGACTCAGATCTACATAAAGAAAGGAAGAGCATTAGAGAATAAATAATAGAAGATACAATAAAATGTTTTTTCTTAATTTTAATTGATCTAATAGATAATTGTTCAAAGTAATAATAGCAACACTGCATTGGGTGATTATAGCTTGGGGATAAGTGAAATGAATAACAGCAATGTTATAAGGCATGGAAAAGAGAAATCAGAAGTTCTCTGTTATAAAGTACCTGCACTATCTGTTAAAGGGGTATAGTGTTATTTGAAAATGGACTTATTAGCTGGAAACTAATTGTAAACTCTAGGATAATGACTATTTTTAAAAAGGAGTATAATTGCTAAGCTAAAAGAGGAGATAAAGTGGAATTATACAAAATTCTCTATTAAAACCAGAAAAGGCAGAAAAGAGAAGTAAAAACAGAAACAAAGAACAAGTCAGTGAATAGCAAGCTGTTACAAACATTGATAGGTATCAATCCAACTATATCAATAAGTATTTTAAATGTGAATGGTTTAAATAAATTAAAGGACAGAGACTGTTGAGAGGATTAAAAAACGAGACCCAACTGAAACACAGCTTAAAGATAAAAAGAAACACACTTTAAATGTAAAAACAACAAAAAAAAGATAGATAAAAAAGCAAAGGGTTGGAGGAAGATATATCATGATAACCCTAACTAAAAGAAAGTTACAGTAGCTATATTAATTTCAGACAAAGCAGACTGCAGAACAGGGAAAATTATCAGGGATAAAGGTGAGTAATAATGATAAAGGGACAATTCTCCAAGGAGACATAATAATCCTTAACATGTATGCACCTAACAATGGAGTGTCAAAATATGTGAGACAAAACTGATAGAACTACAAAGAAAAATAGATAAATCTACTATTATAGGTGGAGACTTCAACACCCCTCTATCAGTAACTGACAGATCCAGCAGGCAGAAAATTGGTAAGGGTATAGTTGAACATAGCAGCACCATCAATCAACTATGTCTAATTGACATGTATACAATACTTTATCCAACAAGAGTAGAATATACATTCTTCCCAGTTCAAATGAAATATTCACCAAGACAGACTACATTCTAGACCACAAAACACACCTTTTTAACACATTTAAAAGAATAGAGATCATACAAAAAATTCTCTCAGGCCACAATAGAATTAAACTAAAAATCAATAACAGAAAGACGGTTGAGAAGTCCCCAGATATTTGGAGAATAAGTAGCACATGTCTAAACAACATATAGGTCCAAAAAAATCTCAAAAGATATTTAAAAATATTTTAAACTAGGCGAAGATTAAAATATAAATTATTGAAATTTGTGGGATCCAGTGATATTAGTGCTTAGAAGAACAATTTATAGCAATAGATTAGACAAGAAGAAAGATCTAAAATCAATAAGCTTCCATTTTAGGAAACTAGGAAAAAAGTAAATTTAATCCAAAACAAACAGAAAGAAAGAAATAATAAAAATCAGAACACAAGGCCGGGCCCGGTGGCTCACGCCTGTAATCCCAGCACTTTGGGAGGCCGAGGCGGGCGGATCACGAGGTCAAGAGATCAAGGCCATCCTGGCTAACAAGGTGAAACCCCATCTCTACTAAAAATACAAAAAATTAGCCAGGCGTGGTGGCTGGCGCCTATAGTCCCAGCTACTCGGGAGGCTGAGGCAGAAGAATGGCGTGAACCCGGGAGGCGGAGCTTGCCGTGAGGCGAGATCGCACCACTGCACTCCAGCCTGGGAGACTGCGAGACTCCGTCTCAAAAAAAAAAAAAAAAAAAAAATCAGAACACAAATTAATGAATTAAAAATAGGAAGAAAGCAATAGAGAAAATCTATAAAACCAAAAGCTGGTTCTTTGAAAAGCCTTAAGATCAATAAAATTGATAAATCTCTAGCCCAGCTAACCAAAAACAAACAAACAAAAGCAAACAAAAAAAGCAACAACAGAGAAAGAGAAAAGGTTATTAGATTACTAATTAGTAATTACAAATTACTAATATCAGAAATGAAAGAGGGATCATCACTATCACTACTTATCCCATGGATATTAAAAGGAAAATAAAGAAATATTACAAATAAGTCTATGTCTACAAATTTGATTAGATAAAATAGATCCATTCCTTGAAAGAAATAATTTATGAAAACTCACACGAGAATAAACAGATAATCTGAATAGGCCTTTATCTATTAAAGAAATTAGATGAATAATCAATAACTTTTCAAAAAAGAAAGCACCATGCCAGCTAGCTTCATTTGGTGAGTTCTAACAAACGTTTAAGAAGGAAATGATACAAATTCTCTACAATCTCTTTCAGAATACAGAAGCAGAGAAAACACTTCCTAACTCATTCTGTGAGGCCAGCATTACCCTAATACCTAAACCAGATAATGATATTACCAGAAAGAAAAACTGCATACCAATATTCCTCTTGAGCATAGATGCAAAAACCCTCAATAAAATATCAGCAAATTGAATCACAGGCTGGGCACCAATATAATTCCAACACTTTAAGAGGCCAAAGTAGGAGGATTGCTTGAGTCCAGGAGTTTGAGACCAGCCTGGGCAATCCTGTGAGACCCAGTCTCTACAAAAAATTTTTAAAAATAAATTAGCCAGGTGTGGGGGCACATGCCTGTAGCCCTAACCACTCAGGAGGCTAAGGCAGAAGGATCACTTAAGCCCAGGACTTTGAGTCTGCAATGAGCCAAGATTGTGTCACTGCACTCCAGCCTGGTCAACAGAGCAAGACCCTATCGCTAAGGAAAAAAAAAGAAAAAAAAAAAGGAATCATATACCATGACCAATGCGATTACTTCCTCAACTTGATAAAGCAATATCTACAAAAAAATCTTATAGTTTAATGGAAATAAATTAGACGCTTGCCTCTTAACATCAGGAAGAAAAAGTCCCCCCCCTTACCATTCCTGTCCAACATTGGACTAGAAGTCATAGCTAATGCAGTAAGACAAGAAAAGGAAATGAAAGGTATAGAGATTTGGAAGGAAGAAATAAAATTTTCTGTGTTCAGTGGATTGTCAATGTAGAAAATCCCAATGAATTGACAAAGAAACCTCCTGAAGTAACAAATGACTATAGTATGTTTGAAGGATACAAGGTTATTATAGGAAAGTCAATTTTTAAAAATATATTAGCAATGAACAAATGGAATTTGAAATTAAAAACATATTTGAAGTTAAAACCATTTACATTAGCACCAAAATAAAATAAAATATTTAGGTATAAATCTAAGAGAATATGTGCAAGATCTATATGAGGAAAACTAGAAAACTTAGATGAAAGAAATAAAAAGAAGATCTAAATAAATGAAGAGCTACTTCATGTTTATGAATAGGAAGATCATTATTGTTCTTTCTGACTTGATCTATGGATTCAACACAATCCAAATGAAAATCCCAGCAAGTTATTTTGTGGATATTGACACACTAATTCAAAATTTATATGAAAGGACAAAAGACCAGAATAGCAAACATAACACTGAAGAAGAAAAAGAACCAAGTCAGTGGACTGACACTGCTCAACTCCAAAATTTACTATAAAGCTCTAGTAATCAAAACAGTATGGTATTAGTAAAAGAATAGGTAACTAGACCAATGGAACAGAAGAGAGAGTCCTGGTAGGCCCCTGTGAATATAGTCAACTGATCTTTGACACAGGAGTAAATGCAATTCAATGTAGAGAGGTTAGTCTTTTCAACAAGCTGTGCTGGCACAATTGTGCATCAATAAGCAAAACAAATAAATAAGAGAATCTAAACACAGAACTTACACCTTTCACAAAAATGAAGTCAAAATGGATCACAGACCTACGTGTAAAATACAAACTATAAAATTTCTAGATGATAATATGGGAGAAAATCTAGATGACCTCGGGTTTGGCTATAAAATTTTAGACACAAGACCAAGAGCAAGATTCATGAAGGAAAAAAATTGTTAAGTTGAACTTTATTAAGATTAAAAACTTCTCCTCTGAAAAGACATTGTTAAGAAAATGAGATAAGCCACAGACTGGGAGAAAAGTATATGCAAAATATATATCTGATAAAGAACTTGTCTCCAAAATATACAAAGAATTCTTAAAACTCAACAATTAAAAAAACTCAATTAAAACATGGGCAAAAGAGCTGAACAGACATCTCACCAAAGAAGTTATACAGATGACAAATAAGCGTATGTAAAGATACTCAACATCAAATGTCTTTAGGGAATTGCAAAGTAAGACAATGAGGTGGCACTATATACCTATCAAAATGGCTAAATCCAAAAAACTGAGTACACTAAGTGTTGACAAGGATGTGGGGCAAAAAGAACTCTCATTGATTACTGTAGGAATGCAAAATGGTACTACTACTTTGGAAGACAGTCTGGCGTCCCTCAGCATCCACAGGAGATCAGTTCCAGGTAACCCCACCGCTACCAAATTCTGCAGATACTCGAGTTCCTTATATAAAATGGTGTAGTATTTGCATATAACCTATGCACATCCTGCTGTATACTTCAAATTATCTCTAGATTACTTATAATACCTAACACAATGTAAATGTTATGTAACTGTTACACTGTATTTTTTATTTGTATTTTTAAAATTGTTATATTATTTTTTATTTTTCTTAAAAAAAACCTACCAATCCATGGCTGATTTAAATCTGCACATGTGGAATGCATGGATATGGAAGACTCACTGCATATATATATAGACAGAGAGATAAATAGATACAGATGTAGATAGATACAGAGATAGATATAGATATTCATAGATATGGATATGTGAAAGGGGATTTATTAGGGGAATTGGCTCAGGGCTGAGAAGTCCCACATACAACAGACCATCTTTAAAGTGGAGACCCTAGGAAGTCAGTGGTGTGGCTCAGTCCAAGTCTGATGGCCCACGAACAAGAGATGCCAATGGTGTAACTCTCAGTCCCAGGCCTAAGGCCTAAGTAGTTGGAGCTGGAGGGGTGGGGGTGAGGGGAGGACCTGGTGTAAGTCCTGGATTCCAAAGGTCAGAGAACCTGGAGTTCTGACGTCCAAAGACAGGAGAAGAAGAGTGTCCCAGCTCCATGAGGGAGCAGTGAAGGGGGAGGAGTGGGGAGGTGGTGGGCAAGAGAGAGAGAGAAAGAGAAAGAGAGTCATCTTGGCCTTTTTGTTGCTGTTGTTCTATTTGGGCCCCCAGCTGATTGGATGGTGCCCACTCACATTGAGAGTGAATCTTCGCCATCCAGTTCACTAACTCACACACCAATCTCCTATGGAAACACTGTCACAGACACACCCAGAACTAATGCTTTACCAGTTCTCTAGGTATCCCTTACTCCAGTCAAGTAGACACCTGAAATTAACCATTGCACCATACAATCCAACCATCACGTCCTTGGTAATTGCCCAATCGTGCTACAAACTTATGTCCACACAAAACCCACGCACGAATGTTTATAGTAGCTTTAATTATGATTGCCAAAAACTAGAAGCAAGCAAGGTGTATCTCAGTCAGTGAATAGACGAACAAACTGTGGCATATCTGTTCAATGGACTATTATTCAGAGATAAAAAGAAATGAGCTGGCAAGCCATAAAAGACATGGAGAAACCTTAAATGCATATTGTTAAGTGAAAAGAGCCAGTCTGAAAAGGCTAGATACGATATGATTCCAACAATATGACTTTCTGAAAAAGGCTAAACTATAGAGAGTAAAAAGATCAGGCGCTCACGGAGGGGAGGGCTGAACAGGGGGAGCACAGGGAATTTTTAGGGCAGTGAAACTATTCTGTATTACACTGTAATGGTGGCTACATTTGTCAAATGTCAAATCCCACAGAACTGTACAACACAAAGAGTGAACCTTAATGCAAACTACAGACTTGAGTCGATCATAATATACCAAGGTTTTTCCATTAATTATAACAGCACAATCATGCAAGATGGTGTTATAAGGAAACTGTGTGCATGGGAATGGGAGAGTGCATGGGAATTCTGTACTATCTGCTCAATTTTTTCTGTAACTATATGTTCTAAAAATATTAAGCCTATTAATTTTTTAAAAAAGGCTTTTACAGCACCTGGCCTGTGTTAGGTGCTTGATAAATGTAGCTGGTGTTGGCGTCAATCACCGGCAGTTGCATTAGGAGAGAGCCTGCTGGAGAAGATACAGTCAGGAGACCTGGGTCTCAGCCTGAGCACTGCAGGGGCTATTGGAGGTGGCCCCTAACCCGTCCCATCCTTATTTCCACAGCTCTAAATCTGGAATAAGAGAAATTCCTCCCCTCAGTGCAGTTGGGAGCACTGAGTGCTGTGTTTTGCAACAATAAAGTGTGTGCAAACAATTTACTGCCTGCTCCAGGCTGTGGGAGGAACGGATGGATGAGAGGAGTGGTGGGGGGGAAGCCCTCACAGCCCCGAGAGCTCCCTGGACATGCTGTTGTTGTTAACGCCAGGCTTAGCCAAGACCAAGGGCCAGACCATCCTACTAAACACAGCTCTGCCCAATTCTCAGGCCTGGGAGAATTTGAGGGCCGGGACGGGGCTCACATCTTCATGTGCCTGTGACGGTTGTCACTGCGCAAGGCAGACCAGGACTGAGACTCGGGGCTGGCCCCTGTTCTGCCCCTGCCTGCCTGTGGAGCTGTTTCTAGCCCTCTGAGCCTTGGTTTCCTCCTCTGTATATAGGGTCACGGTAGAGCTCACTGGGAGTGTGTGCACTGTGTGGACAAGTGACTTTGGAAATGGTTTGTAATCTGTGACACACACACCCACCAGGAAGGATGGTGGTGGTTAGACAGAGAAAAAGCTACTGTTTGGGCCAGGTGCATACTTTATCACTAAATCCTGACAGTGCCCCAAGGTAGATGTCATTGCCCCATTTCAAAGGACACTGAGGCTCCCAGAGGTGCAGTGCCCCCTCTCAGGGCTTCCCGAGGGAAGGTAGCAGAGTATTGAAACCCGGCCTGTCTAACTCAGCTGCCGGCTTTCTACACAACACTGGATCCTGCGGCTGCTGTTCCTACAAGATCTGGGGATGGTGGGCAACAAGTGTAGGGAGAGGGGAGGCCTACATCAAAAAGAATTCAGCTTTCTCCCCTTTGTCTGTTTTTGGGGGGTGGGGCCAGACGATGGGCAGAGATCCTATTCTCTCCACCCTCAAGGTGACTGAGGATGAGGAAGGACAGGCACTCGCCCGACAAAGGGGCAGCGGGTGTGACTCCACCTAGTCTGGTGGCACTACGGGTGCAGAAGTGGCTTTAGCAGGCCTGGGAGATCAGGGTCTGGGTGAGCGAGGGGGAGGTTGAGCCGGCATCTCTGCTGGCTCTCTTGCTTTTATTAAAAATAATTCTGACGCCAACTATTTTGTAAGCGTGTAGGGCACACATCCAGAGAGGCCCATCTGACTGCGAGATAATTTCAAGGCTGAAGAACATCGTTCGTGCCAGACACCTCGCACGAGGCGCTGCGTGAAACTGGCCTACTTATCCGAGGCCTCCTGTATTTCAGGGGGAGGGGGCAAGCCATGTTTATGTATAAAGGAGACTGCGCTCAACATTCCAAATGAAAATACTCTTCAATATTTCAGTGCATCGTTAACCAAATACATTTCAGCTGGGGCTTACTCCAGCCGATGTGAGCAGAGGCGTCAGATGACTCGCAGTCGGTGACTGAGGGATTTTGCTGAGAGATGGTCATGAGGCTCAGACACCCATGGGATTGGTGGGTTGCCGCGGCTGAGCCCTGGTCCATGGGACATGTGTAGCAGGGCACCTGCTAGATGCCAGTCTCAGTGCTTGGCCTCATGCAGGCGGGAACAGCTCTGTTTCCTGGATGTTGGCCTCATGTCGGGGGCAGATGTCCAGGCCCTTTCACAGTACTCAATGTGTGCTGTGGTCAAGGGCAGCGCTGGGTGCTGCGGAGCAGGTGAGACGGTACTGGGCCCAGCCTGAGCACTGGGGGAGGCTCTGTGAGGGAGGGGACCTGGGGGGTGGTGGTGAGCAAGGAGAGGGGGTTCCTGCAGAGGTGGGGGCCTGAGGGGGCCGGCCATTCTGGCTGGAGTGAGTGTGAGGCTAGTGATGAGTGGGGATGCAGAGTGGACAGGGGTCCAGCTCTCAAGGCCCTGAAATGCGCCAATGTCCTCCCCTGGGGTTGGAATTGTGAGACCAGTGACTGCAGGCAGCTGGGGGCCGGCACAGGCCTGTAAGTGATGGGAGCAGGCAGGGCTCCTGCTTCACACAGCCATGGACGAGGCTGCCAGCACCACATTTCCTCTGTCTTCCCCAGCCTCACTGTCCCCACTGTCGCCAGGGTGGGATGAGGAGGGCCTGGCACTCTGTCAGCCACCAAGGGAGAGTCTGTTGCGGCCACGTCCTGACCCTCTCATCTGGCTGTGAGGCAGGCCCTTCTTCCCATCTCTGTCCCCAGCACCTGCAGAGCAGCTGGCAGGGGTAGGTGCCCCAGAAGCACTTCCCGAGAAAGTAGTGCAGTAGGAGCAATGGGATCACACTAGGGGCAGACCCGCTTCCTGAGCATTTTCCACAGGCAGACATGGCCCTGAGCGCTTTCCGTGTTTTGTTTCATTTCATCCATCCCAAGGTTTCCAGGAGGCAGGCACCATTATTATCTCCACTTTACACCTGATGAACTTGAGGCTTGGAGGAAGTTGCCTAACTTCCCTGAGGTTAGCTAGCAAGTGACCAAGCGCAGATTGAAAGCCCAGTTTGTCTGATTCTGGAGACTGTGGCTTTGGGTATATAGCAAGTCAACCCAAGGCAGCCCCCGGAGCTGGGCACATAGCTCAGGAGGCAGGCATGTAGCTCATCAAGCAGTGGAAGAAATGTTTCTTATTTTGGTCAAAGAGCACTCAGCATATGTCAGATAATAAACAATGCCATTCTTAGATCTCCCTCTCCAAGCAAGAGGTGTGTGGTGTTTGAGCTCTCATGGGAAGGGGACGTGGGGAAGACTCCACAGTCAGTTTTTTCTTCCTTTGCTCTCATGTTCCCTTTGGTTACTGAAAGGGACCTTTAGCTTATATCTTAAAATAGCAAAAACATCTGGCTTTGAAGTAAACAAAGTTCAGAAGCCCCCAGATGTTGGTCTTTTGTTAGGACCAGGACAAGATTCTTGGTTGCCCAGCTCAAATGTTACCTTTGCGAGTAAAATGTTTGTCTCTCACAGCTGACACCATGATTTTGCCTTTAATTGCCTAATCTTGATGCTGTCCTCATCTCTTACCACGGAGATGTGAAATTCCACTCTGGAAAGAGCTGAGGGCAAAGTCTCCATGATAAGAAGGACCTCCTGAGTGCAATTTACATGAAATAAATGCATCTTCACTGACAAATTTGTTTCTTTATTTGAATTCTGGGCAATGAGAGGGCTACTCGAGGGCTACGACATCCCAGTTTTGCTGATAACATCCTCATTTAGAGTTCTGTGTCCTGCTGGAAATTCTAGAAGTGAAAATTAAAATTCTTATCTTTTTTTTAAATGACAATTAACATTGGCATGCTGGAGAGCATAAGCTACATGTTACTAAATTCCATCCAGCTCTTGAAGAGCCATTGACATTCTGACAGAGGTGAAGGCAAGCCCATTTGGGGAATGATGAACCCAGGGTGCAGACGGGGGGTTCCTTAGGTGGGGAGAGCCACATATTAGATGTAGGTCACTGTCAAATTCTAGCTTTTGTTTTGAGTGGTGAGTTTGCGGATGCTTATTCCATTATTAAAAATAGCTAATTTAAAAAGCTAACTAAATAAAAGTAGGTTATGCGTGGATCATGATGGAAGTGTCTCATGAACCCAGGGTGATGGGTGATGGCTAATCTAATTCTATGCACCTGAGGTCTAATAAAACACAAAACAAACAATCAAAAGCAAATTTATTTAAACGGATTATTTGAGTTTTAGATTTCATCATGTGCATGCTTTTTCTCACTAGTTTTTATTTTTTTCCTAATTATTTTAAGCACCATTTTTTCTTCTCCATTTCAATAGCAAGGTCTCCTTTTGCAGGTTATTTTTGTTCTTAAAGGTCTCAAGCATCAGGGATCTGGTTAACCCCTTCAGTGGGCACCAAAGTCTTATAACGGCAGAAGGAAGGTCTGGCTGGCTGCGGGAGAGGGGAAGATGCTTTAGCACTTTGACACAGCAGGCACTGGGTATGGGTGATGATCCAGTCCAAATGGGCGTTCAGAGGAGGGGAGGGAGACCCTGTCAAAGAGACCACCTCTACTCTGAGCCACGGTTCTCACACTCAGGATTCCCTGCTTTGAGGATGCAGGGCATCTTTTATTTTTGCATTTGTCTGCTCATCAAACATTAACTGGGCACTGGGCGAGATGCTTTGCATGTTCCAGGCCATGTGCTAGGCCCTCAAGGATACAGAATGCACAGTGGGTGGCTTTTCTGGGTCACAGCATGCTACGTGCCTTGTATGCGTTCTATCTTAACCCTCACAGCAACCTTCCTCTGTTGCTTCCCCCCATGATAGCTCTGGTCATATACTATTGCAATCGTCAACTGTATGTCATATTCATTTGTGACTGAGAGCACTGGGTATAATGGAAAGGGCAGCAGACACTGAAGTTAGACTGGTTTTTATTCAAATACTAGGGTCCCCACTGTAATATATTTTTTAGAGGCAGGATCTCTCTCTGTCACCCAGGCTGGAGTGCAGTGGCACAATTGCAGCTCACTGCAGCCTTGAACTCTTGAGTGCAAGCAATTCTCCTGCCTCAGCTTCCCAAGTCGCTGGGACTATAGGCAACTGCCATCATGCCTGGTGAATTTTTAAGTTTTTTAATAGAGACGGGGTCTTGCTATGTTGCCCAGGTTGGTCTCGAACTCCTAGCCTCAAGTAGTCCTCCCATCTCAGCCTCCCAAAGTGCTGGGATTACAGGCATGAGCCACTGCTACTGGCCCCCACTGTAATACTTGACGTGTCTGTGTAATTTCACCTCTTTGAGGCTCAGGTTTTCCATCTGTTGAATGGGAATAACAATGCTTATCTCACAGGATGGTGTGAGAAGTAAATGAGGTAATTCTTAGCAAGCATTTTTTATTTTTGTCTCACATAAATGTTCAGTAAATGGTCTCTTTTTTTCCCTTAAGAGGCTAGGATCTGTACCTAATTTATCTTTATATCCCTGCAGGGCACAATACCTGGTAACACATTCACTAGCTGTTAGTTGAATGGATGAATGAATGAATGAGTACGTGTTCTTTGAGCGTGAGAACCCAGGCTCTATCATTCTTCACAGGCTTCTTTCTTTTCAGCCCCCAGCAGCTGTGGGATGGGGAAAGCCGTCTCCCTCAGCATGGCACCCACACCTCCAGCCAGTACCTAACTGGATCTGAGGGCCTCGAACCCCTTGGATCCACACCATGGAGGGAAGAAAAGAAGACCCTCTGGTCTTTCTGCTGACACTTGGCAAAAGGAAGAACGACCACTTAACCACAGACTGCTCCTTTTGCTACTCAGTAGCTTCCTGAACGGTCCTAAGAAGGTGGCTGTCTCCAGATGCCCCTCTCCTTGAGAATCAGGGGCTTGGACCAGCCTTGAGAAGGAGGCAAGAACTGGGCCCTGGCTGGCACCAGCAGTGGCTCCTGAGACCACAGGCACAGAAGGCTTCCCATGTGTGGCTTTCATGCCCAGGCCCACTTCCTAGACCCCCAGGCCCTGCTATTTCCTTCCAGGAGTGAGGAAAACTCAGAGGACGGAGGAAAGGGAGACAGGAGGTTGGACAGGCACCCTCTCTGCTCCAGTTCTGTCCTCCCAGCAGGCCCTGTGAGTTGACTTTTATCCTCCCGCTGCTGCCGTCCCCTCTGACTCCTGCTTCACCAGCCCTGCCCCCTCTGTATCACTTAAGTGAACAAGCACTGCTTGGTGTAGCCCTGGATGGGGGGAGAGCACCCTGGGTGAGGAGGTAGGAGGACTGAGTTCAAATCTTGCCTTCTTTTGCTGCTCCCTGGCTGTGGGAGTTTAGACAAGTCACTTTTGCTCTTGGAACCTTAGGGTACTCATCTGTAAAAAGGGGTGCTGTTGCCCACCTCGAAGGCCTGGCGTGAGAATTTGCAGCGATATATGCACAAGTGAAGTAATCTCAAAACTGCTGTTACTACTATTCCACCTGGTGATGACTATTCCACCTAGTCAGGGGCTGAGGTCTGGCCAAGGGCCTGGGAGATCCCAGCCCTGAATTTGCTTATCAGTATGTGCTAAAAATAAGTATTTTTCTCATTTCCATAGCTTGGTCAGCAGAATACGGAGACCCTGGCAGACCCCAGAAAACCTCACCGGAGCTTGAATTGCGGACAGCCCCCGTGGATTCCGCTTACCGGGAGCAATTTAAGAGGCAAACAAAACATGAAAAACTACTCAGAATTAACAATGGGCCAGATGGTAATGCTAGTTTGCAGCAATAAAACATGATAAATAGCTTCCTGCTGCTACTCCTGATCAATTTCAATATTTAATAATTCCACTGCCACTCCCACCCCCTCATCTGGCCCCCTCCGTGGGATCCTGGATGACTCCCCACATTCAGCTCACAGAGCAAACACTTCTTTGCTTTCTGAAGGTGTCAGCAGAAAGTGCCGCTGCTCGATTGTCACATGAGCACTCTCAGTCCTCGAAATGATAATTAATCTGCCTACTTCTCCTGAAGACGCTCCATCTCACGCCTCTCCTGGTTGCCAGGGAGGGCTGTAAGGGAGCTGCCAACTGCAGAGATGCGATAGAGGCACTCATCTTGTTGATTCAATGACTGCTGCTATTTCCTGGGTTTTGCTTTTGACTTAAAGAAAGGGGAGCTGCAGGGAGCTCGGTGGTCATCTCACTCTAGGACCAGTGAGTAGGAGAAGGCAACCTGGAACGGGCTCGGGTGGATTGGTGTTTGAACCTTATCCACCAGCCATGCCTCTCTAGGCCTCAGTTTCCTCCTCTGCACAATGGAGATAATCATATCTACCTCTAGGAGAATTCTAGCCGGTGCTGCACATGTAAAGTGCCTGCAGAGTGCTTGGCATATAAGAATTGGCCAAGAACTGGCAGCCAGGAGCATCACTACTAAACACAAAGCCAAACAGCAAATGATGTCTGAGCGCCAGTGCCCTGCAGGAAGGACCGGCTGCATCTCTGTAGTTGGGAAGTTTCTGGCCCACATGGGTGTAGGGCAGGATTGGCTAGGGGTGCAACAGCTGCCAGGCAGACTGCCCCCAGGATTCTCCCCAAGGGGTGTCCACTAATAAGATAAACTGCCTCGCACCATCAGCGAGGACTCCAAAGACCTCAGAGCCACCCTGGAGAGCAGGGATTGTTGGCGCCATTTTACAGATGAGGAACTGGAGATAAGGAGGTGGAATGACTTTTCAAGCTGACATGGGCAGGAAATGGCATAATCAATTCTAATCTGGATCTCCCAACCTGACTTCATGTCCTCTCCACAGACTCACAGGAGCAAGCTGCCCCACTCCTCACGACCCGGTGCCTCCCTTCTGTGCGTCCCTTTTGGAGGGAGGCAGCCAGAAGAGGGCGTGGCGTGGGTGCCAGGGTGCTGCGGGCTCACAGTTCCTGTGTGATCTGTGTCACCTGAGCTGCAGTTTACTCGTCTGTGAAATGAGACTCATAATGCCTACTGCACTGGTTTACCGGGACATTTAATGAGGAAATATGCATGAAAGGACCTTGAAGTTTTGTGATGAGCTGTACAAATATCAGTTATGGTTATTATAATTTTTTTAGAAAAACACCCTCTGGGCTGGGCGCAGTGGCTCACGCCTGTAATCTCAGCACTTTGGGAAGTCAAGACAGGCGGATCACTTGAGCTCAGGAGTTCAAGACCAGCCTGGCCAACATGATGAAACCCTGTCTCTACTGAAAAAAAAAAAAAAATACAAAATTAGCCGGGCATGGTGGCTTGCACCTGTAATCCCAGATACTTGGGAGGCTGAGGCAGGATAACTGCTTGAACCTGGGAGGCAGAGGTTGCAGTGAGCTGAGATCGTGCCACTGCAACCACTCCAGCCTGGGCAACAGAGTGAGACTCCGTCTCAAAGACAAACAAAAAACAAAAGAGAGAGAGAGAAACACCCTCTGTGAGAAAAAAGATAGGAAACTCATCCACCTAAAGGTGGGTTCTTCTCACAGAACCCTTCACCACAGAACCTAGAGGATCAAGATCAAATTTTCTTGTGTGGCATTCAAGGCTTTGACAGCTCCCATAACCCCATCTCTACCCCTTCTCACATCCCTTTTTGCTCCAGCCCATCTGGGCTACTTGGTATGGTCTAAGCTCAACAGCCTCACCTGTGTCCAGGCCACGGCCAGGCAATAGCCCTGCCAGAGTGTCTGTCCCAGCCCTGTTCACCAGCTGATCCCGTACACCCTTCTCCTGAAGTCTTCCTTGGCCCTCCCTGGATGAGGAGCTCCTCCGCTGAGTTCCCGGATAGCTTCTCTGAGCTTCTCTCCCTCCGAGCCAGGCATCCTACTACCTAGCATCATTTTCTCATCTGCCTCCCAATGCTACAGTGAATTCTTTCAGGACGAGAACCAAGCACTATACCCTCCAGCCCACCCAAGGCTGGGCCCAGCATCTGCTCAGGAAATGTGTGTGAGGGGTGAACAAATGAATGAATAACTGAGTGTTCCCAGTATGGATGGAATCTGAGCCTTAAGCAAAGGCAAGGAATGCTAACGGTGGTATGAGAATTCGGTAGCAGACAGTGCTCCAGCATTTAAATTCAGCTCAATCCCTGGGATTATGTCTAGATCTGATGGCATCATCTTCTTCCCCCATCTGAACCCTTGACAAGAAGGAACAGAAAATATACCACCCATGCCTGTCAGGACCCCCACAGGCCATGGCAGAGGCATTTGTCAAATACCTGAGTCCCGCTGGTCCAGGGTCATGGAGTTCCACCTCCGTGTGATGTCAATGTAGAGGATGTCCACGGCAGCCATGGACAGGCTGCTGCTGCTGAGTTTGCAGCTCCTGCCAACAATGGGAAGTGACATGTCACTGCCAGCCTGAAACCTGTCCTGTCTATCTCTCCTCCACTCCTGTTAGGGACTGAATGTTTGTCCTCCCCAAATCCATAGGTTGAAATCCTATCCCTCCAATGTGATGGTGTTAGGAGGTGGGGCCTCTGACAGGTGATTAGGTCGTGAGGGTGGAGCCCTTGGGAATGGGAATAGTGCTCTTCTAGGAAGAGACACTAGAGAGCCTGCCTCCTCTCTACTCTCCACCATGTGAACATAGAAGAAGGCAGCCGTCTGCAAACCAGGAATTGGGTCCTCACCAGACATCAGATCTACCAGCACCTTGATCTTGGTCTTCCCAGCCTCCAGAACCATGAGAAGTAAATGTTTGTTGTTTAAGCCACTGAGGCTGTGGCATTTTTGTTCTAGCAGCCTGAACCGACTGACATTGTTTTTGTTTGGATTGTGTTCTGGGTCTGGAATGTCCTCCCTTACCACAGCTGGAACTACCGCAGGGTGACTGGCATGGAGCCATGGTAGAGAAGGCAGTGATGTAAGTGAGGTTAGATCCTCAGGTTCCTGTAAGTTCAGCCATTTGGTTAGTTATGGGTCTAACAGGCTGGAAAGAGCAAGAACTTTAGAAAAGCAAGGCAAGTGTTTTTTTTTTTTTTTTTGGATACAGAGTCTTGCTCTGTCATCCAGGCTGGAGTGCAGTATTGTAATCTCGGCTCACTGCAACCTCTGCCTCCTGGGTTCAAGCAGTTCTCCCTACGTCTGTCCCCTGAGTAGCTGGGATTACAGGTACCCAGCTAATTTTTATATTTTTAGTAGAGACGGAGTTTCACCATGTTGGCCAGGCTGGTCTTGAACTCCTGATCTCAGGTGATCCGCCCGCCTCGGCCTCCCCAAGTGCTGGGATTACAGGCGTGAGCCACTGTGCCTGGCCAGGAGAGCAAGTCTTGAGTTGTAGCCTGGCTCTGCCACTTGGAAGCTGCATGGCCCTGGTTAAAACATTTCACCTTTCTGAGTCTCGGTGTCCTCATCTATAAAACAGGTGGTCTTTATTATAGTCATTGTGTGTCAGCCTGACCTTGCACAGCAATGTGGGTCCCTGCTTGCTCTAAAAGAGAACAAACTCCACATGTCAAGAAATACCACCAGCAACGTGTCCTCATCTTCCTATCTCTTAGTCTCCAGAAGGAGGAGGGGAAGCTAGGCCCTCGGCACTGCCCTCTCCTGGAGTGTCCAGGCAGCTGACGGTGTCATGCTCAGATGACCCAAGGATGACAGCATGTCAACAGTACAGGCTGAAGCCATCACTACTGTCCAGAAGCAATTTCCCACTGGAAATGCTCACCAGATGAGTCCCTGAGGACAAATCTATGGACAAGGGCTCAAGGCTTCTGTACTTTACCCATCTCAATCTGTCACCTGAAGATTCTACATAAGCCCTGAATCAGCCACACTAAGCCCCAGATTTATAAAGCAGAACAGCACAGGCTGGGTCCTTGCTGCTCTGTGTGGGCTGACACAGAATTGCTGGGGAGGTTCCTTGTTCCTGACTTTAGGGGAGTCACCTGGAATTGACAGGAGGATTGTGGGGGACGGGCCTCTGAGCTTTGGATGCTCCACTTGTTTAGGTGCAGGGAGGCCACAGTAACCAGGTTTTCAGTCTGATGTCAGCATTGGTGCTCCCTGTCCATGCCACAGCAGGGGTGTTTAGAATCCTCCTACCCCTCCCCAGCTTTTTTTTTTTTTGGTCTGGAAATGTGGAGGGGAGGGCAGTCTGGTATGCCAAAAAGAGCATGATTTAGGCATCAGACAGATTAGGATTTAAATCCTGACTGGAATCTTTTCTAGCTGTGTGACTGTGGGGAATTTACTTAAACCTTCTGTGCTTTTATTTCTTGGGCTCTAAAATGAAGATGATAATACCTGCCCACATGGTTGTGAGTACATGCCAAGAACCCAGCATGGTGCCTGTCACCTGGTAGGCCCACAGCAATTGTGAGTTCCCTTCCCCAACTCTCTCCCCCTTTTCCCTTTTCTTCCTCTAGATCTAGAGCCATCTCACCCCAGAGGCTGCCTGGAGCCCAACCTTTCAGTGAGTGACCCTGCCCGTTCTGGAGAAATGGAGTACACCAGTTGGAATATCTGTGTACAGGGCTTGGGCTCTCTCTTCAGACTGGAAGCAGCCCTTGGCTTGTCCAGGTGCACCCCTGTCCTGGACAGGATCGTGCTGGGAGGCCTGTCCCAAGGCAGGCTAGATTTGTCCAGGGAATCCTGAAAGCTAGGCCTCTGGGCCAGCTGTCAGGTTGGCTGAACTACATTCAATGCCGCTTTCAACTTTTCAAACGAATCCACATCCACTGCCTCAGCTAATGGTGAAGTGGCTCTTTGATTTCCCATTTGCCATTATCCCTTGTGTGAATAGCTCTGTTAGGGACCGGACAGGGGAGGGGTTGATTGGCAAGCAGGGTTTGGGCATCAGAGGCCCCTCTCCAAACCCAAGCGCACCCCTAATGACAGTGGCTGGGCATGTGCCCCGCATGGTGCCCAGACGAGCCTGGTGCTCCTTGTATGCCAGCACACTTTCTTGCCCCCTTCCTCCCTCCTCCCTTTCTTTCTTCCCGCCTGTATTTCCCAGGCCATCAATGCACATCCTGCTTCCTCCTGGGCTCCTGCTCCGTATTTCAATCACGAGTCGCGGTGGCAGACTTCAAAGCACATCAGCACACGGTTATTGAGCCCCAGTAACCACATGTCAATGGACGCGGAGGTTTTCACGTCACTTGTCACCAAGACGGCTATCTACTGGGTTCTGTGGGGGAGGATGGTCCAGTCTCTCCCAGGGTATTCGAACAGCCTGCATTGCTAATTTACAAAGCTTCATTAGGAACAGCCACAGTGTCCTTTAATTATCATATCAGTGTCCTCTGGGCTACCTGCTCTTCCACAAGTCAGGAGCGCTGCCTAGCTTGCTCTGTGGGTTAATAGAGTATTAAAAGGGAAACCAAACTGACCACTGGTATATAGTCATTTTTTTTCTGACAGGTAGAAAATAGAAGTGTCAAACCTTTAGCAGGAGCCGTAATTTACCAAAGAAATTCTCCGTTTATTCCCTTTCCAAGGTAACTCTTCCTCCCTAGTGATGCCTGCAAATATAGTTGATTGCAGCATCTGCTACTGGGACAGAGGAGGGATCCATGCTGGCTGCGGTAGGCAGGAAATGCAAATGCCTTAAAAGAATCTTGATTCTGTAGGCATTTCTTGGGCACTATCTGTATGCTAGGGCTTTTCTTGCTCATCAGCTCTCTGGATTTTAACCATTCCTTGAGGGTGGTATTCCTGATCCCATTTCAATGAAGCGTATGCTGAGGCTCAAGAGATGGGACGTGACTTGCCCAACGTCACACAGCCGGAATTCACATCTAGTCCATCCTTGGAAGATAGAGTAGTGGGCTTGGGAGCTGTGGGGAGATGGCCCAGTCCAGGGCTGCAGGAGGGATTCAGGAATCAAGAAACCAGGTCTCAGGCCAGGGACCAGAAGGGTTGGAGCCTCTAAAGCACTCCTGTGGCAAGCTTTGGGATATGGGGCTGGGGCTAAGCAACCAGGGTGCTTGGATTTGCCCTGTGGTTACCAAACATTCTCAATAAACTCAAACAGGAAATGAATGACTCCAACAGTCAAGATATCAAGACTTTGGAATGAATTTTTCATCCATCTATCCACTGAATGAGAATTTATTTGTGTCCTCTCTGTGTAGGCAGTATTCTGGGCTTGGACAGCAATGAATTGCTGAATGGGCCTTGGATACCGTTCTCAGAGACTATACGTGATCTTAGAGTCTGGGGTAAAAATGTGGCTCTTAATCATTGAGAACAGTTTTCCCTTATGCCTGGGGATGCAGCTCTTCAAATGACTAATGAGTGGAAGGATAAATTCTTCAGTGGAAGAAAAGTCCAGGAAATAGAGTACCATGAGAAGCCAGAAAAGTTTCTAGGAAAGGATAGGTTAGAAATGTACATGGAAAAGATGAGCTTTGGAGTCAAATGCACATGAGTTTGAACCTTGGTTTTGCTGCGTAACCTTGTGCAGGTCATGGAAGCTCTCTGCGTCTACATTAGGAAATTTCGATTTGCACAGTAAGAAAAAGGCTGCTCACCGTACAAGGATCTTTTAAGGACTAGCTCAGTGCCTGGCACACATGGGGAAGTGGCAAATGGCAGTTCCCATCCTTCCTCTCTGATGTAGAACCAGTTTGAAGAAATAGTCTGTTTTTGTTTTTGTTTTTGTTTTCCAGAATCAAAGGAATTTGGGCACATAGGATGGGAGAGAATCACAAATCATTTAAGTTCATTAGGAGTCCAAGTATAGAAATATTTGAAATGATCATTCTCATTTCCTCTTAACAACTACTGACATCTCATGGGAAATTTAGGAACCAACTTTTTCCACTCCATAAAATCCTATTTATAGAATTTCTTTTGTGTTCATCCTTCTCTGTGCAGAAAAGAAGCTTTTTTTTTCTTCTGGAGAGGATTCTATAATGTGAAAGCTAACAAATGATCAATATTTATTTTTTAAAAACCACACTACCTAAACATCTAAGGGGGCAAGAAGACAACTCCAGTTTAAAATGTATGACTTCGAAAGGCCATTGACATCCAAGGCATGCAATATTGCTGGAAAGGGATTGTCACAGAAGCAGGGGAGATTATCAAAGTCACTGAGGAGTTAATGACAGAGGGGGAAGCAAGGCCCCTTACGCTCCTATTCTAGAACATTCTAACACACCACGTTGCCTCTCAGAGAATAAAGCCCCCCGCAGCTACCCATTACGAAGCATGTTAATACCTCCTTATGATAAAAGGGAGTGGAAGGGGAAAGGGGAAAGGAAGAAAAACCTTCCCCTCATTCAAAAGGAGGCCCAGGATCAGAAGCCACCCAGTGGGAGAACCTCACATGAAGCAAATGCTCACGATACAGAGAAGATGCTGCATTTCCTAGAAATAAACCTGGTTTTGGCAAACTGCTTAATTTCTGGGCTGCCATCACGAAAAATGCAGCATACGCAAACTGATGTCCAATTCTGATGTGGGACACATTTGTAAAAATTTTCCTTCGTGAATTACATAGATGCCCCCCAAATCAGTAATCCAATGGAAGGAGAATGACAAAAATGCATCTCCCTCCAAGAAAGCTGTCAAGCTGAAGAATCAATCAGATAATGTCTATTTCTCGGGGAAAAAGGTGGCTTCACACCCCAGCAATTATTATAAAATAAAATGTTAAAAAAGAAAGAAGAAAAGAGGCACTTAATTCATGGTAATATGCACTACTATTATGTGCCTCCTGAGGAAGTGACATGAAAAGCTGGTTAGAGAGAGTTAAGTCTAGACGAGAGAAGAACAGTTCATTATTTCTTATTTCTTGGTGAAAAAGAAAAATAGAATATGGCCAGACTGGCATTAGCATAATTCACTCCGAAAACTGCTGATCTATGCAGCACATTATGAGAGATGGACACTGGAAATAAATTCAATTGGAGTGTTTATTATTTTCTTCCCTCTAGTTCTCTTCAAGGAGCTTGGAGAGAGAGAGTGGGTAGAACAGATGAAAAGCAAGTTCAACTTCTGCCATTTGCGTGGGAGCGCTGAGAGGAGTGTATATCTCGCCAGTGAATATGTCTTTTTCAAAGTGCTCCTGAGAAGGGCACTTGGTTCGATTTAACATATGGCATTAATATTATTAATTCATAATGAAGCAAAATTTAAACCAAAGTGGAACAGAGAGAGAGAAGGGTTGTTAGCAAGAGAAAATGCGTGCTGTTAAATTTAGCCGGCAAGACTGAACATACTTAGAGAAATCTAAAGGCAGAGAATATCATCTTTTATGATTAGGTTGCTGTTAGGATTTTCTGGCACATTTGAAAAAGAAAAATCCGGCCGGGTGCAGTGGTTCATGCCTGTAATCCCAGCACTTTGGGAGGCTGAGGCGGGTGGATCACCTGAGGTCAGGAGTTCAAGACCAGCCTGACCAATATGGTGAAACCCCATCTCTACTAAAAATACAAAAATTAGCCGGGCATGGTGGTGGGCGCCTGTAGTCCCAGCTACTCAGGAGGCTGAGACAGGAGAATTACTTGAACCTGGGAGGTGGAGGTTGCAGTGAACAGAGATTGCACCACTGTACTTCAGCCTGGGCAACAGAGCAAGACTCCATCTCAAAAAAAAAAAAAAGAAAGAAAAGAAAAGAAAAAGAAAAACCTGTTAATCGTTGTGCAATGCTTTCTCCATTTCTCCCTGCATTCTTAATTACTACAGACATTTGTTGGGAAGGGAGGGAGCAGGGAGAGGGGCTCAGTCTGAGTTCCTGTGCACTGGCTGCCTGGTCCCCACTTGAAGAAGTGGTTCTCAGTGTCACGGTCACCATGGCTCCCTAATGAGTTTGGCCACTGATTGGGAATGATGGCTGCAGGACCTAATAGTCCCTAATGTCACAAAACCTGGGTTTTCATGCAAATGCCCTTAATTATAGAGAGCAAAAGGGTGAAAAATCATAAAGCCTATCACATAGAGACAGATTTGTGGCTATATTTTTGACCTCGCCTGGTTCCAATCTGAGAGCATTTTAGGAATCTTCTTGGTTAGAGCCATTCTCAATTCTGCTTTCTTTTCAAGAGTCATAGCAGTCCTCTTAATAGGTACCTCCTTCCTCTCATACCAGAGGTCACCCACCAGTGGTATCTATGGGCAGTCATGCTTTCACTGAATCCACAGTGTTTAAAATTATTTTTCAAATTGCCAACATTTGTAGATGTGTATTGAGATTTTACATAGATATTTAGGATTGAAAAATCAAAAGCTCTGGTAATATGAGCCCAGGAGCAGCCTTCCTTTAGACACGGGATGTGCTCTCCAGCTTGCCACAGCCAGCCTTCCCTCCCCGACCTTGTCTACCCAGCCCTCTGTGATAGCTGATGCTTCCTGCCTAACCTGTAGGCAAGTGAGGTGGTGATTCTTACCATAAGCAATTTTTCAAATCTCCCCCTCTCTCGAATCTGCCCCTCTCTCTTCTCTATGGGTAGGACTTTATTAGAAGTAAAAAGGAAGCATTTCCATTTCTACCAGCAATTTAGCCTAGATGATAAACCTTTCTAACTTCTAAATTTGGGCTATGCATGCCATCCATTCTCAGGCTCTCCCTGCTGCCTGGAAAAATCCTGCTTTTACCAGTCCAAACCCTGCCTCCTCTCGGGAGCCTGCTTTGATTCCACCAGGCAGAGGAAGCCTCCCCCATTCTGTACTTGGAGCACTCTGAATGCCACCCTGCTGGGGAGTCCATGAGCTACCGCCCTGTGACTCTACGAAAACATTACATTTGATGATGTGTTCACTGCATGCTATCTGTTAGACTGACAGTCCTTTGAGGGCAGGCAGGGTCCCATTATTTGCCTTTGAATGTCCCATGGCTACCAGGTGCTCAGGAACAGTCGTTAGGTTAAACCAGACATAATCCTTTATAGCATAACTTTGAGATAGAACAGATCTCACAGGACCAGGGTTCTCTGCAACTCCCAAGATGTCATCCACATGAAGCCAAGCCATTCCTTCATGTTCTCTGATCTTGAATTGAGTCTTCTGTGTGATGGTGTGAAGGCTGGGGAGGGCCAAGGAAGCTTCTGCCTTTGCTCCAAAGATCTGTGCCCACAGATGTCTTATGCTGAGAGAAGCACCCCAGCTTGCTCAATCTCATAATTCTCCGGGGCCCCAAATACTTCCACGGTGCCCTAAGTGCCCTCATGACCTGGGGCCTCTGTCACTAAGCTGCTTTCTTATGTTACAAGGTCCAGGAATCACAAAGGGGCAGAGCCTGCCTACCTATCTGTTCTCTTCCTTCTCTTTTTCACTATAATGGGGTAGCACTATGCACAGTTAGAATAATTCTATTTCCCAGCTTCCTACGCAGATGGTGGTAGCCAGTAAGATGGAAGTGGAAGTCACTAAATGCAGCTTCCAGGAAAGCTTTTGAAAGGGATCTAATTCATGTGTGGAGGCCTTTTTTCTTCCTCCCCTTCTTCCCCTTTCTGCCTGGAACTCAACCATGATGGCTGGATTTTGAGCAGCCCTCTTGTGACCATAAGACAACCCTGAAGTGGAAGTATGCACTTAGGAGGGATGAGCAAAAAGACAGAAAGTGGAACATGGATCATCCTGTGGAGTCATTAATGAGCTCTAGAACCCCCACTGCAAAAGTTCCTGTTATATGAAAGAAAGTTCCTATTTAAGCCATTCGTAGATGGTTCCCTGTTACTGAAAGCCAAATGTAATTCCTAAATGAGTCAGAGAGTATCATGTCAGGCAGTCTTTTCAGTGCAAATAATAACATGTGCCTATTGATTTTTTTGAAAATTCCCACTGCCTGATGGAAATAATAACCACAAGACTCCCACTGAAAAAGCAGCTCCCATGAACTAGGCATCAGGCCAGCTGCTTTATGATATATTATCCCAACCTCATAACAAATCCTGCAAGGCAGGGATGATTGTTCCCATTTTGCAGATGAGAGAACTGAGTGCAGAGAAGATAAGGAATTTATCCAAAGCCACACAGCTATGAAGTAATGTGCTTGGCTCTGAAGCCAGACCTGTCTGATCCCAAAGCCTGTCCTCTTTCCACTGGGCTTCCCTCCCCCACCCTGCCCTACCTCCTGAAACTAACGCAAAGCCCTTCTCAAAGTCACCATGCAAAATTACTACTTCAGGTGTACTGAAACGGCAAAATTCCTGCCAATACTTCTGTGTACCATCCTGTCAGGAATAGCAGAGGGCTAGAGTTAGAATTTATAAAACTTCTTTGGAGACAAGTCTTTGACAAAAGTGGCTTCCCACTCAAGACTTCTAATTATTTTAGTGAATAAAGCTGTGAAAAGCATGACTTTGAGGTGCAAGACAAAAATATTAAAATCACTGATGGGAAAAACAACAGCAATACTGAGTGCTAGCAGACATCCTCCTTGAGGTGTATAGGATACAATTAATTGCTAAGGAATAATTCACTGTTGTCGCCCATTCATATTTGTTAAAGGGATCTAGAGTTATTAGATTAACATATACTTAGTGGGAACCTTCTTTGATCGAGACTCTGTGTAGGACCATATATATATCTATATGAATTATATATAAACATACATATAATTTCATAGAATTCTTTTAATCTTGTAAGAAGAAACTGACATTTATTGATCACTTACCATACGCTAGATGTTTCTATGCGATCTCAACTAATATTACACACACTATTGTAGGGCACAGGCAGCTTTATCCTCATTTTACAGGATGGATTTATTGAGGTTTAGGGGTGCTCTTTGACTTGCCTTAGGGTTACTTGCCCTAGAAGCCAGTAAATGCTGCTGTATTGCCCCAAAGTGCCCCCACAGGGTAGAGGGAAATTAATGTGTAATCTCAGGAAACCAAGCGGCAACTGCTAACTTTGCAGGCTGCAGCAAAGATATAATTTCTTTATCTCATGCTTTATCTTGAAAATTCATGCAAATTTTGCATTACACTCTATAATATGGCCATGCTATTTTTATATTAGAACAAATGTATTAAAATATTTATCAGCTGAGTTATTTAACTTTTCCCTTCTGAAACTGACACTTTGGAAAGATGTGCCTTGCTTCTCTGTTGTGGCTTCACGAACGCCAAACACACAGCCATGCACCACTGGGAGAAGCCCAGTTTAAGAAGCACAAGGTCTGCCTGACTCCAAGGGGCGATTATTAATATGCGTTTTCAGGACTCAGCTCAAGGTAGGCACAGAGTTGTTTTTAAATCATGAACATAAGGTTGCAATGCGGTCACACCCATCATATTCATTAATTCACTCAACAAATGAGATTCTACCATGTGCCAGCCACTAGGCTAATCCAAGCTCAAATGGGGTACTGACCCAGCACCACAGATTCTCCCGAGCGCAGTCAGGGAGACCCGCCAGCCAGATGTGAGACTGGACTCCACCCAGCCCAAAGCCCAAGCCAGAGGGGGCTGTTCTCACTGACCTTATGAAGGTACGAAAGCCTGTTGGCCCCAACTTCATTGTCCCCTTGATGCCCAGGAACCGGATAAACAAATTTGCCATCCTGTCCACCAGGCGCAGGTAGTTGAACTGTTTTGCGTACTTGGGGAACACCTGCTTGAGGCAAATGGAAGGCAGGTGGGCTTCGGGGTTGGCGTTGCAGTCTGGAGCACTGGTCAGCTCGCCGTCCAAAGCATCTTCCTTTCCAGCGAATGGTTTTTCAAGCTGCTGAGACCTGAAGCACACAAAGAATTAATGATATAACACTTTCCCTTTCAGTTTCTCCTTTACTTGAGATTTACAGCCTCCTCGGGAGGCAGCATTACCAGCATTTTTTATTTTACAGACAGCAAGACTGACCACAGAGAAGTGACCTGCCCAAGCTCACACAGCTAGCACATAGCCAAGCCAGGACATGAAACCAAGGCAGAGCCACGGCTAGAAATGTATCCTTCCTCCTTCCACCATCCTGGTTTCCCAGTATGAAAACTTTCCTTTACTGTATTCATGATTCAACGGAATACTCTGTTATGTAGCAGTCTGGATTTGATTTCAAACTCTTACTTATGGGTAGTAATTGAATAATTAAGAAATATAAAAATCTCATTGAGGACTGGCGAGAAGCCAGAACACAGTTCAACGAACAATTTGCAAAGATGCATCAGCTACCGAATTCTAGGAATAGAAACAATTATATTTCTGGCTTAACTGTTTTTTTTTTTTAAATTTGGAATTCATACAAAAAATGATTATAGTGTAGTGATTCCTTAGTCTGGATATTCAGAAATTATTTTGATATTCAAGAAAACTAGCAGCTAATAACTCTTAAATATCCACCTCTAGCACAGAATGTTCTTCTCACCTTAGACCTATATATTATTCCCCCTGCCCCAAATCTATGTCTCCCATCTCCTTGAACGTCACAACCATCTGCCAGTTACTCAACAGGAAAGCACAGAATAAATGCCGACTCCTCCTCAGCTAGTTCTGCCTCCTTAGTCCTGAAGCCAACCCCTGCTCTGCCCCTGCTTGGACTGTAGCAAAGGCCCTCCTGCCTCTGGCTTTGCCCATCCATAGATCCATCCTTCAAACTGGCACCTGAGTCACCTCTTTTTAGGCCAGCCTGGCTGAGTCACTTACTTGCTAAAACCACTGAGGACTCCCAAGTCTGTACTGCTCATTCTGGCACTTGAGGCCCTTCCCGAGTTCTTCCCGGGCCTCCTCATTTCCAATCATCCCCCTGCCAGGCACACAGTTCCAGCCCAAGCCTTGTGTGCTGCTCCTCCCAACCTGCCACTCACTGGCCTGCCCTGGAACCGGAGACTCCATGCTCCTTGGACACCCAGCTCCCTTCCACACTCAAAGGCCCTCTCTGCAATTGCAGGTCAGTTCCCACTCCTGGGTCCTATCCTGTCGGGATCTGGGGCCAGGCGTAGCCCTCTCTCACCTGTTGTGTTCATTCCTGAGACAGAACCTCGAGCATGTTATACATGGTCAGTAAATGCTGCCTGGTTGACTAACTGATCCAAGGAAGTTAGGATGACGTCTCGTGGTACTGAGACGTGCTGCTGTTAATGGTACCAAGGCCTGTTCTCTACTCCTTATTAAATGTCCTCATGCCCAGTGCTTTCATTTCCAAGCAAGCACACCATTAGTGCCCAGGTTGGGCCATCTGGGTGTCTTTGTGCCTGCTTTCCTCTGGCCGTGGCTGGCTGGCACACTTCTGTTCCACTTTCAAAACCAGCTGAGATGGCTTCTTGACCACACAGGTCCCTCTCTCTCATGCCTCATCCCTATTTCTTGGACCTGCTTCCTTGTTTGCTTTGTCATGCCTGCACTGCACTGGTTTACATGCCAGTCTCTCTCACCGTTTTGTGAGCTCATTGAAGGCCTACATCTGTTTCATATAGAAATTTCACTCCTATTTCTATAAGACCTGAAACATACTTGGTGTTTGAGAAAGTTTCATTGAATCCATTGCATTGAAAAAGTTTGCAACGTAAGCCTTAACATATCAAGGTTATAATGCTTTGTAACCTGTAAGTGCTTTTAAATTCAATAGCGAAACAACATGCGTGATAGCCCTGTACGAACGGTCCTCTCTTCATCCCAGTCCAAGGAGCCAGCCTCTGGGAAAAACTCCCTTGTGTGAATAAAAAGTCCTGGAAGGCCTATTCCCGGTTCCTCCTTAGTGGGTCTTGATGCTGGTCTCAAAGCAAGGACAGGCAGAGGGCAGAAGCAGAGAAGCATGAGGGAAAAATCTCTTTTCAACTTCAACAATGTGGAGGGTTTTAAGGAAAGAAATGCTCCCTCCCACAAAGAGGAGAGTCCTGACTCCTTGGGAGAGGCGAATGTGCCCAAAGGGCTGCAATTTTCCTTCTGCTAAAATGATTTTGTCATCATCACCTTGAACTTAAGACAGTAAATATCAGGTGGTTGCTTTTCAGTTGAAATGAAATGTTTTCCCATTAAGGTTATAGGAAGAAAGATGAGAAAAAAGGCGACACTTTTACCGGAAATTAGCCCTTAAATTACTGGGTAAGTGGCAATCAATGACTTTATAAGCACTCAGTAAGTTTTTATTCAAGGAAAGATTTGGAAATGTACAGTTGGAATACACTCAATAACAACGAAAATAGCTCAGAGGACTCCTCAGTTGGCAGATCCATCCACAGTCAGGTGGTCATCTGCTCTTCACTCCACTTTGCACAGTAGACTGTTATGACTATGCCCCTGTTCCAGACGAAGAAACTGAGGCTTGGCAAGGTGTTGCACCTGTATCATCTAGCTGAACTGGAATTATAAGTCAGTTCTTATAATCCACTGATCCACTGCTCTTTCTATTTTACTACTGTAATTCTTCTTCTCCTTTTTTTTTTTTTTTTTTTGGCTTCAAGCCATTCTCCTGCCTCAGCCTCCTGAGTTAGCTGGGATTACAGGCATGCGCCACCACACCCAGCTAATTTTTTTATATTTTTAGTAGAGACAGGGTTTCACCATGTTGGTCAGGCTGGTCCTGAACTCCTGACCTCAAGCAATCCACCTGCCTCAGCCTTCCAAAGTGCTGCGATTACAGGCATGAGCCACCGTGCCCAGTCCCGCCTCCTCCTCCTCCTCCTCCTCCTCCTCTCTTCTTCTTCTTCTTCTTCTTCTTCTTTTTTAAGAGATAGGGGCTCACTTTGTCACCCAGGCTGGAGTGCAGTGGTACAACCACAGCTCACTGTAGCCTAGGCTCAGCCTAGGTACCTGGGCTCAAACAATCTTGCCTCAGCTTCCTGAGTAGCTAGAACTACAGGTGTGCACCACCATTAGCCTGACTTTTTTTTTTTTTTTTTTTTTTTGAGAGACAGAGTCTTGCTCTGTCACCCAGGCTGGAGTGTAGTGGCGTGATCTTGGCTCACTGCCACTGCAACCTCTGCCTCCTGGGTTCAAGTGATTCTCTTGTCTCAGCCTCCTGAGTAGCTGGGATTACAGGTGTGTGCCACCACACCTGGCTAATTTTTGTATTTTTATAGAGATGGGGTTTTGCCATCTCTACTAAATGGTTTGGCCAGGCTGGTCTCTAACTCCTGACCTCAAGTGATCCACCCACCTCAGCCTCCCAAAGTGCTGGGATTACAGGCGTGAGCCACCGTGCCTGGCCAGTCTGGTTAATTTTTAAGTTTTTTTTGTAGAGATAAGGTCTCGCTACATTGATCAGGCTAGTCTTGAACTCAAGCGATCCTCCTGCCTTGGCCAGCCTCCCAATATCTTGGGATTATAGGCATGAGCCTCTGCACCCGACCCACCACCCCATTATTCAAATATACATCATAATTCACATTGTGGGTTACAAATCCTATGTGGAATTATTGATTTTTTATTTTATAGAATTTTTTAAAGATTATAATAGTAAGTCATGCTCTTTGTAGACATTCTGAGAAATGTATAAAGGAATCAAAATCATTTGTAATTCTACAAGTCTGAGAGCAACACTATTAACATTTTGATTTCTTATCTATATTTATAAAGTTAGGATTACATTACATGTATTCCAAATCCTTCTTTTTATACCCTACATTGTAAGTATCTTCCCATGGTATTAAGAGTGTTTTCATCAGTGTAATTTCTCATGACATGACATATTCTGTATTAATTAACCATTCCCCCTCAGTTAGAGATCTAGTGTCACATGGTCTGTCATTTGACTAAATAGAGTCAGTGATCAGTCCCCTGAGTGATGTGCTCCCTCTCAGAGGCATAATTTTTTTTTTTTTTTTTTGAGACAGAGACTTGTTCTGTCACCCAGGCTGCAGTGCAGTGGCGTGATCTCGGCTCACTGCAACCTCCGCCTCCCGGGTTCAAGCGAATCTCTTGTCTCAGCCTCCCAAGTAGCTGGAACTACAGGCGTGTGCCACTATGTCTGGCTAATTTTTTTTTTCTTTTTTGTATATTTAGTAGAGATGGGGTTTCACCTTGTTAGCCAGGAAGCATAAAATCTTACAGCTATAAGTGGCTTTGGAGATCACTCTGTCCAACGATGTCATTTATTATTTTATCATAGTATAATAATGAACATAAAGCTCACCGTTTTAACCATTTTCAAGTGGACAGTTCAGTGGTGTTTCAGGCATTCACACTGTTGTGTAACTGTCACCAGTATCTAGTTCCAGAACATTTTTGAAATGATTCTAGAGAAGAAATTTAAATCCAGATAGATAAGGTCATTTGATCAGCATATCATCCAGGGTCGTGGGCTTAGCTGGGGTTGCCCTGGTGATGGGAACTCCACCACCTCTGGGACACCTCAGACTGGAAAGGTGTTCGCAATGGTAACCAGCAAATTGTCTTTCTCCAGGGTCCAACTCCTGCCTCCAGAGCCTTGCAGAATGAGTCTGTTTTTTCTTCTAGCGACAGCCTTTCAAATTTCTTTCAAGGGTTGCTGTATTTAGTGGATGACTACCATTTCCCATCCTTCCTGAATCCCAATTAATAACCTCACGATGAAAAGAGTCTTCAAAGCCAGAGATATCATTTTCATGGACTCAACCGCAAATTCAGAGGGAGGTGGTTTTACTCAGCTGGAAGAAGGCACTAACGATACATCTGATATGTAAGAGGAAATGAAACAATGAGAAATGGTATCTTTGCTGGAGATAATTCCAATTATCATGTTGAGATCCAAGCCATCACAAATATGTAAGATCCTGTTTTTACTTAATAGCATTTTAATGGAAATGTCGGGCTTATGAAATAAAAGTGACTGGTAAAGAAAATATAAATCAAGCTGACTAGTCCTTTGGGATAATTTTTTTAAAACTGAATTTGTTATATCCTTGATTCATTAAAATAGGTGAAAGAGTTCTGGAATGTTTTATCTATTAGCATTTTTCAAATACAATGGAATCATTTTTCATTGAAACTTGTGAAAAACCACCTATCTCTATTTTGCCTGGAAAGTTAACTGTTCATTTATCAAGGGCCTACTACATGTCTAACATTGCTCCAAGCCACTTACCTATATTGCTTCATTTGTTTCTCATAACAATTCTACAGTGTAGGTGGAAACGATTCCCATTTTACAGATTAGGAAACAGGCCCAGAGAGGCTGAATACTTTCCCAAGCTCACCCAATCAGTAGTGAAATCAGGATTTACACTTGGGACTGTCTCACAACACACCCCATGCTTAGTTCACTATATAGCTTTTGTGATCATTTGATTTAAATCAAATCAGAGACTTTTCTTCTTATGTATAAGTGGTATATAGTTCCAGAAATTAACAGAGAAGTAGATCTAGCAAGGTCAAATTCTAGTTGCTGAGAAGTTGCTTGAGTTAATTTCCATCTCTAGTTAAACATTCCTTCAATAATTTATTCATCCATGAAACATGTTCCAAGCACTCACATGCCCCAGGGGCCTCGGATACAAGAGTGAGGTGGACACAGTCCCTGTCACCCAGAAGCATGGGACCAAGTGAGGGAAAACAAGACCCATATATAAACAGTGACTTGGCAGTGTGATGATGAGTGAGCCAGCATGGGTCTAGGTCATACAGGACCCTGAATGTGAGAGAAAGGTGCTTGGACTTAGTAGTGTAGGGAATGAGAGAATGTGGTAGATTTTGAGGAGAGGAATGGCAAGATTAAAACCACGCTGGAGACGAATAAATCTGCCAGCACTATGTATTCCGAACTGAGAGGGGAAGGGTGGATGGTATTAGAAAGCTACTGGAATGGTCTAGGTCAACGATTCTGAAAGTGTGGTCCCCAGCCCAGCAGCATCAGTGCCTCCTGATAACTTGTTAGTAATGTACATTCTTGGATCTCACCCCAGACCTACTGACTCAGAAACTCTGAGTGGGCTGGGCAGTCTGTTGTAGCAAACCCTGCGGGTGATTCTGATACGGGCTAAGGTCTAAGAATCACTGGTCTAGGTGAAAGAAAGTGAGACCTAAACTAGGGCAGTTGTAATGGGCATAGAGACAGGCAGCTTTAGACACACAGATTTAGCAACTACTGCTTGAACATGTGGGACAAAAGGGGAGAGAACACCCTGGATCACGTTCCCAGGCAGCCCCGTGGCTTGGCAGGAGAGCCTTGTGGCAGTGGTGCCGCATGGCAAAGGGACATAAACAGGTCCCCGTCCCTGCTGTTCGGCCAAGGCGAAGTCCCCTCAGTCACTAGCGGATTCCAAACGCACATGTATCGTGTTGGCATTCCTGCAGAAAATGCTAACCATGCACCAAAGAAGTCCCTTAAATTAGCCCTGCAGCTAATTTAAAGAACTGGAGGATGAAGTCACTAAAAATAAACTTTACTGTATAGCCCAGCTCTGTTGCTTGATAAATCTCTGCTATCGCAGAGGCTCCATTTGCCTGACGGGTGATGCTAGGCAACTTGAAGGGAAGGTGATAGACTCTAAAACAGGTGAGGCGTGGGCTTCCACAGTGACAAGGAAAGGACTTAACGAGAGAGCTCTGTCTGCCATCCAAGTCCCTCTAAGACCTAGACCCACGTTGAGCCTATTCCCACCTATTCCCCTTCACGCAATGACCCTTCCTCCCCACAAACCCCGGTCAGGCCACTTCCACCTGGCTTGATCACTTTCCTCTGTAACATATCATCGACAGCAACAAAACATCAAAACGCAACAAAACACAATAGCGATGATATTAATTGCACATACTATGTGCCAGGAACTGCAATTTAAAAAAATTTAATCTTGATAAAATCCTATGAAGCAGGTGTTATTATTAATATGATCCCCATTTTACAGATGAGGAAACCAAGGCACAAGGATATGAACCAATGTGTTTTGAACCTGGGAAAGAAACCCAGACAGGCGGGCTCCAGCATCCTTGTTTCTAACCACTGCATCATGCGGCCTCCATACACGGGGAGCTGTCAGGCACTCACTGAGGACCTGGAGAGTCAGGCCGGTTATTTGTAACATCTCCTTTGACCCTAGCAAGAATCCTACGAATTAGGTATTACAAATGGTCCCATTTCACTGATGAGAAAAGTGAGCTTCAGAGAGGTTAACCTACTTTCCTAAGGTGGCTCAGCTTTGACCTCAAAGTCCAGGCGCTTTCCACGCCATCATGCTCACTTGATGTAGTTATACAACTTCACTGAACTCATTTTCCCCTCCCTGGCAATGGAGAGAAGTTTCTGGCTCTGTGGGGTGGCGTGAGGCTAAAGCAGGAGGATGGAGCCTACGCCTAGCACAAAACGGCCACATTGTTTAGGACTCAAAACAGGCTTTCCACAAAGCATCAAGATGAATCTGCTTGGGGGGCTTGTAACTGTCCTCAATGTGACTTCTCGGGAGGGTACCAGTGCTCATCTGGCTGCTTCGTTTTGTTTGCCAAACAAGTCAATCTGTTACTTTACATTCCGGGCTCCCAAGAATTGCTGACATGTAATGTTTGTAATGTGTGTCGACTATATGAATTAACAAAGGACCCCATGGCGACAACAGCAGACTAGGTCTCTCCCTGCCTGGGGATGGATTCCCAGAGCTGCCAGGCCTGGGGTTGCTGCAGGCGCATTTTCCTGCAGGGCCAGGCGACGCATTAACTGAAGGACAAGCATAAGGACTTACTCTAATGCCCTGGCTCCCACAGACCCAGAACTCATGCTATTTCAGAGCTGGAAAGGCCTTTTGGGGTCACTGCGCCCAGCCCTCTCATTTTACGGATGAAGGAGCTGACAGCTCATTTTACAAAGACCTCCCAATAAGCTTCTTTTCCAACAGGGTTCTCTGCCCTGCCGGCCCTGAGCATGGAGCGCGTGTCTTCGCCATTGTCCCTCTTGCCCACTGGGCCTGCAGCACGGTCAGAGGCAATGAAACATTTTGTACACATAGGCCAAGGAGGGGTGCTCCAGTCGCCTCCTCCTCCCTGGGCTGTGGGGCTGGTGGTGCAGGGGGTCTGGAGTTTGGGCTTTGTGGGTAGATCAGGGCATGGTTGAAATCCCAGCTCTGCCACTCACAAGCTGTGTGACCTTGGGCAAGTCATACAGTCTCAAAGCTTTAGTTTCCTCTAATATAAAATGGGAATAATAATGGCACCTAACCTATAGGACTGGTGTTAGGATTAGCAGAGAAGATGGACACAGCACCTCAATACCTGTTTGCCACTTGGATTATAACCACTGACATCTTTCTCTCATGAGTGTCATCATCTCAAGGGGCCCACTGTCTAGTCACCAGCCCTCAGTGGGAGAGACTGGTATTCACCCCGAGGACCTCAGGAGAATATGGGGTTTCTGCCTCACTCCCCATCCCATGTAACCAAACACTAGATTGACTTTCCGCTCCTCCACTGCTCCTTCTTGGGAAACTCTCATTCCAGGCTGTCCAGGACCACCTAACAAACCCTCCACGTGTGCCTCATTTTCTCAGGCCTGGCTGGGGAGTTCACTGTACCTGCTCTGACACCCTCCTTCTCTATTGAGGATGAAGTAATGCGTGAGAGAGAACTTTGCTGCTGCCCAGGTACAGAAAAAGTCAGATTTTGAGTTAGAAGGGGCACTAGCAATGACCATGTGTCATTTTCCTTCTGAAATACATAGAGAGTGGGGCCAAGTCACTGACTTGAGGTGAGGCATCACACAGGGGTGGCAAAGGCAGGCTAAGGCCCCCGGACTTCTCATCCAGAGCCTTTGAGATAAAAAAGAGTGAAGAAGAAGGGAGAGTTAAGTGGCTCAAGCCTATAATCCTAGCACTTTGGGAGGCTGAGGTGGGAGAACTGCTTGAAGCCCTGAATCTAGACCAGGCTGGGCAACATAGCGAGACCCCACTTCTACAAAAAATTAAAAATTAGTCAGCTCTGGTGGTACGCACCTGCGGTCCTAACTACTTGGGAGGCTGAGGTGGGAGGATTGCTTGAACCCGGGAAACAAGTCTGCAGTGAGCCGTGAGCTGTGCCACTGCACTCCAGCCTGGGAGATGGAGCAAGACCCTGTGTTTAAAAAAAGAAAAAGAAAAGAAAAAAGAAAGAAAAAGAAGAAAAAAAATGACACAGCTATTGAGCATAAATGCCAGAGTGGCCAAAATTCTGAATGAAAAGCTCAGACTCTTCTAGCCACCTTGGCAGAAAGGGAGGAGAATGCCTTTTGCCTGAAGGACTTCAGAGCCCCCTTTAAAGCTACTGAATAGTTGGCCACTGCCTTTCCGTAGATGAATTGGCTGGTGCTTAGCTTTTCTCTGGAACCCAGAGAAAGATTTTTTGAAGTATAAGCCCTGCCTGCACCAACTGCCCAAGGCACGGTGAACAAGGTCCCCAGGCCTGAGAGAGCATTCCAGGTCTGCATGGCCTGGTTGCTGCCTCCCTCATCCTCCACATCCACATCCCTCCCTCCTTTTATAAATGATCCACTAGAAAAACAGCCATCTTTCAAATTTAAGATTCTCTCTCACCTTTCCCAAAATGCTTCCCACGGCTTTTGGAGATAGAATCAACCATTCCTTTCTCTATAACCTCCCCGACTTAGTATTTCATCATCATCATCAAGAAATTTTTTGAGAACTCAATCTGCATCTTGCACAATGCTAAGCCCACAGTATACATTATTTTTTCTTCAGAGTAGTTATCACACTCCAATGGCTATTTGCATAACTGTCTGCTTAATGCCTATTTCTTTTCTAGACGGAAAGTTCCCAGAAGGGCAGGCACCATTACTGCCTGGTTTATGACTATACCTACAGCCCCAGCACAGCTCCCAGTACGCAGTAGGTGCTTAAAAATATCTGACAATGAATACAGTCATTATTTCAGTGAATTCTCACAACAATCCAATTAGTTAGTCACAGTTACTAACGTGAGTTTACACCTGAGGACGCTGAAGCGTGGGAAGGTTAAGTCAATGGCCTAAGCGAGGAGGCTGGGATTGGAACCTGGGTGGTCTGTCTCCACAGCCCACGTGTTAAACCCCTGCACTACCCCTGTATTTCTACACCCCTCTACTTCTGGTTGCCAGCATGAATCTTTTTTTCCTCTTGTTCTCTCACAGTCCCTGGGAAAAGCCTGTCTCTACCCTGGAAGAACAAAAATTTCCTAATGGCAACAGCAAGAGACTGTCTATATGACAACTGTAATCAGTGGTTGTATTAGCCTCTGTTTTACCACCTCCAAAATTAGCAGAAAAGGCCAACTTGAGCTTTCATTGTACAGCTCTGCTAATGAAGGGATCCTTTTAATTACATACTCAGTGCCTATCTGCAACACAAAGCATTTTAGTGTTTAAACACAGTTCTGTACCAAAGTATAGGGCTATGTGAATACAGACAATAAGTTGGGGGAAGCCATGTGTAAAAGTTATTCTTTGCCTAGACTGTAATTTCTTTTTGACAGTCAATTTCATCTAAACCCAGTTCATTTTCTATGGTAATCCTAATTCTCTTCTATACACTGAGCACCCGATGAACCCTTATTCAGTAATTCCGTAGGCATATCCCAGGTCAGATACTCCCTCTTCAGATTGCAGATGACATCTGCACACTTTGTTAATTTCACTCATCACTGACTGATTTGCTTTGAGGGCTCTCGCCACTTACCTGCGCTGGCACATCGGTCAATTCCCGCGGTACAGGTGTTGAACACAAAACCAGCTTCACTCAGCATCACGCCAGGAGTTCATGACATTTGTATCCCACTTTCCAAAGCAATTTTTGAGTGCCATTCTGTATGGGATTTGCACTGATGCGAATGAGGCCTTACGAGGCAGATCCCACAGACCTTTCTCAGACAAGGGTGTCCTGACCTTGCATTTGTATTTGGTCAGGGGAAAAAGGGAATCACTCTTAGTGAGCCCCTCCTTTGGGCCAGAGACTCTAACAGGCATTAATTACCCTGGTTAAACCACACAGAGACCTTAAGATGGAGATATTAAGATGCACCTCCAGAGCCAGAATGAGTGGGTTGGAATCCTGCCCCTGTTCCCAACTAGCTGGTAATCTTTGAAAAGTCTCTTATCCTGCTCATGCCTTGATGTCTTCATCTGTATAATAGGGATAATAACTCTCCCTATGTCGCAGCATTGTTGTGAGAATTAAATGGGCTAATCCATTCAGAGCCATACCTGGAACGTGGCAAGCACTCAGTAAGTGTTAGCTGCTGTGACTGAACAAACAAAGCTAAGCTCAGGTTAAACACAACACTCAAAGTCACGTGCCTCCTAAACAGTATCAACTGGTAACCAGGACCTGTCTGATGCTTAAGACCCTAGGCTTCCAGGGAGGCTAGGTCAAGGGGGCTCACTGCTGGTCCACCCCTAGAAGACTGTAGTCAGCGCCCTGGCCTGGCAGAGCGTGACCTAGAGGAAGTCTTTCCATGTGCATGGTCCCCTCCTGGCCGCAGCACGAGAACACTGGCTTCTGCCTCCACTGCCCACATACTGTTCTCTCAAGGGTGACCATGCACCTCCTAATTGTCACTGATCTTCTTAATCTTTCTCCAATCTTGCTTGTTCACAGCATTCAATGAAGCTGACCACTGTCTTCCTGAACCTCTCATTTCCTGGCTCCTGCACCCATGCACTCTCTGTGGTGTTTTTCCAACCTCTGTTTTCCCTCCTCTAGGACCCTTAGTAGTAGGTGGTCCTCTAAGTCCCTGTCCTTGACCTGCTCCCTGCCCACAGTCTTCCTGGGCGTTCTTATTCACAAACTCGATGGCCTGTACCTCGTGCCACCTCTCTGTGTCTGGGATGCCTCTGTCCTGCCCACCCCTTCACGACAGCCAAGTCCAAATCCTGCTCATTCTTCCAAGCTCACTCTAGACACCAGCCCACAGCCTTCCTGGATCCTTCCCACTCAGAAATACTCTCTTCCTGATTCCCACAGTACTTTATAGTGGAATTTATCATTTTCTAAATTTATATCACAGTCATTTAAGTTTGTGGCTTCTTTTTCCTGATAGACTCTGAGTTTGCCAGAAATAGAATCCATTTTTGTTCTTCTGGCAGTACTGTACATCTAATAGGTGATACAAAAAACACATGCTGATACATGATTGTGTAAGTAAAGTATTCTTTAAGACAGAGAACATGAAGAATTTGGGGTAATTTTGCCTGAAGACAAGAAAATGGGCAGGGTGACCTTTGGGCGTCATTTTTCAGCTTATGGGTCTATAAACCCATCTTTAGGGCAAAAATACCACATTAATAATTTATGGTGATGAGAATAACGGTCATTCTGGTTCCACCCCTTACCAATTGTGTGGCCTTAGGAAATGGAGATCAATACTCAGCCTCTGGTTCTCTTCTGTAAAATGGAGATGGACGATAGAATCCACTCTCCAGAGGTGTTGAGGGACTTGATGGGGTGGTATAAACAAGGGGCTGGCACCCTGGTTGGAACATCGTAAGTACCAAAGAAATGGTAGCTGTTATATGACTCCTTTGACATATATTTATTGAGTACTAACTCTGCAGCTAGGGATGTTGGGTCAACTCAAGCCCCACCTCCTCCAGGAAGATTTCGCGGCCTCCTTCGACCCATGACATTCTTTCCTCAAAGAACTCTGGTCCTATCAAGATTAGATTTTTTAAAGAATCTGACTAATAAATTAGGCATGCCTATTAGCAGTCAGGTCCAGAGAAAAAGTCTAACTTTTTACTTTATGCAATTTGAATTCCCTGAACATAGAGTTGTTGTCAAAATCCATTAAAGTATTTAATTTCTCTTGTCACTGCACAATTCCCCAAGCAGACATCCAGACAGTTTGCAGTGGTGTTTCTCACAGAAGTACTAAATGTTTAGTTATCAAGGTACATTTTTTAGATGATGCCTCCCTGATGGCTCTGGAGACTCTAGAGAGACTGTGTAAGTTCAAGCGCAAGGTTAAGGCAGGCAGCAGAGTGGCGAGAGCTGCAGGGAGGATGAATCACGCAGGCCTGGGCTTCAGCTCTGACACTGCCACTTCCTGGCTGACTGACCTTGGGGAAGGTACTTAACCTTACTGAGCATCAGTTTCCTCATTTGCAAAGTGGTGACAGCACCAAACCCACAGGGCTTTAGTGAGCACGAAGTGGAATACCAAATGTAAAGAACCCAGGAGAATGCCAGACACATCGCTGGTCCACGATACAAGATGGCTTAAAAATCCCAGAGATTTGCAGATGCACAGACTGGGGTCTAGAGGCTGCCGTCCCCATCCACCTCCCCCTCCCAGAGGGACAGCCCTAAGGAGCAGTGTGTTTATGGCGACACAATGGCCAGACCCACAGGGTCCTGCCTCTTCACAGTAGCCTCTCCCAACACCCATTCAAATCAATTATTACCCCACTTGACCGACTCACCCGGTGGGAGCCAAAGGTTTCCATGCCAACAGGAATGTGGTGGGCATCCCAACCCCCAAGAAAGAAAACAAAAGCGACTCTTTTAGTTTCCCTACTAACAAGCGCGGAGCTGAAGTCAGAGCTGTCTCTTTCTCAGTTGTCATGGCAACATCCACTGACCTACCCCGTCCTGCCAAACACACACGCGGGAGAGGGAGAGGGCAAGGGGGATGTGTGGGAGGTGGTGGTCCAGGGATGAGGGGCAGCAGAAACGCTCCACAATGCTCGGGAGAAAAGTACAAAAACACCCACTTTTACAAAAAAAAACCACTGGCAAATGCACCCCCCTTGCCAGGGAATGGAGAAATTCCAGTTTTTATTGTGTCGTTCCTTTGGCAATTATGAACAAATTTAGAGCCTATTCAAAAGGCCAGTTCAAACCAGAAGAGGGAACAATTATTAATTTCTCAGCTATGACACAGAGACAGGGGGCACTTCACTTGTACCTCTCCTGTCCTGCTCAGCATTTGGGAGACTGGGGTTGACGCTACTGTCTGCTGCCTCTCGCCACAGCTCAGGGCACAATCTACAGGGCAATTTCCCATTCCTGACCTAATGCAGCCTCAACAACAGCTTGGGAAGAACAAAGCAAGGCACCCACTCTGCAGGCAAGAAAACTGAATGCCGTGACCACAAACCCATGAGTACCCACTTCTGTTTTCTGTTTTCTAGTTTGCTCTCTGCCCCCAGAAGTCTTCACCCAGGAAAACACTTGAATTTGCCCAGATGGGATCAATTATTTCCCACACTCTTAGTCCTCGTGTAGCTTTGAAGAATCATTTTCTGGAAGTCCAACACCTGCCAGAAAATCCACCCAGATAGCCCACTTGCATCTCGGTAATCCAACGTTCCAGGATGAAGATAATACATCCCCTTGAACCTGCTTCTTGCTATTTCCATGTTGTTACTGGCAACTTCATCACCCCAGTGAGCCAAGCTCAAAACCCTGAAGTCAGCTTCGGATTCTCCCTCTTCCTCAGCCTGGTTTCTGGGGACTTGTACAGAAGTCTTCCACTGTCCGTTTTCCATTTGGAGGCTCTGATTCAAATATTCTGGGGCATCCTAGCAAGTGGAAAGCAGTGAGCAGTGGTTAACCACAAAGGCTGTGGGGTCAGGATGCTGGAGCTCTCGCTGCTTGGACACCTGTGTGCTAAGCACATCCTCTTATTTGATTCTCACCACGACCCTTTGAGGTTAGGATTCTTCTTCATATGATTCCCAGTTTCCATAAGAGACCGTTTCCCTATGAGACACAGAAAAATGGCATAATTTGCCCAAGGTCATCCAGCTTAGAAGTGGCAAAGCCGGCTTATGATTCTGGATTGGCTGGACTTAGAACTCTGACTCTGAACCAATATGCATAGCTCCTTCCCACTCAACCACAACTCTTTTTCTTTCTTTCTTTTCTTTCTTTGAGACAGGGTTTCACTCTGTTGCACAAGCTGGACTGCAATGGTGTGATTATGGCTCACGGCAGCCCCAAACTCCTGGCCTCATGCAATCCTCTTGCCTCAGCCTCTCAAGTAGCTGGGACTAAAGGCACAGTTCACCACTCCTGCCTAGTTTTGGTATCTTTAGTAGAGACAGAGTTTCTCTATGTTGTCCAGGCTGGCCTCTAACTCCTGGGCTCAAGGAAACCTTCTGCCTTGGACTCCCAAAGTGCTGGGATTACAGGCATGAGCCACCGTGCCCAGCCTATAACTTTCTTAGGAACAGGGCCCATCACTTCATGTTTATATCTCAGCACTGACACCAGGGCCTGCCTTGCAGCACCTGATGAGTGCCACCTGATCAAAGCTCCATAGAGTGTCTTAGCTCAGAGCTGACCAGCCTGGGTTCCGTGCCCTATGAGACCCCTTCTCCATATGTGACTTTGGGGGAACCATTAGGTAACAGCTGGAAGGCTGCAGTGGGCTGAACACTGTCCCCCAGAAGATATATCCAAGTCCTAACCCCTGAAACCTGTGAATGTGACCTTTTTTGGAAAAAAAGAGTCTTTGCAGATATAATTAAGGATCCCAAGATCATTCTGGATTTAGAGAGAGCCCTAAATCTGGGGACAGATGTTCTTATAGGAGAGAGATAGAGGGAGATTTGATGCAGACATACACAGAGGAGAAGGCCATGGGAACCGAGGGCAGAGGCTGGAGTCATGTTACCTGGCCAAGAGCTACCAAATGCTGGAAAAGGCAAGGAAGGATTCTCCTCTAGAGCTTTGGAGGGGGCATGGCCCTGCGGACACCCTGCTCTCAGACTTCTGGCCTCCAGCACTGTGAAAGAAGACATTTCTGTTGTTCTAAGTCACGCAGTTTGAGGTAACTTTTTAGGCAGCCCTAGGAAACTGATGTAAGAGTCCAGTGTCCTTATGTCCAACCTAGGTACCCTTGGGGGTTACTGTGAGATCATGTAACTGGAAGCAACTAGAATAGTGCCTGGTGCACAGTAGGCCCTCAATAGATGCTAGCTGAACAGCACTAAAACATTCTCAGTCAATATCCTGGAAACTTCTTTCCCAAGGCACACCTGGCTGACTGCCTCTGTCTATATTCTCAAGCTTGTAAAATGTTTAACTTCAGAACCCACGAGCCAGAAGGAGGAGCCACAGGGAGTATCTCCCTTTGAGCTCAGCTGCGTGGGATGAACGGGCAGCCAGCAGAGATGTTGGTGTCCTTGCGAGGCTGGTAACTAAGTACTGGCCCATCTCCAGACCAGGATGATGAGCCTGTCACGGTGGGTTTCACAAAACATCTGTTTCAGGAACAAGCCTATTGTTTCAGGCAAGCTCTAGAGATAATAGTATGTTTTTCCTACATACAGCCATGACATGTTCACTGAAGCGAATATCTCTAAATGTGACCAATTTCTTAAGTGGCAGAAGCCCATCAAACTCTTTGAGAACATATATGGCATGTGGGCAGCCCAAGCAGCTTCCTTTGCTGCCACAGAGCTAAAAGCAACACTCATTCTGGCTTGCAGGGAGGCGGTGAGAGTGGGTGGAGGTAGCGGTGGCGATTTCTCTGAAATTGGTCCCTCTAAAGGTTATGCTTCATTCTGCAAGGGAGTCAGGTCCCCAGGCTTCATGCATATGGATGGCAATGGTGGTTGAATGATAACCTGCAATTTCTCTTCCCCACGTTAATCGACTTGGGTTGGCTACCAAGAATTTGACTAGGAATCGCGATGCCAGTGCACATACCAATGATCCCAGGATCTCAGCTCAGCTCTGCCGGCTTCAACTCAATTCTGGCCTGAAATAAGAAAGCACTAGCTCGGTGTCCCGTGTGAGATGAGCAGACTATGCCTTGGCATGGGATAGAGAGACGGCCAGAAGGCCGACCACAGCGAGGAGAGCTGGGACACTTTCCCACAGGCGAGGGGAAACTTGGGCCAATGAAGCAAATGCTTCAAGATCCCCCATGAAGAAAGTGCCTCCCCCGCAGCAAGCTGTCCCCCGTCCTTTCTCCCAGGGGAGGAGTGGGATGTGAGCTCCTTCCCTCGGCACACAGATCAAGTCTGGAATACATCTGGTGTCTGGTGTGCTGCTTGGAAGTCAGGCCTGAACTGCCTGGGGGCCCCCAGGCAACCCCAACACCCAGTGGGGGTCTGGAGTGAGTCAGCTTCCTGGCCCCGGGAGCCCAGTTAGCCTGAAGCTGCCCTGGCTATTGGAACCTCCACTCTTAAACCCTCTTTGCTCACCCGGGTGGGACACTGGCCTGCAGCCTTGGCCCAGGTCCCCTCTCCAGTTCCTGGCTCTATCCCCCTCCCCTTCCTCACCAGACTGCTGCTGGGATCCCAGGATGCCATAGGGTTAAGCCCATCCTGGCTGACTGAGAAGGTCCCAAGGCCAAGTCTTTATAGCTCAGAAGGCAGTGGCTCTGGTATAACCTCCCCTAATTATCCTGTGCCCTGCAGACTGCTCCCAGAGAGCACTGGGCAAAGGAGTCAACACATCTGAAGAGGAAATAGCTTCAAGTCATAGAGACCAGCAAGTTCAAGGTCCTCATTCTGCCTGTAGACAAGTTCTGGAGATGGGAGGTGTGGCTTGTTCAAGGTTTCCCAGCACTTAGGTTTTAGGGCTCAGGAAAGAACCCGGGTTTCTGCACTCCTAGTGCAGTTTGCTGTGACAACGTCCTTGGCTCTTCTTTGGGCCAGTTCAGCTCTTTGTAGACAGGGGCTGTGTCTGACTCATTTCTGACTCTCCAGCAACAGCATGGGGCCAGGCCCGGAGCAGGGAATCAGTCAATGTTACTTAGACTTGGCTGAATCAGTCCCCTTTGTAAAACGAATAAATTAGACACAGACACATTACTGAAGCCTGCACAAAGATATGGCTTCAGGATCTTCAAATACCTCAACTACGAGCAGGGGGGTGCTATTTCTGCCTATAAAATGGCATGGAAGTAGAAAAAGATGTTAGGTCACTATGTGAATTTTTCCTTGCATAACTGTGATCCTGTGTCCACACAGTAACAGCCGCTATGGACTGGAGGTTGTGGCTGACATGCAGGCACTGGACTGGGGGCCTTGGACACAGGTCCAATTTAGTCCTGCTCTCAGCCCTGCCAGGCAGGAACTATCAGCCCAGATAGCGCTTGATAATAGGTAGAAACTGAGGCTTAAGCCAGTTCAGTGCTTTGCCCAAGGACACATAGCTCCCAAATGCTAGAGCATGGATTTTAGTCCAGGTCTGTGCTGTTTTACCTGGATTGGGTTGTTCTGACATTAGAATAGCAATAATATCTAATACATCGTGAGTTTACTCTGTGGCAGGCATGTTAGGTGCATGGATTCATTTAATTCTCACAACAACCCTATGAGGTATCTCTACTTTACAGACGGGGAAAAATAGGCCCAGAGAAGTGAAGTAATTTTACCAAGTAATCAAAGCCAGCCTAGAAGACAGGGAGGGAATAGTGAGAGACAGAGAGAGCTCAGAATAAGAGGCTGGAGGTGCACGAGGAGCTCTGGAGTTGGGCTGGATTTGCTCGCTATGTGATTTTGGGCAAATTACTTGGAATACTTTTTTAATTTTTGGAAAAATATATATAACATACAATTTACCATTTTAACTATTTTAAGTGTGTAATTCAGCAGCATGATGTACATTCATTGCTGTGCAGCCATCATCACCTTCCATCTCCAGAACTTTTCTCATAGTTCTCCACTGAAACTCTGTCCCTATCAAACAATAACTCTCGACTCCCCCACATCACCCCCAGCAACCACCACTCTACTTTCTGACTCTATGAATTTGACTACTCTAGGTGCCTCACACAAGTGGAATCATGGCTGGGCGCAGTGGCTCACGCCTGTAATCCCAGCACTTTGGGAGGCCGAGATGGGTGGATCACGAGGTCAGGAGTTTGAGACCAGCCTGGCCAACATGGTGAAACCCCGTCTCTACTAAAAATACAAAAATCAGCAGGGCATGCGGGCGTTTGCCTGTAATTCCAGCTACTCTGGCGGCTGAGGCAGGAGAATCACTTGAAATCAGGAGGCGGAGGTTGCAGTGAGCCAAGATCGCACCACTATACTCCAGCCTGGGCAACAGAGCAAGACTCCATCTTGGGCGGGGCGGGGGGGGAGGTGAGGCTGGGGAGGAAAGTGGAATCATATAGTGTTTGTCCTGTGTATCTGGCTTATTTCACTTAGCATAATGTCCTAAGGGTTCATCTATGCTGTAGCATGTTTCAGAATATCCTTCCTTTTAAAGGCTGAGTCTGTTTATTCATTCATTCATTCATTCATGGACATTGTAAATAATGCTGCTATAAACAAGGTGAACAGGGCAAGTTACTTTTCAGTTAGTCATTTTTCTACCCCAATTCTGAGCCTCCAGCTTTGTTCCTGACTCAGAGGAGGGATTCCCCATCCATCCAGTGTCTGGGCCAGAAACCAGAGAGAAGAGATTCATTCTCCCTCTCCCCTCACAAGCATCAAGCCAGCCAAGTCCTATCCCTCCTGTCACTGCAGTTCACACACATCTCTGCCATCACTTGTCAGCTCATCATGGGTCACCTGAACTTCAACAGCCTCTTCACCAGTTTCCTGGCTCGCAACCTCCGCTTCCAATGTGTCCTTCATGTCATAGCCAAAATCCCCAAGCCTGTCCCTGGCTCACTCCCTCATTTCCTTCAAGTGTGTGTCCAAGTGTGCCCTTCTCAGGCAGGCCTCCCCCAAGCACTCTGCTTACAAGTGCAGCCCACAATCTTCCCAGCCCTCCAGAGCTCTCCCTGCTTCATTTTCTCCATAGCGCTCATCACCACTCATCACAGTATAGATTTTACTCATTTATTTTGTTTATTTTCCATCTCCTGTCCTCTCATCCTCCACCTCCCATCAATAATGGCAGTTCACAAAGGCAGGTATTGTTGACAGTTTTGTGCACTGCTGACTCCTCCATCCTGGTGCAGAGTAAGTGCTCAATAAACACTGGCTAGGTGCATGAATGCATGAATGGGTGCATGAATGCATGAATGACTGGCTCTTCTCTGCCTGCAGAGTGAAGTCTAAACTCTCTGGCCTGGTCAAGCCCTTGACTTTGGGTCCCTCTCTGGCCCCATCTCAGACCACAGTCCTATTTAAGCTCCAGCCACATTGCCCTGCCCACTAAGCCCTCCTGCTGTCTGATAGACAAAGACCCTAAGCCTTTGCATGAAACTGGCCTCTGCCTGGAACTTCATTCCTTCCACCTTGCCCCACCCTTCTGCTGGTTTGTGGGGCCCCCTTCACTAGGCTCCCATGACACCCTGTTTTTAACCCCTTTTGAAGCCCTTTTCACGCTATATTACAATCGTCCTTGAACCCATCTCTAGCTGTTCTAAACTGCCAGCTCCACCAGGGCAGGAAGACCTTGCTCACACTGGGATTCTAAGCGCTGTTCACTGAGCACATCATAGCTGCACAGAAAGTATCTACTGAAAAACACGAGCAACCTTGAGAGTCTCCACTGCTTCAACCTGAAACAATGGCGATGCCACTCCTGCAGGGTTGCCCGAGGATCAGAGATCACATACGATATGTACAACATCTGCCACCGTGCCTGGCACAGGGCAGGCATTTAACACCTAGCAGTTCAGTGCTAGCCTTTGATGCAACAGCGGGATCACAACGATTTAGGAAGATCTGCTGCCTTTGTTTAGAAGCCACCAGCTGAAGTCCTTCCATAATTTGTCATCTCTGGGGCCAGCCGGTAAGTGTTGGCCCCAGAAAAAATCCCTGTCCTTTCCTGTCTTATCCATCACATTTTGGCAGCATGCTCACTGAGCATAGAAAACGTCCAAGTTCACTTTCTTCTCAGAACTGACTGTATCTATAATCATCGTGTCACGGAACTGAGAACTTCCAGGGATTTCAAGGACCAACTGTGCTGATCCCTCATTTTACACCTGAGGATACAGGCTCAGAGAGGTTGTCTAACTTGCTCATAGTCACTCAGCCAGATAGGAGTTTCACCTTCTCTTTCCTTTATGCACAATTTCAATTCTCTCTGGTTGAACCTGTTGGACCCTAAAGGATTTGAGGGTTTAGTCTAAAATTCTCACCTGGGCTAAATCCTCACCATTATCATCATATATATACGTGTGTGTATATATATGATGATAATATATATACACATATATATGAGATATATATATCTTATATATCTCATATATATGAGATAATATCACTATAATATAAAACCTATATATAGGTTTTATATATAAATATATATTAAAAAATATAAAAAATATATAAACTATATATGTAGTGATGATAATATCTATCAATTATGAAAGTTAAAAAGTCTCCTTCTACCTTTATATATATACACACATACATATACATATATACACAGATATATATATACACACACATATATATACATATATACATATATACATATATATATATAATCTTCCAATCAGCAGCATCAAGTTCATTTTAGACATTGGAAACTCTTACTGGGAAACTGTGTTAGTCCATTTGCATGCTTCTGATAAAGGCATACCTAAGACTGAGAGGAAAAATAGGTTTAATGGACTCACAATTCCACATGGGGGGGTGCTCACAATCATGGCGGAAGGCAAAAGGCACTTCTTAAGTGGTGGCAAGAGAGAATGAGAGTCAAATGAAAGGGGTTTCCCCTTATAAAACCATCAGATTTCGTGAAACTTATTCACTACCACAAGAACTGTATGGGGGAAACCGCCTCCATTATTCAATTATCTCCCACCGGGTCTCTCCCACAACACGTGGGAATTATGGGAGCTACAATTCAAGATGAGATTTGGGTGGGGACACAGAGCCAAACCATATCAAGAACCTTTTCTGCAACCCAAACAGAAGAAATTTTACTCTTACTGTCCCCCTGAATGAATGACCTGCCATCCACAGAGGGATGGCAATGTCCCGCCACATTCTCCATGGAAGAGAAGCTCCTCCCTGGAAAATACCTCTGCCTGCCCAGAAGTGAGGTCCCCTTTGTCGTGGCCACTGGCAGTACTGTTGCTGGACTGTTTTGAGTGGGGAAGGAGGCCGCTGTGGGAGCAGTGTCAGGTCTGGCAGTCAGGGGGTTGCAGAAGGATCAGGAAGGCCGTGAAGGGGGCCCCAGTTGGAAGTGAGCCCAGAACTCCCCCTCACTGGGAAGGGAGCTCTGAGTCATCAACCACCACCTACAGACTAATTCACAACCTATGGTCCCAGAGGAAATCATTAGTTCTAAGTATTATTATTAGGCATAATAACTAATTAGTAAAAATAGCTACCATTTACCGAGTGCCAACTTATGCCTGATACTTAATGCATATTATTTCTTTTTCCTATTTTATGCCTTTAAGTTTATTTCCTATTTTCCTAATTATAAAGTCAATATATGTTCATGTAAAAAAAATAGTTAAATATACCAAAAAGCAGACAAAGAGGGAAAAAAATCACAGTTTATTCCATTACGTACCTACGACCATTGTTAACATGTTGGTGTTTTATTTCCAGAATTTCTTCTCTGTCTGTCTCTCTAGCCTTCTCCATGCATGCATATGTGTGTGTGTGTGTGTGTGAGGGGGGCCATGTGAGATTTAACATAGTTGTGACCATGATTTTACAAAAAATTACCTCTAACTTCTACAACAATCCTCTGAGTTAGGTACTATTATCCCCATTTTACAGATGAGAAACCTGAGGCTCAGAGAAGATGAATAATTTGCCCAGTGTCCCACAGCAGGTCTATGGCGGGAGAGGGACTCATATCAAGTCTTTCTGTTATCAAAACATGTCCTTTCCCCACTCTGCGATGTTCCTTCCCACTTAACAAGGAAGAACTGGGGATAGTTTAATTACCTCTACGTCTGCTATCCCATTCCTCTGCCTGTATCTGCTGGACCACACCCCACAGAGAGCTGTAGGTAAGGGAGACAAAGATTATCCCACTTACGTCTACTCAATGGGCAGTACCCAAGGATGGAAAGCTTTGAAAGCTTAAGCTTAGATGGAGACATTCTGTCAGAAACTGGAGGGAATCTGTTTTCTGTGCATACAGATATCTGGAAAGCTGAAATCAGAAAGCACAATGAACTATTCTTTGCAAGCTGTTTTGCATGAGAAAAATGTAAGTATCATCTGAAGAGCAGCTGCAGGATGGCCTCCAAAGCTCTAAGGGGCTGGGCCACCACGAGCCACACCTGTGGGGAGGAAGTAATGAGCACCTGGATTCCACGTTTCACCAAATGTTTGAGCAAAGCCATGGGTACTAAGTGTCTTCATGTTGGTACCAAGCAGATAAACATGTGACATCTCTCTCCTATATGCCAAGCACTGGGCACGGGGTCTATAAAATAAATGAGACAGTGTCCCTGCCTGCAAGGAGCCTACAGCCTGGTGCAGGAGACCCCTAAAAGAAGAGACTTATACCAGGATGTAGGAAGTGCTGAGATGGAGACACAGAAACCTTTCTGGAGAAATAGAAACGCTTTTACACTGTTGGTGGGAGTGTAAATTAGTTCAACCATTGTGGAAGAAAGTGTGGCAATTCCTCAGGGATCTGGAACCAGAAATGCCATTTGATCCAGCAATCCCATTACTGGGTATATACCCGAAGGATTATAAATCATTCTACTATAAAGACACATGCACACCACATATGTTTATTGCAGCACTAGTCACAATAGCAAAGACTTGGAACCAACCCAAATTCCCATCAATGATAGACTGGATAAAGAAAATGTTGCACATATACACCATGGAATACTATGCAGCCATAAAAAAGGGAAGAGTTCATGTCCTTTGCAGAGACATGGATGAAGCTGGAAACCATCATTCTCAGCAAACTAACACAGGAACAGAAAATCAAACACCACAAGTTCTCACTCATAAGTGGGAGTTGAAACAATGAGAACACATGGACACAAGGAGGGGAACATCACACACCAGGGCCTGTCGGGGGGTGGGGACTAGGGGAGGGATAGCATTAGGAGAAATACCTAATGTAGATGACAGGTTGATGGGTGCAGCAAACCACCATGGCACATTGTATACCTATGTAACAAACCTGCACCTTCTGCACGTGTATCCCAGAACTTAAAGTATAATTTTTTTAAAAAAGGGTTAAAAAATTGGACCCTCAAGGTCCAATCCCTAAAAACGTTAAGATGGGAGAATTCATGGTTGAGAAGAAAAGTCAGCGGGGGTCAGGGGAGGTGGGACCAACGACAGGAATAAACTGATTAAAGCCTTTTTAGCCACGTCCTATGCTCGTTTAAATGAAAAGATAAAGACAGGGGACTAAATAAAGATATATCTTTATCTTACATGTCTTAAATGTAGTAACAATGAGCTTCCACACTTCACTCCCTACAGAGTTTTCAGAATCCTTCTCTCTTTCATCTTGAAAAGATGTCTGGAACGTTTTGCTTTGCTGCAGATAATGTTCACAATGAACCTCATTTGTGTGTGTGTGTCTGTGTGAGCTATGTTTGTGTGTGTTTGTGTAGCTGTGTTTGTGTATGTGAGTGTGTGCACAGAGTTGTGTTTGTGTGGCTGTGTGCGTGTGTGTGTATTGTGTGATGTGCGGTTGTATGATTGTGTGTTTGTGTGACTGTGTGTGCATGAGTGTGCGCTGCGTGTGTGTCTGTGCACGTTTGTGTGGTTGTGTAAATGTGTGGTTGTATGAGTGTTAGTGTGTGTGGTTGTGTGTAGTTTTGTGTTTGTATGACTGTGACTGTGACTGTGTGTTTCGTTGTACATATGTGTGTGTCTGTGTGGTTGTGTGTTTGTGTGACTGTGTGTGGTTGTGTATGTGTGTCTGTGTGAACATGTGGTCATGTGTGCTTATGAGTGTGTGTGTATGTGTGGTTGTGTGTGTTTATGTGTGTCTGTGTGAATGTGTGATTGTGTGGGTTTGTGTGACTGTGTGTGATTGTATCTGTGTGCGTCCGTGTGGTTGTGTGTTATTGTTTTGTGTTAGTGTGTGGGTGTGTGTGTGTCTGTGGATGTGCGGGTGTTTTGTGTGTTTGTGTATGTGTGTATGTGTGGTTGTGTGTATGAATGTGTTGTGTGGGTTTGTGTGACTGTGTGTCATTGTATCTGTGTGTGTCCCTTTGTGTGGATGTGTGGGTGTGTCTGTGTGGGTGTGTTTGTGTGGGTGTGGGTGTGTGGGTGTGGGTGTGTGTCTGTGGTGGGTGTTTTGTGTGAGTGTGTATGTGTGGTTGTGTGTGTGTATGAATGTGTGGTTGTGTACATTTGTGTGGCTGTGTGTCATTGTATCTGTGTGTGCCCGTTTGGTTGTGTGTGTTTGTGTGTGTTTTTGAGTGTGTGTGCTCCGCCATCTACAGGTTCTGTTATCTCTAACTGAGTAAGCAGGAGCCGTTAAATTCTGCCTCTGGCTCCCACCCAAGACACGGAATGCTGGGAATGGTTCCACCTTGGTCCAGCGCAGCAGATTAATCTAGAAAGAATAGACACATTTCTTACGGCGCCCAACACGGGCTCCCCTTTCCGGGGCTAGGTGGCTTTAGCCTAGAGTTCCCAACTGTGGGCCAGGAACCCACCCCTCAGCCCTTCACTTTTAGTCATCTTCCTCTTAACACTCCTGGAGGTCAGTTCCACAGCCCCAGCTGCTGCCCTCAGCTCTCCCATCTCACACACAGTCTTGGTGCCCAACCTCTTCGGTGTCACTTTCTCTCCTACCTCTTCCCTCTCATGTCTCGACTCCAAGGCCCTCTTTCTCCTGGAAATCGGGACATGATTCGGAACTCACACTTCTCCCGGGTCGGGACATAAGTCAGGACTCACACTTCTGGGTCCGAGGTTGCATAGATGGGCGTGCAGGAGGCCATCTGCAGGTGCCTGAACTTCAGTGCGGGGTCCTGGCGGCGGGGCGGCAGGGATGACTACGCAGACCCTGGCCCTGAGGCGGGAGGAAGCACCTCCTTCACCCGCCGCAAGAGGAACAGGCTGTTCCAGCCGAGATCATTTCGGAAACGATGCTGCGGCTAGCCTGGGAATGGGGATCTGTTTGTGGGTGTCATGGCCATCCCACGCCAAAAGAAAAACGCGTACAGGGATCCGAGGCACGAACCAGCCGCGCACTACAGACCACGCCTCGAGTCAGCTGTAGGTCTTTTCCTTATGACCGCTTCCCAAACTGGCTCTGCAAAGTCAGTGTCAACCAATCACCTATTCCACAAATTTGATTCAGGCCACATTAATTTGCGTTTGACCTAACAGTCTAGCAGTCAATAGACTTATTAAGGAAACCTGAATGACTAAGAATGTCAGCCAGCCAGCCATGCACACACAGGAAAAGATCAAAAGGGGGACCTTTGTGAGAGAAGGCATGGCTCACCCCCACACAGAGGCTATGTGCTTGCAGTAGTTTTTTTCCAGTTATGAAAAAATAAAACCATACTGGTTTTCCACAGCGGATATCCACTGGGTGCTTTTAGACCTCATAACAAGCCTGCCAGGCAGGACACAGGCCCAGAGAGGTTAAGCACCTCACTCGAGATCACACAGCTAGCACGCGGTAGAACTGAGGCTCAAACCTGAGCAGCCTGAGCCGCTCTTCGTTGTTGCCTCTTCTGGGGGCTGCGGTCATTCTTCAGGCCCTGGCTTCGGCTCATTTTTCTCTCTCTTCTCTCCAGATACTCAGCCTCATCAGTGCTCCGGCCATCATCTCTGCGATGACTCCAGATTGATCTAATTTTCCCTTCTCACCAGGATTCCAGCCCACTCTGCAAGTCCCTGCTGAATGTCGACTCTTGGCTACCCCGCATCCCACAAGCCCACCTTCCCAGGCATTTCCCTCCAGGCACACACACACACACACACACACGCGCGCGCGAAGTCTCCAACTGCCCCGGGAGGGTGTTCTCAATTGCAGGAGAGCCCTTAAAGGCCACCTCCTCAGGGAAGCTTTCTCTGCCCATGTCTCCATTCTGATGCATCCCTGGGTACTCAGTTTCCCCTTGGTCCTGACTGTACCGGGCACAGCCTCTGCTGCTGTGTTTTCCCTCATTTCACTGCATTTCTCCCCATCAAATGGATGTTTTTCCTTCTTCTCCCTTTCTCCCTTCTCTTTTCTCCTCTCCTTCCCTTCCCTCTCTTTCTTCTATTCTTTTTTTTTTTTTGAGATGGAGCCTAGCTCTGTCACCCAGGCTGGAGTGCAGTGATGCAATCTCAGCTCACTGCAATCTCTGCCTCCTTGGTTCAAGCAACTCTCATGCCTCAGCCTCCCGAGTAGCTGGGACTACAGGCACCTGCCACCACACCTGGCTTGTTTGTTTGTTTAAGTAGAGACAGGGTTTCACCATGTTGGCCAGGCTGGTCTTGAGCTCCTGACCTCAAGTGACCTGCCTCAGCCTGCCAAAGTGCTGGGATTACAGGCATGAGCCACCATGTCCGGCTCCATTCTTCCATTCTTAAAACCTGCTGTCACCACCCCCACCCCCACAGAGAGAAAAGCTGGGACGCTAGAAAGGGAGAGACGGTGCTTGGGAAAAAGGAGGCTGGGGAGCCCTGTTCTCAAGTGAGGGGCCAGGAGGCACTGCTGCTGCCTCTTTGGCCCTGAAAAGGGGATGTGGGGGCTTCAGGCAGATGGGGTAACCCCACTGGCTGCAATAGGGATAGCAGAGGTGGCTGAAGTGGAACAGGGAGCCAGGACAGGAAACCATAGGCCCAAGGGAATGACAGGCCTGAGAGGGTGGGGCAGGGCCAGGCCTGGAAGGCAAAATGGCTGCCAGTGTGGGGGCTCTGGCAATGCAGGGTCCTAACGCTCCCACCACAGAGCAACCCAAGGTCAAGTGCTTGATGGCCGTGTGTCCACCGATGGGCCAGGCACGGTGGGCTCCCTGGGCATGGCACTTAATGGGAGCAGGTCATTCTGGCCATCTCCATCAGTGCAGCAGCATGATCACCACTCACTGCAGCCTCAAACCTCTGGGATCAAGCGATCCTCTTGCCTCAGCCTCCTGAGTGGCTAAGACTACAGCCACATACATGGTTTAGACTTCACGCAACACATCCACGTGTGCAGCTGAGGAATGTGGTGAGATGCATGTCTGGCCAGCTGCTGGGCAGGGAAGGAGCCATAAGCACCCTCTCCTTGTCCTCATGCCTGCTTCTGTTGCTGGGTGCCCTTCTTCTTTGCCTGGCTCCTGATAACTCGGGAAATCTTGGCATTGCAGAGGGGCCCTCTCCTGCTCCATCAGCCCCTGTGCTCATCAGACCTGAGCCCCTGTCAGGGGCCATGCTGTGTCAATGAGCTGCTTACATCACCTCCTCCCTGGGCCCCTCTGCTCCAGCTCTGCTGGCCACCTTGCAGCTCCTTGAACTTGCCAGGCACAACTCCGTCTCAAGGCCTCTGCACTTGATGGCTGCCCTGCCTGGAGAGCTCTTCCTCCCTCAGCTTGCTCCCTCTATCCTCTGCGTGTTTACTCAACACCGCCTTCTCAATAAGCCCTGCCCTAAACACTCTTTATGCACTTCTCTGCTTTATTTTTTCTGTCTTAATACTTATCACCTATTAATTCACTCTGTGTGTGTGTGTATGTGTGTGTGTATATATATATACATATATATATATATATATATATATACACACACACACACATTTAGAGACAGAGTCTCAGTCTTTCACCCAAGCTGGAGTGCAGTGGCACAATTAAAGCTCACTGCGGCCTTGAATGCCTGGGCTCAAAAGATCCTCCTGCCTCAGCCTCCCAAGTGGTTGGGACTACAGGTGCACCACCATGCCCAGCTAATTTATTTTTATTTTTTGTAGAGACAGGGTCTTGCTATGTTGCCCAGGCTGGTCTTGAACTCCTGGCCTCAAGCAATCCTCCTGCCTCAGTCTCCCAAAGTGCTGAGATTACAAGCATGAGATACCTTGCCAGGCCCACCCTATATTTTAATTAATTTTTTCCTCCATTTTCTCCCTTCTTCTATCCCACCACCACTAGAACGTAAGCTCCATGACATTTGGGTTTTTGTCTGTTTCATTCTCTGCTACATTCCCAGTGACTAAAGACAGTGCCACGTGCATATCACATGCTTGGTAAACACATGTTGAATGACTAAATTTAAAAATTACCCTTCCAAATGTCTCTTAGGAGTTTTACATTGTATCTTATTTAACTCTGTCAATAACCCTATGCAGTAGACACTATTTCCCCCACTTTATGGAGGAAGAAACAGTAGCCAATGAGTGACAAGAATGGCTCAAAAAGTACTTATGCCTAGTAAGTGAGATTTGAAACCAGGACAGCCTCTCTAATGCCTGTGTTTATTACACTCTCCACATCACACAAGGGTGTCTCCTAATAGTCCCAATGGCCTCTGGACCTAAATTTAGCATTTAACTAGAGCATCTTGCCTTTAGTGAGGGTCTGTTGCTCCTAGTTCTCAAGCGTCTTTATTTTGCCTCTTCTCTTGAAAGACAGGTTCATAGAGTACATAATTCTAAGTTTTCAGTTATTTTCTCTGAGCACTCAAACAGATTTCACTGACTTGTGAATTGCATTGTTACTGTTGCGAAGTCAGCTGTCAGTCTTAATTACCACTGTGTGTTAGCACATAATCTGCCTTGTATCTCTGGTAGCTTTTATGATCTTTTCTTTGTCTTTGTTATTTAGCAGTTTCACAGTATATCTACCCGTGGATTTCTTTTTATTTTGCTTGAAATTCAGTGGGCTTCCTGTCAAAGATCATTGATGTCTTTCGTTTCTATTCTCATTGGAAAATTCTCAGCCTTAACGTCTTTGAATATCAACTCTCTACCTTCTTTCTATTATCTCCTTCTGGAACTCCCATTGGATGTATGACCTTCTTATTCTATCCTACATTCTTAAAATTCTTCCATTGTGTTTCCCATCTCATTATTTGTTTGTGCTAAATTCTGACTAATTTCTTCAAATGTATCTTTCAGTTGTTTATCAGGTCTCTAATTTATTTTTAAGTGAGTCTAATCTGCCATTAAACCCACTGAGTTCCTATTTTATTTTTATTTGCTTATTTATTTTTGAGATAGGGTCTCACTCTGTTGCCCAGACTGGAGTGCAGTGGTACTATCACGGCTCACTGCAGCCTCAACCTCCTGGACTCAAGTGGTCCTCCCGCCTCAGCCTCCTGAGTAGCTGAGACTACAGGTGTATAGAGATGGGGTCTCACCATGTTGCCCAGGCTGGTCTTGAACTCCTGGACTCAAGAGATCCTCCCACCTTAGCCTCCCAAAGTGCTGGGATTACAGGAGTGAGCCACCACACCCTGCCTGGTATTTCAACCTCTTTGTGGCTACTGTAAATGGGATTGTGCTCTTGATTTGACTCTCAGCCAGGATATTATTGGTGTATAGAAAATACTACTGATTTTTGTATACTGATTTAGTATCCTGAAACTTTACTAAAATTGTTTATCAGTTCTTAGTAGCCTTTTAGCAGAGTCTTTAGGGTTTTCTAGGTATAGAATCACATCATCGGTGGAGAGAAATAGTTTGACTTCTTCTTTGCCTATTTGGATGCCTTTTACTTTTTTTTCTTGCCTGATTGCTCTGGCTAAGACTACCCTTTGGATCTTCATTGGTAGGAATTCTTAGTGTTCCAGGCTTAAAGTTCATTTTGTCAGAGAAGAACTGTGTTTGCTTCTGTCATGTGTCTGGGAACACCAACAACTTAGAACAGCTTTGAACTAAATTATAAGTATTCTGTTTTTCAAGTCACACAGATAATGTGAATTCCAACTCCAAACTCTTGTGAGATTGGGCTTATGGCTCTTAAAGAAGACACTGTCTTTCCCTCCCCCGAGAACCAAGGCCAACACTGGTAAGTATCCCTATATTGCCCTGCGGGATGGGTTTTTCCTGGTTCACTCGCTGAGAATGTGATCTTTCAGTGGTCCTGGTTTTATGTGGGAGTTTCCAATCTAATTTCCCTCATTGTTGGGTCTCTAGACTTTGTTTCTTGTCTCCATGTGGCCCCAAGGTCTAGGCCACAAGGGATTGTCAGATGCTTGCACGGAAACCCCAGTTTCAACACCTGTTCACTCCCTCTGAAGCTGTGTTTCCTCATTACTTTGTGTTTTCTCATTGCTTCTGGCTTCTGATAATTTTTTTGTACTTTCCTGCCAGCACATTCCTACATTAAATTTTTTATTTTTTATTTATTTATTTTTTAGCCAGCATGTACTGGGGAGTTTCTTCAGATATCTAATCTGTAATATTGTTAGACACAGAAGATCTATTGTGTGATCACACAAAAATTACTTTCATTGCTTTTCTCTCTTTATAAAAATAATATATATCCTCTATAAAGAAAAAATAAAACCATGGGCAATCAAGATGAAAATAAAAACCATTTCTCATCCTACAGCCCAGAAGCAACCAGTGAACACTTTGGTGCCTATCCTTCCTTATCTATATAAAATAGATCCTCCGTATTTGTTATTTTGAAAGCTTTTTCCTCCACCCAAACTATGATGAACATATTTTCCTGGACTTCACTATTCTTTAAGAACATCCTTTTAAGTTACCAGAGTGCACAGGTGTGCCATGATGGAGGTGGTTTTGAATAAAAGTCTGCCTGACTCCTGAGTTCTTACTTTTTCCATTGTTCTGTGCGAGGCATTTCCCTCTAAGCATTAGCTAAACCAGAGTAGTTAGGAACCTTGGAGAAAAAGATGTTTCTCACAGACTGTTTCAATTCCCTGTGTCCCACTTTAGGCTTAGTGTGTCTTTAATTGTGTGCAGCTGGGTTTATGCTTGATCTGTTTAGCCTGGAGTTTCTACCGAGTTGTTTTTTTTTTTAAAGGTCCTTAATGGGATGTTGACGGGTTTATCTCACTCTCCTTTTTCGTGCCTGTACTGAGTTTGAGTAAGTCATCAGCAAGCCCTCCATTTATGTGTTTTTAGTGGAGTCCAGATGCTTCTTTTCTGACGCAGATGGGAGTTAAACAGCAGACCCAGGGCCACAGGAATGGTCAGTGGCCACAGGAATGGTCAGCCATGCCATTCTCTGTGGACTTCTAGTTCGTCATTGTAACACGTGTTGGGAAACTCTAGAGCCTTTTCTGCTCTGACATTCAGCAAGCATTTTCTCTCTCTCACAGAGTCACAGGTTATCAGATGGGGGATATCTGCAGGTTCTACACTATAGACTATATCATCTACCCCTGGGACTCTTATCTCAAATGAGCCCAGCTGCTTGGGGGCTTTCCTATGACTACTGTAACCACATTTCCTTATCCAGAAGTTCAGACACATTCTCTGATGGCCTCGGTCCAAAGGTAATAGTCACAATGGGCCAACTCTCAGAGGCCTGCAATGTACCTGAAACTGCACTGTATTTCACATAGATCCTCTAATCCTCATACCACGCCTGCAATGCAACAGGCTCCCTATTTTACAGACAGAAAAACTAAAGATTAAAGAGAGGAGCTTGCCCAGCATCACAACAAATAGGAGAGTCAGGATTGGAGCCCGAGTCCCACTCTTTCCATCCTGCCGTACTGCTTTTTGCTCTTGGGTTTTTTAGAACACAGAAATTCTGAGGGCATGGGAAGAACACTTAGCTAAATCTTTGGCAGTCCCCAGGGCTTGGCTGAAAAGTACCTATCATATGTATGGCAAAGCTGGATGGCACTGGTAAAAGCAGCACCTGTTTTAAACTCAAAACTGGGTTCACATCCCAACTCTGTCACTGAGATGCTGTGTGACTTGGGCAAGTTCACTTAACTCTTCAGATCTTCTGTTTTCTTATCCTTAAAATGAAGGTAATACCTCCCTTGTAAGGTTGTTGTGAAGATTAGGTGAGATTTTATATAAATATATACATGTAACGTATGAATATGAGATTACATGTATTTATTTTTATGCACATTATTTTTTATAAAATGTTTTAAACACTCATTTTACACACACAGATATCCCATAGGCGCCCAGTGGCTGGTATAAGGCAGTCACCAACCTCTCTGGTTCTGCCACGTCTATACTTCGTGAATCTGTCAGTAAAAGCAAATCGGATGGTACAATTAAAAGGATTAGGTAAATGTAAAGTATTGAAAGAAAATATTGAGGTGTATCTTTTCTTCTGTGCTTTGAATGGAGTGACATTTATCTTGTTATTTTATAGCTGGGAGTTTGCAGGGTTTTCCAGCTCAGCTCAGGGATACCAAATACAACGTGGGTTAAATATACAAGCCAACTCAGCTTCATGCCCGGGCTAAGCCTGTCCATGAAACATAAACCGCGTTAATTCCCATATTCATGACAGAGTTCTCTTGGGGGAACAGCATTTGGAGAAAATACTAACAACTAAAACTATTTCCACATTTCATAATGATCATCCAAGGGACATCTGCAACTGTGTGGCTTTGATACATTCTTTTTTTTTTTTTTTTGAGACGGAGTCTCGCTCTATCGCCAGGCTGGCATGCAGTGGCACGATCTTGGCTCACTGCAACCTCCGCCTCCCGGGTTCAAGCCATTCTCCTGCCTCAGCCTCCTGAGTAGCTAGGACTATAGGCACGCACCACCACGCCCAGCTAATTTTTGTATTTTTAGTAGAGACAGGGTTTCACCGTATTAGCCAGTATGGTGTCAATCTCTTGACCTCGTGATCTGCCCGCCTCGGCCTCCAAAAGTGCTGGGATTACAGGCGTGAGCCACCACGCCCAGCCCAATACATTCCTACATGTTTAATGTGTGGCCCATCTGGAGCCACACCAGCGGATTCAGCCCTGTTGGAGCCTTGAGCCAGTCCAGGCCCAACAATCGCCTTTGCCCTGGTGGTGTTCCTTCTGATTTAAGTCTGGAATCCTCACACATAAGAGAAACCTCAGGCTCTAGTAGCTACCGACCCCATCCTCATGGAGCCAGGTCAATTTCTTCCAACTGGGCTTCTGCCCTTGTTCCTGGTCGGTACCTTGTTTTCCACAAGGGAGACAACCTGACCAGGATCCCTGCCCGTTTGACTGGCCCCTGCCATGCCCTTGTTTCCTTTTTCTACCAAGGCAACAGGTGTTAGTCCCCACAGATAACCTTCGTGCTATCTGGGTCCAGCCGTGAATAACCTGAGCTCATGAAACCATGAGGCCACCAGCGTCTAGTTGCCAGTATTGACTCATGTATGGACGTCGATGCTCCTTTTGCCATTTTGGACCCACAGATATGGACACAAACAAATCCAAGTTTGTTTTGTCATGTTCTTTCACTTTGAAAAGCTCAGCTAACTTTCTGGATTGTTCCCCAGGCCCTCAGAACGTGCTGGCCTATGCTGTACATTGCTCACTAGTGGTGATCCAAGTTGCGGGGGTTCTCTGTAATATCACTGGTTCTAATATTGTAATATTATATCTCTCTGTAGAAGACATGAAAATGAAAAATATAGAACTATATAGGCAAGAGAACAAAACTCTCATATGTAATCTCACTATCCAGAAATTATCACTTTTAGTATTTTGATAAATCCCTTTCCACTCCTCTTGGATGCACATAATATTTTCACATAGCTGAAGTCACACTATACATACAATTTTAAAACCTGATTTTACATTTAACTTTTTTTTTTTTTTTGAGACAGAGTCTTGCTTCGTCACCCAGGCTGGAGTGAGATGGCACGAACTCGGCTCACTGCAACCTCCATCTCCAGGGTTCAAGCTATTCTCATGCCTCAGCCTCCTGAGTAGCTGGGATTACAGGCACACATCATCAAGCCTGGCTAATTTTTTGTATTTTTAGTAGAGACGAGGTTTCACCATGTTGCCCAGGCTGGCCTTGAACTCCTGAGCTCAGACAATCTGCCTGTCTCAGCCTCCCAAAGTGCTAGGATTACAGGCATGAGCCACTGCACCCAGCCATTTAACATTTTATTATAAGCATTTTTGCCATATCACCAAGTTTACCTATAGACATCATCTTTAATGACAGAATGACAATCCCTCAAGCTAACCCATATTTACATTGTTTCTAATTTGTCACTGCTTGGATGAACCTATTTGTGCAAAAAAATCTTTCTCATAATTTTGGATTATGTCTTTGGTGCAAATTCCTAGAAGTGAAATTTCTAAGTCAACAAGTGTGAACATTTTAAGGCCCTTGATATACAATCTGGCTTTAGTCTATGACTTTGTGAGTTGTTAAAGAATAAATTCATAGTCACCAATTCAAAGATTTTTCATCTATAATCTTTTGTTTGCCATGAAGTTAACTACTGAGATCACAATAAAATAGGGTGATACTTTTTCTATTAATTTCAACACAAATATGGGCTTAAAAATATTTCACACAGGAGTATGGGAAACTGGAAGTAATGAGATTAGGCAATATTTTCAAATGACCTGCAATCACTTTCCTAATAACAGGAAATTGTCATGAAGATTTGTATCTCTAATTATTTTTTAGACTCTTCTCCTCAAAGCTATGAATCTGAATCTGAGTCAGCAGCCTAAACAGCCAGAATTGGAAACAGTGAACTCTATTTCTGAGTTTCTTGAGTAGCATGGGAACTTGGGATGTCAGCTGCTCAGATCCATTTATGTAATAATTTTTAAAAAAAAAAAAATCTGTCTTCTCCATGAACCCTCCCCTGATCCCTCCAGGCAGAATCAATCACTCTTCCTTCTCTGCCCTGCTCATCACCAGTGCCTCATTTAACACTTGTCTTTGTCTTTATCCCATCACAGTTATTTGTTCAAGTCTCCCATTAGGATGGGTGCTCCTGGAAGGCGAAACCTAGTGTGTTTCCCTAGACTTAGCACAGAAACCAGTGCAAAACAGGCACACACAAACAGGAGGAGGATTTTTTTTTTTAATCTGCTAGTAAGCATGTGGGTTGTGGCTTGCTGGGAATCCTATGTGTAGGGCAGGTTGGAAAGGGAAAGGGGAAAGGGGAAGGAGGTTCAATGCCAGCCCAGAGGGTGTACATGAGCAATAATCAGAAGAGAGTATTATTTCTAAAATTTCAGTGGTTCCAAAATGAAAAGTACATTGACTATTTCATAGATATTTGTGGTATACCTTCCAGGGAGCAGATATTGTGCCAGGTGATGGGGTCCAGAGAGGAGTAAAAAGCTCTATCTGCCTTCCTAAAGTTCCTGGAGACCACCACCACAGTAAAATATAGAGTTTTTGGCCGGGCACGGTGGCTCATGTCTGTATTTCCAGATTTCAAACAGCTGACCGACAACCACCCGCTACTCCCTATTTACTTTACTCAATAAATAAGAACGGTTCTAGAAGCTCAGGGCCCTTGTTCACTAGAAGCAAGGAGCCTCCTGACCCCTTTTTCCAAATATACTCTTTTGTCTTTTTCTTTATGCCCATGTTCGTCCTCCTTTGTTCAGTCCACCAGGGTCTGTGGCAATTGAGTACCTACATTCCAGGCATTGTGCTGGGAACTAGAGACACAAATTGGGAGGCTGGGGTGGGAGGATCACCTGAGGTCAGGGGTTCGAGACCAGCCTGACCAACATGGTGAAACCCCTTCTCTACTAAAAATACAAAAATTAGCCGGGTGTGATGGTGCATGCCTGTAATCTCAGCTACTTGGGAGGCTGAGGCAGGAGAATAGCTTGAACCCTGGAGGTGGAGGTTGCAGTGAGCTGAAATCATGCCACTGCACTCCAGCCTGGGAAACAAGAGCAAAACTCTGTCTCAAAAAAAAAAAAAAATAGAGATTTCAATGATCCTATTAAAAAGCTTGTCCGTGGATGAAGGAAAATAAGCAATGCAAATCCAGATAGGATAAGAGATAGAGTCTGGATTTCCACTAATCAGAGAGCACCACCTTTAAGTCCATTATCTAAAAATCATTTAAGATTCTTTCAGGCAATCACTGTGTGTCAACCCTGCTATCTGCCATGTCTAGATTATCTGCTCACTCATTTCCATTTGGTAGCAACCTTCCAAGGGCAAGTAAGGCCTTTGAAATCCACTAAATCTTACTACAAATTTCTTGGGGGACTGTCATATCTGTGGTGGCTCGCCATGAAAAATGTATTATATCCAACCAAGTGGATATTTAAAACTATGTTATACATAATTGGGAAAGAATAGCTAAGGCTTAAGGATAAAGATTCATTAAGAAAAAGTGTTGCATGCTAAAAAGTTTTGGAGTGACATGGCCAAGATAAAATCCTCGTTCTGCTGGACATTCATCTTGTAGCCCTGCTAAGTTACTTAGCCTTTCTGGGGCTCAGTATTCTCATCTGTAAAATGGGGGTGATTATAGCTATTTCCTAAAGAAGAAGAGAAGGAGTAGGTGAACAAAGAAGGCTATGTGGGTTCGACACTGATGTCTAGCATTCAAACATAAAGAATGTGGAATGCATAAGAAAAAGGGGAAGACACCTTCTTCTGGTGGGTAGAAGACTGAGCAAGAAGCATTGGGTGACTCAGATTCCAGTCCCAGATCCATTCCAAACTTGCTGGAAGGCTGAGGGAATCCCATTCCCCTGGAACAATCTCAGTTTTCCCATCTGTAAAATGAGCAGGCTGGAATACATGACCCCAGTTTCCTCCCAGTTCTGACATTTCATCAGATCCTTTTGTTCTCTCTTCTTCTAAAGCATGTAAGTCAGTTAGGACCGGGGCCAAGGCAGCATCATAACATGGCTCATTCAGGCTTTCATGTCTCCAGGTTAGAAGGCTGCCAGCCTGGTCACCAAGAAGAATACTTTTGTGAAAGATCCTGCCACGAGCTGGTGTTTCATGAGCAACGAACAGAAAACCATCTCCCATTTTGACAGCCCTGCGCTGGGAATTCATAAAATATTCAAGTAACTAATAAAGTCATTTTTTGATTCAGCAGTGGTTTTCTCTACTCATCTCTTCATTTGTTTGTCCATCCAGTTGTTGATTCAAGTCACTGGAGCATCTATTATGAGAACAGACATGCAGATGTGCTGCTTGTCTTCCAGGAGCTATTGTTTCAGGCCTCTCTTCCTGGCTTGTAGATGGCTGTCTTCTCCCTGAGTCTTCACATTGTCTTCTCTCTCTGTGTGTCTGTGTCCAAATTTCCTCTCCTTGTAAGGACTTTCTAAGGTAATTAGGGCCTACTCTGTTGGCTTCATTTTAACTTGATTACATCTGTAAATACCCTATCTCCAAATAAGGTCATATTCTGAGTTACTTGGGGTTAGGATTTCAACATATGACTTTGTCAGGGGACACAATTCAACCCATAACAGTTAGTAAACTTAGTCAACCATTCCTTCATTTGCTCATACATTCATTCATTCTTCCATTCAACCCATAACAGTTAGTCAACTTATTTATCCATCCCTTCATGTGTTCATATGTTCATTCATTATGCCATCCAATCCATAACGGTCAACTTATTGATCCATTCCTTCATTTATTCATTCATTCTTCCAACCATATCTGAGTGTTGGGAGCCAAAAGCCTGAGGGTTGTGACCAACTCAGCATTCCACTGGAGGCTAAATGATCAAACAGCAAACTGCTGATCATGAGTGCAGGATGTGGGCAAACTCACATCTGCACCTGCCGCCAGAAGGTATGCTGAGGGCAATCACTCCCTGCCGCCGTGCTCCTTGAGATTATCTACTGGAACATCTGGAGTCTACTGTTCTAAGAAGGCAGTCATGCAGGCCTGCACTAAATCAAGCAGCTGACCAACAACCACCCCCTACTCCCTATCTCCTTTACTCAATAAATAAGAAGGGCTCTAGAAACTCAGGGCCCTTGTTCGCTAGAAGCAAGGAGCCACCTGACCCCTTTTTCCAAGTATATGCTTTTGTCTTTATTCCTACATTCGTCCTCCTTTGTTCAGTCCACCAGGGTCCATGGCAAATGAGTACCTACATTCCAGGCATTGTGTTGGGAACTAGAGACACAAAGCAGAACAAGCAGATGTATCCATGGAAGATGTTATATCTGGTGGAGGCATCATGCACACAGACAGCTCACTCAGTGCAAGGCAAGCTTAAAGTGAGGGCCGGGCACTCAGCTCCCGCAGAGCATTCTGGGCAGGTTTCTAAGTCTTCCATGAGGCAATGGTGTTGGGGCCAAGAGGTGAAAGACTTGGGTAGAGCTGAGTGGGTGGCAGGTAAGAAGAGAGGAATGCCTGGGAAAGGAGGAATGTCTGCAAAGGAAATTGCAAGGGAAGATAGAAGGGAGTGTGGAAGGAAAGGGCACCATTTTGGAACTTAAACAATGTGGATGGCGTCTAAGATGCGATTTTCCCCCATAACCTCGCTGGATCCTCAAGGCAATAATGTAAGGTATGTAGGGCAGAAATTATAATTTCAAAATAAAGATAAGAAAACTGAGGCCCAGAAGAGGATAACTAATTTGCTCACACGATACAGCGTTCAAGTGCAAAACCAGAGCTAGAGCTGTGGTCTCCCTCGCTTTGCAGACACAAGGGAGAAGAGCAGCAATAGGTGTCCTGGGGAAAATTAATCTCTTTGGGTTTTGCAAATGACCTTGACCCATCTATTTGGATTTTGTGAATGACCTTGGTAAGTCTCTTACACTCTTTCTCTCATGAGGTACTTCTGATATCATTTTGTTATTACTTGGGCCAAAGTATGCTGCTTTTCTGCAGGGAGCAGCATGGCTTCATTTCAAACACTGTTCTTCGTAACAGCTCTTTAACATTTGGCTACTAGAGAAAATGTCCCCGTATTTTGTGAATGCTTTAGAAACTTTCCAGTTCCTTCACAGTTTCCTCCGTCAGCTGAGTGTAACAGTTTGGAAAACAGTGATGCATCATTACAGCGAAATCAAACACCAATTTTAGCCCTTTCCAGCAGTGGTTTTCTTTAGAACACATTCATCATTAAAACAAAGGGGATGTGGGTTTGTAGGGAAAGTGACATTCGAGCTGTCAAGACAATCGAAAATGTTTAGGAAAACATGTCTCTTTTTTAGGTAATACTTGCTTTTTGGGCAAGTGCAATTTCAAAAAAAATTCTTTCCTGTAAATGAACATTGTTAAGATAACATAGGAAAGAGCCTGGAAATCCTTGATTGTCTCAAGTATAATCATTGTTTTGACTAATAAGTCAACTTTGCAATAACAAAAAGGCAAGTAACCAAATTTAACTATGTGGTTTGCATTTGTTTGTATTTTTAAAGTGTAAATCCTGAGTTTTGTTAAATAAGAGAGCCAGGAATAGTCATAGAGATTTTTTTAATGTGGGGGAAACTGGTTTTTCAACATTGGTAAAGGTTCTAATTGGTATATGACTCTTTTTAACAATAATAATGATGGTCACATACTATATTTGAATAAACTCTGAGACTTTATAAAGTTCTTCCATCCCTGTTATGCCCCCTGGTTCTCAGAATAGCCCTACAAGTGGCCAGGTGCAGTGGCTCATGCCAGCCCTTTGGGAGGCTGAGGTGGGCAGATCACTTGAGGTCAGGAGTTCGAGACCAGCCTGGCCAACACAGCAAAATTCTGTCTCTACTGAAAATACAAAAAATTAGCCAGGCATGGTGGCGGGCGTCTGTAATCCCAGCTACTCTGGAGGCTGAGGCTGGAGAATCGCTTGAACCCAGGACGTGGAGGTTGCAGTAAGCCAAGATTGTGCCACTGCACTCCAGCCTGGGAAACAGAGTGAGACTCCATCTCAGGAGAAAAAAAAAATTGACCCAGCAATCCCATTACTGGGTATATACCCTAAGGATTATAAGTAATTCTACTATAAAGACATATGCACATGTATGTTTATTGCAACACTATTCACAATAGCAAAGACTTGAAACCAACCCAAATGCCCATCAATGTTAGACTGGATAAAGAAAATGTGGCACATATATACCATGGAATACTATGAAGCCATAAAAAAGAATTAGTTCATGTCCTTTGCAGGGACATGGATGAAGCTGGAAACCATCATTCTCAGCAAACTAACACAGGAACAAAAAACCAAACACCACGTGTTCTCACGGGTGGGAGTTGAACAATGAGAACACATGGACACGGAGGGGAACATCACACACCGGGGTCTGTTGTGGGGGTGGGGAACTAGGGGAGGAATAGCATTAGGAGAAATACCTAATGTAGATGATGGGTTGATGGGTGCAGCAAATCACCATGGCACATGTATACCTATGTAACAAACCTGCACCTTCTACACATGTATCCCAGAACTTAAAGTATAATAAAAAAAAATTTTAAAAAAAAGAATAACCCTTTGAGGGAAGCAGCATACAGGTGATCACCCCACTGTATGGATAGGGCATTGGAGCATTAACAAATATTTGCAAGCTTCTACTATGTAAGAAGCCCTGGCCTGGGCATTCCAAGCTGAATTGGACACAGTGCTCCTGCTCTTAGGGAACTTACATGAATTTTTAGGCAGGTAGACAGAGCAGGGCCTATGACCCAGGGGCCTGGGCCGCTCATCTACTGTACTGCTAGATCCAACTCAAATCTGCAGCTCTGTTAAGGGTAACGGTGGAATTTCCTTTTGGAAGAGACGCCTTCTGGTATGGAGGCCATGTGGTGCCTGCCAGGCCTCTGTGGTCAACCTGAGGAAACATCCAGAACACTTCAAACCCGGGTCCCCGAGGATGCACAAGCACATCAGGAGATCTTCCACCCTTACCTTCCCCCCCGCCCCCGTCCAGCAATACCACGCTGCTTATGATCCCCCAGATATGAAATGCTCTCTGTGTCTCTCCCTTCACATAAGCTCCCCCTTCTGCTCGGAATGCCCCTCTCTGCCCCACAGTCCATGCAGGCGTCGTGTGTCACCAAAACCTAGCACAGAGGACACCACTCCCTTGCCTGAGTCCCTTCTATACCTTATATACACATCCACTGTTGAACTTGTCACCCCCTAAATTGTGTCTGTCTCAATACCCTATTGGATCTGGGAGCATCTTGAGAGTGGAGGCTGTCTTTTGTGACATTCTAGATCCTCAGTGGCTAGTCCAGAATCTGGCACAGGGCAGATATTCAACACATACATGATATCAAGAATTTAGTAAGCACTTAGAATGTGATGAGTTTGAGGCAGTCTCTAAGTGTGTGATCTCTAAGCCCCATAAAGATCCTTGGGAAAGGCATTCTTTTCCTCATTTTACGTATGAGGAACATGAGATTTAGAGAAATTAAGAGACTTGGCCAATATCAGAGTCAAGAAAAAAAAAAAGCACTAGGATTCAAAGCCAGGCTTATCTGATTTCAACAATCTTTCCACAAACCCACAGTGACTCTGCTGAATTGCCTTCAAGGTAGTTCCTCCTGCAAAGTTTGGTAAAGACTGCAGTGAACTCTGGCTGCTGTACTCTTTCTCCAGTCACCCTGCTCCACCCTAGACAAGGGGAAGCAAGAAGTTTTGGGTTTAGAAGTCTCCCGATGATTTCTTATCCATGACTCCCTTTTTGTTTGTTTTATCATAAGAGCATTTTCCACAGCACTAATCTGGATGACAAGACTGTAAGCACCTTGCCCTTAGTCATCTTGACTTAGAGTCTTTTTTTTAATTCATCTGACTGCTTCTGAAAATGGTCAAAGTCCAAATCTTACTGACGCTAATTATTTCTTTAAAATGTGCGGATCTGTCCATTGGCAAAAAGAAGACCAGGAGGCAAAGTTAAATTACATAGTACATCACTGTCCCCAGCACAGTCTTCTCTGCCACTCTGTCAGTGTGAAAATTTACAGCTGATATTATCTCTTTGAAGGGGCTCAAGTCTTAGAAAATACAAGCAAATTTTAAGTAGAATTTTAATTTTAATGAAAGCTTCAGGGAATGCTGTTTATGTTGCTTATCTTTCATACCTGGTGATTAAGTTACTTTATGCTTAATGGAAAAGGATATTTCTAATCCCCAGACAGGCTCAACATCTGTCTAGGACTGTGTTTTTGGAAGCTTTAAGCTGCTTGTGATGGATGTAATAAAACCAGGACACTACTGAACTGACACCTGAAGGCTATGCATAAGGAAGACCAGGGACATTATGTCTCTGCCCAGTGCTTGTATTGAAATCAAATCAACATCTCATGCATTTCATTCTGTCAGCCTTTAAAATCCTGCCTCATGCTCTTTCATGGTATTCCCTGGACAGGGCTGCGGAAATGAAGGTGGGTTGTGAGGTGGGATCTGGCTTTCACACTCAGTGAAAACTAGCAGTTCTTCAGCCCCTGTGACATCTACAGGCCAGGGTTCTGCTAGATGCCCTTTATCACTATCTCGTTTAACTCTTACAGTAATTCTGAAGGCAGCAATTACCATCCCCACTTTCCACTCGGAGAAACTAAGGCTCAAAGAGGTGAACTTGCTTATCAGGTGACACAGCTCGGAAGCTAGGATTTGATCCTAAGACAGCCTGCTCTTGTTCTATCCCCCATAGTATATGAAGGAGTTGACAAGCTATGGCCCTTGGGTCAAACCAATTTGCAATCTGTTCGTGTAAATAAAGTTTTATTGGAACACAGGCACAGCTATTTGTTAATATATCGTCTACAGCCAATGTCACGCAGCAACAGTAGAACTGAATAGATGTGGCAGAGATAGCCTGGCAGGCAGAGCCTAAGCTAGTTCCTATCAACCTTTTACAGGGAAGTTTGCCCTCTCCAGGCATAGGGCCTATACCATAATAAGGAAATGACCTGAGCACCTATTACCTGGGAGGCCTGGGTTGGGCCAGGGCATGGAATGACGGTTGATGAAGATACAGTCCACAGTTTCAAGGAGCTTAAAATCTGTAGGCAGGGCCTTCTAATGAAATGGTAAGCCCAGATGTTATCTATCTCAGCAGCCCCCAAGCTGCCCAGTAAAAGAGACAGTGCTGCCCTGCTCTCACCCTCCATATAGATCACTCAGGCCTTCCTGGGCGTCTCCATGAAGAGCCTCAAGAGCACCCAGCACATCCTCACGCAGCCCACTCCTATGTCATGCGGCCCCCTCCATCCTCATTGGACCACTCCTGCCTGCGCTCCTGCAGAGTCGCAGATGCCCCATTTCCCCTGCACACCACGGTGCTGGGGAGTGCTGCTTGGGAGCACCATGCCACAGCAAGAGGGCTGGCTCTTCCTGCTCCCTAGGCTATCTGGGAATGGAGCCAGATCCCATAGAGAAGGAGAGAGGACTAGAGTCAGGAACCTGTGTCACTGTGCTCCTGGGGTCCTGCTTGTGCCAAGTGTGGCCCAGGTCCTCTCACCCAGACCTATCAGCTCTGCCTCTAACCCGCTCTCCACAGGGGCTCAAAACCAGTGCTAGGGACCCAGGTCAGGAACATATGCCATTTCATCTCGATTTCCTCTGCCTCCTGTTGCTCTTTCTGTGACGGAAACCTCTCTCCTCACAGAACAGACAGTCACTGGCAGTGGTGGTGGGAGGGGGAGCTGGCCAAGGATTCCACACTAGTGACCACTGGACATAAAACTGGGTATTTACCCATCATAGCAACATGAAAAAAGTAAACAAAGGTGTGTGTGTGTGCATGTGCATGCATGTGTAATTGTGTGAATGTATCACTCTTCCATGAAATCATGCTCACAGGACTACATTAAACCATACGAAATAGCAGATATTGGGCTATTTTGACATACGAAAGTGCCATTTTGGAGTGCATATACTAGTGCTGTGCTTGTATACAGCTGTTACAAGAACATGTGCACATTTGCCAGCAGACAGGACACCTCCCAAAGTTAGTTCCGCTTTCTTCTGACTTCCCGATACATCTCATGTTTGCTTATTCTGACACCCATCACATCGTATTCTAATTGCTTAGATAGATGCCTGTCCTTCCTAAAATACTAGAAGTTTCTTTCTTGAATCAGAAACTTTTGTGCTATTTTAAAATATCTTTGCCTACCTGGTATTTCCCAGCTCAATATATCTTTGTTGAATAAATATGTACTGTTTGTGTGTGTAAAAGAACAAAAAAATTGCTATTTTCACATGCTTCAAGCCTAATAATTAGTACTTGATTTTTTTAAAAGGATCCTTACAGAGAAAAATAAAATGTTGGCTACTTTATGTTATCTTCACAATTTGGGTTTCTTTTTCGTTTACATTTTATTGGCTTATAAAGTCTGGACATCTGGAAATTACTTATCTTATACAAGCAGCAGTTGGCCCCCAAACATTCTCATAAAATTTGGCAGTAGCTATCAAAATTTAAAATCACCTATTTCTTGACCCAGCAATTTTATTTCTAAGGGTCCATCCTGAAGAAATATTGGCATGTATAGACAAAGACACACACATACACACACACACACACACACACACACACACACACACACACACACTGAGGGGGTTCCTGGCAATGTTGTTTGAAATGTGAAAAAGTAGAAATAACTTAAGTCCTCATCATCAGAGGATTAATTATAAAAAGAATGAAAATGCCCCAAACTGGTATAGCACACAGGCCATAGAAACAATGATGTCCGGATCTGTATCTACTGACATGGAAAGATGTCCTTACTGTACTGATAAGTAAAAATAGCAAGTCATAGCATGTCATATGCATGAATCATACATAGTGTGATCCTGTTTTTGTAAAAATTACTACAACATAATAAATTTGTCTCTCTTTACAGGTTTCAGTATCACTAAGAAGGGTTAGAAGGATTGAAAGCAAATTGTTTATAGTGGTTGTCGCTGGGAAGTGAGGCTGGGGTTGAGGGATAAGCTGAGGGAAGATTTGCCTTTCAATCTATAGACTTTAGAAATTGTTTGAATTATTTACAAGGAAGATGTATACTATTTTTATAATTTTAAAAACAAAGCAATAAAGAAAAAAAAGCCTTGATACACAGTGGCGATTTGTGCAAACCAGAATAAAACAGAATACAGAAAAAGGAAAAATTCATTTTGATTCTGGGGTTCTGGGAAGGCTTTCAGAGGAAGCACTTTCTGAGTTGGCCTTTAAAAGATGATCAGAAATAACGGAACGATGGTATCCAGCTTGAAGGAATCATGAGCACATGTCAGGCTCGAGGACAGCTACCCACATTAGAGTGTGATTTGTAGTTGATGACAGTCAAGAGGGTTGAAAATTTTGTTATGAAACTTGATCTCCAGTTAAGATTTTTATTACTTTATTCAGACAAACCTAATTTCTCCCCAGGTAGATGTCTCTTACTTGGAACTCAGCTGCCTAGGTATTTGAGGGCTGGGGAGCTGTTGCAGACACAATTAAAGGCCCATCCAAGACCCCGTCCCATTTCCTAACATATTACATTCTGTTTAGGTAGCCATGCTCTTCCTAAAAGCCACATGCTTCAGAAGAGGCTGACCCCAGTCCAAGGCCCTGCCAGGGGTATATTCTGACTGGTCTAAGCCAGTTGTGATGGGCCCATCCCCCTTGACAATACTGGTTTATGTTTAGGGCTTTGACCCAATTCTGGCTAATGCGATGTGATGTTATGTATATTTTACCATAATAAAAGTAGAGGGTGGCTGCACATGGTGGCTCATGCCTATAATCCCAGTGCTTTTGAGAGGCCGAGGTAAGAGGATTGCTTGAGGCCAGAAGTTCGAGACCGCCTAGGCAATATAGCAAGATCTTATCTCTATAAAAAAAAAAAATGAAAAAAATTAGCCAGGCAGTGCATACCTGTATTCCTAATTACTTAGAAGGCTGAGGCCTGAGGATCACTTGAGCCCCAGAGTTCAAGGTTGTAGTGAGCTATGATTGCACCACTGCACTTTAGCCTGCCTGGGTGACAGAGCAAGACACTGTTGAAAGAAAGAAAAGAAAAGGAAAGAAAAGAAAAGAAGGAGAGAGAGAAAGAAAGGAAGGAAGGAAGGAAGGAAGAAAAAGAAAAAGAAAGAAAGAAAGAAAGAAAGGAAGGAAAAGAAGAGAGGGAAAGAAGGAAGGGAGGGAGGGAAGGGGAGGGAAGGGAGGGAAGGGAGGGAAGGAAGGGAAGGAAAGAAAGGAAGAAAGGAAGTGAAGAAAGGAAGGAAGGAAAGAAGAAAGAAAGAAAGAAAGAGAAAAGCAACTGACAGCACCCAGTGGCGCAAGCATAAATTGTGAGTATAATCTCTAAATCTTACATTTAAATTCTTACATTGCTCCATAGGAAATAAATTGCACTTAAAAATCCACTAGAATTAAGTTAAGCCCATATAATGAAATAAAATGGGGTCATTGAAAATAAAAGCATGTGATTCCACTTTAGGCCATGAGAGAGTGACAGCAAACTTATACTCTTGCCCTAAATAACTATAAAAAGTAGGCATTTTTTTTTTTTGAGGCCAGTGTTTTTAAGCACTGGACAACTGGCAGTGCAGCCCTGTGAGCCTTGCAAAAAGGGAAACATGAGGTGGGCCTCGGTTTACCCAGCCTTCAGCCTGTGGTCACTTTACAGACCACGGACCAGGGTGTGGGGTGTATCAGATTTGCTGAGCTGCTGGAATTCATGGAGCAGGTTACTGGAGAGGAATCAGTCTGTGGATGGGTTGGGGAGACTCTCCACATCTTTGGCAGAGGGCTGGGCCATGAATGTGCAGAGTGAGACTCTGTGAGGCCTAACGGAGAGGCTGCTACAGGGTAGAGCATTGACCAGAGAAACCAGAAGTCACAGAGTGATGGGAAATGTCAGAGTGAAGGTGGGGAGATTTCGATGCCACTGGAACATGTGTCCCAAGAGGGTAGCAACTGCCATCTGTTGTCATGCCTGATGTACCCCCAGACTCCAAAATGATGCCATTCCCATAGGAGATGTGTAATGCTTATTTAAATGGTGTCACCTAAGCTGGGTCTAGGGCAGATGGCATTAAGGACAAGGTAGGGGCTGTCCAAGGAGTTCAGATTGGGGAGGGATCTGGCTCCAGGGACTGCAGGGCCAAGGCACTTAGGAGTGGGGAGGCATCATTAGAGATAAATTTAAAAATGCATTCATTCATCCATTTCACTTCATTTCTTCTCTGACCCATCTTGCTACCACAAAGAACATGAAATAATAACCAAACACTGGAAATAACCCATGTCATCAATCACAGAATGTAGAAATAAACTGTGGGAATATTCACAAGATGTAATTCCACACAACAATGAAAATGAATGAACTTCTGCTAAACCCAACAACACAGATGAATGTCACTAACAAGTGTTGAGTGAGGGAAGCCAGATACAAAACAGTACATACAGTATGGCAGCATTAATATGTAAAGTTCAAAAACACGCCAAGTAACAGATGAGGTTAGAAACCAGTATGATGGTTACCCGTGGGGCTAGTGGAGAGGGTATGTGCAAGGCTTCTGGGGTCCTGGTAATGTTCTATTTCTTGTCCTTGATTGGGTTACCCCAGTATGTTCATTCTATGACAACACACTGAGCAGTGCTCTTATGAATTATGCACTATGAATAGAAAGTGTCAACAAAAAGGTAAATGTCCACCTGACATATTTTACAAGATCAGAAGCTAGGCTAAATGATGGGGATAATGGGGGCTCATTTAATTAATTATACATTTCAGAAAGTCCATTTTTGTATATTTCAATAAAATCATTATTAAATAACTTTAAAGATGGCAATATAACTTCAGGAGGTTTATCCCTTTCAAATACTTGAGAATATGGATTTTAAAAAGAAACACATACATGCTGTTTAAAAAAAGGATGTGAAGTGGCTTACACAGATAGGTAGACATAGATAAAATGCCTTAAAATGAACATGGAAATAGGAGGAAAGGAAGAGCAAGGGTAGAATAAAAACAGAAGGTTAAAGACAAACACAAAGAGGCATAACGCTTCAAGGGCCTGCACAGTTGTTGCGGAGGTCCTGAGAGTGAGGGCACAAATATGGCTGCAGGCTTCCTGGTAGCCAAAGGAAAGAAGGAAAGAGAACAGTTCAAAGATTCGCTTTGTCCACAGATGTTGTAATATGGAAGACAGTTGCTCAGAAGTCCAGCTTGTCCTGCAAGTGGGGCCCAAGAGAAATTTCCCCTGTGGGGAGACAGTGAGTAATACAGAGCATGAGGTCCACAAGAATATCCTAAGCCAGGTACAGCAGCTCATGCTTGTAATCCCAGCATCTTGGGAGTCTGAGAGGGAAGGATCACTTGAGGCCAGGAGTTCAAAACCAGCCTGGGCAACATAGTGAGACCCTCATCTCTAAAAAAAAAAAAAAAAAAAAAAAGGAAATATCCTAATATTAACACTAACAGTGATGACAATGTTAACAATAATAGCTAACACTTTAATACTGTTTAACTTTGTGCCAAGCACGGTTTGAAGTTCTTTGCATGCATTATAGTAAATTTAAAATCAATGTTTTTTAGGCTGAGTGTGGTGGCTCATGCCTGTAATCCTAGCACTCAAGCACTTTGGGAGACTGAGGTGGGCAGATTGCTTGAGCTCAGGTATTCAAGACCAGCCTGGGCAACATGGCAAAACACCATCTCCAAAAAAAATACAAAACATTTGCCAGGTGTGGTGGCGCATGCCTATAGTCCCAGCTACTCAGGAGGCTAAGGTGGGAGAATCACCTGAGGCTGGGAGGTCGAGGCTGCAGTGAGCCAAGATTGCACGACTGCACTCCAGCCTGGTGACAAGGTGAGACTCTGTTTAAAAAAAATTTTTTTTTATAAATTCAATGTTTCTGGTAATGTCTCCCATTGCAGGGTAGCACAAAAGCAGAGCCAGGAAAGGCAGCTGGAACAATGGTATCAAGGAGCAAAGCTCTCTGATGGTTTGGCTTGATCCAATGATCTAAACCAGATGAGCTCCATATCTCTCTGGTAAACGATGAAGGACGTCACTAGGCAGCAAATCATCGGGAAGCAAATAGCCCATCTTGCACATTTAGACCTAGTCTATTTTCTTTGACAGATAATCAAACCAAAGGTAAGGTTGACATCCTTTTCTAAAGTGAGGTACCTAATAAGCTTCGTACCTGAAGAGATGGCCACCTCATCTCTACAGGAGTGGGCCAAGGTAGGATCTGTGGGCAAGGCCAAGATTCACCTCTGGAAACTGTTCTATGTCTGCTCTAACACAAGGACAATTGGATAAGACTCTATCCCCTGAGTTTATACCACCAAATATGGCCATGATCATTTCAGTCTTGTGAAGACCATGAAGACGAGCAGCCTCCCTTGCAGGGAAGGAATTGTTCTCAAAGAGGGAGGAGCATCCTTACCCACTACAGAGGGCCTAGGACCGCTTTGCCTGGGGAAGGTAAGAAGAGAGAGCGTCTAGCTAATGCACAACAACCTGGAATAATACATCCTCATGCTTTTGAGTTATTTTGACTTCTGCCAACAAGTTTCTAACAATCTTAAAGTTAACTCATAAACTTAATCTTTGTTAACAGATGGATTTATCCAAGGATGAATTAAGAGAGGTGAATTTTTTAGTCATTCATTCATTCAAATATTTACTGACCAATCAAAGAGGAAGACACCAGTGGAAAACCCTCACTGGTGGTATGCAAAAGACGTCCGTCAGATCACACATCTGTCCTTCAGGGAATTGAGTCTAATTCACTGGTTTTACTAGCCAGTTCCTTCTTTCCTTGACTCGACAAACATGAGTTTCATGCCTGTTTTGTGCCAAGAAGTATTCATATCACAAGGCCAGTAGGCAGAGATACAAGTAATGTCCTGAAGGTGCTTAGATTAAGGAGCAATTAACCCAGTGGAGGCAGGGGGGTGAACAGAGCTTCAAGGAAGAGGGGACAGCAGAGCCCAACTCCCGAGAATCATGAGATTTGTTTTATAAAAAAAACTCGCCACAGGATTCCTCTAAGTAACAATTTTTTTTCCTAGTGCCTTTCAATTATGCCTGGACTGATTTACACACCCTTTCAGAAGCACAGCTGTTGTGTAAATTAAACCTCAGTAATCCCTCCCCAGTGCTGAGTCCCCCTTAGGAGAAATTCTGGCACCTGCTGATTTATTTCTGTGTACTTTCTCAGCACCTTGAGGATTTCAGCTTTAGTAATCACAAGTTATGAGTCACTCCAATTGGGGATAGTTAGACAAAGAGGGAGCAGGGGATTGAAAATAGAGAATGGAAGCAAAGCAGATGGTGGAGAAGGGTAGAGAGGCCTGCAAGGAAGCCTTGGGCTAGATAGAGGGAAGTAATCCTAAGCTTTAGATGTTCACAGCCGCCTCCTCAGGTAGAAGGAAGAAGAGCTGGGAAATGAAAAAAAGAGGCTGATGGTCTGCCCTGAAGAACCCTTCTCTGAGCCCACGGAGGAACCCGGGAAGCCTGACACAGTCACAGACTGAAAACTTTTCATCTGTGCTTCAAGGATCATGAGATAACATCTTCAAGGAGCTTAGCACACAACCTGGCGACTGGTCAGCACTTTCTAACTGCCAGCTGCTGCTGCTGCTGCTGTTGTTCCTCAACTTCAACTCCTCAGTCCAGGGGAAATTTCAGGACAAACCCGTTAGGTTGAACCAGCCAAGGAGGGACAACTCTATCTCTACCCAGAACCATATACTGATAATCCCTAGGAAACTTCTTTAGACCATAAGAATGTCGCCCTTGTCTGTTTACATTTTATTGATACTCTTTTTAAAAGATTTAATATAAGTATGTTGTTGTCCCATGATTTCCCTTTCTGTGTGTGCATCTATACTTATCATCTGTGGCCCTGGTGCCAAGTCATCACCTCAGGTGTCAATGTTGAATTTTTAATGTTGCATTTCTCATTAGAGTCTCTGAAGGAATTCTTGGGGTCCGGGAATGCTCAAGTTTGTGAATTGCTACATTAGACTGATAACTACCTTGAGAGCAAGCTGACCTTGGGCCAGAGGAGACATAAAACACCCAGTGACACTCTAGTGCCCCTAGAATTAGTAGAAAGATCGCATTTGCTAACCACAAGTGTGAGACTCACAAAGGGTAAAATGGATTTTTTTCTCACTTGGAAGAAATGACTCCAATTCTGGAAATCCTATAGCAGCCCCTGCTGTCACCATGATAATGAGAGAGTATGTTAGAGCCCCAAGCAGGCCCCGTAACCTAGTCATGTCCAAAAAGCTTTTATTTTAGCGCAAAGGGTCAATATCTATTCAGTGTGTGTGTGTGTGTGTGTGTGTGTGCATGCACATGTGTATATCAAACCTCAAAATCCCAAAGGTTAAGTGGACAAGGGATATAAACAGATAATTTCCCAGTACTATAAAATGAAACATAAATAGTAAATACAAACAGTTATATGGAAACACGGCCACCCTCATTAACAACCAAAGACATGCACATTTCAAAACCACCTTACACATGCTAAGTTAGCACTTACTTTTAGAAAGTCAACACCTAATGCTTTGCAGGTGAAGGGGCACGCATGGGCATTAAAGGTGGCAAAGGCAACAATTATAACTCACCCTTTGGGTTAAAGCAAAATGGGACTTTGCATGAGGATCTTCAGAGATATTCATTCCCTTTAGCCCTGTGATTCTAGAGCTGGGTTTTATTTAAAGAAGAACAAAATTGAGTACCACATAAATGTCTGATTACGGGGATAAATTATGGTACAACTGCACCCTAGGATGTTCTCTATTCACTAAGATGATTATGAGGATTGCATAGCAATGTGCGGAAAAGTTTATGCCATAATATCATCCAAAAGCCGGTAGAACTCGAATAGCTTGTACGTTACAAGAAAACATTAAAGCTACATCTGCAGGTGGACAGGGTCTAGAAGAGCTTAAAATTGCTGGTAGAAGTTAGGGTTGGAGTATTTTTTTCCATTTTTTTCAATTTTGTTTTTAACATAACCATTGTAATTTTTGAAAATACCTTACTGTTGTTTGTTCCAAAACTGCAAAAAGACCCCTTTAAAATCAAGTGAAATCAGTGCTTATGAAGACAACCTCTGAGCCAGGCATTGTTCCAGGTGCTTTAAAAACCATATTCATCTTTTAATGTACCTCATTTTACAGGTAAAGAAGTTGGGGTTTGGTAAGAGTAAGTGGCTTGCTCTGCTCATAGAGGCTGACAGAAGTTATGAAGTTTCCAGCCTTGGTCAGTCTGGCTCAAGCCTGAGCTTTCCTTCCAACATCACACTGACTCTCTTTCGCTCCCAGGAAAGTGATACTCTGGTTTTCATCCTCAACTGAAAGAATTCATTTTTTTTAACTGCATTTGCTTTTGTGCTAGAGAAGTGATATGGTTTGGCTGTGTCCCCACCCAAATTTCATCTTGAGTTGTAGCTCCCATAATTCCCGTATGTTATGGGAGGGACCCAGTGGGAGATAATTGAATCATGGCTGCCATATCTTATGAGACTTATTAAGGGGAAAACCCTTTTGCTTGGCTCTCATTCTCTCTTGCCTGCTGACATGTAAGACGTGCCTTCCACCATGATTGTGAGGCTTCCCCAGCCACGTGGAACTGTGATTCCATGAAACCTCTTTTTCTTTATAAATTACCCAGTCTCAGGTATGTCTTTATCAGCAGCACGAAAACGGACTAATATAAGAAGTAATTGGCTTTCTGGAAAGCCTTCCCAGACACCCTCAAGTGGAGTTAACCGCTGCCTCTTTCATGCTTTCAGTACTCAGTACAGTGCATGGCCCATTGTAGGTGCTCGGCGTGTAGTGACGCCGTTGAATGTGAGGCTAGGATGTTTCCTTCCCATCTGAGTGCCACATCCCCAGCACTGTGGCAGTGATCCCTTAACAGCAGGGGAGGGCAGAGAAAAGAGGCAAGGGCCACAGCCCTGGCTGACTCCCATTTCCTGAGTTCTGTATGCTGCCTAATGTTATTTGTTAGTTGGTTTGTTCTCATCACAACGTAGCTGAAAAGGGTTAGGAGATATTGAGAACAATCCTTTCAGAGGAAGATGAAAAAGACTTGGCCAAGCAAGATCGGGGAAGGAGCAGATGAGAGTTCTGGAGAAAAAGAAAAGAAGCTGGAGGACAGAGGAGAAGATGACAGGTGGAGAGACAAGCTTTGGGAGTGCCCTAATGAAAAGGCAGGGGTCACAGTGAAAACGGGCACTTCCAGAAAGAGGAAAGAAAAAAAAAACAGGCCCAGGCAATTTCTTGCAGAAATACCTGTGGGGATAACAAGCACTTTTTTTTTTTTTTTTAACCTGAGCAAAAATCGTCAAGCCCAGCTACTTTTATCATCTAAAATTCGTTCTGGAGATTTCCTCCAGCTTGTGAGAGACATCTTAACTCTCCCTGAAATAGTCATTTGTCACAAGGGGCTGGAAGTGAGCCAAAATGTCTGTAAGCAAAGTCCAGGAGCTCTGTATAATAAAACAAATTGCAAAATATTGATTTTGTTTCTTTTCGACCTGTTTTAATCCAACAATATCATCTTATTATGAGAATTTCCTCTCCTGATGGCGAGGAGAACAGGCTCAGCTGTGGGAGAGGAAGAAGCAGACACAGGCTTCACTTCTCCTCTGAAAGGCTCTGTTTAGGGATCTCTAATGTCACCGGCAGAATTGCAGTTCCAATCTTCTACCATGATATTTCTGAAGGAAAGACCAAAGTGCTGGAGAACCTGACAAACAGGATGTGTGCTTTTCTCCTAAACTTAGAAAAAAGTAGAAATAAGAACCCAGAGAAAGTGACCAAATGTCACTCAGATGCTACTAACACCTCTTGTGGGCCCCTCAGAGCCCAGGAGATGAGTCCCAGGCTCCCAGGCTAGGTGGGCTCCCAGATAGGGTGGGCGAGGCCTCCCGCTGCCGGGCCTCCATCCATCTCGCCAGCCTTCCAGCTGCGCCCGCCCACCCCACCCCGGGACCATCCTCCCCTCCGTTTTCTGGACACATCAGGCCTGTTCATGGCTCCAGGCCTTTGCTCATGTCCCTTCTGCCTGGGAGGCCCTCTCTCCTCTTCCTCAAATGAGCATTGACTCATTCTTCAAATTCATGGCTTTCCTCCTCAGCAAAGCCCTCCAGACCCTCCCAGGAAGGGTGAGAGACCTCCTTAGGTTTCCCTTAGGTTCCCATGCCAAGGCTCTCCACAGGCTCCCGCAGCTGTCTCCTGGCTGGACTGCAAGTCAGCAGCAGGGGCTGGTCTCTGAATCTCTCTGTGTCCAGAGCCTAGTCCAGAGCCTGGAACGGCACTTAGGATGGGTTTGTGGAGTGAATGAATGAATGGCAGTGCCCTGCTCCCCTCCTCCACCCTCACCCTTTGTTTAAGAACATCACCCATTCAGGGGTGAGAGCCTGGCATCCAGGCCTCTAATCTCAGGATGAAAGGCACAGGCCTGCTCTTTAGAACATAAAGCATTCATCTTTCCTTCCCACTTTTCTTGTGCCACGGGAGCTCTGAAAATCCTGCCATATCAATGTCTTCCAGGTTCTGTGTTCCTCTCAAAAAGATACCAGTTTACGCGTGTGAAGGCTCGCAGGTTATTGAGTCTCTCGAGGGGTTTTTTAATCTTTGCAGGCAGAAGAGGATCCTGACACACACTTTGAAGTTTGCCTTCACACGCTTCTGCCAGGAAGGAGCCGTGGTGTTTCAGATGTGAGCAGTCTCTGCTTCAGAGGGGCCCGGGGCTGGGGTGCACAGCCAGAACTGGCCCTGGGGGACCCTGCGCTGCCCACAGACCATTTCCAGCATGCCAGGGGTCAGGGCAAAGGATTGCCACGCGCTCTAAAACTCTTGCTGTTATCCACACGCTCTCCCTCCAGGTCCGCGGGTCCCTGCTGACCCAGGCTTTGTTTAGAATCCAAAAATAACTCCCCCCTTCTTGTGTTCACTGCCACAAGGCTTGCTAAGGAGTCATTCACATTCATTAATCCTTTTCATTCTCAGAACAACCCGATGATGGGCACAGTGGCTGGGTGCCAGGCGCTGGGCTGAGGACGGCACAGCCCTGGAGGTGGTGCTCTTCCTGGCCCTGTGGCATAGACGAGGATCCTGAGGCTGGGGAGGACAGCAGCTTGTGCCCAGTCTCGGAGCTGCTTAGGGGCAGAGTGGGGCTTCGGGGCCAAGGCTCCATCAACAAGGCCGTCTCCTCTCTCCCGTGTCACTTTGAGTGGTTCTTCCTCCTCGAGGCTGGAGCAGGAACTTTGGCACGAGCCAGGCCTGGCTTTGGATCCAAGCAATTCAGCTGTATTTTGGCACACTGCTTGTCTTCACCCACTCTGGCTGTTAAAACAGAAAATCATAGCTGGGGTGGCACAGAAACAATAGAAATGTATTTCCCGTGGTTTGGAGGCTGGAAGTCCGAGCTCACAGGGCCAGCATGGTTGGTTCTGACAAGGATCCTCTTGCAAATGCAGACAGCCGACTTCTCATGAGAGCCTCGCACGGTGGAAAGAGGGTGAAGGAGCTCTCGGGCCCCTTTTATAAAGGCATGAATCCCATTCATGAGGTTCCACCCCCATGACCTAATCACCTCCCAAAGGCCCTAACTCCTAAGACCATCACATGGTGGGGCTGGCCGGTGGAGTTAGGATTTCAACATATGTATTTGGAGGAACACAAACATTTGGTTTATAGCATAGCGTTGCTTCATGTCTCTATGCTTCTCTCCTCACCTGTCAAAGGGACAAAATAACAGTAGCACTGTTGTAAAAATGAATTGAAGTAGAGCTTACAATGCTCTCAGCACAGCATCTGACACATAGCGCATGCGCTGTCTGTATCTATGTAGATAGATGGATAGAGAAGTATTTTTATAACCATTACCCTCTCTCTAAGCTTTTCAGTTCCTCCGGGAATTTGATCTTCATGGTTACTATTTTTTTGTTCAACAAAATCAGCACCATGATCCTCTATAAACACCCTCTCCCTGAACTATGATCCAGCTTTTTGGATCAGTCAATCCTGCTACATGTCAAGCACTCTCAGGTAAAGGAATCTAGAGATACATGATAACCTATTTTCCTGGCCCCCAGGGAGGTGAAAAGAAATATGTAAACTGCTCATTTTGAAATAAAATAGTAAATATCACAAGAGCACAGAAGGTGGCATTTTTTTTTTTTTTTTTTTGAAGGTGGGAGAAGGCAGAGAAGACTTCTGAGGGGATATCATTCTGGCCAGGATGGTGACAGAGGACTAGGAGTTAGCGAGGCAAAGAAGGGCCTAAGGAGTGCTCTGAATAGAGTGAAGAGCTGCTGGAGTGCTGGGTTATTAATTTCCATTTATTCAGTATCATAGCACAGATCACTGGCAGGCAGGAGACAGTGGCAGATGGTTTTAGTAAGGTGGAAAAACCTAGTCATGAAGGATCTTGTACATCACATGTTATTTGGTTTGGATCTTACCTTAGAGGCCAATAAATCTCAAATGTTGATGTGCTTCAGAAGTCAGCATAGGAGCTTGTTAAGATGCTATTCCCAACCCTGAGACTTGGATATTATGGAACATGCAGCCAGGTGGTTTCAATGGAGGTGCTCCAGGAGCCACAATCATAAAGTATCTCAGTAGATGATGGAGAAGCGTGGGAGGGGCAGTACCAGAGGGGGCTACGGGACGCATGGCCATGCCTGTGATTCGATAAAATCAAGAATTCTGTTTCAGAACCACCTGTCAATCAGCTCCTCCTTGGTAAGAGGTACTACTTCTAGAAAATGTGATGTCACTTCTATTTGTTCATTTATTTCAACAGCTTTATTGGGATGTAATTGTTATATTAAAAACTGCACCTATTTAGTGTATACAAGCTGATGGGTCTGTACATGTACACATAACCATGAAACCATCACTACAATCAAGGTAAAACACATATCCATCACCTCTAAAAGTTTCCTCCTGCCCCTTTGAGTTATTTTGTTTGTTTTGGATTTTTTTTTTTTTTTTTTGAGATAGAATCTCACTCTTTTGCTAGGCTGCAGTGCAGTGGCGTGTTCTCGGTTCACTGCAATCTCCACCTCCTGGGTTCAAGCGATTCCCCTGCCTCAGCCTCCCAAGTAGCTAGCACTACAGGTGCGCACGACCACACCCAGCTAATTTTTTGTATTTTAGTAGAGACAGGGTTGCACCATGTTGGCCAGGATGTTCTTGATTTCCTGACCTCATGGTCTGCCCACCTCAGCCTCCCAAAGTGCTGGGATTATAGGCTTGAGCCACCGCACCCGGCCTGTTTCTTTTTTTCAATGAAATGGGGTCTTGCTATGTTTCCCAGGCTGGTCTTGAACTCCTGGGCTCAAGTGATCCTCCCACCTTGGCCTCCCAAGTAGCTGAGACTACAAGTGTGAGCTACCACACCCCCTTTGAGTTTGTAAAAATGCTATTCATTTACAGTCATGATAGATTATTTTAAAAACTTTTATAAAATTTTATGTACACACACAACATACATTTGCCACACTAGTATAAAATGAATCCTCTCTTCTCATTTGAATAAAAAACAATCTTTAGCCTATCAGAGACAACCTTTGTGATTTTACGTAGATCATGTAGTTTCAGACAACATCAACCATCAAAACATGGTCTTCAAATGTAAAGAGAGCCCCAAAGGCCCCCAAACCACACAAACTTTCCATAAAAGTTACACATTTTGGCCGGGCGCGGTGGCTTATGCCTGTAATCCCAGCACTTTGGGAGGCTGAGACAGGCAGATCACAAGGTCAGGAGTTCAAGACCAGCCTGACCAACATGGTGAAACCCTGTCTCTACTAAAAATACAAAAATTAGCTGGGTGTGGTGGCGCACACCTGTAATCCCAGCTACTCAGGAGGCTGAGGCAGGAAAATCACTTGAACCCAGGAGGCAGAGGTTGCAGTGAGCCGAGATCACACCATAGCACTCCAGCCTGGGCAACAGAGCGAGACCCCGTCTCAAAAAAAAAAAAAGTTACATATTTTATTTTAGGAGAGCCAGAGGCATTTGCAGCTTCTCTCTCAGTCAAGGAATATGTATGAAAAACGGGATGGGGAAGGGTGGCCATGACATTAAAATTAGACACAAACGGAGCATGCTGAGGCCATTTGCAGGGGACACAAGTCATTCATTTGTTCCTTATAGTTTTTTGTGCTCACTCTGTGCAGGGGTCTTGTGCTGAGTGCAGAGATGACACAAGGCAAGGCCTTAAGGACAAAAAGTTGTTATAACACAATAAACAAGAAGAAAGCACACTTGACAGGGAGGCATAAGGCAGGTTCCGAGGACCGGCCCTCTGCCCCTCTCCAGCTGTGTGACCCCAGACAGGCCACTTTGCTCCTTTGGGTGTTTGTAGAATAAGAGGTGAGTGACAGTTCCTCTTAGCAACAAGGTCCTATGCTTTGATGTTCGGAAGGAAGAACCAAACTCACCAATAATTAATATTAACTGCTGCTAAGAAGACAAATATGTGTAAGCATTTTAAGAGTTCAAATTTTAAGTGGCTACAATTAAATTTTGGTGATTAATGGAACAAATGCCTGTCATTTGAAAAGAATTCACTTAAAGGAAATATTGCATTCCCCAAAGACTCTCCCGAAATTTGAGAGCTAGAAGAGTTCCTTAAAGATGACCCAATCAACTTCCACCATCTGAGGAAACTGATGTTCAGGAAAACCAAGTCTGACCAGACAATAGGTAAGTGGCAAAAGAGAACTGGGCCAGGTTCCTGGCTGCATCGGAAAAAGACTCCCTGTCATACCGTGTTGCTGTGATTTGTAAATTATGGGGTAAAACATGCAGTATCAGTAACTGGGCTCAAGGAGAGAGAAAAAGGCCTTCAATTCTTCAAAGCACTTGGCCTCTATTTGAGCTCTTTTACTCAAATAGTTTGAAGCCTTAAGGGAGTAGCCCCAAATCATTTGCCTGGGGAAAGTATAGATACAAATTGGTTCATTTTCTCAGTTACACAAATAGTGAAACCGTGACCCACATCTTAAGACATGCCATCACATGACCAAGTCTAATGGCTGGTGAAGAATTAAACTCAATCCCACAGCAATCAGCACCTGAGAATGCTCGTCCTCCCAGATTACCTGCTGCAGACAGAAGAAATGGCTCACCCGGGGCCAGCCAGCCAGCCGGCAGTGGCAGCGTCCTGGGCCAAGGATGAGAAGGACCAGAGCTCCTGACTCCCTAGGTGGCTGCTGTCCCAGGTCTGCCACGCCATCAGGTGGTCCTGGTGGTCACTGCACCACTCTATGTGTGGACCTTTGCATCTCTAAGATGGAGCTGATACACTGTCCACGCCTCACAGGGCAGTTGTGAGGATATGTGTTTTAATGCAAATTTCCTCGCGCTGAGTTTGGCACTTAATAGGTGCCTACTTATTAATGTTTTTAGTCAACAGTAGTTATTAAGGTTGTAAGTATCACAATTTCACACTGCCCTCCTTCCTGGTAACTGAATTTGTACTCAGCTGGCTGTACACAGTGAGGAGATGGGATGTGCTCAAGCAGGAAGCACAGCCAGTGGCTTGGAATCCATTTAATTACTCGTTTCACTTTATTCTACCATTAACTGGTAACATGGCAAGGTTCAAAGACCTAATGATTAGTATGAGCTCTCCCTGCTCAGTCAGGCCAGCTATCTCCCTGCTCCACCTGGCTCAGCCATTCACTGGGAAATTGCCTGAGTGGCACCTGTCCCATTTGTCAAACACCGAAGCGCTGGGTAATGATCTAACGTGCTTGGGGCAGAGAGCACATGCTAATGGCACCAGGCCACCCTACGTCCTCAGAGCCCCTTGTGGGCATGCAGACCTCTCTCAGTTAGAAGATGGAGGAAGCTAAGTGGCTGCAAGGTTAAAATTAGCTGCGCAGTGACTAGACTTCTTGTTGGAGCAGAAGTAATATGTTCTCCAGTTTCTTTCTCCCACAACGTCTCACCCCTGCCTTTCTGAACTATAAGAAATATTCAAAAGGCCAGGCGTGGTGGCTTACACCTGTAATCCCAGCACTTTGGGAAGCCAAGGCAGGTGGATCACTTCAGGTCAGAAGTTCGAGACCAGCCTGATCAACATGGTAAAACCCTGTTTCTACTATTTAAAAAAAAAAAAAAAAAAAAAGAAAAGAAAAGAAAGAAATATTCAAGCCCCATTTCAGATGGAACTAAAATGCCCATGAACTATTTAAATGCCTTAATCCCTCAGAGCATGCTGAGAACAGGGCTTGTGGAACAATAGAGGGCTCTCTGAGGGCCCTGTCCCAGCAGACTAGCCTCCTGACACCCTGGGTTGCCTGCCTGCTTTCCAGAGGAAGCCACTGGTCCCTCTGCACTCTCAGCAGAGAAATATTGATGCCAACTGTGGCTCCTCTCGCCCCATCTTCCTTCATGCCTTTCTCAATGATGTCAGCACACTGATTTCTCTCCTCTCTCTGAATTCTTGCAGTGCTTAGCGTTGGACCTCATAATTCAGACTTGATAATAAAGAATCTCTTTCAGGAAGTCCTCCCCAGGTTCTTCAATCAGATATTGTCACCATTTCCAACCTGACCCACTTCTGCCCCATAGCCTCAGCGCACCTTGTTCTATCCTTACCTGCATCCAATGTCCTACATAGCAAGCTTTGGGCTGCATATTCTATTTATCTCCATTACGAGCCTATGAGTTCTTGAGAGTTGACCTTTAACACTCTTCTCCTTTGTCTCTGCCACATCCCAGGATGCAGCAAGAAGCCTGACCTAGGCTGGACATTTACACACACATACATGTATACTATACATAAAAAATGAATATTCTGTATTGTACCTAAGGTTTTGGTAGATTTAAATATTTCGTTTCTAAGAACACTGTATTCTTTGTTGGAGACACAGGCTGTGTTTTCTCCTGCACCTGCATCCTTCCTTGGTACCAGGCACCACCTGAGTACATAACAGGTTCTCAGGATGTGTTTGGATTACAGAGTCTTACGAGTAGGATGAGCTTTCACAAACATCCAGCCCATTCACTTCATAAATGGGAAAACTAGATCCAGGGAGGAAAAGAGACTCATCCACAATCATTAGCAGCCAGTGGAAGCGCCATTCCCCACCTCCTCAGCTGACAGCATGGAGAGCCCATGCTATTACAAAGGCTTTCTTAACAGTTCAAAAAGAAAATCTTGTCAAACCTTTCATAGTAGTACGGCAGGCTGATAGATCTAGATAACCCACTTTTTTTTCAAAGGAAAATCAAATAATAAGGCTAATTCCCAGTGATCCTGAGGATCAGTAAGGTCTGAGTTTATACTTCAAGAGGATGGAGCTCCGAGAAAAGATGATGTACCATTAAAATGGCAAGTATGGCAGATGCGAAAAATAAGCACACATCTCAGCGATTTCCAACTACAAGAGACAGGAAAATCTGTCTCATTAATGACAAAATGCAGATGCTTTTCTTCCTGAGCAGGAAAAAACCACAGACTAAATTACATCCGAGCCTGTAAAGAGGTATGTGAGAACCCACTTAAAAATGTATGATGTCTCACGGAAAAGATTGATCAACTGGCTCCCTGAGCATCGAAAATGTCGGTTAGTTTTTCCTCTCTCTTGTTTCAGACAAGTGGTGATTAATATAACACGGCGGACAGTAGAGGAGGTGAAACTTGTAAAATAGGTACAAAGGGGAAATGATCAAGGAGGGAGATAATGAGAATTTAAATCTGAAGGTAGAGAACATGTATGAAATATATTAATATGGAGCCTACGGAAGGGAGAAAATGCGAGTGGGTACCATAGATGCCGGGAAAGAGAACGCTCTCCCGGGCTGTGACGGTAAGAGCGAGGAGAGGTGAATTACAGAGTAGTGGAGAATGGGGAGCAAACGGGTTTTCAGCACAAGAAACTACATGTGCCAAGGCCTTGGGGCAGAAGAGAGTCAGGCTGGAGTAACTGATGGAGTAATGGAAAGACGGTAGTTTGAGGGAGTTTTGGGAACATTAGGAGTGATGTGAGATGGGTTAGAAATCCGGACCTCTGTCTAGTGTGGAGATCAGTGGTGTTCAAAGGTTTTGGTCTTAAGAGTCCTTTATACTCTCACTATCCATCGATTTCCAAAACAGAAATGAAGGCAGGAAAAATATTCACTCATTTAAAAACAACAATAATAAATCCATTATGTGTTAATGCAAATAATGTATTTCTGTGGGAAATTATTTTCTCCAAAACAACAAAAAAAGTTAAAAAAAAGAACATTACATTTTTTGCAAATGTCTTTAATGTCTGGCTTAATAAGACATAGTTGGATTTTCATGTTGGTTTCTACATTTGGTCTGCTGTGATATGTTGGGGAGTGAAGTATATGAAGAAAATCAGGCATGATCAAATCTGGTCAAGCAATGCTTTCTTAAAGGTTAGTTAGTTGCAATATGGAAGCTGAAACCATGTCAATAAACTTTTCATACTCTGTTACATTTAAATCCATTGGTCCAGCCGGGCGCTGTGGCTCACGCCTGTAATCCCAGCACTTTGGGAGGCCGAGACTGGCGGATCACCTGAGATCAGGAGTTTGAGACCAGCCTAACCAACATAGAGCAACCCTGTCTCTACTAAAAATACAAAATTAGCTGTGCGTGGTGTCACATGCCTACATGTAATCCCAGCTACTTGGGAGGCTGAGGCAGGAGAATTGCTTGAACCCGGGAGGTGGAGGTTATGGTGAGCCGAGATTGCACCATTGAACCCCAGCCTGGGCAACAAGAGCAAAACTCCATCTCAAAAATAAATAAATAAATAAATAAATAAATAAATCCATTCGTCCATCTTGCGCTTTGGATCTTTTACCCATGCCAAACTATATAACGTCATACCTGCAACACTTGGAAAATACTGATTTATATAGCTCTTCCGAATGTTGTGCATTTCATTATATGACATCAGAAAATCACATTCATTAATATCACCAACTGATTTCAACAGAAAAGTCTTTAAATATCGTGAAGCTGTCAAGCTCATGGCGGCAGATAGGAGTTTTCAGAGATTCCAGTTTTTGCTTAAACGTTCAAATTTTATAATTGGTGCAAATGTTGTTGGCTGTTTTCCTCGAAGTGAAAAGCTCACTTAGTTTCAGGAACATGTCTACAAATGTCCAAACCTGAACAACTTATAGTTTGTCTGCCAATTGTTCTTTCCATGAAAAACATTCTGATTGTTTCAAGACAAAAGGGGCTCACTCAGCTTGCAACCCAAACAGTCCCTACAGCCTTACTGCGCTTCGGTGGGCAGCAGAAGTGCTTTAGCCTACTTGCCATTTTATCATCCAGAATATTAAAAAGAAGCGTGTTCAAGGGCTGAGATTTAATTTAAAAAAAGGTTTTTTACTGTTTCATCAAAGACCTTCTTAAGTGAATCTGGCATTTTGTTTGTTTGTTTTAAACTTTGAAGTATGTGGCAGTGATGAATAATGACTACTAGTCCACCTCAGTGCCCCTGTCTTTTTTTGTTTGCTTGTTTTTTGAGACTAAGTCTAGCTCTGTCACCCAGGCTGCAGTGCAATGGCGCAATCTCGGCTCACTGCAACCTCCACCTCCTGGGTTCAAGTGATTCTTCTGCCTCGGCCTCCTGAGTAGCTGGGATTACAGGCATGCACCACCATGCCCGGCTATTTTTTTTTTGTATTTTTAGTAGAGACAGGGTTTCACCATGTTGCCCAGGCTGGTCTTGAACTCCTGACCTCTTGATCCGCCCGCCTCGGCCTCCCAAAGTGCTGGGATTACAAGCGTGAGCCACCACACCCGGTCTCCTGTCTTAAGTAGTAATAAGCAGCCAGCAGTTTTACTCATCACTGCTTTTACAGCATCACTGCAAAAGTCAATACAAGAACAAGGCAAAGGATGCCTTATCATTATTATGATGACAATACTTTTGACTCCATAGATATCCTGACAAGATATCAGGGAACCTTGAATGTTCAAGGACCCCACTTATAGAACTGCTGGTCTAGTCTAGATCAGACAAGGCCTTGTCAGGCATTTAAAATTTTTAAAAAATTTTATCTTTCTCCTGTGGGGAAATGAAAAGCCACTGAAGTGTTTTTAGCAGGAACTTAATCCAATTAGATTTTAGTTTTGAAAAGATCACTTTGGCTGCTGTAAGGAGAATGAAACAGATGGAAGTTAAGAGTGGATGAGGAGAAAATAAGTTAGGAGATTCTTAGAGCTCTCCAAACTTGAGACGGTGACTGGACAAAAGTGGTAAAGATGGAGAGAATTACAAAATTGAGAGATCTTTAGGAGTTGAACTCAAGAGGGCTCATTGAGAATTCATGGAAACCTCCAGGGGTTCTGGCTCAGGTACCTGGATAAACTGGGAGAAGAGCTCAGGGAAATGATGCGTGTCATGTACAGAGCACAGAGCCTCGCTCGGTGAACGCCAGCTGCCCAGGCCTGGACAGAGCACAGCCCCGACAGGTCTCCAGGTACCCGGACCCTCTCCTGGCCGCTTCTGGGAAAAGCAGCCTTAGGTAGTAACCTACGTAACCCAGTCTCTTAGTGACTGGCTGAAACTGAGCTATTAACGACTGCCAAAAGGAAATACTCTACATGAAGGGTGGTTTGGCCAACTCAGTTAGATCTCCCTGCTTGGAGAATGGTAGATGAGAGGAAGGAGAGAGGAAGACTCACAATGGTGGAGTGTGAGAAGAGAATGTCGGCCAGTTCTTAGGACAAGCTGAAATAATCAAACAAATTCAATCATTAAAGGCTGACAAGAGTCCATATAATTAAGACCTCTTTCTTCTTTCTTTCTTTCTTTTTTTTTTTTATTGGAGACAGGGTCTCACTCTGTTTCCCAGGCCAGAGTGCAGTGGCTCGATCACTGCTCACTGCAGCCTCGATGTCCCAGGTTCAAGTGATCCTCCTCACCTTGGTCTCCCAAAGTGTTGGGATTATAGGCATGAGCCACTGTATCAAGCCAGTTAAGAGCATTTATATCAAGCTGGATTGCAGAAAGAGAAGAGACAAGACTTCACTCCTTTTCTGCCCTCAAGGACCCAGAAATCCTGTTTCTAAAGCCCCCCACCAGCTCCAGTGTGTGCCTGTAAGTAGGGTTCCTACTGGCACTGAATCTTCTGGGACTTGATGTCAACCTGTCCTTATACAGGTATAACTGGAAGGTCCTTTCCTTGCCAGAGCAGGCTCGTGCTAGAAACTTGGAATACAAAGAAAAGCTTAACGAAAAAAGCTAAAATTATAATCTTACAGGTCAGAGATCATCATGATTAACATTTAGTGTGTTTCCTTCCCATATATTATATGCACATAAAACATACATTTTAAAATAAAATTGGGGCTATATGCAAATAGTTATGAAACATTTGACTACATCACTATGTGGGCTTTTAAAACATAACAATAACACCTAAACACTGTCGTTAAATGGCATTTGCAATCCTTTCTCTGCTCCCTCCGTATGAGACATGCTAGGCTGTTTCTCCAGGTCTTTGACATCATTTCAAATTTCTGTAATGACACCACAAAATGCAGACAAGGATTTTGGTTTAAACCATCCCAGAAAATGACATTTCTTTCCCATTGCATGATGTTTTACATTTATCAAAGCCTTTTTACATATATTAATAAAACCCAACATTTTTACAACATTTTACTAAATTTTCCCACATGCTCATATGACAACATCTGTCAAGTGGTAACAATAATCTATCTCGTAAAGCAATTGTGAGGATTAAGTGGAAAAACGGACGTGAATAATGCCAGCTATTTTTGGTTGACTTTCACTTTGTGCCAGATACTGTGCTGAACATTTTATATCACATACAATCAGATGTAGTCTATGAGGTAGATCCTGTTACTGTCCTGCTTTAAGAGAAGAGGTTAACTGGGGCATACAAAAATGAAATAACTTACTAACTTGCTTACAGTGACATAGTTAATAATTGATGGGGCCAGAATTTGCATGCAAATTCATCTGACTCCAAAACCAGGGCACCTGGCAACTCCCCCAATTGCTTTGCTGTGCAAGGCTTTTGCAGACAGCAAGCACTAATCGTATTCACCAAACCATGAGTTCTTGGAGTCTAGAGATTCCCCTATTCCCCCCCACCCTTCTCTATTGGCATATAGTAGCTGCTTAATAAATGTTTGGTGATTCGATGGCTATGGAAATCAATGGAAGCAAAATAAAGAGACTCTGTGAAAAGTATTAAGAGATGTCCCTCCCTAGAAAAAGACCAGGCAAACCAAAAAAATCCTGAAATAAGAATATTCAAAGTAATTTAAATTTAAAAGAAAGAACATCAAACCCTCAGGGAAGAAAAATTTAAGAAAGAAAAAAATAAATCTAAGAAAAGAACCAAAGAGAATATCTGGAAATAAACCCAGTAAAGCATGAAAAATAATATATAATTACCAAGGTTTATCCTAGGATTGCAAGGATGGTATAAAATAACCTGATAAAAGATGCCTACCAAAACCCACAGCTGACATCACACTCAACAGTAAAACGTAAGAAAGATTTTCTTTAAAATCAGGAATGGCCAGGCGTGGTGGCTCACACCTGTAATCCCAGCACTTTGGGAGACCAAGGCGGGTGGATCATGAGGTCAAGAGATCAAGACCATCCTGGCCAACATGGTGAAATCCGGTCTCTACTAAAAATACAAAACATTAGCCGGGCATGGTGGTGGGCACCTGTAGTCCCCGCTACTCGGGAGGCTGAGGCAGGAGAATCACTTGAACCCGGGATGCAGAGGTTTCAGTGAGCCAAGATTGCACCACCACACTCCAGCCTGGGGAACAGAGTGAGACGCTGTCTCAAAAAGAAAAAAAAAAAAATCAGGAATATGACAAGCATGTCCACACTCCTAATTCCCACAATTAGGGAAATGAGACATAAAAAAAGAAATAAAAGGTATAAGGACTAAAAAGGGAATAAAACCATCATTCTTTGCAAACAAAAAATAAGACCATATAAAATTCAAAACTTCTATTTATCAAAAGGCAAATTACAACAGGGTAAAAGACAAATTATAGCCTAAGAGACCATATGTATAACTCATAAAACCATCAAAGGGTTTTTATCCAAGGTAAATAGAGCATTTCTACAAATAAGAAATTTCTACAAATTTTCTTAGAGCATTTCTGCTCTAAGAAAACAGAAATGGCAAAGAATATGAACAGATAATTCATAGAGAAAGAAATCCAAATGGCCAATAAATCTATGAAAAGGCCATAAACCTCATTAATGATCACAAGAATGCAAATTAAAGCAATATGACACCATTTGATATGCCTCAGATTGGCAAACATTTGATAAGTTTCATAACCAGGTGTTGGCAAGAAAGTTGGCAATGGAAATGCTCATATAAACTGGTGGGAGTGTAGGTTAGTACAATCGCTCTGGGGAGTAATTTCTCAGTATCCATTCTTTTAACAGCTATTTATTGAGTATTTACAAGGCACTGTTCTAGGTGCAAGGGATAAGGCAGCAAACCGAAGAGATAAAGTCCGATGTGAGAAAAATAACCAGTAAAATAGAAGATGCCTATTTCCACTCTAGGTGTTGACCGCAGAGGAACTCACACATGTGAATGAGAGACACGTATAAGGACATTGACCACAGCTGTGCTTGTAATAGCAGGGATGAAGAACAACTTGGCTTTTCCTTAGTAACAGTAACCTAATGAAGAGGGACTGCTGTATAATATTTCCTTTAATAAACCCTAGTATTTGCTTATAATAAAACTGGGGTTTATTGAGGGAAATATTAAATATTATAATCCCAGTTTATTTATAATATAACTAGGGTTTATAAAGGAAATATTATACAGCAGTTAAAGTAAATGTGGATCCAACATAGATCCAAACATCTTATTGGATAAATATCAGAAAGATAATGTGAAGCAAAAAGGCTGGTTGCCAAAGGAGATATGGCTTGTATCATTTATATAAAATGATGTCGTATCATTTATACAAAAAGGGACACATTAAATAGTCACTTTGTTGCCAAACATACCTATGTAGTAAAAGTAAAAGAACATAGTGATTCTCTGGGGGTAGGGGGAGAAGGATGTCATAGCAGTAGATGATTTATTTTTTAAAAAAGCACAAGAGTGAGAGATCCAAAGTAGATATGGCAAAACTGTTCATATCTGCAGAATCTTGGTGGGGAGTGCATACATATTCATTATATTGTTTTCTGAAAGTTTAAAATGTTTCATAATAATTTTTTTGTAATTTTATAAAAGCAAGAACAAAACAAAACTTCAGACCCCAGCACTGAGATAATCGCTGGTGCTCATCGTACCCCATTTCCTGCACCCAGCCCAGCCTGCAGACAGCAGGTAAGGCACCTCCGCGATGCAGTGACGGCTCTGAAGAGCCGTCCAGGCTTCAGCTGCTTGTATGCATTCGCTCAGCAAGGAGAGGATGAAGGCAGCAGAAGGCAGAGGGGAGCAGGGAAAGAGGCTGGGGGAGGGCTGGTGAGGACGAGAGGTGAGTGAATCTCTTGTACTACCTGAAAAGGTGACTGCCGAGAAAGGACAAATGTCTTCCCTCCTCCAGCGTTCTGAGAGGACTGCCTTGCCTTCCTTCGTTACTGGAACATGACAACCCAGCTCATTCTCAGATATTTCAACAATGGCACAGGTCAAACATTTATCCAGTCTCTCAAGGCTCAGCTTACAAGCAAAGGGCTTGTAATAGCTGTGTTATATTTTTTGAATCTTGTTTGATTCATAGTCATAAATCCTCTTTTCTAAATTAGGTGAAATTATGGGAAGCCTACAGGCTCTTCCCTCACCCTCCATCTCTAAAACTCTCTCTCTCCCTCCCTTGGATTTCTAACCATCTGTGATCTATAACTTTCTCTCTTTTTTTTTTTTGAGATGGAATCTCGCTCTGTTGCCCAGGCTGGAGTGCAGTGGTATGATCTCGGCTCACCACAACCTCTGCCTCCCAGGTTCAAGCGATTCTCCTGCCTCAGCCTCCCGAGTAGTTGGAACTATAGGCACACGCTACCCTGACCAGCTAATTTTTGTATTTTTAGTGGAGACGGGGTTTCACTATGTTGGGTTTCACTATGTCTCGAACTCCTGACCTCATGATCTGCCCACCTCAGCCTCCCAAAGTGCTGGGATTACAGGCATGAGCCACCATGCCCAGCCGACTTTCTCTCTCTTGATTTATCCTCCTCCTTCACTCACCCACACACAATCATCCACCACAGGAGAGGTAAAACACCATTTCTTACTCTACTCCGAAACTCTGTTTCTAGCTCACTGCATGGTAGAGAGCAGGCTCCATAGGACATTTGCTGATCTCCTCTTTTTCTATTTCATATAAACTGGAAATATAATTTTAATTAGATTACTAACTTCTTAAGGCATGCTTCAACTCTAATTAAACAAAGAGGTCTTTATTCACCATCAAACCTAGAAACATTGGCTAAAGGTAGCAGGAAAGCTGGAGGCTCCTGAGAACTCCAATTAAGGCAGAAGCCGGCTATATTTGGGAGCCAATTAATTTCACAATGTCGAAAACTAACACGTTTAAGATTCTACCGTTCACATCCATTTTTCTCCATGAAAACGTTTTAACTGTGTTGTGCCTGTCATCATCTTACCCAGAGTGTCTGTAAAAACTTTCATGTAAGGAAGACCTCAGGATTGCTAGATATAACCAAAGGCTTACTCTTTACCTTCTAAAATTGCAGTCAATTTTAAGACACTTTCAAGTCAATCCGCGTTCATCACCAAAGTGAGCCCTGAGTACTGCAAAATGCCTTTTGCACTGGCTTCTAAATGAAGTGGAGGTGGGAGCTGCTTTCCTCCTCTACCCTCCTCTCTTGGGCTTTCCACTGGTGGACTCACCTTCCGCTATGACCTCAACTACTATTGACAGGCTGATGGCTATGAAATCAGTGGTGATGGTGACAACAGTGATGACAACAGCCGACATTTGCGGAGCATTGACACGTGTCTTAAAGTCAACCTGTCTAAAACTGGACTTCTTTTCTTCTCCTGGAATCTATTCTTCCTGTTGCATTTCTCATGTTAATTCATTGTTTCATTGTCAACCGCATCATTCTTGAGTTTCTCAACTTCTTAGCTCATCAGATCCCACTGATTTCTCCCGCCTGCTGAGTAGAACTAGGAATGATGGTCTCTCTGATCAATTCTTTCCCAGCTCCCCTGCCCAGTGCTTTTGTTCAGAGGGCACACTTCTCATCTGCCAACTGGCCCTGCAGCCTTCTAGTTCTCCCTGACCCTGCTCATCTTCGGGACTGTCCCCCAGGGATATTTGTGTGGCACGGATCAGTACTCCTCTGTGTTCCCTGCCTCTGCCCAGTCGCTCAGGCCAAAATCCCAAGAGTATCCTTGATTCCTCTCTCCCTCTTCTCCCTCATTGTACCCAGCAGGAATCCTGCCACCCCTGCCTCCAAACACTCTGACCCTTCCCTCTTTCTCTTTCCCCACTGCTGCAGAGATTGTTCAAGCCATCACCATGCCTCCTGCAGGCCTCAAAATAACCAGGAAGGGCAAGAATAACCTGCCCTTCTCCCATGCAGTCCACAGAGTAGCCAAAAAGCAGCTCATGTCAACTTAACCCTAGAATCAAATCTATACTCTTACTCCAGCCTCTGCCATTCAGCCCCCAGCATCATCTACCATTCCTGCTCTTGCCCACCAACTCAGCCATGTTACCTTTGTGTCTGGTGAACTTCAAATGCACCAGACTCACCCTGCCTTAGGGCCTCTGTGCCAGCTGTTCCTGCTGCCTGACAGATTTTCCCTCAGCTCCTTGCATGTCCTCTCTGACACTCAGGTCTCAATTCCAATGTCACCTTCACAGTCAGGCCGCTTCTCTGATCATCCATTCTCAAATAGTTTCCCAGGCACTAACACATCGTCTTGGCCCTTCACTGTTGACTTATTTGCTCACTTGTGTATTTTATGTCTCCCTCTGTTGAAATGTAAGCTGTTTGAAAGCGGGGACCTCGCGATGAGCATCTTTCCTCTACTGTAACCCTGTAACCCCAGCTCCTAGAAGAGTGCCCGGTACACAGTGATTGCTCAATACATGTTTGTAGAGTGTTGAATGAATAAACAGGGATGTCACTCTAGTTAAAAACACCCTATTTTTCCTACTGCCATGGAATCTAGTCTGATCTCTGAGCCTGACATTCAGGCTCTCGCAGTCTAGTTCTGACCTGCCAAAATTAACCTCCTGCTACTCCCTCCCTCCTCACGTTTCTAATCTGTCTTATTTTTTTTTTTTTTTTTTTTTTTGCCTGAATATAGCGAGTGCTTTCACACTTTCCTGCCTTTGCAAATTTGGTTCTCACTGCCTGATGATTTTCCCTTTCTCTGTCTGATGAGCTTCTCTCATTCTGCAACAACCAAGCTCCAACATCCCCTCATTCAAGAAGGTGCAACCAAGTGCCCCCAAGCAAGGGAGCTGTTCGCTGTTCCCACGCCCTTTCATGCCGGCGTATCAGACTTGGGATGGCGTACAGTAGACCCTTGGCGCTGGCAGTCCTGAAGGTCACGTGGCATGTGAGATGTGAATGAAGATAACAATCCTAATCACACGATCGTGAAATGAGATGATGAGTGCAAAACGCCTTGGGTGACCTTGACTCACCCCCATCCGGAGGCAGGTTTGAATTAACAAGTTACTTAAGTAGTGAGTGAGCACCGCTGACCAATGAATATGTGCATAACAGCAGTCAATTTAGGGATTCCCAAAGGTTTCTGGACATGAGCCTGGTGACAGTCAAGGGCCAACTGTATTATAATTACTTATGTATCTTTTTCTCCCTTCTCAGAAACAGGCATGAGTAGCCTGGCTCTTCTTAGGCGTACGGACCGTAACAGACACTAAGATAAAGGTTTGTTGCATCAATAACTGAAATAAGATCTATGTGGATGTGTGAGTCCGTGAATGCAGGAAAGACTCACCACTTCCCCCAAACACTTACCTCTCCCACTTGTTAATGCCCAAATTATTTTACCGAGGGACAAAACCTTTTATTTTACAATGGAAGATCATTTAGGCCTCAGCAAAATGACAAACTGCTACATTTCTCAGATCTTCATGGTTGCTCAAGAATGATCAAAATAGTAAATGTTACACCTGCAGGTGTCTAGAAGCCAGAGCTTGTATCTATTTTGTTTAAACATCTGTCTCTCCACTCTCCAGTGAGCACCTCAAGAAAAACATGATGTCTCACTGTTCCCATCACTGTCCCCATCATCATACTTACTGGCCTCATTGCACTTGTTTTCTTTCTTTGTATACTCATGTGATGCCTACCTACCTCCTTTGAAATCCAGGCTTCGTGGGAATAGACCATGTAGGTTAGCCTTACAGGTCTATCCCCCTGTGCACCCCACACAGGAGATGCTCAGAAAATGTTTGTTGAATAAGTGAATGAATGATTCTATAAGACTGCCCATTTCTTTCTTCATGTCTGATCAAAGAAAACTCAATCCTTGTATTATGAATAGCTAACAGTGAGAGAGTCAAAACCCAGATTAATGGACATTTACAAATTCCTGATCAAAAGTGATTTTATACAATTGCATTTTCCTGGAAGGAAGAACAGACTATGACCAAATTAACAAAATGATAAAAATAGCATAGGAAGGCTGGTTGCACCATGAATAATCATTGAAGGACTAAACTTTTGCCCTTGGGGTAATTTTAGAATTTGGGACTTCACTAGTATAGCAAGAAAATATTGAGTTCCGGGCCTGGTGCGGTGGCTCACGCCTGTAATCTCAGCACTTTGGGAGGCCAAGGCGGGCAGATCATTTGAGATCAGAAGTTTGAGACCAGCCCGGCCAACATGACGAATCCCCGCCTCCACTAAAAACACAAAAATTAGCTGGGCATGGTGGCAGGCACCTGTAGTCTCAGCTACTTGGGAAGCTGAGGCAGGAGAATCACTTGAATCCAGGGGGCGGAGGTTGCAGTGAGCCGAGATCGCGCCACTGCACCCAGCCTGGGTGACAGAGTGAGACTCCATCTCAAAAAAAAAGGAAAAGAAAATATTGAGTTCCTTTAAGTGAATTGACAGTAATGGTGTTTTGTTTAATACATAATATACTTAAGCTATATTTTCAAATTATTTTTATTATTTTCCAGATGCTTTTAAACAAAAATACAAATTCCTATGTCATAAAGCGTGGTCCATTGGCAAATGGAAATCAATAAGCAAGTGACAGTGAAGAAGCTATTGAAAAGAACAAGGACATAGGCCAGCCCCAGGTTGAATTCCAGCCTGGCCCACACTGGCTATGTGACTTTAGGCAGTGACTCAGTTCTCTGAGACCAGGCTTCCTCTTCTGGAAAAGCAGTATTTGCAAAATCCCGTGAGAAATCGACAAGATAATAACATTTGCAAAGAACCCACACTGCTCTGGGCACCATAAATAGTAACAGTAATGTGTAACAATAACATTCATCTCAGAAAAATGTGGCATCAGCAAAGAACTGGAAATGCTTGTTTTCAGGGTTAAAAAAATACCATTAGTGTTTCTTCACTAAATAAACTAGTAATTTTAGTAGCCCAATCTGGAGGCCTGTGGTTTAACAAGCAACTAATTAGAAACTGGTGCTCCCTAAGCGCTGAGTGACACCTGCTTTTAAAACTGTACCCACAGAGAGGAGTCGGGTGCAAGGGACAGTTGCTGGCTGTGCTGTCTCCGGAAAATACAGCTTAGGAGCAAATCCCAGATGATCTCTTTTAATAAAATCTTCTCTGAAAAATACATGGGTTAATAATATGAACAAAGGAGGTTTGCTGAGGTCCCATCAGTTTAATTCCACCCAGTATCAGATTATTCCTGCCAGGATGGGCTGTGAAAATAATGAAAGCAATAATTAAAAGTAAATTATGCAAATGGCAAGGGCAGGAATGGTAGATTGGGAGATTGCTCGGAAGGAAGAGTGATTTGATCTGATCTGTTCAAGGAGCCGACCACAATGATGCTCTTACCCACCCACTGAGCATGCCTCTGCCATTCCTCCTCTAAAGTGTCCACGAGGTCCTCCTCTCTGCCCACAGGGCAGATCTAAAGCTCCTTAACCTGGCATTCAAGGTCCTTTATAGTCCAAATCCCTGCCAATCCTTCCAAATTCATTCCCTCTGCTTCCTACACCACCCCTTCCATCTATACCGAACTACTTACAATTTTCCAAACTCACTCTACATTTAATGATTCCATTCAGGACAGTATTGGAGAGAAAATTTATTTTAAAAGTCAATGTCCATGTCCCTTAAAGAAAGTGATCCACAATTTAACAACCATGGATAAATCCTGCCATGGGAACTGAATCTCCCTGTGAAATTTCTGGAAATTACAAACACACTCCACTTCCCTGGAAAGTCACCCTTTCAAAAACTTATCCCTCTAAGTCACAGTCCTGAACATGGAGGTAAGATAGAATCGCCTCCCATCCACCCATCCTTCCTTCCATCTTTCGAAAATATAAAAAAAACTCTATGTGCCAGGCCCCATGCCAAATGCCAAGGGCATGAATGCATCCGATGTGGTTCTGAGCCTTGAAGAGCTCACAGGATGTTTAAACCATAAATCCAGCATTCCTTCTGCTGGGTTCATAACGGGCACTAAATAAGTATTTGTTGAATTAAGACAAACAGGTAAACTAATAATGACAATATAATACAGGAACTACTGTGCCAGAGTGGACACACAGAGTGCCCTGGGCCTGGGGGTGAGATGTGCAAAGGCATAGAGGCATCAAAAAGCGTGGCATGCTTGGGGGTCTCAACAAGCCGACAGGAGCTGGGGAATGAGATAGGGAGAGAATGGTGGGTAGAATCCCAGAATCCTTTGCTCCTGGGCCCCCTTCCCCTGGCATGACCTCATCAGTTTCCACTTAAGATCCACACAGGCACAAAACACGCACACAGCCCTCTGGTTTTGCCACAGCTCATGGCCGACTAGGCAAAGCAGGTGGGGCTTACAGAGGCAGGGGCTTTGACCACGGGAATCATACCTGGGGCCAGCCTTCAAGATTTAGGAAGACGAAAAAGTTCTTGTGCAAAAAACAGTTACCAGGTTACCACACAGTACAACAGGCTGGGAAGGCTATCCTGTAACCCCTGCTGTGTGCTAAGCCCGCTGACTTATTTTGGAGGTGACAGGCATGCTCACTACCCACAAGTGTCCGTCAGGACCAGTGGTCCTCAAACGTGATTTGCATATTTGAATCACTGGTGTTTCAAAGAGTGTTCTTTTAATTTTTTTAAAACCATGTTCAGGCTCCACCCCCAGAAATTCTGGTTTAATTGGTCTGAGGTGGAGCCCAGGCAGAGAAGTTCCCTATTGGTTCCAATATGCAGCTGAGCTTGAGAACCACTGTTTCTGGGATTTTCCAGGGTCCCCACTCAGCCTACCCCCATTCATTAGATCACCTGCTTGGCCCTGACAGCACTTGGGACCCCTGACCTCTGCCGCCTTCTCTGGTCCTCACTATCCCTCATGGTGTGGTCATGTTTAGCTCAATTTATACATAGAAACTCAGATTAAAGATCCTGTTCCAGGTAGCCCAGCTCTCAAGCAGAAAAATGGGGACTAAAACCAGGTATGTCCAGGTCTAACAACCACGTCCTTTCCACAGTGCTACGCTGCTTCCTTGCAGAGCTGAGCTCAAGCTGTCCATAAATATTCAGGAGTCTTTTGAGCTGGTTGTTAAAAACCACTGATAGCCTGAAATTAGCTGTGGTGGGAATATTTACACCATGGAAATAGACAAACACTACCCATCAGGAAGTGTTTTGTTTTGTTTTTTGAAACCAGTTTGCCAGCACACCTCTTAATTCCAAGGCACCAAGAAAAAAGAAAAAATATCAAATTATGTTCCTTCAATTTCAGGAAGCAGCTGTATCATGCATTTTAGGAAGATTTCAACTCCAAATAGTTAAAATTGAAAGAGCTTTTTGAGTTTAGAGAGATAAACCTCAAGTGTGCGAAAAATATACACCTGTAATTTTTATCAAGATGCCACATGGGTACAGATGCATTCTGCATGCTGCTATGGGTTGGGTGCATTTGACTTAAAGTCACTTAGTGTCAGTGAAAAAGGAAAATACAAGTGTAGAACAAGGTCCCTGGAAGTGCTCCCTATCTCAGCCACAGAGAGCATAATAGAAAATGTTCTCTGAAACAAGCCACCTGGCAGCCCACCTCTGCCTCAGATACCTTGATATGTGGAGTTTCAATATTGGAATGCTGGATGGGAGCCTCCTATTACAGAATAACAAGAGAGACTAACAGAAGTTACTTACCCCCCAGGATCTCCAGTACCCCCGCGGAGCTCAGCTTTAAGTGGTCCCCACTGAACAAAGAACTGTGACATTTCTCTCCCCAGCATGGTTCCTCTAACAGCAGGGCTCGATAGCTACAAAGCCTGGTTATGCTGGTGCCGTGCTTTTGGAGGATGGAAGGAGATTGTAAATTGAAAAGGAATAAAGAAAACTACCATTTACTGACTGTCTACTCTGCAACTAGGCACTGAGCTAGACACTCTCAGACCTGGCACTAGAATTGACACTTACTGAATAACTATTACATGTCAAGCCCTATTCCAGGCCCTTAGCTACATTAGCTCATTGCATCCTCTTAATAACCCTGTGAAGTGGCTCCAATCATCCCTATTTTACAGAGGAGAACATAGAGATGTAGATAGCTGAAAGCATTTCCTAAGTTAACACAACCGGAACATGGCAGGCAGGACCAGAACCAAAGCAATGATCCTGGGGCTGCTCTTCTGAGAAATGGAAATGCTTCTGGCAGACAGGGAATTGTCACTGACTTGAACTCTAGTCTTCGGGTATTCAGTAGTTACCAGAAAACTAACCATGAACCTCAATATCACAGTGACAGAAAAAATGTTTCTTACATATGTTTCTGTAATTAGCAAATTATAGAAACGATTTGTAGGTAGCTACTGTTCATCAAGTAATATCTACCACCTCTGGGAACTCTGCCAGTCACTTGATGATGGTGATTACATGCCGCTCTCCAAGCCCTTCCATACGCCCGGCACAGGACTAAACAAGCATTTAACATCGATCCTTGTAATGACTGGATGAGGTAGGTATGGTCCCAGTTTACAGATGCAGAAACTGAAGTTTGAAGAGCAACTTGCTCAAGGTCACAGAGCCAGGAAGTGGCAGAACCAGGCTGGAGTTCAGGATCTGGGGCCTCAAAAGCTGTGGTCCTAACTCTAGCTGCCAAGCATGTGCGCTGCAGAGTGGGTTAGACCATTCCTGAATGGGTGACATTGCATGGCTACTCAGGGGTCAGTAAACTGCTGTTTTCTGAGTTCCCACTGCAGGAAGCTAGTGCAGACACAACACGGTATAAGAGCAAGAACATGACCTGATGCAAGCTTTGGGCACAAAGGGACCAAAATGGGAATGTGTCCTCCCTAGTCATAGGGCTCAGCATTTCTTACCAAGGCATGGCTGCCCTAGAAATGTGGAATCTTGGAGGTGAGAATGACCTTCAGGCAGGCTGGGCCAGCCTCTCACACAATGTTTGTGTCACCATTGCAATCCTGAGTCAGACACTCTGCCACTCACTCTTGTGAGATGGGGCCATCTCACAAGATTGTGTCTATGATTAAATGAGATATTAGTAAAAGTGCTAAATCCAATGACTATCACATTAGTTAACAGCAATTAACATAGTTAATCCCTCCCTCATCCAACCACTCAATACATTTTAAATTAGAGTCTATTATGTACCAGGCTTGGGATAAAACCCACGCTCAAGCTTCAGGGCTGATTTGGGGAGGAAAATCATTGATTCATTAATTAATTTATTCAACAAACATTTACTATTCTATGATGGCACTAAGTTAAAACCTCTAAGACAAACTCGTTGTCTTAGACGGAATCCAACACAAATTAGTTGGATGACTAAGACACATTCACCAGTAACTACTGTGAAATGACAATGAGCATAATAACTAACATTTTGTGTGATGTCTCATAGTTTAAAAAGCACTTTCACACTTGTAATTGGGTCTTGCAAGAAATGCAGATTCAGATGAGTCAAGTGACCTGCCTGGGGCCACACAGTCAGTGCAAAAGTTTGATTCAAATCTAGGTGTCTGACACCAAAGCTTGGCTGTCTCTCCTCTACCATCTGCGTCACCCGGCTCTGCTTGGGTCCATCAGTCTGCCCAGTGGCAGCCCTGTTCCACTTTTAGAAAACCTTGATTATGAGAAAGTTTTTGCAAATATTCATTAAAAAATCTGCCTTCTGCAAAATTCTATCTCATTTCTCTTAGCTCTTCTTTCCCTCCAGAGCCATACTGAATAAATGTTCCTCTCCCTGTCCTCAGAGAAACTTTAAGATAGTCTTCCTCAAGTCTTCTCTGCCCCAGGCAACATGTCTGGGTCTTCAGTCCTTCCTGTTCTGACACAACTACTAATCCCTCCCCAGCTTGCTCTGTCCGCATCCATCCAGCCTCTACTCACACTCCCTGGCTTGGTGGAGGTTATCTTTCACCTTTTCCCTATGACTAAGGAGGACACATTCCCATTTCGGTCCCTTTGTGCCCAAAGCTTGCATCAGGTCACGTTCTTGCTCCTGTACCATGTTGCGTCTGCACTAGCTTCATGCATTGGAAGAGTATTCCAATGACTCTTCACCCAAGATTCAGTTATGACCCTCCTAGGCGCTCTGCACCCCGTATCACCGCACTCCTCAAATGATGTTGGGATCTTCCATCTGTGTGTCACTCTTTGCAGGCAGTGAGCTCCCTGAGGCCGTGGGCTGGTCTGTAACCATGATCACAGCACAGCCCCTCTCCCTAAGTGCCCACCACATCCCAGGCACTGTTTAGGCACCTTCCACTGAGTACCCCAACCATACCAGATAGGTGCTATTATTAAATTAACCCCTGTCCCAAAGCCTGACAAAGGGCAAGGATTCATAGATTTTTTCAGGACTGAATGAAACTCCAATTTATTCATATCCCAAAGACTGGTGTCAAGGGTGGTTTCTCTGACCAGAACAAGGTAGAGTCTGACCTGAGGCCAGCAGGTGCCACAGGGGTCCTTCAGAGAGCCTGGCTTCTCCCGGGGACACTTGAGAGCTCACCGGGCAAGGGAGAGAAATGAACCGTATCGAAAAATGTGGTCTGGGGTGAGACATCAGCAATAATCACTGCCAGGAAAAGGAGGGCTGCTGGTTAGTGCCGAATGCCAATGACAGGAAAGCTGCAAGGGACTGACCAAGCCTCCCTCCAGGCTTTGAGGAGCTTGTCGCCTGGGCTCCTAACGACACGAGCTCTGGGATGAACCGAACCTGGCTCAAATCATGACTCTGTCCATGACCTGGAGTAAAATGAGGACAATAATACCTTATAGGGTTACGGTAAAAATTAAACCCGAAAGCGCTTGGCCACAGTAACCCTCGATAAATGTGATGTTGATGATGATGACGAGGGGACAAGGAGGCTGCAGAGTGAAGCCACAGCCCCCTGCTCCATCTTCTTTCTGGGCACACTCACTGCCAGGGCTGCCTCTGGCACACAAAGCTGTCCTGTAAAGCCTGATGGCGGAACATCAGCTCGTGAACACTCTGGGTCTGTGTCAAATTCCCACTAATGATTTCTCAGCATAAATTAAATGGAGTGAAGATTTTCTAATGGCCACTACAGAATTACATGACAGCTTCCAGGAGAAGCTACAAAAATAGCTGGAATCAGAAGGATGGTCATTCGGATGCCTGCAAGTTTCTCATTAATTTAATTTCTTCTTTCCTCCTGGCTTGTGGATCTTTTTTGTAAGAGCTGACAGAAAAGACATGCATAACAAGCCACCAGGTATTCCCAGCCTATTTAAATAAGCCTAAAGAGAGAGCAGTGACCATATTGTATAGCAAGTGGAATTCAGCATTGCATTAAAACCACCACCATAAATAATAAAATTTATTTATATTTACATAAACTTGCATAATTTACAAGGGACACTTATGTATTTGTCTTTATCTCATTTGACCTTCTATAATTTATGGAGCACTCATCATGGGCCTGGCATTTTTAATATATTATCTCACTTAATTTTCACAGTGACTGATTATTATCTCTATTTTACAGGCAAGGTTTAACAAAGTAGAAGAATTCCTCTGGAATCACACTGTTACAGGAAAGAGGTCCTGATCCAGACTCCAAGAGAGGTTTCTTGGACCTCCCGCAGGAAAGAATTCAGGGCGAGTCCGAGTAAAGTGAAAGCGAGTTTATTAAGAAAGTAGAGGAATAAAAGAACGGCTACTCCATAGAACAGCCCCGAGGGCTGCTGGTTGCCCATTTTTATGGTTATTTCTTGATGACATGCTAAACAAAGGGTAGATTATTCATGTCTCCCCTTTTTAGACCATATAGGGTTACTTCCTGCCATTGCCATGGCATTTGTAAACTGTCATGGCGCTGGTGGGAGTGTAGCAGTGAGGACGACCAGAGGTCACTCTTGTCGCCATCTTGGTTTTGGTGGGTTTTAGCTGGCTTCTTTACTGCAACCTGTTTTATCAGCAAGGTGGTTATGACCTGTATTTTGTGCCCATCTCCTGTCTCATCCTGTGACTTAGAATGCCTTAGCTGCCTGGGAATGCAGCCCAACAACACAGCCCAAAAGTGGAGGACTAGGGCCGGGCGCAGTGGCTCATGCCTGTAATCCCAGCACTTTGGGAGGCCGAGCTGGGCAGATCACAAAGTCAAGAGATCGAGACCATCCTGGCTAACACAGTGAAACCCAGTCTCTACTAAAAAATACAAAAATTAGCCACGTGTGGTGGCACACACCTGTAGTCCCAGCTACTTGGGAGGCTGAGGCAGGAGAATCGCTTGAACCTGGGAGACAGAGGTTGCAGTGAGCCGAGATCACGCCACTGCACTCCAGCCTGGTGACAGAGCAAGACTCCGCCTCAAAAAAAAAAAAAAAAAAACTGGAGGACTAGGATTTGAACCTAGGTCTGTCAGGGTCCATAGCTTGTTCTTTCAGCTAGTTACCCAGCTTCTGTTTGGGGAGGAGGCACTTTTTCCATACACTTGATAGTTCTTTCAGCATGAGAGGAACACCTTTGGCATAATGTTTCTGGCCTCTCCTGCCCCCCACACACTCTGTTCCCCTGGGGAAATAAAATGCCTTGTTTGATTGGTGAATTTGGAGACACTGGCAAACGTGCTCAGCCCCTTCCTCTCCTTCCTCATGGAGCTCATTCCTGCTGCCCTCCAGAGCCTGGTTCTGGTTCCCACAAACCTGCCTGGGGTTGCAGGGGGAACTGCTGCCTGCCTGAGTCAAGCTCCGGATTCAGCCTCAGGAAGCTCATTTGCCCACAGACCTGACGCATTCCCCAGCAGCACTTTTTTCATAATGAAGGTGATATTTTGGCCCTTATCCTCTTTATTTCTTTATCTTATTCTCAAGTAATTCAGAACCCAAGTGGAAGAGAGGAATATTTATTGGCCCTCCTTCAAAGATTCTAATGATTATGATCCTCATTTTACAGATAAAGCTCTTTCCTAAGAAAAGAGTTGAAATGTTGGCAGATGTGTGATAAATAGCCCCATACATTATTATGCTATATGAATGTAATTCCTTTAATTCAGATTAGTACATATAGTTTAAGGAGGAGGAAAATGGAGGACTGGAGTGATACCACCAAAAATGACTCATATGTAAAACAAACTAAAGGAGAAAACACAACTTCAAATGAGCACGTCATAATTGAAGAAGAAGCCATGCTCCACCAATTTAGAGATCTTTGTCTGGGGTACTATATAAGGTGGGTCAAATGCCAATAAGAGCCCAGAGTAGAAAATTAACCAAAGCAGCCAGGCACTGTGGCTCACGTGTGTAATCCCAGCACATTGGGTGGCTGAGGCGGGCGGATCACTTGAGGCCAGGAGTTCGAGACCTGCCTGGCAACATGGTGAAACCCCATCTCTACTAAAAAATACAAAATTAGCCAGGCATGGTGGCGTGTGCCTGTAGTCCCAGCTACTCAGGAGGCTGAGGCATAAGAGTTGCCTGAACCCAGGAGGCGGAGGTTTGCAGTGAGCTGAGATCGCGCTAATGCACTCCAGCCTGGGTGACAGAGCAAGATGCCGCCTCAAAAAAAAAAAAAAAAAAAAAAGAAGAAGATTAACCAAAGCATTTCCCAACTACCAAGAAAGAACCAAGAACCAGTTTATAGAGACCAACCCCTCCCCCAAAAAATCCACAAAAAAGTAAGCAAAGCAACCAAAAAACCCGACGAACCTTGCATGGGGTACAAAAAGCTCACAATCGAAGCATGCTTTTTGGAGCCATCTATAATTTGGAACCCACCCAGAGATTTACCTGTTGCTGGAGTTCTATCAGAACAGCCACCTGTACAACTTGCCTGAGGCTTACTACTCTTATTATCAATAATTGAGTTAACAGAATGTTAGGGCCAAAAATGTCCTCAGTAGTCAAGCCCAAGCCCTTGCTGAAGAGAGAAAGCCCAGATGACAGAGCTGGCCGAGGGAGCTTCTCTGAACTACCTTTGCATCCACAGGACCCAACACAGCCCCAGCCCCACTGTATGTGAGAAAGAACCACGTTAGTGGCAGGGCCGGGGCTAGAACCCGGGTCTCCCAACACTAGTATTGCTTCCTTTTCTTACAGTGCATCAGCTGCAGTGACACTTGTCTGTTCACTTCATGGATATCATGTATTCACTGTTGTGTTATCATAGGCCAAGTCAACAGGCCTGTGAACCAGAGGAATGATCTCTCATAAACAAACAAGTGGTGGAAGGGTGCTAAGATTCAAACTACAGGAGACACTGAACAATAGCTGAACATGGAGACAAGCCCCACTCTGTCCCCCAGTTACAAGCACCAAAGATGCTAGCAATGAATCCAGGCTGAGGATAAATGCGAAACCTTGTAATATCACTCTTGTGAAGCACACAGATTCTAAGAGAATCAAAAAATGGCCTTCTGTATCCAGAACTATTTTTAGAAACACAATCCTATTTTTCTTCTTCAAAGTAATTAGCGTTCATAACCAGAACTAGAGCGTTTCTTCTGAATGCAGGGGAGAAGCAAACCTTTCTCTTCAGAAGCAAGAAGCTAGATGGTGAGAGACTGTCAAGAACACATTCAGTGCAAGCACACACACACACACAGACGCACACACACACACACACACAGACACACACACACACATACTCCAGATGATAAACACAGCTTCCAATTAAGCTGCCCTCAACTAGCTGGCACCTAATACCTGTTGGTTTAAAAACAACTGGCAAAATTTGCAAAGTCTAAGGGTTTTTAAAGGATGAAATCTTTCTTTTAATTTTTTTGTATCTCTCTTTTTAAAGATAATAAATCACATGCATTTACAGAATTGTAGCATTTTTGCACAATAGCAGTCTCTAGAGATAAACAGACCACATGCAAGGGAAGCGTGGGGACTGGCTCTCAGTCAAGTTCACAGAGCAGCCACAAGGCAGACACTCAGCCCAAGACCTCGACTCCCAGCCAGTTCTCCTATGTGGTCAGAGCCGCCTTTCCACATCAAAGAGAAGTTCATGAAAATCTATGGAGCCCATTTGCAATATGAGGTGCAAATCGAACAAATGTTTTGCATCAGGGATAATCTTAATTAAACTATTTAATACGAGCACCGTTGGTTTACTTCAATCTTCCTGAACTTCATTAAGCTGTCCATTTACTTATATAAATTCCCATCTTAAAAAATAAAATGCATATAGTTTGTGTGGTAGAAAACTGTGTGTTTTAATATACATCCATGTGTAAAAATTGTGATGATGTTAACAATAGTAATAATAAAACTCATTTGTTAAATGGCAATAGGCTCAACATTGTGATAGGGACTTTATATGAGGGGAACAATAAGGAAAATCATAATATAAATTTAGTATCACTCATTAAATGCTTCCCATACTCAGGTAGTATGTGGTGCAGTTAAGAACTATCATTCATGTAATGATCACAATAATCTTGTTAGGTGGCTATTACTGTGAGTCACATTTTACAGATGAAGAAACTGACGCTTTGAGAAGTTAAATAACTGCCCCAGATTTCACAGGGAGCAAAAGAAAAAGTCTAGAGTCAAACCCAGGCCCACTGGACCCTAGAGTCCTTTGCCTTTTCCACTGCACAAGGCTACATCCTCATTTATAAAAGTATTGCTTTGACCTCCATTTCCAGCAAGGACATTTATAGATCCAAGGACAAACTAAATGGTGCAAAGATGACCTGTTCTTGATAAAGGCCTTCGACTTCTCTATGGTCTGGAACAAAGTAACTCTGCTACCAAATTTTCTGAGGGAAAATAGAGCTCACAGCCTCAGGGTAATCAGATAATGCTTAAATATGAAGTGGTTCAGAACCACAGTGAAATTTGGGAGTGGAACATAATTTATCTATTGTTCCATTTTAAAATATTCATGAAGCAAGGAAGCATTTCCACATTCAATAATTAAGTGGTTAAAATCTGCATCCTGATATGTTTACTGATCATGAATAGTGCACTCCTAGAAGGACCTAAGTTTAAATTAGCAGCCCACAGGCTGCCATGTTACACTGCAAAACCAGACAAATGAGACAGAAATGTTGCTGCTGCCTAGAGAAAACATTTTCCCACCACTTATTCTGCTGCAGAGAAAAGCTGAGACCAAATTGAAAATGCACCTAGGACTTTGCCTGAAAACCAGCTGGAAGAGCATGAAAGGGGGAGAAAAAAACCTGCAACTTTCTCCTTCGTTAGAAGAATTGTTGTAAGATGGTGTGATTGTTCCCTAAAGGTTAGATTTTACAATCATTTAATATTTCACTTGTCTTAAGAAACCCGCATAGAAAGGCAGGGAAAGGAAACATTCCTAAAAATGTGAATTTAAAAAGTGGCTCTGTTTTGCTTCTTCAGTTCTGTGGTCACAAGCAATATATGTGACACCTACGAGTAGAGTTGTATTAAACTGGGTGTCTTGTTCCCTGTATTACTGGCAAGCTCTGTTTCAATGGCCTCCCTCGCCAGGGGCATCCTCCATCACTGTGCATGAGGATGGGGCCTACTGGCCGCCCTGCTGAGAGCCCAGTGCCAAGCCCTAGTAGGTATGAAGGGCTGCTTCCCAGGGTCTTCCGGTGGCCCGGGACAGACACAAGGCCGGGGGTGGCAGGCAAGTAGTTCTCAAAGTGTTGTACCTGGACCAGCAGCATCTGTTTTACCTGGAAACATGTCAGAAATGCAAATTAATCAGAAACTCTGGGAGTACAGTTCAGCAGTTTGGGCTTTAACAAACCCACCAGGTGATTCTGGTGCCCACTAACGTTTGGGAAGCACCCAGCTCCTCTTCTGTCCTTACTCAGCTGCAGGCTCCAAGGTTCTGCATCCAGTGGATCTGCCCCATCCAGTCCTACGCCTTGCTGACCTCAGCAGGGAGTAGTTAGCTGACTCCAAGCCCCAGAAGAAGGGGAGTCTGGGAGTGGCCTTGCTGACTCAAACCAGAATCTGATGCCCCGCTGTGCCCTCCCCACTGCATGTTGGCCCAGCTGGCTGTTCTAATAGGGCTGTGGTTCTATCCTCGACTCCATGGCTAAGGCCTCGTCCTTGCCACTCTCTCCCACCCCAACCCCTCCCTCAGGGCAGGAGCTTATAGTCTCAGGTCTTCCTCAAACCGGCTAGCCAGTCTGAATCAGGGGGCGCCTTCTACCACTGCCCAGGGACTCTTCCAGAAACAGCCTGCCCATAAAGGCCCTCCACCACCATGGGAGGAAGAACCCTGATCCAAAAGGAAACTTGGTCAATCTGTCCCTACAGACTTGATCATTTGAGCTGCTGGCCCTGTCCTGATAGCCCACATCTCCCCGCCCCCTCTTTCCTCCTCTGCTTCCCTGGCTTTGTACCCCGCTCTGAGCCTGTCACTGAGACTCCAGAATGGCTCTGGGCTGAGCACACCCAGGGTAACTGTAACTAAGCACCACCAATTACTGAGTTTGCAGAAAATACTGTGCTTATACCCTGGCAAGTGGGCCCCTGCCTTGTGCCCTGCGTTTGAGAGGGTCCTTCTCCAGCCCAACTCTGGTAGCCCCCTTCCCAAGGGGCAAGGAGTCCTTGAGGCCAAGGAGGCGTGCTCACATGGAGCCCATGCCCTCCCTCCTCCGGGAGCCCCTTCTAGGTATCCAGGACCCCGAAATTCCCCTCCTAGATGGCTGGAGTCCATCCTCTCAAGAGCAAATGGTGCTTCTGGGGCCTTCTCCCTAGACCTGAAGAATGGCCAGGAACAGCCAGTTGGGGGTGGGGGTCGTTGTGGACAGAGCTGAGATGTGTGAACTGTAGGGTCTACCCAACTCCTTACAGTGGTAGATGGAGTCAGGATTGGGAAGAGAAGGAGGGGCTGGAAGGAGGCTAACGCTTCAGTTTGTTTTCTTTCTTGGGCCTCAAAAAAAGTGAGGGGCCAGCCTGCCATGAAAATTAAGTCAGATAGCGTATGTCATGTACCTAGTAGGAACTCAATAGCTACTTGTGGAACGAGTGTCCCCAGAGATCTGCTTCAGTGCCTTATTTGGTCCTCACAACCAACCTGCAATGTAGGAACAGTATGCTCATTGTCTAGATAAGGAGACCTGGACTCCAAGAGGTTAAGTGACTTGCCCAAGAGGGCACAACTAAGACCTGAATGGCTATTTAGCCTTGGTTTGATTACTTCTAACTACACGGAACTTGCTACTCCTTTCAGTCAACCCTTATCATTTCAGGCGAAGTAAGTCATTGCTGTTGCTGTTTTCTTTCTTTCTTTGAGCTTAAATCCCTCTGCAAATTTCAGTCATGGGTCTTTGCTCTGCCTTATTGGTGCCCGAAGAGACTTCACCCCCTTTCCCATATAACCACCTTCAAGTAAAAATGGAAATGCTATCCCCTGGGGTCTTTTTTCTCGAAGCCAAACACCCTTAGCACCTCCACCATTTCCTCCTGGCAGAGGACTTCCAGTACCCACTCCTAATCAGGCTTCTGGGGACAGATTCCAGTTTTTCTCTCCTCCAGCACCTCACAGAGGTCATGGTGTATAGAAACAGAGGCTTCAGCTAGTAGATTTGGACACAGGTAACCGTTTCCATGACCAGCAACCTACCCTCGAACACATAGAGTCCTAAAGCCTAAAGCTTGTGAAATGCCATGTGGTTTGAGTCTTGGTTTCCTTGCCTGTGAAATGGGAAGAATGACTCATTTCCTGACTACCTTGCGTGGTTGGGCAAATATCATTTAGGATAATTGGTCTGAAATGACTCTATGGACTTCCAAGCCCTGCACAGGTGTATGGGGAGATGGGGGCTGTAATGACAATGAGCAGAGGAGGCTCGCTGGGGAAGCCTGGAGAAGCAGGTGCTCTAGGGAAACCCTCACTGCCTGCTCCACTCAATAGTCCTTAATCACTCCTTCTGCCAGGCATGGGCACCACTTTACAAGGGGGGGGGTCCAGTGCTTCTTAAGGCCCCCAAGGCACTTGCACAACTCCAAAAGCCTAAAAGTGAATTAAGACAACAGAGGTAATATGCAAAGGGCACCTTGAAGACAGGATGTTTCTGTGCCCAGCAACTGAGCCAGCAGGCAGGGCCGAGCTCTGTGAGCATGCTGAGGTGGAACAGGGTTAAGAATGCACCAAAAAGAGGAGTGAGAGTCAGGATCTGAACCCAGACCTCCTGTCCTGGGTTCACCCCACTTCACCACATTTGCCACCGAAATCACTTGGTGTAGACAGTGTCTAATCCGCACATGGGGACCAAACCGTCCCTGTCTACTCTGTGGAGCAATTATTGTTGTAATGGGCCACACCTCCTCATGAGCCCCCGGCCCATGTACCCAACTACCTATTAGATAATATCGCTGGAAGTCTCACGACCCTTCATCAGGCCCTCACAAAGCTGTTCTTCTCCCAGCTTCTGGGACCTCCATGACTGGCACCAGCAGCCACCCAGTTGCTGAACCTGGGCCCCTTTCTTGGTTCTTCCTTCACAGTCACATCTCAGATCCAATCCATCACCAAGCCCTGTCCATTCATCCTCCTAAAAACGTCTTAATACAAACATTTCTCTCCATCCCTACTCCTGCCACCTAACCCACATGACCGACATCCCCCAAAACTCGTAACTGTCCCACAGCCACCCTTGCCTCACCCCAACTTGGCTTTCATGCTGCAGCCAAAGTGATGGTTTTAAAACATAAACCTCATCGTGTCAGCCTGCTTTGAAAATCTGTCTGTTGCTTTTAGGAGGAAAAGCCAAATGCTTGACTTGACTCATTAATTAGGCCCTGCAGCTCTGGCCCCATCTCTTGACACCGTCCCTGCTTGCTCACTGTGATCTGTATTATACATTGGACTTCTTTATTTTTTTCTGTAAAATTTTCAAATATCACACATATACAAGCATGTATAACATAGATACATACATTTAAAGAATAATTCTAAAACCTATACAGCCACCACCTGGGTTAAGAAATAGAACATAGCCACATCTCAGCCTCCACCTGTAACCCTCTCAGATCACACCTCCCGCTGCCCATCCCTGCCCAGAAGTAACCACCTTAAACTTCTGATCTTTTTTCTCACTTTTCTTCATATTTGACTACTTAGGGTTACACTTCTATAAAACAAAGTTTAGTTTTGCCTGTTCTGAATTTTATTTCGTTGAACTGTACTGTAGATGTTCTTGTATGACTTGCTTCTTTTGCTGTACCTCAATATCCATGCACGAAGCTATAATTCATGCATTTTCATTGACGTATAGTACTCCAGTGAGTGAATAACCATAATGAGTGCATTATTCTGTTGGTGGACATTAGGTTGATTCCAGCTTAGAGCTTTTATAAATTTGTCAATACAGCTATGAATGTTCTGGAGCTGTCCATGCTCTGAGAGCCCCATGTCCTGTCCTGCCTTGCAGCCCTCACCAAGATTTGCTTCCTTGGCTTAGGTCTCCCTCACTGCCTCCTTCCTGACCCACATCTCCTCATGCCCAGGCCTGGCTCACCTGGCTGTTGGTGCTTCTGCTGCCTCCTGCACCTCACAGAGGCTACGGGCATCACCGATCCAGCCTCTAGCACAGAACCTACATGTAGCAAGCCCTCAGCACTCATTCATGCACGTATGCATACTTGCATTCGTTCACACCTTAGCAGTTTCTCAGGACCGGTCTACGGTGCTGCAGAGGCATGGCGCAGTCCGGGGGAAGAAAATGATCCTCTCTAAGTAAATAAAGGCATCCCCCAAGACAGGAATTGCACATCCAGGAAAGCCAGCCCCACAGCTAGACACAGAAGGCTGCTGACTCTCACTGATGAGATGCACGCCCAGAGAGGATGAGCCTGGGGGTGGATCCTCCTGCTCTGAACCGCTCAAATTCCTCCCTCTCCCACCTCTCTCATTAGCCTCTGTGATGAGGGTTGCAAAGGGCTCTTCAGCTGCTTAAAGTGAAGGAAGAAATGGAAATTGCTTCAAAAGAAAAGGAAGGAAAGCAGCTAGAGAACACTGCCAAACACTTGGTGTGATAACCAAGGGTTTTCAAATGATGACTGAAACTGGCTTTCATTTTGATCTTCCATTTCTGATAATCTAACAGATCATTAGAAGAAAATCAAGTCCATCCTCACGGTCGAAGATGAACCTGGCACTGCTGTAGCACTCTTCCCACTTTACCACCTCTTCCTCCACACTTTTTTCCTCAAGAAAAAAAAAGAAACCCTTTCAGCTTACACATATTGTTCAGTTTATTTAACTACATTCAGATTGGATATTTTCCATGTCAAATACTTTCTTAGGAATAAGCAACATATTCCTTCTCTCCAAATTAAGAACTTCTCACTGCTTTGTAGGTTTAAAAACATCCAACTGAAAACTCCCTTTTATGGATGAAAAAAAAAAGTACGGAGAGTGGGAATCTCTGCCCTATTTATGGTGATAAATGCCAGAGCCAAATTTACCCCCAAGAGTCTCGCTCCAGGGTCCCAACCCTCACCCACTCCACTCTTCTACTCTACATTGAAAACCAGAGTACATCTCTATTCCTGCTGCCCCAGGGACTCTCTCTACCCTACGACACCATTCTCATTGCACACAGAGCTTTAAGCATAGATGCTAGAAATAAACTGAACATTCTCCAATAGGGAGGTAAACTCTGGTCCAGTCATTGATGAAAATGATGTTCAAGAAGAGTTATAAATGAGAAAGGGGCAATAACTGCCTTATAAAAGGGAGAAAAATAGGCCAGGTGCCATGGCTCACACCTGTAATCCCAGCACTTTGGGAGGCTGAGGCGGGTGAATTGCCTGAGGTCAGGAGTTCAAGACCAGCCTGGCCAACATGGTGAAACCCCGTCTCTACTAAAAATACAAAAATTAGCCAGGCGTGGTGGTGGGTGCCTGTGATACCAGCTACTCGGGAGGCTGAGGCAGGAGAACCACTTGAACCTGGGAGGCAGAGGTTGCAGTGAGCTGAGATCGTGCCACTGCACTCCAGCTTGGGCAACAGAGTGAGACTCCATCCCATAAAAAAGGAGAAAAATAAAAACAGCATACCAAAATTACACAGACAGTATGGCTTCAACTATAAATGACAGGAGAAGATTATACTATTTTTATTAAGTAAAAAGTTAATCAGGTTAGCTCTGGGTGGCTGACTTTGAGGGAGATGTCATGCTATGCACTTTTCAGTACTTCCCAATTTTTCCACAATAAGCACACATTACTTTCATAATGAGGAAAACATTTTAATACGAAATGGGCAGCAGGGAAGCAGCATCTGTCTTCTCCACCCCAAAACGCCCCTTTGGAACTATGATGGGTGGTCCTGACCCACCACTTGTGCCTCCCCAGCTCCACCCAACCCTGTCACCTGCTTCCTGCCTCCATACTTCCTCTCCCAAGCCTACTTATATATTCTTACTTATCCAAGCCCAAGCTAGTGCAAGCCCCACCTTCTTTATGTTCTTCAAGAAGCTTGTCTTGACCATTCCCAGCCAACTATTAGGTTAAACCATATGACATTGCCATTCTTGTATTCCAGAAGTTGTCTACTATCAGTGATTTCATATGACTCAATCTAGTCCTTGGCTCACCAGGTCTTCTTATGAAACTTCAGCCTGTTCTCCAGTCTGGAACACATAACTGCAAATGGGGAATTTTCTGTCTTGGACTCTCTCTTGTCTCATGTGAGATCCTGCTTTAAGTCACTCTTCTTTGTACATTGGCTTACTTTATATTCATTCTGGTTGTGAACATTATTGAAAATAAAGTCACCGCCTCACTGACCATAGACCTTCCTTACCCATAAGCACCTGCTTGGGTTCTGCGCTTGGCCCTGGAGATAGAGACATGAGACCCTGCCCCAAAGTTTACAGACAGAGAACAGGCCTTGGATAGGCATGAACCCAACCAGGGAATGCTAACGCCTTGCAGGCACCCATCTCTTTCATGTGCTAAATATCTGCACGTCTGTTCTCTTGCAGGGCGAGAGCTAGACAGACCTGGCTTTAAATCTCAGTCTGTCTCTCATAAGCAGGTGGACTTGGCCATGCCACTCAACCTCTCCAAGCCTCGATGTCCTCATCTATAAAATAGAGGTAGTCATAGCCCCTACTGCAGATCCTACGTGAGGACTAGCTGGGACTATATGTGAACATTTACTACCATGCTATACACGGTCAGCACCCAAGAAACACTCCCCTGTGAACCAGGCAGAGCAGAAACTATTATTCCCCTTTTTTTCTAATGAAGAAACTGAACTCCAGAAAGTCTAAGTGACTTTTCTGAGACCAAGGTGGAGCTGATACTAAAACCTTGGTCTCCTAAGCCCAGCATGTGCTGTGTTCTGGGCTAACAACTGCTGATTCTAAAAGCACACGAACATTTAAGGTTCACTGGTGCAACTCCTAAGGAAATTTCCAAACACATTTGCTACCTCATCACTACCTGGAATAACTTTGGAAGGGCCCACAAAGAATTCAGCACTGCCATTTCCCCGTAATGGTGACTGACTGGCCATATGCTCATCTAGTTTCCCATCTACTCCACCCACGGCAAGAGGGAGAGCATGCCTACCTGCCGGCAGAGGGGCTCGGCTCCTGTCTGATGGCCCTGTGGAATGACACTCTCACATCAGCTCAGGAAATTCTTCCCCATACATCTTGGAAATGGTTCCCTCTCAACAGACTTCCCACAAATAAGGCTTTTGCTGATTACTTCTGACTTAATGCTTAAACGTTTTCAACGGAAGAGAGTTGTCTGGTTTTACTTCTTGCACATAAAATAATGCACTTATCATTAGTCATCTCCTTCCTGCTCACACTTGAAAATGTATGCACATTTTTCTCATTTGCTATCATCTGAAACCTGAGACCTTTCAAGGTATGGGGAACGCAATGTATCTTGAAGTCAGGAACCTCAGACAAGTTGTGGCTTTTTATAGCCTCCAACGATAATAGGATGACAGTTCGGTTCTTCACTTTTTGAAAATATGATGAAATTTCTGGCTTTTGCTCCAGAAAAAAAATACACATATACACAAAATCACAGATACCTTTCAAGACTTCATGCATTCCAGATAGAAAAACAACTCCATAACAAACCTGCTCATGGACCCCCGACCCTGAAATAAAAGTTGGAAAAAAAAAAAAGGTTTCGAATACTGTGCCAGGGACTAAGAATAAAGACTGTGACACATTCATTAGAGGAGAGGAAAAAAAATCACACACAAAAACAAGCTCAAATTTCTTTTCCTTTTTTTTGTTTTTTGTTTTTTGTTTTTTGGAGACTGAGTCTCCCTCTGTTGCCTAGGCTGGAGAGCAATGGTGTGATCTCAGCTCACTGCAACCTCTGACTCCTGGGTTCAAGCGATTCTCCTGCCTTAGCCTCCTGAGTAGCTGGGATTACAGGGATGTGCCACCATGCCTGGCTAATTTTTATATTTTTAGTAGAGATGGGGTTTTACCAAGTTGGCCAGGCTGGTCTTGAACTTCTGACTTCATGTGATCCACCGCCTAGGCATCCCAAAGTGCTGGGATTACAGGTGTGAGCCACCGTGCCTGGCCTCAAATTTCTTGACATTCAAGGCCATAAACCTCCGGCTTTGGGTTTCCATCTAGCTCCCACCTTCCTCTCTCCTAATACACTCCATGCACCCATCCCTCCTGCCTACCTGAACTCCTCGAGGCTCCCCCAACAGAGCCTTGTGCCTTTGTTTTCTTCACTAGGGACCTCCTTCCCCTCATTTTCATATTTCAAATCCTACTCACGCTTTAAACCTCAGGTCAAGTGCCACCTCCTTGTCAGTTTTTAAAAGTTCTTCCCATCAGGAAATAACCTCTCCCCACACCTGCCTCTCTTGGCAATTTGTCTTTATGCTTGCAGTACTTAGCACATTCCACCTTACAGATATTGATGCGTGGGTCTTGCCACCCCTACTGGCTGGCGATCTAATTCACTTCTGCAGTCTTCCCCTGACACACAGTAAGTGCTCAATAAACACTCGAGATAAATAAATATCTGTTTCTCTAATCCACACATGGTACAAATGAAATTCAAATAAGTATGCAAATATTCATTTCTCTGTGACCCAGACTTTTTTATTTATGTAAAATCTTCAAAGGTGCTTGGGGTCAATGTGTGCTGGTCTGCAGGGTCAGGGTTCCTGATTGAACTCTCATGTATTAGTCTGTTTTCACACTGCTATAAAGAACTACTTGAGACTGGGTAATTTATGATGAAGAGGTTTAACTGACTTAGAGTTCTGCAGGCTTAACAGCAAGCATGACTGGGAGGCCTCAGGAAACTTACAATCATGGCGGAAGGCAAAGGGGAAGCAAGGACCTTCTTCACAAGGTGGCAGGAAAGAGAGAGAAGCGGGAGCTGCCACACAGTTTTAAACCATCACATCTCATGAGAATTCACTCGTTATCACGAGAACAGCATGGGGGAAACTGCCCCCATGATCCAATCCCCTCCCACCAGGTCTTGTGGGGATTACAATCCGAGATGAGATTTGGGTAGGGACACAGAGCCAAACCATATCACCTCAGGAATCAATTGAGCCCAGAATTTCAACTGGAGGTCAGCAGTGCACACATGAATGGGCCATTCAGCAGGATAGCGGATGATTCTTCAGGAAGAATCTATTCTCCAGTCAGAAAGATCATGTTCTGTGCTTACGACAGCATGCTTAGTTTAGATAGTTAAGAACTCCTCTTCGTTATTTTTGAGGGGACTTCAATAAGAGGTGCCACCAATTTAAGGGGCAGGGTTCTGGGTCTGGAGAATTTCTGATTAATATTTCTCTAATCTTCTCCAGGATTGGACAAAGCTACATTCCTTGGTTGTACGACAAGGCCCAGCCACAAAACAGAGTCCACTGGGAGATTCCTTGTTTTCTGTTCTCTGAGAATGTTTCAACTTTATTCTAGATTCTACATAGAATCTACCGGATTTGGGGATTCATCTATTGGCACCAAACATGGCACAGGGCCCAAGAGATGTGCTTGGAGACAAGGTAAGAAGTAAAGCCTGAGTGCCCAATAAAACCTTTAGTGGACAAACACTTCCGAATTAGGACCACAGCTGCTTGGCAGGCTGACTCCTCTCTTTACAGCAAACCTGGTTGTTAGGGTGATAGGAAGTAATGAAATGGGGAGAGGATTGTGAAATGTTACATGGAAAAAGGGGCTTCTGGGCCATATATAAGTCATGTTCCAAATATATACCTCTGAATAAGAGGAAAGCAGTCCATAACCCAGCTCCCAGGCATTGCGTGGCATCATGATATCAATAAAACCCCCTCCGATTTCTCCAAGCCTGTCTCTGTCTTCATTTATATTACACTGGGGTCCTGAATGGCTATGATTCTTGAGAAAGGAGTCCAGTTCCCTGAAATATCTATGTTCAGGAGAAGGAGCCCAATACTAGTAAAATGGGTCCCCTCGAGCCCAAAATTAATCAATTGATGGAACAAGCATCTTGCTTTAAAAATAATTGAGATTGCAATTTATTTACTTCTGCCTCTGACAGAAGTTTTAAAAAGAAAGACTTAGGCTGCCCTAATACCTTGAGTGAAAGAGGAAATTTTCCGTTGATTATTCTTATTTTTTTCCCATACCTTCAAAGTTAAGCTTTGAATGTGAAATGGAAACTGGAGACCAACACAGCCTCATGGCCAGGCAAACATTGGTGTAGGAGTCAGGCCCAGGACCCAGGTTCCAGTCTATCTCTTACTAGCTTTGGGACTTGGGGCAAGTTTCTTACCTCCCTCCAGCATAGCTTCCCCATGTATGATTCAGTGGGGCAGAACCATTATGTCCACAACTCAAACAGCTTGCCTCAACAGCTGGTGACTTATTTGTCACCATGAGCATGATTTTAAAGGAAAGCCTGATTGACCACTTGGTGACCCTAAGAACTAGCTGTTGTCTAATGCTCTCAGATTCCATGGGCCTTTCTCACACGTGTCATTTCATATCATGACCATGACAATCCAGCCAAGGAGGTACCTGGATTTCCATTTTACAGACATGATTAGGCCAAAGTGACTTTACCACCAAGCCCAGGGTGCCATGATCAGAGATTGAGAACATTATCCCAGGCCTGGCTGATACCAAGTCTATTGTCTTGCCAGGACACAGGCCGCTCCTCTGTCAGTGATGCTTCAGCGGGAGATTTTTTTTTTTTTTTTTTTTTTTTTTTTTTTTTGAGAGGAGTCTTGCTCTGTCGCCCAGGCTGGAGTGCAGTGGCTCCATCTTGGCTCATTGCAACCTCCGCCTCCCGGGTTCAAGCGATTCTCTTGCCTCAGCCTCCCGAGTAGCTGGGATTACAGGTGCCCACCACCAGGCCCAGCTAATTTTTGTATTTTTAGTAAAGATGGGGTTTCACCATGTTGGCCAGGCTGGTCTCGAACTGCTGACCTTGTGATCCACCCGCTTCGGCCTCCCAAGGTTCTGGGATTACAGGCGTGAGCCACCGCGCCCAGCCTCAGAGGGAGGTTCTTGAACCAGGGAACTGACCAGCATGATGAGTTCTAAGGTCTGGGCTTTTAGCAATAAATGAGGAGTCTGGATAAAAACAGGAGTTCTAAAAACTTCTCGTAGCAAAAAAGATCCCCTCGCTTCAAAGGAAATCTAATGTAGAATGCCAACATATGAAATAGATCCTTGTAGCATCCCTCTGGTTGAAAAAGAGACGGCATCCACCCAAATGTCCATCAACTGACAAATGAATACTAAATGTGGTCTATCCATCTCTTGGAATATTATTCAGCTGTAAAAAGGAATGAAGTACTGACACAAGCCACAACAAGGGTGAACTTCGAAAATATTATACTAAGTGAAAGAAGCCAATCACAAAAGACTGCATAGGGTATGATTCTATTCAGATGAAATATCCAGGATAGCTAAATCTGCAGAGACAGAAAGCAGACTGTTGGTTGCCGGGAAGTGGGGGGAGGGGGAATGGAGAGTGATTGCTTGATGGTTTCCTTTTGGAGTGGCAAAACGCTGTGGAGCTAGTGGTGACGGTTGCACGACTTTGTGAATGTACTAAATGCCACGGAATTGTGCGCTTTTAAATGGTTCATTGTATCACATGTGAATTTTACCTCCATTTATATAACGTTTCCAGAATCCTACCCCATAAGCTTCCTGCTTCGCATGTCCCTACAGAGCCTCCACGGAACCTTGGTAAGAAAATCAATTGAGTCACTAGATATTACAAAATGCTACCTTAGCCAAAATAGTTCACATATGACAGATGTTTTCCTCCTTCAGGAGCCAAAGGTAATTTCTCCTAACACATGAAATAAATATCAGCCAGTGACATCTTGCTACCTGGAAACAGAACCTTGCATTGGTAACCAGCTCCAATGTCGATTCTAGTCCACAGTCATCAAGCAGCTTCATTTTTAGGATACATCATTGATTTTAAACTAAAAAATCTGCTTTAAGTATACCAGGAAAGAGAATAATAACTAAGCATTGTTTTTTCTTTCATGTCCAGTAGATACTTTCTTTCTTTTTTATTTTCTTTTTTGAGACAGAGTCTCGCTCTGTTGCCAGGCCGGAGTGCAGTGGTGTGATCTTGGCTCACTGCAACCTCTGCCTCCCGGGTTCAAGCGATTCTTCTGCCTCAGCCTCCCGAGTAGCTGGGACTACAGACATGCACCACCATGCCTGGCTAATTTTTTTTTGTATTTTTAGTAGAGACAGGGTTTCACCATATTGGCCAGGCTGGTCTCAAACTCCTGACCTTGTGATCTGCTGTTGAGTGGTAAACTCAGCATTATCAAGCACTTACCATACATTAAAAGTTTTTCTCACTTATTTTTATTTTTATTTATTTTTTGAGACACAGTCTCACTCTGTCACCCAGGCTGGAGGGTAGTGGCACGATCTCGGCTCACTGCAACCTCCACCTCCCAGGTTCAAGCGATTCTCCTGCCTCAGCCTCTCAAGTAGCTGGGATTATAGGCATGCACCACCATGCCCAGCTAATTTTTGTATTTTTAGTAGAGATGGGGTTTCACCATGTTGGCCAGGCTGGTCTTGAACTCCTGACCTCAAGTAATCCGCCCACCTTGGCCTCCCAAAGTGCTGGGATTACAGGTGTGAGCCACCGTGCCCGGCCTCTCATTGTTTATTTGAACATCATTATCCCCATTTTATAGAAAAGATTATGAGGCTCAAAACAGCTATGCAACATCTCCAAGGACTCACCACCAGTTGGTGACAGAGTCAGGATTGGAATCTCAGGTTTTTCAGCTCCAGAGAAGGCACCCTCGAATATGCCAAGGTGGGTGTCAGCAGAGTCAAGTTCTTCCCCCGGTAGACTGCCTGAGGACTGCTTTCAGTCCCACCAAGAAACTGACCCTAGGCTACAAGACCCAGAGTTCAGGGAGATGCATGATGCATGCACACGGGTCTGGGGCTCCTTCTGAGGACTCCTCTGCACCTGTCCAGGGCAGTCTGGGGAGATGAGGAGTTTGGGGGATCTACTTTTTATCTTTAGTCTGTGTGAGGAAGTGAAGACCCGCCTCAGCAGTCTTGCTGACAAACTGTTCTCAAGAAATAACTAATGATGGACAGAAACTTCAGATCCTCTTTTGCTAAAGAGTTGAAGGGAAAGGCTGGGATTCCATTTGTTTTTTTCAAAAAATAGGTCAGATTCTGTGCAAACGCTAGAAACCCTGGCTTCTAAAGGTAACTTCTAGCCTGGAAGTCTACATAACATCATTTTATGCAGTTGGAGTGACATAGTCTCAGATTTGGACACAGGATTCAGCACTACAACACTGTGCAGCATAAATCAGGTAATTTTTCAACTTATTCTGAAACATTTCTACGCAAAGGAGTTGAGAATAATTTCAGCCTTTTCCTCTGCATGGTAAGTTTATCAAAATGATCATAATCCCTTACATATAAACACACTTTATGGATTACAAAGTACTTTCATGGATAATCCTTGCTGAGTTAAAAACAAAAGGTGAAATTAAGAAAAAATATCAGTAAATGGCGTTAGCTATTATCATATATCTTTACATTGTAGGTAAGAAGAGGATGAGATGAAAGGGTTTTATATTAGAATAAAAGTCAAGTTCCAACTTCTAACTGTTCCTGGTTATCAATAAAAAAGTCAATGCTTTTTAAATTAAAAATGAGGTGCTGCTATTTATGACTTGATAAGTTGTAAAATGCCTTTCCTATCCTTCCCAATGGTCCTATGCCCCATTATTAAATTTTAGGCCTGCAGCTCATATAGATGACATAGAATGCAGCTCCTATGGATTAACTGGCGTAGGTAAAGAAAAGCAACTAGAACAAGAAAAATAAAACTAAATGTGTTTCAATGTCATTTAATGAAAATACAGTAGAACGCTTCTACCCCTTCATGTTTAGGTGGCACAGCTTAAAAAGACTCAGGCCATACAAGGGCTCTTGAACTTCTTGCTCCCAATAAAGGAATAAGAATGCTGATGTGTCTCAAAAAGTGGGCGAATGATATGAACAGACA